>NC_000011.10:10685000-11310000 GCF_000001405.40 Homo sapiens | reverse complement strand
CTTTTTAAAGAAAGCAATAAGGGAACATGTTTTGAGACTGAAGGGAAGAAATAAGTAGAGAGATCTATTTAAGGGGGCAATTAACAAAGCAATATCCCTGGGGGTGGGGACAGGGTGAGGAGAGGTGGGATGGTCCTGGAGCACAGGAAATGAACTTCTGCTGAGGCCCAGGAGGAACAAGTTTGCAGGCTGTCTTGCAACTGAAGCATAAGGGGATCTGGGTATGTGAGAGAATGGAGAAGGTTTAGAAACCCTGCAGAGTGAAAGTGGCTCAGCTGCTGAGCAGGTACCCAAAGAAGTAATACTAGGTTGTGTTGAAGTACCTGGTTGAGGTTAAAGATCATGAGTTTGTGGTGGATTTAATTTACCCAGTTCCATGAATTTTCTCTGGTGGTGCTAGCCTCCAGGGAACAGGTGTGGAGAAGGTGAACAAGGCTATAGAGGTGGGGTTTACAGGGTGTAAAAGGCAGAAAAAGTAAGGAATTTAAAAATTGAAGCTGCTAGCAAGAGTGCCATTATTAAAAATTGGGCGCAGCATTTCTAGGGAGAGGTCAGGAAAGAGTGGTAAGTATAGAAGGAAAGAAAGAAAATTATTATTCCAAAGGCCTCAATTAGGTTGATGAGCAGGCATTGGGAAGTAAGAGAGTGGGTAATCAAGATTAATAGGTGTGTCATTTTGTGTTGCTATAACCTGAGGCTGAGAAATTTATAATGAAGAGAAATTCATCAGCTCATGGCTATGGAAGCTGGGAAGGCCAATATCAAGGGGCCAGCATCCGGTGAGGGCCTTCTTGTGGTGTCATCCCATGGTGGAAGTGTAGAAAGAAGGGCTAGAGAGGGGACTAAACTTGTCCTTTTACAAGGAACCCATTCCCTTGATGATGGCACTAATCCATTCATGAGGGCAGTGCTCCAGTGATCCAAACACCTTCCATTAGGCCCTACCTCCCAGCACCACCACATTAAGGATCAAGTTTTCAACACATGAACTTTGGGGGACACAGTCAAACCACAGCAAGGTGATTGGGCAAAAGTAGGGCAATGGAGTATTAGACTTCAGAGGTAAAGTAGTTTGGGGCACTAAGAGCTGGGGTCTAGGTGTGGGTGGGCTAAAGTGGAACACAGCATACCACCCCAGAATTGAGGCCACAGTGCAACGTGAATGCTGCCCAGTGTGATGTAGAGGAAGCTGTGAGCCTGGTGCCAAAGACCTTGATGGATGTAGCTGACTGCCTGGCACTTAAGTGAGAAGAACAACATGGGCAGAGGGCAATGGTGTCTGATGTCTGATTCTTACAGAGGAGATGTTTTTTACACTAGGGTGGAAGAGTGGAGGTGTAGAAGAGGCACCAGGGGAGAGGAGAGTGTCAACTCCACCTTGAATCCTGATTAGAGACTCAGCAGATTCAAAAACACATGAATAGGCATCCTCCAGGAAGAGCCTTGTTTGGTGGGAAAGGAAAGGTTTGTTTTGTTGGAAAGGGCCATCCTGGAATGATACTGGGGGTTTGATAAGAGGCTTCAGAAGGCTCAAGAGAAGGCTTAGGAGGGAGGGCAAGGAAGGGAAGGTCAACTGGGGACGAAGCACAGAGCATATCAGGGGTGGAGTGAGGATAAGAAACCCCCACAAAGACAAAAATTAAATCTCATGTAGGGACATATTTAGTGAATTGCCTTTATTGAAAGTAACATATCTTCATGAAAATAGACAATGAGATGAATATCTGAGACTGGTTTCCTCCAGGAAATCTGTGCTATGTGATTTCCACCATCGCTTACACGGCGAGGTTCTTCCTGCCACGCCAGGAAGTGGTGAGTAGAGTCGTATATGGAGATAGAACCATTGAAGATTTTTCTTCCAGGGAGTCTTCATGATCCATCTTCCACTGGAGTTTCCTCTAAGGAATTCCCTGTGGCTAAGGTAAAGCCATAAGGAAGTTCCATGAGAACTGGGAGGATTGGAGGAAGTGGGTATCAGAATCAGACTGAGAGAAACAACATCTCCTTGTGCTGCAGCCACTGCGGTCACCCCTGGCCCCCAGCTTTTGTGCTCAGGACAAAGCGCCCACTTCCAAAACTCTGTCTGTCCTCGTGGCAACTGAACTTCGTTCCCATCACATTGCTCCAGTATTTCATGCTACATTCCGTCCAGGACCATCAGGGCTGTATGGAGTTTCCACTGTGCCAAAGGAAGGAATCAGCATCCCAGTTACCATGAAGAAAAGAGGGCTGGGAGTAGTGACCTTGGGGGGGTCAAGGATGCCTTCCTGAAGAGCTGCTTCTGGACCTTAAAGGAAGAAAGAGTGGGATATGCACCAGCAAAGGCAGAGAAGAACACTTCAAAAGTGGAGGCCACATGTGGAAAGGGGTAGCATCAGAACCTTTCCTTCTTTCCTCTTGAAGAAGCAGGGCATTGTGATGGTTGAGGTGGGCTTTAGGGCCAGATGACTTGAGTTCAGATCCCAGCTCTGCCAGTTTTCCTGTTTGATAGCAAATTGTTGCTATCCAATAATTTACCTCTCTTTCATTCTTTTTTCTCATCTAAAAATGGACATGCCCTCATCTCTTCCCCAGGGTTATTTAAATAAGTATGTATAAAGCATTTAGCATCCCTGACATATAGTGTGAACTCATTAAATTGGAAATATTATCATTATAATAATTTTTGTCCATCAGGAGGGGATAAAATGAATGTAATTTGCTGAACACCTCCCTTGTGTGCCATATACTTTACAAACACCTGTAAAAATGAGGTACCCATATCAGAACAATTTACCATATAACAAACTACCCCAAAATTTGGTAGACTGAGACACATCCATTTTTTTTTCCTGAGAGCAGGCAATTTGGGCTAGGCTAGACTGGCCTTATCTTCTGCTAGTCTCAGCTGGGCTGACTCAGGCATCTGTGGTCAACTGCTGCTCAGCTAGTTGACTCTGCTTCTGGAGACTGGCTGACAGTCGGCTGGAGTGAGAGGCTTCTGGGCCATGTGTGTGTTATCATCTCACAGGCTAGGCCAGGCTTCTACACATGGTGGCAGGCACAGGGCAGCAAGAGAAGGCCAGCACCAATGCACGAGTGCCCATCAGGTCTATGCTTGTGTCACATAGGTGATGCACATTTCATTGGCCCAAAGTAAGACACAGCACAGCCCAGACTCGGATAAAGGGAGAAATGAAGTGAAGGGAAGAGCTGCGCAGTCACATTGCAAAGTAGTTTGTATGCGAGGATGGGAAAAATCTGTGGCCATTTGTATAACACGTCACAATGCCTCATCATGTTCACTTTGTATTATTTTATTCATTTGTTCACTCATTCAAAAATATTGAGTGCTCATCTGTGGTATGGCAAGAAAAGGGATCCCCAATATGAATGGCCTTAGTTTTGTAACACTTTCTCTGTCATAGTGCAATCCATCTGGCATTGCTATCTGAGGTCTGTAACATCCAATAAAGACATGAGCTGGAGGAAAGCAGGTTATATTTTCCCCAGGGACAAGGAAAATGGAGATGGAGATGGTGTTGGAGCAAGTGAAATAGAGAGACTTATATCTGCAGATTAAAATCAGCCACCATTATTTTATCCACATGAACTCCATTTTTTTTTCTGGGCTAACATCTTCCTACTGGATCTTAACCTGCATATTTTATTACTGTGTTCTTTCCTACATCCTTCTGATCACCAAGATTGCTAGTGAGTCCAGATCCCACATTGACCATATGTTATCTGTGCATACTCGTGCACATGCATGCACACACACACACATACACACACACATGCACACACAGACACACACACATTCCACCACTCTCACTGGGAATATTCTAAGCTCTGCTTAATGCTGTGCAGAATAACTGTTGTATGCTAAAAAGGTATTGAGCCTCCTCATTTCTCAGGAGGACCAGGTAAGGTCTAGACATGGCATAGACTATGTCCTGGGGAGAGACCCCATTCTATCCAAGTCATTAATCCACTGGGCTATATGGAGAGTGATGTCCAAGGTCCAAAACTGGCCAGAGAGCAGCTTAGAGGAGTTTTGGAGTAAGGGGTACGAGGCAGGCACCAGGGAGTGCACCTGCATGAATTTCTGGAGTCCAAATGTCCCTGGAATAATTTATTAACACATTGCTTGATTCAATTAATATGTTTTGAGTGTATATCATGTAATAAGCAGAGGTTCATTAATAGAGATATAAGGGTGGGTAAGACAAACATGGTGTCTGCCCTCAGGGAACTTGGGATCTAAAGGGGGTGACTGCTGTTACAGTCGCATCCCTGACAGCTAACACCAAGCACAAATCCTTCTATGTAATTCTGCCAACATCCTCGGAGGTTGGCAGCATTTTTAGCCTGTTTCCACTGATGAGTAAATTGAGGGGATGAATGGCTGTGTAAACTGTCTCTAGTCACATAGCTCGTGGGTAGTGGGGGCAGAGACTTGAGTCGAGGCAGTTTGGATCCCGACTCAGTCTTTCTTGAATCACCCCTCCCCTCCACCCACAATGGATCAAGTCTCATTGGTATATATGTTCAAAGTTTCTTGTACTTTTCCTTAAGAGCATGCATTGCATTTAGAAGTTCTATTTTGGTGTGATTATTTGGGGAGGAACCTGTCCATCAGTTCAGTCTTCCTTATGCTCCAGTAATGTATGACCTCAAAATCTCAATGGCTTACTGGGCCCTACTGCGTGTCTGTTTCTTCCCTGACCTTATCTCTCTTTTGCAGAATCTTGTCAAAAGCAGCTGATACTAAAAAGGCACACTCTGCATCTAAGCATGGGCTCACTTGCAACATTAGCAGTCTACCAAGATATTGCAGGCCAACTAAGATATTTGTATCTTACCAAGGTATTTCACCAACCGTCTCTTCGTTGCATAGATGAGGTCACCATCTTTCCAGCCTCCAGTGGTGGTTTACTCATCACCTACCTCTGGCCTTAAAGTCAGTGCCCATATTTTAAGGCTTGGCAGTACCCCTCCTCTAGTGTCGGTTTCTTTATCAGTCATCTTAGGCTGATGTCCGCACATCTCAGTGGCTTACAACAAGATGTGTTTATTTCTTACTCATGCTCCTCGGTTGTCATCATTCAGCTTCAGCTCTGTCATCTCAACTTTTTCTAGGGCCAAAGGGGCAGCTCCTTTCCAGGATGCTGCAGGTCCAGTGGCAGAGAACAAAAAGACAGTGTATCACATGATTGCTCCTGAAGCTTCTGATTGGGAATGACGTCTGTCACTCCCGCTCACGTTCCAGCTAGAAACGTGGCCATGTCTGGCATTAATGATCTGGTGATGTACGATAGCTCAGTAGGGAGGGGAATACAGGAAGAAGCATCATAGGAGAGGGCAGAGACTATTTCGAACAACAAATCAATCTGTATTTAAGAAGTATGAATTGACTGTCACAAGCTGATGCAGAGTAGGCAGACTGTTGTTTGTGAAGAGTGTCAGGGGAAGTATTCCTCAGTGCATAGGATATGCACCCTCTTTGCTGTTTGTGATTGAGTAGGCACAGCTTATAGCAGACAAGCAGACACAGCTATGAAGTGTTTTGAGCATTACCTTCCAAAATAGGGCCCAGTAGTCAGATATCTGGTGTTTGAGATTTCTTGAACATAGAGAACTTACTAATGAACAAGCTAACTGTATTTGTTAATTTGAAGGGAGGGGGTCATTATCAACAACAAATAAAACAAATTTGGGTAGCTTAAGGTAAAGACAAAGGGTGAATGTTATTAGAGAAAACCTGGGGTGATTCCTTTTTATAGACTCAGAGGAAAGGTTGACCGGGAAAGGCAGGAACTAGGACAGCTCCAGGGGCCTCAGCAGTAAAAGTTTATGGGTCTTCCCTAGAGAGTTGCCCTAAATGTGTCTTAGCTTCAGGGCTACTTTGTCTGTGTCTTTTCCTTTTCAGGTTTTAAATTCCTGGGAGAAGTCTACTTGGCTCTTTGTAACAGCTCCATTCTCACTGATGGTCAGGGTGGCAGAGTCCCAGAGCATAGACCATTTGGGCCAAGCCCTGGACAGAGCCATCTTCAGAGGAAATGGGTCACTGTCAGCCAGGCAGCCCCTCCAAGGGGTGTGTGCTAGATTACCAGAGGCAGGTACTTCCTGAGGGTCAAAGCGAGGATGAAATGTGCTTTTCACCAAAGGTCCCTTGTCTCCGGGATGACCTCATGGCCTACAGAGAAGGATTGGCAAGATAAGTTTGTGTGATGGTGTCCCATAAACAGTCCCAGGTCAGAAGGGTGCAGCTGTTCCTCAGAGCCCCAGGTCTGCCTTGCAGGGACCTCAGGTGTCATCATGGCTGCTGCACTGAAAGGTGGCCTGTCAGATGTGGAGTCCCCAGAAGGCTCAGGAGCACCAAGTCTGGTGTGTATGAGCCCCACTGCTGACTGAGGTTGCGCTAGGGCCCAAGTACAGTGACAGGCTTGGGCTCAGCCTCTATCTAGTATCAGTGCTGAGGACCTGGACATAATGGCCACAGGTATAGCTAGCCATGGGCCAGCATTGTCTTGAGTCAGGTTTCTCTAGAAGCAGATCCTGAGACAAGGGTTTGTGACAAGTAATGTATCTGAAAGGCAGTTCTAGAAGCATTAGTAAGGCAGTGGAAACATGAGCCAAGGGAGAAAGAAAGGTCAATTCATGTCATGTGAATGCACAGGTTAGCAGTGGGGGGCTGCTGGTGCCAGTGCTGCTGGGGATTTCTGGAGGCCTGTAGGGAATATATCTCCAAATTAGCCCAAGAAGCAAGAAGGATGTGTTATTTGTCCACCAGCTTCCATCCACCATTGGTTGGGGGCTGCTCCTGGAGCTAGGTACAGGCAAGGCAAGCTCCTGCAGCCAGAAAAGTCCCCCAGGCAGAGGGCAGCAGGGGCCAATAGAGGAGGTTGTTCACATGGCCAGGGCTGGGGAGTGCCCAGATGCATGGGTGAGGCACTAACAGTATCTGCTATAGCCACAAACAGGGCTGACACCAGGTTATGCTGTCAAAGTGAATGGGATGGGTTTTCCAGGAGTCACTCGAGCTTTGTCCTATATCCAGGAGAGGCTGAGCCCCGAGGGGGATTGTCACCACATCCTTGCTATGTTCCACATCTGATGATGGTCTTCTCAAGGGTTGCTGATGGGCCAGGTGTGTTTTGAAGGACAGCCACTGAGGGCTGTCAGTCTCTCTGCCTTTTAAGGCTGAGTGCAATGACTGCGTCTCCAGAGCACTTGAGATATCCGAGTGCGATGTCGCTCCCCATGCCCTTTGCGGCTCTTTGCTGTCTCTGATTTTGTTCTGCCAGCAGCACGCATCCTGCGCATATCCTTTCCCTGAGCCAAGCCCAATTCTTCAACCGCTGAGGCCTGGCCTACCACCCTGGCCATTGCTATTGATTGTGCCTCCTCTGTGATCTGTCCCATGGCAGCGTGTTTCTGCTTGATGTGGCTTTTGTTTGCAGCTCCCATCTGTGTCAAGGCACTTTGCTGGAGAAAGCCACTGATGCAGAAGCCTGTCCCAGGCAGCCAGGCTGGTCTGGGGGGTGCAGGCAGAGGGCAGGAGGAGGAAAGGGAGGAGCAGTGGCAGAAGAATCTGGATGAGGGGCTAAGGCCTAGATCAGGAGAGTTTGCAAGCCCTGGTCCCTAGAGACACACCCAGAGGCTGCAGAAAAAGAGAGACTTCACCAGCAATCCCAGTAAAATGGGGCACCCATTCTTTGTCTTGTACTCAACCACACCAAGGCACCTCCAGGCCAAGCTTGCTTCCAGGCTCCTTGGACGTTTTTGAGTCAGAAGACTCTTAGAGCCCCTCAGATGTGCTAACAAGTGGGGGCACTTACTGATCTGAATCACAGCTCCCTGGGGACCAGCGGGGTGCTACCCAGTCTCCTCCCCACCTCATCCCATTGGCACTATCATTTTTCAAATGGCATTGTACTGTCAAGCGTCTGTGGCTTGTGTTTGCCTGTTTCCTCTGCTAGAAGTCCCTTGTCCTTGACAAACATTTGGGCAAACTACTCTCTCTTTAGGCTGTTGTCTTTAGACTCATTACTCACTGACAGCCCCAGGTAGAGACTGTTACTCCAGCTCTGGGGCACCCCAGCACACTGCCCACTCATCTGTTATAAGCCTGGCCATGAGTATATTCTACCCATCCTCCTGCATGTCTGTCTCTCCGCCAGGCTGATAGTCCCTGAGGGAGGGGCTCCCGCTCTTCCCTCTGCTTTCCCAATGCCCAGGCCAGCCCTGGCACCCGAGAGGCAAAGAGGGTGTTTGTTGAATTGAATGGGATCGACTCCTCACTGATGGGCTGAGTTCCAGCTACAAACTTCTCCCCAAAGAGCTGAGGGATTCGTGTGCCTGTGCTCAGCCTCACTTGTTCCCGCTCCACCAGGGAAATGGGTTCACAGAGGAAGCCCTGAGCTAGAAACCCAGCCTTACACATGTATGTCGTCACACTAATGGAGAATGGTGCTTATAAATGCTTCCCATTCCTCACGTGGACCTCGTGCTGTGGTTGATGAACATAAGATCATTCTGGAAATGACTCTCCTTCATTTCTGATTTAGCATCAGTGCACTGTGGCCCTCAGCACTGTAGCGAACTTCTGTGTCAAGGGGTTAATGACCAATAACCAAACCCTTAAATCAGCCTGCCTGTCTGCAGAGAGGCCTGCAGCTCGTTCTTTGAAAAAGAGGGAAAAGAGCCCATTTCTAATACACATTCTGGATGTCAAAGCCAGCACTCTGTAAATTGAAATTTAATAAAGCAAGGCTCCCTTCCTTCTTCCCGCCCTCTGTGTCTGGCACCCTGCCTGTTTCCATGACTCCTACCTGCAGACCTATTGATCAGACTCAAGACGGGCACAGAGATGAGAGGGTGAGGCATTGCAGCTGGACGGGTAGCCCTCTCCCTCCTGGGTCTTTTCTTGCCCTCCTATGGATACCCTCGTCCCTGCCTACCTTGTCCTTGCCCTGCAGATAGGGATAAGTTCCCCCTTCTCATTGTGGGGGCAAGCTAGATCCCGATCTGCAGGGGCATTGCTTTTAAGCTAGAATCCAGAAGGGTGTGTGTTGCGCCAACATTTCACTCCTAGGCTTCCCAAACTCTCCTTAACCCAGCTGGTTTTCAACCTTGGTTGCACATTAGAATCACCTGGAATAAATCCCCGTGCCCAGGCCCCAGTCCCTGAGACTGTGGTTTATAGGTTTTAAAGCTCCCCAGGTGATTCTGCTCTGCAGCCAAGGTGGAGACCCCTGCCTTAGCTTGATTGCATTCAGGAGTTTGTCCTTGTGATTCTTGTGATTTCATTTGCTCTCAGATATTCCTCCTCTTCCAAGATCCAGCCCACAGCTTGACTGTGCCTTCAATGACCTTTGCCAACCGTCCAATCGTAAAAGTTTGCAATCACCCCATTATGTGTGACTCTTAACTCCCTAGACAGTGTCACACTCCCCTGTTATGTCCCCCAGCCCCTCAGAGAGCTGGGCTCTTAATTCCTTGTTGGGCTGCAACCAACAAAAATATGGATAAATATCTGAAGAAATGACTGCAAGGATGCTGGTTCATCCCTTTCCAATGTAAGTCCCTGGCCAATTCCGTTGTTTTCTCCCTTATGATGGGTTCTAGAACCTCTTGTAAACAGTGTCCCAATATAACTCTCCCTTTCTACCCCTCACCACTCTCTAGGCCCAGGACAGTTTCAGCCAAAGACGATCACTGCTGCCCCATGCAGGAGGCTCAGCAGGGAGAGTCTAAATGCCCCAAAGATACCTCATTTTTCACGGGCACCTACTTGATAGGCCAGCAGAGTTGTCAAGGAAGGCTCATTTAATGGAGGAAAAACAGCTAGTCCAAATTTACATGCCCATCATTTGGAAGAGAACTCGTACTCCAGTTGTGCCTTGAAAATGTGTGTATTATTAAGTAATGTAACTAACCCTATTTTCCCAATGTTCTAGATTTGCCTGGGAGGCCCTCCTTGACTCTCCCTCTGCCCATCCCATGATTTTTGCATCTCAGTCTTTGTTTAGCTTGGTGAGGGCTCCAGAATTTCTGCAGAGGCATAACATAGGTATTGAGGTGTTGGTAGAAGAGGGGATTGGATGATTGAAAAATACATAAATTGTAGTTCCACTTTTAGTTCTTTAAGGAATCTCCAAACCATTTGATCCAGCAATCCCAATCCTGGGTGTTTACTGAAAGGAAAAGAAGTCATTCTATGGAAAAGACACTGGCACATGCGTGTTTATAGCAGCACAATTCACAATTGCAAAAACATGGAACCAGCCTAAATGCCCATTAACCAATGAGTAAAGAAAATGTGGTATATATACCATAGAATACTTCTCAGCCATGAACAGGAATGAGATAATGGCATTTGCAGCAACTTGGATGGAGTTGCAGGCCATTCTAAATGAAGTAACTCAGGAATGGAAAACCAAACATCCTATGCTCTCAGTTAAAGTGCAAGCTATGCTATGAGGATGCAAAGGTGTAAAAATTATATAATGGACTCTGGGGACTTGGAGGAAGAGGTGGGAGGGAAGTGAGGGATAAAAGATACACAATGGGGCCAGGCACAGTGGCTGTGCCTGTAATCCCAGCACTTTCAGAGGCCGAGGCGAGCAGTTCACCTGAGGTCAGGAGTTCGAGACCAGCCTGGCCAACATGTTGAAACCCTGTCCCTACTAAAAGTAAAAAAAATTAGCTGGGTGTGGTAGTATACGCCTGTAATCCCAGCCACTTGGGAGGCTGAGTCAGGAGACTTGCTTGAACCTGGGAGGCGGAGGTTGCAGTGAGCTGAGATCATGCCACTGCACCCCAGACTGAGCGACAGAGTGAGACTGTCAAAAAATTAAAAAATAAAAACCCTACACATTAGGCAGAGTATCCACTGCTTGGGTGCTGGGTGCACCAAAATCTCAGAAAGCACTACTAAAGAATTTATACAACCGAACACCACTTGTTCCCCAAAAACTATTGACATAATAATTTAAAAATAAAAATACGTAGATTGGCCATATCAAAGAATGCAAGGGAGTGGGGCCTGGTGGAGGTTGGAGGCGGGAGGCAGGAGGTTGAGATTCTCATCTGCATGTTTGCAAAGGCTCTTTGGTGGAGTAGAAGCTAACAAAGGCCTACTCATCTGCAACGTCCTCCTCCTGGACAGAAGCCTCCTGCTTCAGAGAAGTGGTTTTCAAACTTCTTAAAATTCATCATAACCTGTTGTTCAAAGAAAATGTTATATGAAAGCCAGTTATCCAAAAGACAAAAGAAGACCTGCTGTGATGGGGCTGGGAGAGGGGCTCTAGAACCCCACCCACAATGGCCCCTGAGACCCCTTCTTGGAATCCCCAGAGCTCAGCGTGACAACCTGGTGGGAACGGCCCTGGTAGTCCCATTGCTGGTTCATGGGTGAGTTCATGGTGGCCCTCGGGACCAAGCTCCCGGGCCTGGGCAGCTGCAGCTGAGGTTCGGGACTGGGCGGAGGCAGTGGCCATCAGTGCAGCCGAGGAGAGCCCCTCCAAGGAATGGGTAAGGGGCCACAGGCCCTGAGCTGCCAGAACTCAGCCTTGCTCAGGACTTCTCCCTAGGCAAGGAGGGGAGAGAGCAACTGCCTACCTGAGTGTCTTCACAAGTTTTTAAAACTCTCATAGCCTCAGTTTCCTTATCCTTAAAAGTGGCAGTAGCCACGGGCATGGAAAACACCTAGCAGAGGACTGCTAGGCGCACAAAACTATGTGTGTTTTCTTCTCTTCCTTCCCTTCCTGAAGCTGTGGCAGAGTTTCCATCAGCCAGGTGAGGCTTGACACATGTGAGGGGTGGCTTCTTTGGAGGGCTAGAGGCCAGGCTCTGAGACCAGGGTATCCTGCAGGATGGGGGCCCTTGCCCCAAGGTGAGGGACAGAGTCAGGAGAACCTCCGGCCCTGGGGGACGTTACCCAGCCTCGACTCTGTGGCTCTAAAGGCAGGAATGTGCAACCAGAGTTCTGTGGTCTCCCTGGCCAGCTGTTAGCTCTCAGTCATGGCTCCTACCCCTGGCCTGGAGGAGAGGAAAATGCCACTAGCGTAAGATCCAGGATACGGATGTGTTGATTGTTTTACCTTGCAGGTGATTTTGCTCTTCCTCCTGCAAGAATCAAAATGAAATGCTGGAGATCTGGTTTGCAGCCCTGCTGAGCTGTGTAGAGCTGAGTAGAGAATGAGCCAAATCAATCATTGGCAGCTGAGGAGGAGCTGAGTGGGCGGGGATGACGTTTCTCTGCCCCGGGGGTTTGTAAGACGTCCACAGGCAGGATAACAGCTCACCCCAGCCTCAGACCAGAGTTACAGGAGGGATGCTGCTGTCTCAGAACTTTGTAGCATCTTTTATTCTAGGCTCCTCCAGCTCTCTGGTACTGTCTTAGTCCAGGCCCCCATCATGGTTGGAAGGGATCACAGTGGAAGTCCTCTCCCGGCTCCCCCTGCCCCTCCCAGCCTGGAGGCTGGAGCTGGAGTGACCCCAGGGAGGTGGGCAAGGGAGGTGAGTGGTCGCACATATGGCTCTGGAGTTAAACTGCCTCGCTGTAAATCTCAGCTACTCACCAACCGTGCGACTTTGGAAACATTGCTTATGGTCTCCGTGCCTCAGCTTTCTCGTCTGTAAGGTAAGGGATAATATTAGTACCTGCCTCATGAGTTATTGCTAAGATTAAACAAGATAAAGCATGTAAGTCATTTCATGTCTGGCACAGTGTAAGAGGTAAAAACATGTTAGCTTTTATTATACCTTAAGTTGGGGTATCTCAACAGCGGCACTACTGACATTTTGGCTAGATAATTCTTTGCTGTGGGGGGCTGTCCTGTGCACTTAGGATGTTGAGTGGGATCCCAGACCAGCCACTAGACACCTCCTACCACCCCCACCATCATGACAACCAAAAATGTCTCCAGGCATTCCAGATAGCCCCTGGTTTATAACATTCCTCCACTGAGGACCATCGTTCTAAGTCACTTTTTGCCTTAAACGTTCCAGAGTCCCCATTGCTCAGAAAGCTTAGCTATGCTTGCTGGGACTGCAGGCACTGAAGGTAGGGCATCTTGAACACCTTTTTTGTGTTCGAGCAATTTGTTTATTTAATCCGCTAGGCTGGGCTTCTGAGATGTCCATGTGAGGACTTGAGAAAATCCTCTTTGCCGAACCTCCCTCTGTGATCTGCCAGCCTTGTGATTACGCCAGTCAAGAGGCACTTTGTTGTTTTGTTTTTAAATAACAATCGTCTGCCCCATTATGATTTTCCCAGACTCTGGAGCAATAAACAGCTCTGATGACAGCTGTACCAGATAGTAAGTGCACACGTCTCTCCCAGCATCTCCCTAAACTCTTCAGAGCAGCTAAGTGGATAAAACTGATTTCAGCTGTTACCTGAGTAGCCACTTGTGTCTGCCAAGTCTGCTCCAGAGACAAGAACCAGGCTTTGATGACAGAAGAAGAAAAACATGGGAATGACTGGCTCCCTGGCTGTCCTTGTCTCACAGCCCACATCCCCAAACCTCAGGAAATCTGGGTCCTGGCATGCAGGGAGATTAAGAGCTACAGTGTCCTAAGGAGGTCACAGTGCATTCAACCCAGGGGTATAAACAGGTGTGCACCTTTTGGTGAGAGGCCCAGGTGGCAGGCTGAGGCTCCACACAGTTGAATATTCAGGGCAGTCTTTCTGGATATGGTGGGTTCTCGTTTCTATTTTCAAAGTAGTAAGAGTTGGGGTAGGTGAGTACAAGAAGCAGGGGCACTTCTCATATTCATGTGATTGGGGTCATTGTTTCCTGATATGTTGTTGGTTTCCCTAATGCGGCATGGCTTCTCCAGGACAGGGACCATGGCTTTTCTCATTTCTGTAGTCCTAGATCCCAACTTAGAGATTACTTGTTAGTTGAATAGAGGTATGGGTGTGATGTCTAACTCTATGGCTGTTTAATTTTCTCCATCCTACCAGTTGCCAAGTTCTCCCTCAACTCCAATAAACTAGAAGCCACAGGACATCAGCTTTCTTCGGTGGTGACCTGGAAATCCAGGCCACACAATGGACAGTCTCAGGATTCTGATGAGCAAACCACCTCTTGCCCAGGATAGCTTTGAAGAGGCTCCCCTTGCCTCTTGTTCTGGTTACATTTCCACATCAAAGCTGGACATCCCACATTTGGCCTCTGCTCAGAACTTTGGTCACAGTGAATCCTTCACCTTTGTTATAGAAAAACTCAGTCATTTTAGTCATTTTGATATCAATTACCATGGATTTGCCAAGCTTGATAACTTGTAAAGTGACCACAGAGAGCAGATCTTAGCTGTAATGAGCGTCTTCTGCTCCTCCCTCCAGACACACTCTCCACCCACCTCCCTCCACCCTGAGAGGCTGACGTTATGGAACATTTCAATGGAAATCTCTGGTTTCCAGTTGGGTTCTGCCAGTGGCCTGACCTAGCATGAGATTGAAGTGGGGAGGAAAGAGTGAACTTGGGGTGTTTATTCAGCATCACTTGCCATGACCCCAAAGCCCTCCTCTCAGCTTTCTCTCCATGACTTTTCTCTTACACGTTCTGGTGACAGCTCTGTCCTCTCATTCCACTGGGCGTAGGGGTACTAACTGCTTCATGTTACTTTCCTCAGGGAATCATCCTATCCCTTGTGGTTCCCTGACACCCTACCCACACCTTTGAAAATGGTGCCTTTATTACATACTCCTCGGGTCTCCCCCTACTAAAGTGGGCCGTCTCTTTCCTGTTGAAGCATTGACTGATACACTGGCGAAAGGGAACACCCTGCCTGCCCTTCACCCCCTCCCAAGAGCCTAAAGAGACTTCTGAGCTTCAGGAAGAATCTGCCGTGAAGGACCACGCTTACTCACCCTCCTCACCTGCACTGCCTTCTTTCCACTTCTGTCCCTTTTATGGCCTAGCACACAGGTTTAAAAAGTAGTTGTCAACCACCCTCTTTTGCTAAAGCAAGAAATACATAATTTTGCCATTTTGAATTAAAAATATTTGCCAATGAGAATTTTTGAACATGTCAAGATAACCAGAGAGAACACCCTGAATATTCTAACCTAAAGTGGAAAAGTGTGGTATCTTGGTTTGTTTCTGAGGCGTAATCACTGGGGCAGGGGAGCACTAGTGATGAGGGTAGCAGCATGTTAATGCCTTTGGCAATGTGAGGAGAAGAGTTCACAGAACCCTAAGACTTTTCACTCGGAGCCCTGACTGGGAACCATGGCTCAGGGCTGAGGGAAGTTGCTGAAAACATTGAAGGCCAAGAGTCACGTGGCTTTCCCCTAGACCAGACCCAAACTACAGCCCATGGGAGACTCCTACTTTTGTAAATGATGTGTTAATGAAACACAGCCATTTGTTTATGTTTTTTTTTTTTTTTTCTGGGATGTGTTTGCACTACAGTAGGAGCGTTGAGTTTTCAGAGGCTGTATGGTCCTCTGTGCAGAAAGGAGTTTGCAGAGCTGGCCTGGCTGCTGTCCTTTGAAAGTCTTGCTTATGAGGTTGGCATCTAAGAGCCTGGGTCTCAGGATTCCCAGCAGAACTGATAAGAGTGGCTCTCTGTGCTTAATCTGATTATACAAACAAAACAGCCTAGGTTTACCACCCACTTTCCTTCTGGAAGCCTGGGATTTTGGTGCATACCAGGCAGAGGCTGCCTATGTGACAGCCCCCAGTAAAAAACCCTGGTGCTGCGTCTCTAACGTAATTCTCTGGTAGACAGCATTTCCCATGTGTTGTCACAGCTCAGAGGAATTGAGCATGTCCTGTGCAACGCCCCTGGGAGGGAACCCTTGGAAACTTGGACCTGGTTTCCCCAGGATTTGTCCAGGAGCCTTTCTCCTTTTTCCTTTTGGGTTTGTTTTGTATCCTTTTGCTGTCATAAATCATAGCAGTGAGTACAGCTATGTGCTGAGTCCTATGAGTCCCCATAGAAAATCATTTAGCTGAGGGTGGTCTTGGGGACTCCCCAGCACACCCAGAAAACCAAACATTTGTCATCCTGACCTTTAAGAAAAAGTTGGCCACCTCCTGCTCTGCACAGTCTTAGTGTGCATGGAAATTGTTATACATCTCCCATCCCACAAGACTCTGCGCTCCCTGAAGGCGCAATCCAGGCTTTTTACTCTGACAAAGCACAGTATCTGACATGAAATATTTATGAAGGGAGGAAATCAGGCAATCTGTAAATAATGGATTCAAGGCAGGCAGATCACGAGGTCAGGAGTTTGAAACCAGCCTGACCAACATGGTGAAACCCCGTTTCTACTAAAAATACAAAAATTAGCCGGGCATGGTGGTGCGCATCTGTAATCCCAGCTACTCAGGAGACGGAGGCAGGAGAATCACTTGAGCCTGGGAGGTGGAAGGTTGCAGTGAGCCGAAATAGCGCCACTGCACTCCAGGCTGGGCAACAGAGCAAGACTCTGTCTCCAAAAAAAAAAAAAAAAAAAAAAAAGAGGGGTTTGTAAACTGGGTGAAGAAATAAATTTAAAAGGTTATGACCAATGTTTTCCAATGAAAGATTAGAACAGAAATCAGTGTATATTACATATGTAAGGGTGTTTTATTTCTTGTAGTTATACAGGTGGACCAGACACTATACCGGATCATAATGTAAAAGGGTTTCTTCTTGTCCATTGCAATAGAAAATAATCTGAAGGCCACTGGATGTGAAGACTCCGGGGTCTTCCCTAACTGTGGCCTCTCTGCCAGCTGCCTGGAAGAATCACCACCTATGCTCCTGTCTCCGTGGCCATTGGCATTTATCCACACTCTCTCCCTCCCTCCGCCCCCAGAACGTGTACTACACGAGCAGTCAGCAGATCCATGTGGGCATTCTGAGCCCCACCGTGGATGATGATGACAACCGATGCCTGGTGGACGTCAACAGCCGGCCCCGGCTCATCGAATGCAGCTACGCCAAAGCCAAGAGGATGAAGCTTCACTGGCAGTTCTCTCAGGTAACAGCCCCAGAGCCCGGGCACAGTGGCAGCCATCGTGGAAAACCAGGAGAGTGGCCTCAGGGGCCAGGGAGGTGGTGGAGGAGAGGGGAAGGGGAAGGAGAGACAGACTGGCAGTAGTGAGGCTGTGGCTCCAGACTGCTTTGCTTCTCAGGGATTTGCTGATCAAATTACCATGTGCTGTGGGTCTCATGTGTTGACTATTGACCCCTGTGATATTGGCTCTGAGGGAGTTTATTATTATTGTTGTTGTTTTATTATAATGATTTTATTATTGTACTTTTTAGATATAAGGAAACTGAGGCTCAGAGATGGGAGTCCCCTGCCCAGAGTCTCACAGCTGGGGCAGGGCTGGGATATAAACTCAGGTCTTTCTGACTTTAAACCTTCACGTTTCTCCTATACAAGCCTCTGCTCACGAGATGGAGCCCCCAGTCTCCCAGATGTAGACAGTGCTGGGTCTCTGATCTGCAACCCCCTCTGCCTTCCACGCAGTATTGGGTCACTCTGGGAGAAGAGGTTTCCTTGCCAGACAGCATCTTGGGGCCATTTGGCGAAAGGCAGTCCTCACACTAGTGACCGTGGGACATTCCTTTATTAAGTCTCTGTTAATTCAGGGGCCCATATTTGACTTCCTGCTCTTCACTGGCCCCTAGTAGCTCCCATTATAGAATGTTGCCAAGGATCTAGATGCCTAGCTTTGAGGAGAACTTCTGCCTCTGCCCAGAGGTCTCCTAGTCACCAGGGAATCTGCTAAGGTAGGATCCATTTTCAGCCACAGATAGGGATGCCTGCCTCCCAGGTGGAGCAGGTAAAGCGTTAATAACAGGAAGTGAGGGAGCCCATGGGGTTGTGGAGCCTCAGGGCTGCCTGGGGGCTGTACATGGTGGACACTCCCAGGGAAGTTCGGGAGGGAACACCTGTATTCATGGAACTGAGTGGCAGGAGTCCCTGACTCCAGCCTCCCGGCAAGCTGCTTCTCCCCTGGTGAGGATGGAGGCTGCTGGGGGCACTGCAAGGAGCTTTGGAAGCTGGCTATACCTTGATTCCAATCCTGGCATCCAGTTACTCTCCCTGTAGCAAGGGTGATGGTAAGGAGAGTCCCAGCTACATCATATTGTATGGGCATAGGGCACCTTTGACTGTGGTCTGGGTGTGCAGAATTAGAGCACTTACAGAGACTCTTAGGTCCTAAATAAACAGTGAATGTCAATACTGAGCTGGAAGTTCAAAACAAGGTCATGGACTTAGGAGCTAGCTAGAAAGCAGAACCAAGAGCCTAAACCAGGGCTTTGTGAACACAGGAAAGCAGATGGTGGAGAGGAGCCCAGGAGCCAAATGGGAGCATTTCCGAGGGCAGGTGGAGGATGCAGGTGGCAGCTCTGTGAGTCCCAGCTCACCCTGCAAAGTGTCGGGGGTTCAATGAAAGGGAACTCATGCAAAGGACTCATGGCTCCTGCTCCTTCCTGTCTATGTAACCTTTGACATGTGCTGTAAACTGTGAAGTTCTATCCCAATAGGAATAACAGCTAACATTCATACAGTACTTACTATGTGTCAGGCATATATTAACTCATTTAATCCTCACCAAACCCAGATGTGATAGGTACCACCTGACCTCATAGA
Source organism: Homo sapiens (assembly GCF_000001405.40). NCBI lineage: Eukaryota > Metazoa > Chordata > Mammalia > Primates > Hominidae > Homo > Homo sapiens. Next base: position 11,291,402 of record NC_000011.10, on the reverse strand, counting down.
TGAGGAAACTGAGTCACAGAGAAGTTAACGAACATGCCCAAGGTGCTCATGTTGGTCATTATTTATGAAATAGTTCAAATTCTCTCTTACTTCTCATCACTGAAGCTATGTCGGAAGTGGCCACGTGGGAGAAGGCCAGAGGTCAGGGCTGAGGCTTGAGACACAGGGTGTTCATCCTCCCACCTCCCTCTCTGTGGAAACACCAGATGCCCCAGCTGGGAGCTACTGCTGACTTGACACTGTGCCTAGCAGAAGCCTTCATCACTTTCCTCTGCCAGATTTCCAGCTCAGGGGCCAGAGGATGAGGCTACATTTCCCTCCTTTCCTCCTTCAAGTTGAGAGGCAGAGGGAGGCCTGGGGTGTGTGGTGTGGAAGGACAGTTAGGTATATGCCCAGTGAAGGATGGCTGTTGTTTCTCAAGTCGAGCTGGGTGCAAAGTAGGCTTGTAGGTTGAAGACAACAGGGTCCTGAGTGCATATTCCGGGCTCCGTGGAGGTGAGTGGGGCTGACTTTGCTGGGGCGAAATGGTCTTCATGCCTCAGACTGTCTTCAGAGTCTATGGAGGTCACAAGGGACCATTTTCTACTGCCCTCAGCCAGACCTGCTGGGCCTCTGGGTTCAGCTTGCCCTGCCGTCTGTGAATGGAACGAATGGAACCATGCAGGAAGTTGGTGGTGGTGCAGCTAGGGGTGGGCAGGGCTGGTGGTTTCTCAGGAGACAATGTACTTAATTGGGAATGAATGTTAAGAACCTGGGAGCCTGGTCTCTTTGGAAGGAGTGAAGGGCATTCCAGGGAGAGGAAACAGCATGTGTGAAAGTTGTGACATCGAAAGCAGGCTGTGCTCAGGGAGCTGCCGGGAGTCAGGGGTGGCCGATCCTGGAGGGCACAGTGGGGAGCGGCTGAAGAGTCTGGAAGGCCAACTGGGCTAGGCCTGGAGGCCACAGGGCCTGGTGGATTTGATTCTGTGGGAGATAAGGATATGTAACCCCAGGTCATGTTTAGGTCTGGGATTTTGAAAGCCCCCCTCTGGCAGGGATTGTGAAGCTAGATTAGGAGAGATTCTAGAAAAGGAAAGAAGCAGGATGAAGAGTTAGCAGGAGATTGAGATGCAGTTTGAAGATTTAGCCATTTCTTCCTCCCTCTCCTCCATGACCCCGGGGTCTTCATAGCCTGCGTCAGCCCCCAAAGTCTCCTCTTAGCACAGGCTCTAAGGCCAATCCTAGGGACTCAGCTTTGGTGGTGTGGGCTGGAAATGTTGACAGGCATCACCAGGAGTCCTCAATCGACAAGAGTACTGCTTCAGATTACTGCAGGAGGAGGATGAGCAGTGGCCTCTGGGCTGTCTTGGAGTAGCCCCTGGAGGCCACAGCCCAGCCAGGCACTTGTAGCCCTGGGGACTTGGTGTCATCCAGACATGGGTATTCCTGAACTGAAGTAAGCCTCCAGCCCTCTTCAGACTCCTCTGCCTGTGAGCCTCAGCCTTTCTGTGTTCAGCCTTATACAGTTTGAGGTTAATAGCACAGCAAGCCCACCTCCAATATGAGACATTGAGATGAAGTCACCCTCCAAGATCACATGGCCTGAGAGTGGTAGATTCACTGGCTGAATCTGAAGCCCAGGCTGCTTTGACATCCAAGACCTGCACCCAGACACTTCTACCCTCTTTCCAGCCCTCACAGAATCCTTCCCACCCACGCTCTGAGGTCCCCACTGGAGTAACTCAGTCTCATCTCCTGTGCACACCTAGATGCCTTGGGGCTGTGGCCAGCGCTCCCCACTCCTCCCATCTTGTCTGTCCATCCTGGCTATGGCAGAGAAGGAAACACTGTTGTAAAATGGGCATCCTTGAGGCAAAGTCACCCCAAGTTCCAGCTCCCTCCTTCCCTTATCCCAGGGCATGGCTTGAAAAGGCAGCCCCACACGATTCCTGTTTAAACAGACATAGCAGTCAACAAAGCAGGCATCTGTGGCACAAGGCTCTTCGGTGACTGGGCAGTTTTCAGCCACTTTGGCATATGTCTACTTAAAACTCCCCGGAGTGCTTTGGCAACCATATATTTGATCCTTCTACAAAAGGGAACTGTTTGGAAATACTATTTTTGAATTCCTAGTTTTCAGACCCAGAGCAGCCACTCTCACTTGCTATTTAATAATTAATATATGTGGAAGTTTTGCTTACTGCAAAATGATCGATATTTATCAGGTGACCTGGAATCTCTCCTCGAGCCCTCATTGGTGAGGAGTCGCTGTTGACAAGGCCTGAAGAAGCCAGGAGCCTCTGAAATGATTAAAGTCTTGTGCTTGGGCTAATTTTCTTGCAACAGGTTTTAATCTTTGCAAATTGCATTCAGATCCTACCAACTAGAACGTTCTGGTACTCAAGTTGGGCTGAAAGGAGCTTTTACTGGGTGCATTTCAAATCTCCTTTCTGGTTTCACATTATGCACTATTTATTCTCCTGAGGACCACATTTAAGCTCCACAGACACTCAGGCTGAATTAATTTTAAAATAATCTAGTGTGTTTTCCCAGGTTCTCCTACCAAGAAGATAGATAGGCATTTGCATATCTTAGTGTTCCATCTCATACCCTGATTTTCTGCTTAACAAATAAAATACATTTCCTCTAACCCCCACAAGCTCTTCTGAATTTCCAATACTTCAGGCTGAACCAGGACAGCGTTAGATACTGACACTGAGAAACCACATTTGATGAAAACATCTCTTGGCAACGCTGATGTGCAGGACTCTGATGAGCAATTTTCCAATGATGAACAGTCTTTCCTTTAGTCGTTCATCAAACATTTATTGAGCATGGGGGTTGGACAGGAGGAATGCAGATATAAATCAGACACAGCTTCTGCCCTCAAGGAGCTCATGGGCATGTAAACACAATGGAACCGAATGATGAGAACAGAAACCGAGGGGTGTGCTGTGTTCTGAGAGCCTGGGATGACCGACTTGGTCTGCAGAACTCAGAGATGGCTTCACATAGGAGGCTTGTTTGATTTATATCATAAAGGTTGTAGAGACAGTTTCCAAGCATAGAACATCCCAAGTAGAGGCTCACTTGGGCAAAGGCATGAAATAGCTGAGCATATTTTAGTAGTAGGAATCCATTGTCTGTTGTGTGCAGAATTTAGAGTTTTTGATGGGACAAGTAGGAGATAAGACTTAGAGTCATGTAGAGCAGATAATGATGGTTGTTGAAAGCCATTCCAAGGAGGTAGACTTCACATTAAAAGCAGAAGGAAGGAATGGGGAAGGTTCTTAAGTAGTAGATTTCCATGGTGGGGTGTGCAAAATCCCCCTGGCAGCTGAAAGCAGGTGGATCAGAAGGAAAGAGGCTAGAAACAGGGAAGCAAGTTAAGGAGGAAACTGTTTCATTGTCCCGGGAAGAGATAGGAGGACTTGGTTGCCACAGGGGTGTGGGGACATGCAGCTATCAGGGAGGACTTTGAGAGACATTTCAGCAGGTTATTACACAATGATGGATTAGATGATGGTAGTCGGGCAGTGGAGTGGTTCTCAATACAGGACCATTGCCAGCCCTGTGTTTGAGAACATTTGGTGGGCAGGCAGAATTGCCTCCCTCAAGCTACACACCCTCCCTAAACAGCTGATGTCTCCCGCATCAGCACATGACAAAACTTCATAATATTAGAAGTGGCAGTTGTTGCCTTCAGTGATTTTTTCCTGTTTGTGATTCCTCCAGGATTAAAGAACTTCTAAAACTACCTACCTACTGGGATGATAAATTCATATGCATTAAGTATATGTCTTTCAACCTTCTGAGAGTAGCCTTCGTACTGAGATTTGGGGGATTCTGGGATTCAGTGATGGATTTCTGTGAAAAAAGAGGCATTTGGTCAATGACCCCTGGACCAGTGGAGGGAGAGGGAAGAGGCAAATATCAGGTCACTACAGAGAAGAACTTTGTGGCAGGATACTTGTCAAGCAAAGCAGAGGACTGACTCTCGGTAGTAACAAGGCCACCTCTCCACCTTCAACTACCATCATTCCTTTGAATGGTTTGTAATAGCCTAATGTTAGAGGGAGTCCTCTGTTCAAAGATGTTATTGAAGAGATTCTTGCTTTAGGAAGGCTGTTGTTATGATGTGGTCCTCCAAGCTCCCACTTTCTGAAAGTCCATCTATATGTTTGAATTCATGGCTAAAGGATTGAGGACTATTTAAGACCAGAAATTGCTCAGAAAGGTCAGTGTTCTACCTGCAGATCTCTGAAGGGCTGCCTTGTGCAAGGGCCCAGCAGGGTTGTCCTATGTAGCCCTGAGGGAGGACCAGCAGGGGGAAATTAGGAACAATTTATTGAGCTGCTTCTTCATAGAGCTGGTGATGAAGCTGATGGCTTGGGCAGGTGGTGAGTTCAGGGGACCATCAGCAGGTTGTCAAAGGCTCCACAGCTGTCAGTGGAGTTGGGCTGGGTGATTTTAAGGGCTTATGGACCCTGAAATTCTATAATTCTAAGCTCCCGAAGTTAGATGGCAAACCCTGAGAAGGGTTTTTTCCACCTAGAATTCTCACTGGGCCAGCCTGAATACAAAGCATCACAAATTTGAGAATGACACTCTTAATCACACTTTATGGCATCATTTACCCCTTATTTCAACCCGTGTCCCTCTCTTCTTCCATCAGCCAACAGACTAGAGGGCAGGACTGTGTCTCACACTTCAGTATCTCCAGCACCTAATGAAAAGCCAGAGACAGAGGCAGCACCCAGCATGCTGTTGATCAAATGAAGGAGTCTTTTTAAAAAAATTCACAAATCTTAACCAAAGTCCCCCCTGTGTGCAAGGTCTTGAGCTAGGTTTGTGGGAGCCCCAAAGATGAACAAAATCCTACCTCAATGACCGTCCTCGGATGCATGCATGCTCACTGGAGAAAAAAAAAAGTCATCTAACAGTATTTCAAAGACATTTCATGTTAATAGTCCAAGGGTCCTGCTTAGCTGGAAAATCCCCAGTTCCTACAGTGAACACTTTTAGGTGGTAGCGCATCCCACCTGTGGTACACAGACACTCATTATGTAGGATACTCAAAGTTACGGCATAAACACGCACTTCTTCCGATCACCTCAGATTTGGAGGAGAGAGGTGGAAATATTTTATACTAAAACAGATATGCATATTGCATGGAGTGCAAATTTAAATGAGTATTTTTAAAAACAGGAGGATCTGATGAAATCTCAGGGTGTTGAGACTGTATTTCATGTTGCCCTCAGACTCTGGGTTCTTTGGCGGGAACATTGGCAAGGCTGAGCTTAGAGTTCAAGGGTATGCAGGGCAGACACCACACCCCAGCCCCCTGTGCTTGCTTCATTCTCAGAGCAGCGCTGATGCATTTTCCAAGTGGGGAACGTTGCGGATAGCCACAGAGATGTCTGTTAATGCCAGGAAAGGAGAAATTTTCAAGACTAGATGAGACTGCCCAGAAGAGACTGAGCCCCTAGCCAAAGTTGCCTGTCAAGGGACAATTGGCTCTGATTTGTGAGGTCTAATTTGATAATTTGATGCAAGATGAGTAACGCACGCAAAGACGAATCTATTTGCAGAGCACATTTCCCAGGGAACACCACTAATTCTGCCAAAGAATTTCCCCATGCTAGAGGAGGAGGAGGAGTCCTTGACTTTCTCCTGCTCCAATCCCCAAGTGCTGTCAGCAAGTCCAACTTTGAGAACCTTTTGTGTTGAAAAGACAATAATCGAGTATTTAATGATGGCTCCAGAATAAAACAGCCTTTCATGTCATATGAAGGGACAAGTGTAGAACTGTCCAGTTTTGAGGGACTGACAAAGCTTCGTTTAGGCCTTGGATGTGCAATTAGTTATTTTTGGTTTATGGAAGTCAGCACTTCCCTCCTCTCCCTCATCCCACAGATATCAGGGACCGGGACTAGGTGTGATGGCTCAGCTCCCCACTACCCAGACCTGGGTGAGATTTTAAAATGTATTGCTCAAACATTTATATGGTGTTTACTATGTGCCCTGCACTACTCTGTTTTATAAATGTTACTTAATCCCTATGATAGCGCTATAAGGTACTTACTATAATTATCCCCAGTTTTACAGAGGAGGAAACTGAGGCATGGAGAGATTAAGTCATTTGTCAAAAATCAGATCTGGGAATCCTGCCTCTGGGGTCCATGCTTTAAACCACCATACCATGGTCCCTTGTCCTGCCTCTGGAAAACCAGTGGATCGCTGCAATGGGAGTTTGGGGCTGGGGCCTCCCTGCTGAGCCTGTCGCAAATATGTGTGGACTGGCTGGATCCCTACCTCCTCAGCAAACTCCCTCCAGCCATCCTGCTGTCTCCATAACCCCTCTCTACCTGTGCTTTGCACTTGATGTTCCTGTTACCCCATCTTCAGTCCAAGGGGCCCTTCACACAACAAGCCCTGGGCAGAATCTCACTCAGGCAAAGGTGAGACTAAGAAAGAGAACGCCCAAGTAGTTAAAAAAAAAAAAAAAAAAAAAACACGAAAGTCTTTACTAGTAAATCAGGTGTTGAGTATTCATAATACAAAAAGACCACTTAACTCTACCAAAAAAAGACTTAATCTCAGGGTTTCTTTAACTAGCTGTAATGTCCCACACATGCTTTGAAGTATTTGATTACTAATCATTAACTACTTAACCTAGAAACTCCTGAGCTCACCATGCTTAAAGCCAAAGACCCACTGGGCTGCTTGCCCATGGAAAATTAATTAAAAAAGAAAGTGGAATGGGAATTCTAAAATAAGCAGAGAAGTATTTGGAATACACGAGCTAGTACACACACAGCGTCCTTGTGAACTCCTTGATTGCAAAAGTAAGACCAGCCTGAGCTTAACACAAATACTCCAGACGTTCCACCTCAGGATGCAAGCGACCAGCTGGGCCCAACCCTTTCCTGAAAGGGGGTCATAGCTTGTGGTCTCAAAGTGTGGTCCCAGACCACCACCACCACCAATGAAACAGCACCTGGGAACTTTAAAAGGCACATTTTCAGGCCTTATCTCAGACCTAGTGAATCAGAAGTGAGAGGGGCAGTGATCTATAGTTTAAAAAGCCCACAGGTGACTCTAACTCTTACATTCCAGGAGGAACAGGCCAGTCAGTCTGTACCACACGTAGGCACCACAGACACACTTGGGAAACTGAGGCAGAAAGATGCTTGGCTGTGTAATAACCTGGGATCTGCTCCTCGGTGCCCAAGAGACTCATGGACTGTGGCTTCCACACGCCCCAGTCTACGCACAGTTCTCTATGTTGAGACACAAATTGAGTGCCTCAGCATGCTCTGTCTCCTTTTGCAAGTGACAAGACTGAAGCCCAGAGTGGCTCAGCCATTTTCCTGAGGTGACGTGGCCAAGGCGGGGCACAGAGTCCTACGTTCTTTGCTTCTGCTCATGCCTTTCCAGTTCCTATTCCTGAAAGGCCCAGAAGGAGGAGGAATTAGGCTTGGAGAAGGGAACCTGGCTCTAGGAATTATTATTAGCCTTCAAAATTCTACACATTCAAATTTGATTTTTTTCTTTTAGCTGATGTTTCCATATTTAATTTGGTTTTCATTCCAATTAAGTTCTCTGTGTGCTACGGCTTCTCTCCTGCCAGGTTTAATTGCCCTTACTTAAATTCTTTAATTAAAAGTATTGTGTGTTTCCAGATTATGTAGTTGTAGTATTACACAAATAATGTAGATGACAGGGCTGGTGAACCAAATGACTGTGCCCTCCACAGAGGGAGGGGCCAGCCCAGGTCTCTGCACGAAGCCCCAGCCTAGAGCCATGAGACTGGGCCGGAGGCTGCAGGTTGGACCCTGCGAGTGAGGACAGAAGTCGGCTAACATGTGTCCCTTCTTCCTTCCTTCCTCCAATGCTCTGTGCCCAACACAGCACCACCCAGAGTGACCTGGTTAGCCTGTCAGTCAGATTCTGCAATGGCTGGCCCTGTCATTCAGATTAAAAGTCAAAGTCTTGCTTGTAATTCCAGCACTTTGGGAGGCTGAGGCAGGCAGATCACCTGAGGTCAGGAGTTCGAGACCAGCCTGGCCAACATGGCAAAACTCCATCTCTCCTAAAAATACAAATACTAGCCAGGCATGATGGTGCATGTCTGTAATCCCAGCTACTTGGGCAGCTGAGGCGGGAGAATCACTTGAACCTGGGATTGCATTGAGCCGAGATCCTGCTACTGCACTCCAGCCTGTGTGACAGAGTGAGACTCCATCTCAAGAAAAAAATAAAAAGCCAAAGTCTGTTCAGTGGCCACAAGGCCCTATCCACTTACCCGCACCTCTTGGACCTCATCTCCTCCCACTAACCCCAAGCTCAGGGCCCACGACTCCGCCATTTCTGCCGTGGGCCACCTCCTCCCCTCCTTGCCCTTGCTGAGATCTCAATTTTGATTGAGGATTTCCCTGGCCACCTCTTACACTTGCCGTCTGCCTCCAGCTCTCCACCACCCCGAGCCTCTTTCCTTGTCTACATTTTTGTATACAACCTTATCACCTTCTCGCATGCTTTGGAATTTATTTTTCTGCTTTCCCTACTAGAATATGGTCTCTACAAAAGCAAAGATCTTTTTCTGTTTAGTCACTGATATATCTCAGTGGCCTAGAATGGTAGGTGCTCATTAAATATGTGTTGAATGGATGGAAGGATTAATGAATAGTGTCTCTGCAGAGGGCCCTCAGAGGAAGCAGACCTAATTTTGAAGCTCGTTGAGGTGATCCTTCTCCACCCTAGGCATTGGGGCACCACCAGCTCCCTCAGTCTAGTTCACCACCACTGTGATAGGCAAGGGCTGGGGCTGGCCACCATCCTAGCGAGGAACATAAAGGGGGCAGACCCCCCTGGGTTCCCAGGCTGCCACTACTTACTGCTCATTTACTGACCATGTGACCCTGGACAAGTCTCCCAGCCTCTCTGGGCCTCAGTCTCCAAGCCTGTAAAATGGGGATAATTATTCTCTCTACCTCTCAGGGCTTTTGTCAGGAAGACCTGGAATTGGGCATGTAAAGTATTTGGCATAGTACTAGGCAAATGGTAAATAAGTGATAGTTGTTATTCCTCTCATCTCAGCTGCAGAACCTGCAGGCAGAAGTACAGTTGGTAAAACAGGAGGCTGCTCCCACGGTGCTGAGCTTCCCAGGAAGGCACTGAGTGTGGGAAAGGAAGGCTTCTTTGCAATGTTTGTGAATGAAATTTTCCGAGAGAAGAAGAAAGAGTCTGTTCAGTGAAAGAGGCTGAGGTCAAGAAGGGGGACAGGAGGAAGACAGTGCTGGTGGCCAGTGCTATCTCTGTTTTAAAAGTTTAAGCAAGTTTTAAACTTTAACCTTTTATAATTTTTGTTGAAGAGCTCCAGCATCAAAGGGTGGCCTGGTCCCTCTGTCCATATCCCAGATGTGTTCCCAGGGAGCAGGTCAGGGCTCTGCTCAGCGATGCCCCACCATGGCCTTACTACCAGTTCTAGAGCACCCTCCCCTCCCAGCCTCCAGGGAGGGAGCTCTCCTGGCCTCATACTCCACCCTCCCTGACAGGCTCAGATATTCTCACGGAGGTTGTGTCCCATCCACCCGCCTCCCCCAACCCCACTCTTGGCCGTGATCCATCCTTCCCACATCCCTTCAGGCAGCCAATGCCCAGGGTCACCGCACTTCTAGTCTCTAGGGTGCTGAGGCTGTGGCTGGGCTGGGCTTGGGAAACATCAGATGGGAGTCTCTGAAGGATGCTTTATGTCTCAGAAACCTCTGCTCCTGCCTTCCTCTCTAGACCTTGGCAAGGTGTCCCTTGAAAGGCAAGCAAAGAAAGGGCTGTGGTGTCTTCTGTGCGGGACGTGTTTCTCCAAGAGTTGGTTGTCTGGGGTCTGCACAGCACCTCGCTGTTGGCAAGGCCTGGGCCGGCCCCAAGGATGAGCTGAGCAGCCAGAATCTTCAGCTGAGTGGGCAGCGGCACTTGGTCCGGGCCCGTTTGTTGTGCGCTTTGGTCACAGCCCCCACCCTGATCCTCCGATCCGTACGGTTTATAGCTGATAAACGGATTCCTATCAGTCCTCTGGCTCATCCTTCCAGGAATCAGGACAGAAATGACCATTTGGGCCTGCAGACAATGAAACCAGAAGTGGGGAGAGGCTTGCCCAGGCCACACAGCTAACCGCCAGGAAAGCAGCTGTGTCCTCAGCATCCTAGCTCAGCACTCTTCCCTTTCTACCTGGCTCCGGAAACGCCAACAGATCTTGCAAATTAGAGAGCGGGGCTGGTTTTGGTCCCCTGCCTGCGTGCTGCTCCCAGCATGGTGGGGAAGACAAACCACTGGGCTGGCAGGACTGCGGTGGGGCCAGGGAACTGGCCACAGATCTGTTCAAGAAGCATCAGCAACACAGCCCAGCCTGGGTGTGGGCAGCAGATATGCCCAGGCCACAGGGTTTTACACAGAAGCTAAGGAAATGTGGGCCATGGAGCAATGGTCTGGCCTTGTTTGGAGCAACTGGCACAGGGGATGCCTCTGGGCCTAAGAGTCTAGCTTCTAAGGGACAGGATGGGCACCCAAGGTGGACCACAGTTTGAGAGGACAACTTGAGGCTGTGCTTCACACCCATCAGGAGCACCATGTGGCCCCAAAGTGCCAATTCCTTGGCTATATTGAAGGGGCCTCTTGTCCAGTATAAGTGAGGCAGTGACCCTGGGCACTGTGGTCAGTCCTGAGGGGCAGAAATTAGCCAGAGCTTGTTCAAAGGAGGGCAACCAGTTTGGAAAATTATACAAAATTGTCCCACCAGGAACTGGGAAAGTTAAACCTGGAAATGCTGGGAAAAACTGGGAGACGCAGGCCTCACCTCTCCTGCCGGAAGGGAAGGTGTGGAGGAACAGCAGGCCGCTGGGGAAGCCTCAGGGGAGCTCAAGACAAGGATTTTAGCGCAGTGGAAGGAGCATGCTCCAAGGGTGGGCAGCTGGGGGAAGACTGCATATTTGGGAGGGGGTGAGATCCTTCTCCCTGGAGGTGCCAAGCAGAGCTGAAGGGTCCCATGGCCACAGAGGCCATTAGGCATGTGAGAGCGAGAGGCTGGCCTTCAAGGTCTCTTTCAGCATGGGGATTCCAGGGCCCTTCCTAGGCTTGTCCAAGGGCCCCTTTCAGAGGCCGAGCCTGCAGGTTTCTCCCTGGCAAACAGTGGGCCCCAGCAGCTGCTGTTTCAGTTTCCTGTTTATTCTTTGGTCTCTGTGCTGTTGAGTACACTGAATCACTGCACTCCCCGGGCGGGGGGTGCCCTGGGGTGTGGGGCACAGCAGGAGGAATCTTGCTTTATTTGTGTGAATGCTTCTGAATAGGTTTGTGTGATCGGCTGGGCCATCTCCCCAACACAGGAAGTCGGTAATCCCATGTCCCCTCCCAACACACACATACACAGTCCCCTCCACCCGCACCCCCTGCTTCTCAGTCCCTGCCTCCTTCATCTGTGACTCAAAGTCCCTTCTCAGGGAGCTGGATTTTTTATTTCAATTTTTCAATTGAAGAACATGGATACATACAGAAACATGTATAAAATACACACTTTCAACTCCATGGTTTAAAACAAAGCAAATCCCTAGGTTTCCATCACCCAGCTCAGGAAATAGGACTGCTAGCAACACCCTTGTGATTTCCTGCCCATCACCTTCCCAGTCCCTTCTTCCCAGAGCTGACCACCATCCTGACTTTCACATCATGGCTTTATTTTACCTGTTTGGGAGGTTTATATAAATAGAATAATGTTTGTTTGTATTTTGTCTGGCTGCTTCTGCTCGACATTGTATTGGTGAGATTTATCGAGTATAGCTATAGTTTTTGTTGCTATATAGGTTTCCATTATATGAATATACCGTGAGTTATATGTCTGCTGTACTATTGATGGACGTTTGAGTTATCTCCAGGTTAGTTTTATAAATCGTGTTCTAGAAAGCATTCATGCGCATGTTTTTGGTATAAACGTTTCTGATAGAAGTGTTGGGTCATAGGGTTGTATATGTTAACTATAGTAGGTACTGCCCATTTCAACAGTTGTAAGAACTGAAGTTTTTTTTTAGTCTTAAATTTTTTTAAGAAATTTTTAATTATTATGGATGTGTTAGGCCATTCTTGCATTGCTACAAAGAAATTAAAGAAAAGAGGTATAATTGGCTCATGATTCTTCAGGCTGTACAGGAAGCTTTTGCTTATGGCAGAAGATGAATTGGGAGCTTGCAGGTCACAAGATGAAGGGAGGAGAGAGAGTGGTGAGAGGAGGTGCCACACACTTTTAAATGACCAGCTCTCGTGTAGACTCAGAGCGGAGAGAGCCCACTTCTCACCAAGGGGATGGCCCAAGCCCGTCATGAGGGATCCGGCCCCACCTGCAACCCTGGGGATCACATTCAACAAATATCCAGACTACATCAATGGGTACATAATAGTTGAATATATTTATGGGGTACATGTAATGCTGTCATACAGGCATATAATGTGTAATGATCAAATCAGAATAATTGGGTTATCTTTTACCTCAAGCATTTATCATTTCTGTGTTAGAAACATTCCAATTCTACTTTTAGTTATTTTAAAGTATACAATAAATTATTATTAATTATAGTTACCCTGTTGCATTACTATTAGAGCTTATTCCTTCTATCGAACTGTATTTTTGTACCTATTAACCATCCCTGCTTTTTCCTCTCCTCCCTACTACCTTTCTTAGCCTCTGGTAACCATCATTCTCTCTCCAGGAATTCAATTTTTTTTTTAATTTTAACTCCCATATGTGAGTAAGAACATGCAAAATTTGTCTTAAAATTTGTCTTTCTGTGCCTGGTTTATTTCACTTAACATAATGACCTCCCGTTCTATCCATGTTGTTGCAAATAACAATCTCCCTTTTTTTTTTATACTATAAGTTCTGGGGTACATGTGCAGAATGTGCAGGTTTTTTACAGAGGTATACACGTGCCATGGTGGTTTGCTGCACCCATCAACCCATCATCTACATTAGGTATTTCTCCTAACGCTATCCCTCCCCCAGCCCCCCACCCACCAACAGGCCCCACTGTGTGATGCCTTCCCTGCCGTGTCCATGTGTTCTCGTTGGTCAACTTGGTCCAGAGCTGAGTTCAAGTCCTGGATATCCTTGTTAATTTTCTGTCTCATTGATCTGTCTAACATTAAAGGTGGGGTGTTAAAGTCTCCCACCATTATGGTGTTGGAGTCTAAGTCCTGCACCCAGATTATTAAAGCAAGTTCTTAGAGACCTAAAATGAGACTTAGACCCCCACACAATAATAGTGGGAGACTTTAACACCCTACTGTCAATACTAGACAGATCAACGAGGCAAAAGGTTAACAGGGATATCCAGGACTTGAACTCAGCTCTGGACCAAGTGGACTTAATAGACATCTACAGAACTCTCCAACCCAAATCAACAGAATATACATTCTTCTCAGCACCTCATCGGACTTATTCCAAAATTGACCACATAATTGGAAGTAAAACACTCCTCAGCAATTGCAAAAGAACGGAAATCATAGCAAACAGTCTCTCAGACCACAGTGCAATCAAATTAGAACTCAGGATTAAGAAACTCCCTCAAAACTGCACAATTACATGGAAACTGAACAACTTGCTCCTAAGTTACTACTGGGTAAATAACAAAATGAAGGCAGAATAAAAGATGTTCTTTGAAACCAATGAGAACAAAGACACAACATACCAGAATCTCTGGGACACATTTAAAGCAGTGTTGTAGAGGGAAATGTATAGCACTAAATGCCCACAAGAGAAAGCAGGAAAGATCTAAAATTGACACCCTAACATCAAATTAAAATAACTAGAGAAGCAGCAGCAAACACATTCAAAAGCTGGCAGAAGGAAAGAAATAACTAAGATCAGAGCAGAACTGAAGGAGATAGAGACATGAAAAACCCTTCAAACAATCAATGAATCCAGGGGCTGGTTTTTTGAAAAGATCAACAAAATAGACCACTAGCCAGACTAACAAAAAAAAGAGAAGAATCAAATAGATGCAATAAAAAATGATAAAGGGGATATTACCACTGATCCCACAGAAATACAAACTACCATCAGAATACTGTAAACACCTCTACACAAAAAAACTAGAAAATCTAGAAGAAATGGATAAATTCCTGGACACATACACCCTCCCAAGACTAAGCCAGGAAGAAGTTGAATCTCTGAATAGACCAATAACAGGCTCTGAAATTGAGGCAATAATTACTAGCCTACCCACCAAAAAAAGTCCAGGACCAGACGGATTCACAGCCAAATTCTACCAGAGGCACAAAGAGTTGCTGGTACCATTCCTTCTGAAACTATTCCAATCAATAGAAAAAGAGGGAATCCTCCCTAACTCATTTTATGAGGCCAGCAGCATCCTGATACCAAAACCTGGCAGAGACACAACAAAAAAAGAAAATTTCAGGCCAATATCCCTGATGAACATCAATGTGAAAATCATCAGTGAAATACTGGCAAACTGAATCCAGCAGCACATCAAAAAGCTTATCCACCATGATCAAGTCAGCTTCATCCCTGGGCTGCGAGGCTGGTTCAACATACACAAATCAAGCAACATAATCCATCACATAAACAGAACCAGTGACAAAAACCACATGATTATTTCAATAGATGCAGAAAAGGCCTTCCATAAAATTCAATACCCCTTCATGCCAAACACTCTCAATAAACTAGGTATCGATGGAACATATCTCAAAATAATAAGAGCTATTTATGACAAACCCACAGCCAATATCATACTGAATGGGTGAAAACTGGCACAAGACAGGGATGCCCTCTCTCACCACTCCTATTCAACATAGTATGGGAAGTTCTGGCCAGGGAAGTCAGGCAAGAGAAAGAAATACAGGATATTCAAATAGGAAGAGAGAGAGGAAGTCAAATTGCCTCTGTTTGCAGATGACATGATTGTATATTTAGAAAACCCCATTGTCTCAGCCCCAAATCTCCTTAAGCTGATAAGCAACTTCAGCAAAGTCTCAGGATACAAAATCAATGTGCAAAAATCACAAGCATTCCTATACACCAATAAAAGACAAACAGCCAAATCATGAGTGAACACCCATTCACAATTGCTACAAAGAGAATAAAATACCTAGGAATCCAACTTACAAGGGATGTGAAGGACCTCTTCAAGGAGAACTACAAAGCACTGCTCAAGGACATGAGAGAGGACACAAGCAAATGGAAAAACATTCCACGCTCATGGGTGGGAAGAATCAATATCATGAAAATGGCCATACTGCCCAAAGCAATTTGTAGATTCAGTGCTATCCCCATCAAGCTACCACTGACTTTCTTCACAGAGTTAGAGAAAACTACTTTAAAGTTCATATGGAACCAAAAAAGAGCCTGCATAGCCAAGACAATCTTAAGAAAAATAACAAAGCTGGATGCATCAGGCTACCTAACTTCAAACTATACTACAAGGCTACAGTAACCAAAACAGCATGGTACTGGTACCAAAACAGAGAGATAGACCAATGGAACAGAACAGAGCCCTCAGAAATAACACCACACATCTACAACAATCTGATCTTTGACAAACCTGACTGAAACAAGCAATGGGGAAAGGATTCCCTATTTAATAAATGGTGTTGGGGAAACTGGCTAGCCATATGCAGAAAACTGAAGCTGGACCCCTTCCTTACATCTTCTACAAAAATCAACTCAAGATGGATAAAAGACTTAAATGTAAGACCTAGGACCATAAAAATCCTAGAAGAAAACCTGGGCAGTACCATTCGGGACATCGGCATGGGCAAAGACTTCATGACTAAAACACACAAAGCAATGGCAGCAAAAGCCAAAATTGACAAATGGGATCTAATTAAACTAAAGAGCTTCTGCACAGCAAGAGAAATCATCAGAGTGAACAGGCAACTACAGAATGAGAGAAAACTTTGGCAATCTGTCCATCTGACAAAGGGCTAATATCCAGAATCTACAAAGAACAAACAAATTTACAAGAAACAAACAACCCCATCTAAAAGTGGGTAAAGGATATGAACAGACACTTCTCAAAAGACATTTATGCAGCCAACAGACACATGAAAAAATGGTCATTATCTCTGGTCATTAGAGAAATGCAAATCAAAACCGCAATGAGATACCATCTCACACCAGTTAGAATGGCGATCATTAAAAAGTCAGGAAACAACAGATGCTAGAGAGGATGTGGAGAAATAGGAACACTTTTACACTGTTGGTGGGAGTGTAAATTAGTTCAACCATTGTGGAAGACAGTGTGGCCATTTCTCAAGGATCTAGAACTAGAAATACTATTTGACCTAGCGGTCCCATCACTGGGTATGTACCCAAAGTATCATAAATCATTCTATAAAGACCCATGCACATGTATGTTTATTGTGGCAGTATTCACAATAGCAAAGACTTGGAACCAACCCAAATATCCATCAACACTAGACTGGATAAACAAAATGTGTCACATATACACCATGGAACACTATGCAGCCATAAAAAATGAGTTCATGTCCCATGGATGAAGCTGGAAACCATCATCCTCAGCAAACTATCATAAGAACAGCAAAGAACAGAAAACCAAACACCACGTGTTCTCACTCATAAGTGGGAGTTGGACAATGAGAACACATGGACACAGGGAGGGGAACATCACACACTGGGGCTTGTCAGGGAGTGGAGGGCTAGGGGAGGAATAACATTAGGAGAAATACCTAATGTAGGTGACAGGTTGATGGGTGCAGCAAACCACCATGGCATGCATATACCTATGTAACAAAACTGCACATTCTGCACATGTACCTCAGAACTTAAAGTACAATAATAAAAAATTTTAAAAACCCACCTACTCAGGCCACAGCAATGGCGGATGTCCCTCACCCAACCAAGCTTGAGCATCCCAGGTCAACCTCAGACTGCTGTCCTAGCAGCGAGAATTTCAAGCCAGTGGATTTTCGCTTGCTGGGCTCTGTGGGAGTGGGACCCACTGATCCAGACCACTTGGCTCCCTGGCTTCAGCCCCCTTTCCAGGAGAGTGAACGGTTCTGTCACACTGGCATTCCTGGTGCCACTGGGGTATTGAGAAAAAAACAAAAACAAAAACTCCTGCAGCTAGCTCAGTGTCTGCCCAAACAGCCACCCTGTTTTGTGCTTGAAACCCAGAACCATGGTGGTATAGACACCTGGTCCTGGTCTGCCAGTTGCAAAGACCGTGGGAAAAGCACAGTATCTGAGCCGGAGTGCACTGTTCCTCCCGGTACACTCTCTCACAGCTTTCCTTGGCTGGGGAAGGGAGATCCCCCAACCCCTTGCACTTCCCAGGTGAGGCGATAACCCACCCTGCTTCAGCTTGTCCTCCGTGGGCTACACCCACTGTCCAACCAGTCCGAATGAGATGAACCAGGTCCCTCAGTTGGAAACGCAGAAATCACCCGCCTTCTGCATGGATCTCTCTTAGAGCTGCAGACCGGAGCTATTCCTATTCAGCCATCTTGACAGTGAAACCAGAGTCTCATTATTTTAATGGTTAAATATTATTCCATCCTGTGTATATACCACATATTCCTTATTCATTAACCTATTGATGGATACTTAGGTTGATTCCATATGTTGTCTATTGCGAATAGTGCTGCAATAAACATGGGAGTGCAGATATCTCTTCAATATGCTGGTTTCCTTTCTTTTGGGTATATACCCAACAATGGGATTGCTAGATTATACAGTAGTTTTATTTTCAGTTTTTTGAGGAACCTCCATACTGTTCTCCATAGTAGCTGTAATAATTTTCATTCCCACCAACAATGTACAAAGGTTTCCTTTTCTCTACATCCTCACCAGCATTTATTATTGCCTGTCTTTCGGTTAAAGCCATTTTAACTGGGGTGAGATGATTCATTATAGTTTTTGCTTACTTTTCTCTGGTAATTACTGATGTTGAGCATTTTTCCATAACCTGTTTGCCATTTATAAGTCTTTTGTGGAATGTCTGTTCAGATCTTTTGCCCATTTTTTAATTGGATTTTTTGCCTTCTTGCTATTGAGTTATTTGAACTTCTTATGTATCTTGGTTATTAATCCCTTGTCAGAGGGGTAGTTTGCAAATATTTTCTCCAGTTCTGTGGGCTGTCTCTTTACTTTGATTGTTTCCTTTGCTGTGCAGAAGCTTTTTAACTTGATGTGATCCTATTTGTCCATTTTTGCTTTGGTTGCCTGTGCTTTTGAGGTCTGTCTCAAGAAATTGTTGCCCAGATCAATGTCCTGGAGTGTTTCCCACATTCTGGAGTGTTTCTCCAATGTTTTCTTCTAGGAGTTTTGTAGTCTAATCTTAGATTTAAGTCTTTAACCTATTTTGATTTGATTTTCATATATAGCGAGAGATAGGGCTCTAGTTTCATTCTTTTGCATTTTCTCAGGCAATTTATTGAAAAGACTGTCCTTTCCCCATTGTGTAGAGAACCAAGTCTTAACACTCTCTTGAGATGTCCGTTGTTGCTATGGGAATGGTCATGGCAGACTTGGATGACATCCTTCAAGAAGTTTGCCACCTCTCCCTCTCTCAGTGCACTTCCCACTGTGAGCTGGAAAAGGCACAAAGTGAAGAGCACCAGCCCAGCTTGTAGACTGAGGAGGTGGAAGTGGAGGTGGGGCATGGGTGGGCAGTAGAGACTTCCTGGAGGAAATGGAGGAGTTGAGCTTTGATACATGGTTGCAGCTTAGCCTGTCATGGGAGCATGGGGAAGAATCCCAAGCGGAGAGCACAGCTTGCTTAAAGTGCAGGAACCCTGAGTTAATGTAAATGGGTTCAGAAAAGTACAAGGGATTTGATGTGGCTGCAGCAAAAGTCATGGAGCTGGGGAAGGATCAGAGATGAGGCTAGAAAGGCAGCACTGAGCCATGGAGGCCTTCAGTGCTGCACTGAGGAGCTTGGACTTTGTCCTTTAGGCCAAACATGCATTTTAGAAAGATCACTACTCCTGCCTCTGGAGGTTGGAAGGGAGATCCATTAGGGAGCTGACACAGTTGTCCCAGTGAGAGAAAGAAGTTGGTGGCCTGAACCAGGGCAAGTGTGATGGGAAAGGGATAAGGGGACAGTCACATGACACAAGAGAGGTAGAATTGCCAGGACTTGAGGCTTACTTGGATGCTGAAAGGATAGATAAATGAAAATGTCCATGTTTCTCACACAAATACCTGAGACAGAAATACAGGAGTAGGTTCTGGGGGAAAAAGTGAGTTTGACCATATACTCAAGTGCCATTAAGCTACAAGGGGTCCAATTATAAGAACCTCCACCCACCAAAGCAATTCTGCCTGCTTGGGAGGCCAAAGTCTAGTTGAGCACAAGTTTGGTGGTAACTCAGAGATGCTCAGACAGTCCAGGCTGCCACCTCAGACTCACAGCCAGCAACCCAAAGGGTCCAAGCCCTGAAAAGATTTCACTACAAAAATTGGGGGTTTCCTATTTGCTGCTATAGGGCTGATATGAGGAGCAGAACATCAAGGGGCTTTGGGTCATAAACTGAGTATGAATGGCTACAAACATTCTGGAACCTCAGTAGCATGGGGAAAAATCATGCATGTCAGGACTTAGGGGGCCCAGTGGCCTAAGAGACAGTAACCAGGAGGCTGACTTTGGTTGAAACCAGTATTGATGACTCCAGAGGTCCAACTGGGGGCATGGACCCTAGGAGCAGGAAGCCCCAGGCCTCTGGTGATGCTCAAATGCAGGCCAATGATGGGTCGTCCCAAGAAACTAGGCTTTTCAGAGAAAGGACCCAGCCCCTGGGGTAGGAGCTGTAGGTGCAAACAGGTGTACCACAGCCCAGCTAGGTAGACAGAACTACCTAGGGGTGGGGAGGCCTCTCTCCTAGTGAAGAACTAGGGCTCTGTGAAGACAGCTGTGGCACATATTCAGTCTTCCAGAGGAGACTAATATATGAGTGATAGGGGAGCCTGCAGTTTCATGGGAATGCTGACCTCCTGGGATCTGGCCACACAGATAATGTCAGCCCTCACCAGCCACTTGGCCTGAGGCTCCCGAATTTCTGCATGTTGCCTCTATGCCCTCTGACCCCACTGTCTGCCCTGGCCCCTAGGGAGGACCCATCCAGAACCGCAAGTCTAAGCGCTGTCTGGAGCTGCAGGAGAATAGCGACCTGGAGTTCGGCTTCCAGCTGGTGTTGCAGAAGTGCTCGGGCCAGCACTGGAGCATCACCAACGTCCTGAGGAGCCTCGCGTCCTGACCCACCGGGGCCACTTCCGGCTGCCTCTTTGCTACTGTGTAGCACCTGCTGCAACGTTGCCTGCTGTCCACGTGGGGTTGTTTGGAGTCTGGGGAACCAGGTTAGTGGGCCCCCAAGAAGAGCTTTTTATTTCCTATTCAATTTTCATGGAGTTTATAGAAAGATGCTGATTGGTAGGTGATGGTATGATATCAAACTATTTTGCAGTTGTAAATAGGGGACAGATGGAAAATATTTATAACTGACAATAAAATATTATTAAGAAAAGGGTTTTGCAGTCATTTGGTGCTCTGTGGAGATTCATGCCTGGTTCCTTTGAACTTGGAGTTCCTGTAGCCAAAGATGCGTCCCTATGTGCTCCTTTCTGGCTTCTCGTCCTCAGAAAGGGGGCTTTAATGACTAGCACTCAGTGGGAGCTTGTTGTACAAGCTGCCAGCTCTCTTCATTAGACCCAAGGCAGCAAGAAGGGCACTGTGACCTCAGGTTCCAACCCAGAGGAGGACGGTCCCCTCTGCCTCTCCCATGGCAGGTTCCCCTCTGGAAGATACCTGCAGCCCTTCATTCCTGAGGGACCACAGTTGCTCACTGGTCACTGGAGTGTCATCTGCTGGGCTTCAGGCCACCCTGCCCTCTCCTGAAGTTGCCAACTCACCTCCACCTTCACCCCCTAGAGCTGCCCCCGGCCCAGCCCCTCGCCAGGACACTGCCTGTGTCCATTTGCCAAGACCACTCAGGCTCCTCCCATGAATCAGGGGTTGTCAGTTTCCTTCAGCTGCCATAACAGATCTCCACACACTGCGTGGCTCACATAACAGAAAATGATCGTCTCACAGTCTGGGAGGCTAGGAGTCCAAAATCAAGGTGTTGGCAGGGCTGGTTCCTTCTGTGGGCTGGGAGGGGAATCTGCTCCAGGCCTCTCTTCTGGCTCCTGGTAGTCTCAGGCCTTCCCTGGCGGGGCGATGTCCATCTTCTCCCCTGTGTCTTTACATTGTCTTCCCTCTGTATGTGTCTGTCTCTGGGGCCCAAATTTCCTGTCGTTAGGACGACCGCAGTCATGTTGAATGATGGACCACCCTAACAACCTCATTTAACTTGATTACCTCTGTAAAGATTATCTCCAAATAAGGTCACATTCTGAGGTACTGGGGGTGAGGACCTTACCATATCCTTTTGGGGGACTCAATTCAGCCCTTAGCACCTGGCTCACTCACGCAGGGCTCCAGGTCAGCCCCTCTGGGACAGCCTCAGGACATTTGCACATTAAACGCCTGTGTTTCCTGCTTCCACTGCCTTCCCTGATACTGGAAAGGACTCTTTTAGCCTGTGCTGTAAGACCTCCTATTCAGCCAGCCCTGCTGCCTGGCCCACCACCCAGTTCCCTAACTCAGCCCCCAGCCCTCGCCTAGTTCCTGCCCATGGTCCCCTCTGTTATGAGTAATGAAAGAAGAGAATGGGCTCCTCACACCCCCCAAGAAGATGGACACAATTGTTAGCAGCAACAATGGCAGAAGCCAGAGTACATTGACTGTATCCTGGCCAGACTCCAAGTCACTGCTGGCCAAGCACGGTGGCTCACGCCTGTAATCCCAGCACTTTGGGAGGCCGAGGTGGGTGGATCACCTGAGGTCAGGGGTTTGAGACCAGCCTGGCCAACATGGTGAAACCCAGTCTCTACTAAAAATATAAAAATTAGCTGGGTGTGGTGGCAGGCACCTGTAATCCGAGCTACTTGGGAGGGTGAGGCACAAGAATCACTTGAACCCAGGAGTTGAGGAGGTTGAGGCTGCAGTGAGCCAAGGTCATGCCACTACACTCCAGCCTGGGCAACAGAGTGAGACTCTGTCTCAAAAAAAAAAAAAAAAAAAAGTCACTGCCAACAGCCATATAGCTCCAGCAGCCTGCATCACTGCCTGAGGCCTTTCTCTGGCCATAGGCACCTGCTTAGCCCATGCAGGGCAGACAGGAAGTATTAGAGAGCTTGGTTCATAGGAACAACCCCCAGCCAATAAGGGATAGGCTTCCTCACCCTTCAGGGGTGCAAATTGGAGGCCTGATCCTGTAGTCTCAGACAGGCCCTGGAGGGACTCAGCCCCAGTTGCTCCTGAATGCCCCTGGCCTTTCTTCCCTTTCCTGTCTCATATCCCTCACTCCTCTGCACTTGCCCCAATCACCTCCCAAATGCTTGTCCCTGAGTATGCTTCTGGGAGAAGCAGCTTACGCCCACTCCTTCGGATTGTCCCCACCCATGGCCCATCTGCACCTGGACACCAGTGATACCCAGATCCACGTGTGCACCCCAGAGCTCTCCTCTAAGTTCCAGGCTTGATCTCTCACTGCTGATGGGCCCTGGGCAGGCGTGTGGCCATAATGCAGACAATGCTGATCTGAGGGCCCCCATAAGGCCCGGCCCAGGGACCAGGACCAGCACCACCTCCACCAGGTGCTCGAACCAGACACTCCTCGCGACTGAGCTCTTCCTGTCCTCACCCTCCACCACCCCTTCTTGCCCTCAGTATATTATGGCAGCGATGCCTCCGAAACAGCTCTGAAATCTTCCCCAAGCCTCTTCAACACTCACAGACAGCCTCCCCAACTCATCTATCCTCCACACTGTGATAGCTACAAGGGTCTTCCTGAAATACAAATATGATCAGATCCCTTCCTTCCTGAAATCTTCAGTGGGTCTCATCAAAAATTTTAAATGACTAGCTCAGGCACCAGCCTTGAAGCTTCCTCATTTGGTGAATCCAGAGGCTGAGTGTCAGAAGCCCGGTGTCCTGGCTGCCACACACACCTGGTGGCATGGTGTTAGTGCCCCACATCCTCTCCCCTATTTTGAGGAAGTTTTGGGGGAGGTATATTAGTTTGCTAGGGCTGCTGTTACAAAGTGTGACAAACTGGGGAGCTTCAACAACAGAAAGGTATTGGCTCACTGCTCTGGAGGCTGGGAGGCCAAGATCAAGATGTTGGCAGGGGTAGCTCCTTCTGAGGGCTGTGAGGGAAGGATGGCATGGATCAGTTCTGGGTCTTCTCCTTGGCTTGTGCTTGGCCTCTTCTCCCTGTGTCTCTTCACATCCTCTTCTTTCTATGCATGTCTCTATTTCCAAATCTCTTCTTCTTCTAAGGTCGCCAGTCGTATTGGATCAAGACTTACCCAAATGACCTCATACTAACTTCATTCCCTCTGTAAAGACCCTATCTCCAAATAAGATCACATTCTGAGGTACTGGGGGTTAGGACAAGTTTGGGGTCAGGTGACACAATTCAGCCTCGAAGCTCCCTCCTTCAAGGAACAGGGACATAGGGGAGGGGTGGTGAGGGCCAGGCCAGGCCAGGCCCCAGGAGGCTGCCTACGCTCATCCCGCCTTGCTCAGGCAAGTCCTTCCTTGTTGGGGGACATCCCCATGGTCCTGACCTCCACAGAGATAAGGGTGGGCACTTCACAGGTGACAGGGAATTTTTGCATAAGTATCTGAGGCATTCATCATTGTCCTCCATGTCCACATCTCTTTTAAAGAAAACTATCCCAACCACAGTCCCAGGTGTGACCCTGTTTGTGCCATGACCATAGCTGATTCAGCCTGACCCATGGACAGGTATTTTGTTGGCTGCTGAGTAGGTAATGACTAAGCACAAAAATGACCAGCTGGGGCCAATCAAATTTTGCCTGTGAATTTGCACCATGACACACCATATTCAGCCAATTGAAGAAGGCCAGGACCCATGGCCATGCACAGGATGTACCTGGGGAAGAGCCAGCCTCAGAGGACCAAGAAACTAGACCCCTGTGCAGGCTGGGATCATGGGGAAAACCACAACTAAGCAGAGAAAAGAAAGGAGCTGATGAGCAAAAGGCAGCAAACTGGCCCTGGAGCTGCCTGGGTTTCCTCCTCCCAGACCCAACCCATACACACCCTGATGTTTTTTCTTTTCCCTCAGCTGGTTGACCAGCTCCCTGCTCTTTACAACAAACAAGACTGATAGAAGCAGGATGTAAAGATTTTAGATACCAGGACCTACTCCCTCACAGCCCCTCGCCCATGGGGGAATGCACACACAATCCCTACAACGGCTGTGCACACATGCAACAGAGGTACACATGTTTCACCATCTATGTACACATCCACGCACAGGTTAACATAGCCACACACATACACATATGCACACACATGCAGCAGGTTGGACACATGCAGACATACATGTACATACTCAGATACACAAACGTGCATGAGTGCAAACACACTGACTCCATAGAGAAAAGGGATTTCTGCTCCTCCCAGAATCTGCTTTTATAAGAATAGGGCTGTCATCATTTGACATGGCCCTTGTGAAGCAAAGGTTGTTGGAAATCAGAGCTCTTTTATTCTTACCATTTCTAATTACAAGCAAGAGATGTAAGGGGGTTCTGAGGCAAGACAGAAGCATTCACTCTCTGCCCTTCAGATTTTATCGCCATGGTCACCACTCTCTAAAACCCAGTAAAACAAACAGAATAGTCACCCAAAAACGTGTCATCTCTCAGCCATGCTCCTTCTCCTGCCTTCAGCTCCAAACAGGAGGGAGGGGAATGAGGTAGACACCCTAGACCACATCTAGCACCTGACCCCATAAGACCCTCAAGTCCCACTGCCCTGCCCTCTGCCTCAGCCAACCTCTCTACCCACAGTCAGGAATTTTAACCTTCCTTGTTGTTTTGGAAACAAGATTGGGCAGAAAGGGCCTGGAGAGACATTAGCCCTAATGTGGGTGTCTTTTAAAATTATATGGTGTAGCCACATCGTGGAAACCAGGTTTTAAAGACTGTCACCACATAATGTCTCTATGTCCCTGTCCAATTGAGCCAAGTTGTCCAGATCTGTACCCTCTGAGTATCTCTTCCTCCCCGTGAGCCCCTCCCATTGCCTTCTGGCTCCTGCCGCTGCCACCCTCGCCACAGCCTCTAGGGGGCACTGTGCTCCCTTCGTGCTCCCACCCCCAGGTTCCTTTACAGTCCAGGTGAGGTACACTAGGATTTCCAAAAGGAACTGAACTACTAAAGGAGGACTCCAAGGAAATGATCCTCAAACCAAAGAGATGGCGTGAGAGTTATTTCTCCCCAGTACTTTCTGTTCCCTTAAGTTGTTCTACTCACGCCTTTCCACGGGCCTGGTCTGTCTTTGGTTTCTAATCATGGAAATGCTCCTGGTAGAACCTGACCCTTTCCCCAACAAGGGGAAAAAAAGCCCCTTCTGTACTCAGGATATGAGTCGGGGCCTCGGATCTGGGGAAGGGGAGATGAAATGAAGAGAGTTTAACAACCGAAGTTCTTCGAAAGCATGGCTAGGGTAGGGTGACGAACCCTGAGACAAGAGCAGAAGCCCTTCCTACCCTTAGAGCTAGAGGGGCAAGGAGAGGGAGGAGTGCCAGCAGGCTCACTGGAGGCTGCAGCCAGCAGGACCCCACAGCCAAAGGCAGAAGAACCCCCACTATAGAAACCACAGCTGAGCGAAGAGGGAAAAACCACAGCCAAACGAAGGGGGGGGAAACCCCCCTCTCCATCTGCTGTCAGATATTCCACCAAAGCCTCCCACTGGCCAAACCCAGCTGGGGGTGGGGGTCGGGGGAGCCACTGATTCAGCCCACAGGGGTCAATACAGAGCAGGCCAAGAAGAGCAGGGAATGAGTCACCAGTACATGCCACCCTCAGCCTAGCCCTGGTCTGGATGTCACAGGCCACTTGCCCATCCTGTCTTGCCAGTTTGCATCCCTCTCCCAGTCCCTGAATACTCTTACATGGACACTAACCATACCACTTCCTTTGACATTTAACCATTCCTTTTATTGGTAAGAGAGAGGAGACAGGAGAGAGATCTCCCCAATTACAGCATGAGCCACCTGAAGACATCATTGGCACTGCATCCTTCTGTCCAATTCCTCTGGGGTCATTGAGACCCAGACCCCCTCTCATAGGCTTGCTTCCTCCTTATCTCTAAGGAAGGTGGTCATGAACAGCCCCAGCCCCATCAGCATGCAGGGACCTGCAGTTTTGATGCCCTAGATGAGTCTGGGGTGAGTTTTGATCTTGTAGCCTTGGAATCGCAAACAGACTCCATCTGTTTAAGGGCATTCAGTTGGTCCTGGCTGCCTGAAGTGATGTGTTGGGGAGGATTCTGAGGGTCTGGCTTCCATAGGCAGGAGTATCAGAGAGGATGAGCAGGAGATGGGTGAACTGTGTGTGTTATATATTTGGCCTTTCCATCCTGCCCTTTCTACCCCGTCTGCTGTGCTGGCTGAAGAGGTCCTTCTCCCATCAGGAACTGAATGTCCCCAAAAACCTCAGCCCACTGGGTTGGTGCTCTGGAGCTCCACCTTGGCTAGGGTGCTACCACCAAGGGGTCACCTACTCGTAAGTGCTATGCCCTGCTCCAAAGACACAAACCCTTGGTCATGGTCACCTGCCCAAACCATGCGAACCCTCCATATGCGTTTGAGGTGCTGGCCTTTGCTATGGATGCAGGTTCCTCAGCCCCTCGCTCTTTGAACTCTGGCTCCCTCCCCTTTCCATCAGGGAAGGGGCTCCAGTCTCAGTATATCTGCTCACCTGCTGAGCTCACTGGATTATGAGTGGTGTGTAAGAAGATCCTAAAAATGATAATAACATCAACTAATTGATGACTTTGATGGCCAGGCACTGAGGTGAGTACTTCTATTTTCTCATTTAATATTCAATATAACCTTATCACGTAGCGCTATTATTAGCACCCTGTTTTACAGTTGAGAAAACTAAGGCACAGAAAGGCCAAATCATTCGATAAGGACATATAACTAGCAAAGGCTGGATTTGAACCCAGGGAGGCTGACTGTAGAGCCTTCCCTTTTATCCTCTTCTATACTATTCTGCCTCCATTCTGGACCCTGGGAACTCCACAATAACTTTATGCTGGAAGCTGCCATTGATACCAAAGTGTCCCACCCTGAAGTTCTACCTGGACCAAAGGAGCAATGACAACTAACACCTATAGAAGTGCCAAACCTGGCCCAGTAATATACCAGTGCCCTACCAACTCACTTAAACGCATGTTATCCTACAAGATGGTTCCAGTACTGACATCATTTTACAGAAGAAGAGACTGAGACACAGAGGTTAAATAGTTTGCCCACAGCTAGCGAGGAGTAGTAGCCAGAACTTGTACTCAAGCCCCCTGCTGCCAATCATCTGTGGTCTTAACCACCATAACCTGCTACCTCCCAGCTACCTCACTGCCTATGCACTCGCTGCAGAATCCACAGGAAAACCCCTCTGGGAACCAACTTCCTGTAGCTCCATGTGCTGCCAGAGCTGTAAGCACCGCCCCCTGCTTCAATTCCCTAGCGAGCCTGCCCTTCCAAACGTGACCATGGTGATTAATGAGCCAATTATTTCTGTAGAAGACATGGTACAAAATAAATAGCCCATTTCCCTTCAATTTACTGTTTTAATAAATAGCGCTCCATGCTCTGGTTTTGTTTATTGCTGCTCATACCTGAAAGTTTGTGATTAATCTTCTTGTTGTTCATTTCCAAAATTAATCACATCTGCCTGATGACTTTGAAATATAGGACTGCATTTGTCCTTCGATGTTAACATCAAGACACCCAGGGCTGGGAGCTGGGGGATGAGGATGGGGAAAGGCAGGTCTGAGGAAAGACTGAGCAGAGGGCAGGATGCCCAGAGCTCTGGATGCATGCCATGCACACTGAGACCTGAGTGCCCACACCCAAGAAGTGTGGCCAGGGAGGCTCAGAATGCAGTGTCATGATTTATGGTTCAAGGAAAACCACCAGGAGTGATGAGCACGTGAGGAAGAGCAGAAACTCCTCTTTCCTGTACTTGAAACTTTGGCCAATTGGCCAACCAGGGATGCTGCACACAAAGATTCCAACCAAAATCCACCGGATGGGCCAAACTCACAAAGGTGTTTACCTTCTTTCCAGGGGTCACAGCAATTGCATAGTTGTTTATTCAACTGGTTCTTTTGTAGACCCCTGGGTATGGGCACAGAGGAAAAGAGCAGAAGTCTGGGTGTCTCTTGTAAGGTGCTTACTATCTGAAAGGATGTCTTAGGAAAATGGTAGCTCCTCAGTGTACAATGTGATGAGAAGTAAAAGAAATTCCATAATTGAATGTCTGTGATGTGCATTTATATTCTACATGCTTTGACGTTTATCAAGTCTTACAATATAGCTCATGAGGTAAATATTAACTACCCATTTTATAGATGAGGAAAGGAAGAGGTTCAGATGAGATCAATAACTTACCCAAGTTCTCAGAGCTACTAAGTGAAAGTGAAATAATTCAAATTTGTATCTAGGTCTTCAGACTCGAGGACCAGTGTTGTTTTTCATATAGAATATAGGTATGTTCTGTGTGTGTGTGAGTGCGTGTATGTGTGTGAGTGAGTGAGTGACAGAGAGAGAGAGAGAGAAATCTGGGCTGGGATAGTCCAAGAATGCCACAGAGAAGGGGTGGTCATTATAACCTGGGCTTTTATGGGTGAATAGGAGTTTTCTGAACTGAAAAGGATAAGAGAATGACATGTCAGTTAGAAAGACGACTTAGGTCTGACTTAAAGTAATAGTAAAGGAAGGTGAGGAGATAAATTATCAAGCATGGTGAATGACTGGCTATGATGAGTGAGAGACAGAAAGGCATATACTTAGAACATGGTCACTTCCCTTCACCTGGTATCTCTTGGCAGTGAGGGGATCTGTCTCACATCTGCCCCCGATCTTCCCTCAGCTCTCTCCAGGATGCTGCCTCATCCACCAGCTGAGGCTAGAATAGGCCAGCTGCCTCACTTTAATTCTCCATGCCTCCACCACACAAGGCTGTCAGGTAGACCAGACCTCCCTGACATGTTAGTGGTAGCAAAGGCAAATCACAGATGTGGGAGCAGGCCAGGTTTTCCATTCATGCTTGCTTTATAAAGCTTCCTCGTAGTTCAAGGGGAAATATACAAATATGAAGGTTAATCCTTCACAGGGTGTCCACCCCCTCATGGACAAAGCTCAGCTCAGAGCCTGAGTCTCTGGTCCTCGGACCTGCCCTCTGGGAGAGTGTCCCCTTCTGCAATCTGTATGAAGACACACGGTGTGGCTCTCCTTCCCACCGACATGTCTAGAATTTAAAAGATCACCTCCTACACACCCCAGTTACCAATGCAGCCTCCTCCCGTCTCCCCTGACTGGTCCTAATCCCCTCCACTCCAGGGTTTCTCAACATGTGATCCACCCCTACCTGCATCTGCAGCTGGGGTCACTGGTGTTTGTAAGATGCAAATTTGGGAGCCCCTGCTGCAGATCTACCCAATCAGGATCACCCAGCTAACGCTTTCTAGTCCCTTGGGATTCAGCTTAAAATACCTCCTCTGAAAGTGTCCCTGAGCCTCCAGGGTGAGACTGGGGCCCCCTCCGTGCCCTTCTGTAATTGGTTATCTGCCCTGCCGGACTGAGCTCTGTGACAGCAGTGATTTTGCTTCCTTCCTGTGTTCTAGCACCCACTCCAGCACCTAGAGGAGAGCAGGTAAACCAAAGGAAGGGAGGAAGGGAGGAAGGGAATGGCATGACCATGCTTGGCTGCCTTCCTCCCAGCGCGTGAGGATTTGGACCAATTCTTCTTACCCTAAACTCAGCCTCTGAGTTTCAGAGTAACCCTGACTTGCAGAGTTCCAGACATGGAACCAGGTAAGTATAGGGAGGATCATCCACTGCAGTTCCTGATTAACAATGCATCTCTACTGGGGCCACAGCCTTGCTAGACCTGGGCCTGGAATCCCTGTTGGCCTTGCCAGGCCCCTTCCCCTTGGGACTGAACACTTGGTCTGGCTGCAGAATAATCCTTCCCTGGGACTCTGCTCCCACATCGACCCATCCTTAAAATCTTGGGACTCCCACCCCTCTGTAAATAAAAGAAGATCAATATCAGCTTTGCCCTGAGTGAGAGTGTGTGTGTGCGTGCGTGTGTGTGTGTGTCTGTGTGGAGGGCAGGCATGAAGCATGTGAGTGCAGGGTGGTATGCTGGCTTGTGCACATGTGCATATGTGCATAAGGGTGCTGTTGTTATCCCTACGGGTATTTCAGAATGTGCTGTGGAATGAGTGTTTCTGTCTGTGATACATGTATATACAGCCAGGGGTTTTTATGTGTGTATGCACAAGGTAGTTTTTCTGACATTGGTATGATTGAGCTTGTTTTTATTTCCTTTATGTTTATTTTATCTGCATTCAACTGTTCTTTGCAGAGGCTCCACAGATCTCTTGAAACCATTTATTTACCTATACTGTCCTTCCTGCTAGGCAATGAGAGCCCTGAAGGCAGAGACATTACGTGATTTGTCTTTGTATCCGCAGCTTCTAGCACAGTGCCTGACATGCCTGCATGTGTTCATTCTTTCATTCCTTCATTCAACATATATGCATCCATCTTCTAACTGTGTGCTGTATGTTGGGGACACAACCATGCATGAAGAGAGACACAGTCACTGCCCTCATGGAGCTTAGAGTCTAGTGGAAAAGACAAATACTAATCAAATAATTAAATAATGTAAAAGTGCAACTGTACAAAGTACTAAGAAAGGGACATACGGAGGCCAAGATGGGTGGATCACCTGAGGTCAGGAGTTCGAGACCAGCCTGGCCACATGGTGAAACCCTGCCTCGACTAAAAATGCAAAAATTAGCTGGGCATGGTGGTATGTGCCTGTAATCTCAGCTACTCAGGAGGCTGAGGTGGGAGAATTGCTTGAACCCGGGAGGCGGAGGCTGCAGTGACCTGAGATTGCACCACTGCACTCCAGCCTTGGTGACAGAGCAAGACCCCATCACAAAAAAAGGGGGGGACACACAGAATCCTGACAGAGTATAAAAGGCAGATTAAACTAGTCAGGGAAGTGAGAGGTGGATTCCGAGGAAATGACACTTAAGCTGACGTGCACATGAGAAGGCACGACTGGAGGATAGAGGCATGTCCTTCCATTCTGCATAAATAGTCCATGGAGTGGCAGTGAGAGGACCTGTAGGAAAGCTCATTGTGGGGAGCCAGAGGAGTGAAGGGGCACTATGGGAAAGATGGGGGTGGAAGGTGGCTGGTACTGTCCCATGCAGGGCCTCTATATGCTTTGTTAAATATAGAGTCCTTCTCTTCCGAGTGAGGGAAGCCACTGAAAAGTTGTAAGCAGGCAGATGACAGGATCAGTTGTATTTGATGGCTAAATAGATTTGATAGGATGAAGGCAAACCCAATCCATGGGTAGACCAGATAGCAGGTAGGAATGATGGTAGCTTGGACTAGGCTCATGGCAGTGAAGATGGAGAGAAGAATAAATTTCAGAGGCATTTAGGAGGTAGAGTAGATAGATCATAGCAGGAGCTTGAATATGGAACCTGAGCAAGACAGAAGAGTAGAGGACAGAAAGAGGCACATTCACTGGTCTAGAGAACACTTCAAGAGAACCAGTTTGGAAGGCAAGAGGCTGAACTCATTGTCTTAAACCTATTGAGTTTGGGAGCGCTTTGAGATGTCCAGATGAAATGTCAGAAGAATCTGACAGTAGGATATGTGGGTCTGGAGTGTGCACAAGGCAGGCGATTAATAATCGTGTCCTAAATTGATGTTCCCAGCTTCTTGCTCCCTTGCACCATTTCTTTTCATCAAGAGAGAATGATGGTTCTTAGAAAATTTAGAAATAGACATGACTCACCTTGGATAGAGGCTTCGGAAATGAGAAGGCTCTATAAACCCAAGTCATTACAAACTACCAGGTGTACAGAGTTTTACAGCTCACAAGGGGCTCTAACTCATTTGAGCTTCACAATAACCTGGGATTATTACATCCATTTGAGGTTACATGGCTTGTCCTGAAAAATCATGTATTGGCTCAAGTGTAAACTACTTTCTTATTATCATCTGCTTCTGGAAGAATTGGGACTGCAAAAAGCCTCCCTTACGAGACACGTCAATTCAATCCACTTTACATATATCCTTAAGCACAAATTGAAAAGGCAAGGAAGGGGCTTTGGAGGCACATAAGACAGTCCCTGCCCTTAAGGAGATCAGTCTATGGGACAAGAGTCTTCACTGATTATAATATAAGAAACAATGTGGTGAATGCTATATGAACCCCTTTTAAGTCATGTTTTCCTGATTATGAAAATAGTAAATGTCTAGTGCAGACAAATGCATACTTAAGCAGGTTTTAGGTGGAGTTTCTGTAATTTGCAATCAAAAGAACCTTTGCCAGCTGCAGTGGCTCACACCTGTAATCCCAGCACTTTGGGAGGCTGAGGCAGGCGGATCACCTGAGGTCAGGAGTTCAAGACCACCCTGCCCAACATGGCAAAACCCCGTCTCTACTAAAAATGCAAAAATTAGTCGGGCATGGTGGCACATGCCTATAGTCCCAGCTACTCTGGAGGCTGAAGCAGGAGAATTGCTTGAACCCGGGAGGCAGATGTTGTAGTGTGCCAAGATAGTGCGACTGCCTGGGTGACAGAGTGAGACTCCTTCTAGAAAAAAAAAAAAAAAAAAAAAGAAAAAAAAAAACAAAACACTGACTGATGAAGTTATTTTGAGAATTGAATCAATTAAATTCTATGAAGTGCTTAACACAGTACTGTACCTGAAATAGAGTAAGTATTTGATTAATGTATTAATGTTAGCAGCTCATATTCTTATTCAATTTATTAGAACAGTGGGGCCAGCCACACAGAAGGCTTTTTACACAAAATGCTGAAAAGCTTCCTGGGAGAAAACTGATGGTAAGGGAAGAGAAATTCAAGCACTCAAGGCTAGTTCGGTAAGAAAACCTTAGTTGGTGTTTGCCAGTCAGAATGGTCTTCAGCTCAGCTCCATGGTAAGGACAGGTTGCCTGCTCTGCGGAGGAGGGGTAGGGTGAGACAGAACAGGGACAAATGCACGTAAAGCCAGAAGTTTCTGACACCACCCTAGAAGATGTTGGGTCAAAGGGCTTAGGATGACGGCTAACGGAGCTGAGCCCAGGAAGGAGAGAGAGAAGGCCTCTATTATTTTGAAAAACACACAAACAAACAAAAACACACCATGAACCTTTGTTACTTTGAGGCATCCCACACTGAAAGTTCAATTAGAACTAGTTTACTGAGGGGTTCAATACCCCAAAATAAACAAGTTTCATATCTTTATAGCCTTGGTTCTAAGTACTTAATAGAGCAGGCCCTGCGGGGGTAGGAAGAGGTATAAAATCCAAGTTCTGCCTCAAGGGTTAATCACCTGAATAAAAAGTCTTATTTATTTTTAACTCACCAAAGTATACCAATAGCATCTCTGGTTTCCTCATATTAGAGCTAATGGATCTTCATAAAATTTTAAGCATGACTGAGCTCCTATGACCCATTTTGTTACCCTACTGAGTTAACCAGTGCCTCTATGACATGCTGAGAATTGCCATTTGAGAAAGAACTAAACGTGTTTGAGCTGACACTTGTATCATTTTCTATCTCCCATGTTGGTCTTCATGGGAACAAAGGCCGTAATGAAACCCACTCAAGTTTTAGAAGCCTTTGTTGGAGATGTACCTATTGACCCCTTCTCTTCCAATGGAGACATCCCTTGCCTCGCTCATCTCTGAGTCCTGGACCAAGCACCTCTTTGCAGGGCAGTGGGGGTACAGGCAAGGGCTCTCATTTGTCTGAATCACCTTTCACCTCTTCTCCCTAGTTCTCTCTTGAACCATCAGCAAGAGAATTCAGGTCTCAGCTCTTGACTTTGTTAGCTCTCCCTGCTACCCTGATATCAAACATTCCTTCGTCTATGAATAGCCAAAGCATCCCCCCATAATTCCTTGTATAAACTCCTTGTGTCGACCCTTTGTTTCAACCCTGGGTCTGAACAGTTTCATCTCAGACATTTGACCACTCTGAGCATAGCTAGGTTCTCTTAAGCTTCAGAAGGATAACAGTCTGGACAGTAGTTAAGAGCAAGGATCAAAAAAAATTGTAAGAGAACAGCATGTACAAGTAGATAACAATACTTTGTAAAACCTAGAGAAAGTGCACAATTTTTTAGTAAAATACAAATTTACCTAAATTGACCCAAGAAGAAATCAAAATCCTGGGTGACCATGAGAAAAAATTGGAAAGACTTTGAAGAACTTGCATTAAAAAAGAGCTAAGGCCAGGTGGTTTAACACCTGAATTCTATCTAACCTTTGAAAAACAGATAATTTCTGATGTTAAAAATATTCCAAACCACACTAAAAATGGGAAAAAAATCAATTTATCTCATGAAGTTTATATAAGGTTAGTATTAAAAGTTAATAATGACAGCACAAAAAGATAGACTAGAGACCAGTCTTACAGATGAATATAAATACAGAAATTATCAATAAAATATTAATGAATAGAAACCAATGTAACCAAAAAAGTTACAATGACTAAGGCGGCATTACTTGAGGAATGGAAAGTTGTTTCAATATGAGGAAATCTATTAAAGTCGTCCACTATGCCAAAATATTAAAAGATAACCATAGGATTATATAAGTAGATGCTGAAAACTCATTTAATAAAATTTGAGATATTCCCAATAAAGACATAAAGAAAGAAAAAGAAGAAAGAGAAAGAGGAAGAGAAACATTTTTCTTAACTGGGAAACACTAAAGACATTGGAATTAATCTTTAAAGCCACAGTGATCTAATTTTTGTGACACACACACACACACATACACACACTGCCAGTGGAGTAGGAATGGACTAATAAACCAATGGAGCGGAATAGGGAATCCAGAAACAGATCCTACCATGAGAATTTAAAAATATGACAAAGATGATACTTTAGTAGGATGTACTTATTGTCCCCTTCTCCTCCAATAGAGACATCCCTTGCCTCGCTCATCTCTGAGTCCTGGACCAAGCATCTCTTTGCAGGGCAGTGGGGGTACAGGCAAGGGCTCTCGTGTGTCTCAATCACCTTTCACCTGTTCTCCCCAGTTCTCTCTTGAACCATCGGCAAGAGAATTCAGGTCTCAGCTCTTGTTGACTTTCTCAGCTCTCCCTGGCACTTAGACTGGCACAACTGTCTATCCATTTGGAAAATAAATAAGTTGAGCCCTTATGCTCTGTACAAAAATAAATTTCATACTTGGTTGAAAACTTTTATGTAAAAAATAACAATAATTATAAAAGCCATAGAAGAGAGTTCTTAGAGACTACATATAGAATCGAGGTGTTGGGTAGACCTTCTTAAGAAAAAGGACATTAATACAAAAAAGAAATTTTTGAAATACAAAAATTTGTAACTTTTATATGGTAAAAAGTATTATAATTGAAACCCATAAACAAAATAACAGATTTGGAAGGAAGTATTTGTGATACAAATAGCACATAAAGTATTAACATCTATAAAAGAAATATTCTTAAGAAGAAAGGCAACCCAAAATTAACTGGACAAGCAAATAAATAGGCAAAAAACAGAAAATGAACTAAATTCTGGCAAGTATATAAAATGATGTTAGAACTCCTTCATGGTCAAGAAATTGAAAACCAAAATAAACAATTAGATACCACTTCACACTCACCAGACTAACAAAATGAAAGCAAGTGTAATGGCTGGTGCAGATGTGGGAAAGAGGTGCACTCATGCATTGCTGGTGGAAGTGTGAATTGCCATAGCCTTTTTAGAAATCAATTTGGCAATATCTGTTTCAAGTAAAACTACCCAAAACTTCAAATTTGGAAATCTATCCTCTAGAGAGAAAAATTCTGGTCAACTGAGACAAATATAACAATATTTATTGCTGCATTGTTGGTAGTGGTAAAAGAAAAACAAACAAAAAATGACCACCTATCATGGAGGGATGGGGAAGAATTTATGATATACCCCTACGGTGAAATATCAGATGACCTCTGAAAATAGCAATCTAATTGATTTGGAGGGACTTTATGAGGTCAGTTGGAGAATTTCTGTGAGATATTGTGAGCAAGAAAAGATGTCTATACTGTACAACCCATTTCTGATGGAGTGGACTATATGTATGGAGAAAAATGTAGAAGGATCTATCCCAGGTCATTAATCAAGGTTGTGGGGAAGATGGGTGGGGTAATATGGGTAAGGAGGAGGAGAGAGTGAGAAAGAGGTAAACAAAAAGAAAAAGAAGAGAGCATGGACTCTGGATTTGCACCGTGTGGCAGCCTCTCTGAGGTTTTTCTTCATCTATGAAATGGAGATAACAGTAGGAGTCTCGGCAGAGAGCTGTGATGATTCGTACCTGGCACTCAATAGTTAAACTTGTTATCGTCATCATCAGGTCATGGTGGTTATTCCAGAGTCCAGGGGCACCTGACTGTGCCACTCCCATCCGTGGCCAGTCCCAGGCCAGAAATCTCAGGCCTGAGGGGCTCCACCCACCCCTAAGCTGGGTGCCCCTCCTGGAAAGCCCAGCTGCAGAGGGGTTCATGTACTCTCCTCCTTTCTTACATCCCCAAACACAAGCCCACAGGTCCTTGCCCTTTAAGGCTATTATTGCTCCTGATTAGAAGGAAGTTGGCAGGAGGTAAGGGGCAGGGAAAAAGCTGGGGCCATGACCAAGGCTCTAAAATCTCATCAATTTTGCCTCATCTCAGCCCCCTAGTCTCCAGTTCTGGATACATTTTTCTAGAGGGTACCTGGAAGCCCCTCTGAACTCCTAAGGCAAGCCTCCCTCCGCAGTCTCCCCTGGGTCTGACTGACCTCTCCTTCCTGTACTAGAATCTATGCAGATGCCTGTCTGCCTCCACCTGAGTGCTATGCTGGATGGACAGCCAGAGGAGTCCTGTGGCTGCCTCTGTGTCCCTTCTGAGATAAAGGGCCTGAACCAGGGCTTTCCTTCCTAAGAGACCCTGGGTTGGGGCTGTTTTCAGTGAAGTCAGCCTGTAGCTCTGGCCACAGTGGATTGAAAGGGACAACGGGTACACAAGCAGAGGGCAATGGCCCCTGGGCCAGAGGCAAGCAGGGCCCTTTTCTTGTTTCAGAGTTTCCTCCTGATCGCGGTAGGAAAACTCCCACATAGACCAATACAGAAAACGCTCTTAATTTAGTGAAAGGGTTTCGTTTTTCTCCAACCACTGCCTTCAACCTTTTGAATCTACCTCTCCAATCTCTTAACAACATCTTGGGCAGAAACTAGAGCCATCTGGTCACTTTGGGTTATAATTTTTGTTTAATCCAGTCTTAGGGCGTCTAGTTTAAAGCATTCATCTCATATCCTTCCCCTTCCCTAGCTCAGACCTGCCCCCGGCCCAGGACACCTGCAGGCAGAAGGGTATGTGGCCATTCTTCCACTCCTCCTCCACCTTCTCCCCACCCTCCTTTCCCATTGAGTCAGGGCTGGGAGAAACACTGGGGGAAGGGGCCAGTGTCTCTTGCCAACTCGTGCTGCTGTGCACCTTCCTGGAGTCAGCACCCTCTGAGAGGCAGGCATGTGACCAAGTTTGCTCCCTTTCCTCTCCTGCCTGCAGTGACACACCCCACAATCTCTTGGGTGAGGTGTTGGGAAGGTAGCACCAGCCAAGCTGCCTTTTCAGGATCCTCTTGACCCACGGGACGTCCACTTCTTTCCCACACCAAACAGGGGAGTAGGAGCTGTACCTCTTCTACCTCCTCCCTGCCTACCATCTCCCTCCACTCCCCGCCCCCCTTCTCCTGTCAACATAGATGGCTCTGGTGCCCCAGTGTCCTAGTAGGAATCCACTCAGGGCATGAGACAGCAGTCACCCATTTCCTAGGGCCCCACTGTTTTCTTGGAGACCCGTTCATTTGACTGGGGGAAGAGTATAGAACACTCCTCCTCTCCTCTCCCAAAAGGAAGAGAAGTCACAGTACTCTGCCTCTATGTTAGCAATTCACAGCCCCAAAGAACTTGTATCTCCTGCTATTGCAGACTGGTAGTGCTGGAGTGATGTCCTGAAAGAATGGATCCATCGGTCCCATTTAGGAATATGCAGATATATAGCACCTATAGATTTCAGCCTTGGTTCTTCCAATTCCAAGAAAATGGGTGGAGTCCCATTTAACAAATTATTACCAAAAAAACCAAAATAGGTCCTCTGCCTAATGACATTGAGTTATGGGTTCTCTAGGAATCTGGTGGCTCAGTCTAGTCTCAGAAACCCTGGGATAGAGGGAAGTTGTATCAGTTGGAGAGACATCCCAAGCTACTCCATA
The DNA here is from genome assembly GCF_000001405.40 of Homo sapiens. Taxonomy (NCBI): domain Eukaryota; kingdom Metazoa; phylum Chordata; class Mammalia; order Primates; family Hominidae; genus Homo; species Homo sapiens. The sequence goes on along the minus strand of NC_000011.10, from coordinate 11,252,954 downwards.
TTCACATGTACACTCATAATAACCCTGCACCGCAGCTTGTTTGTGCCTGTCTCCTCTTGTGACCTCACAAAGCCTGATCCATCCAGGCTCCCCATCCCTGTGGGTGCCCTGCCCCACACTGATAGCCAAGATCCCTGGGAGGTCGGCCTGGGTGTCAGCGGGTATCTCAGTGCTTCTGCCCTTTGCTCTGGTTAGGGGAACCTTGGAGGCAGCTGTCCTAGATATAAGATATGACCCTCACGTTCTGGACTCTTTCTGCCTGGGTCCTCAGCACACCAGCTGCCGCAGGCACTCGCCTGCCATCCCCAGAGCAGAAGACCACACATAAGATGACATCACCAGCAGGTGCAGACGGGGCCTACCAGGTGTGCAGCCAGCCCTGCCTGGGGAAGGCCTTACCAGATGGGAGGCTTCTCATCTGTCACTGTGGCAGTGCTGATGGCACATCTTCAAATGGTATCTCTCTGAAACTAAGAGATGGCCGTTTAGCTGCAATACACAAACCCAATTTGGGAACCCAAATGACACCACCTGAGTCTCCATGGCAGGAATTATGGCTCTTGAATCAGGCACAATCTGCAGAATAAGTGAAATCGTCAACACAGGAAAATGTGTTTGAAAACATGATGTGATCTATAGTTAAAGCTTGTAAATTCTGCATCCACCTCAGAAATATTCTACTTCCAGAGCAATTTCTTCACTAACTAGCTGTCTCTTAAATGGACTGTATGTCTTTTTCATTACGGCATCTGCCCTGCCTCCGTTGGCAGCAGTTCCCAGCTGCTGGGCCCGTGGATCTCTCACTCTAAAGCCAGCACTACCCCAGGTCCCTGATCAATTCCCCTGCCTCAGCCCCAAACCACTAAAGGCTCCAAAAGAAGCCTTCTCTGACACCCTCAGGATGTGTTGCTCCCGACCATAGCCAGACTGCAGCTATATCTTGGAACCATGAACCCCAGCTCCTTCCAGCAAGCCCCTATTCCAGACACCCTCTTTAGCCTCAGTGTCTGTGCCTATATTGGTCCCTAATGCAAACTCACAGTCCAATAATTTCGAGTGCTGAGGGCTCAGCATACCTTGCTGGCAACATTATCCCCTGCAACCTGCCATCTAACTGCCATGTGGATTTTTGAGCACCACCTACTGGATTCCCACCATTGTGCCACACTGGGATTCATTCATTAGTTCATGCATTCACTCACTTATGCAAGAAGTACTTCTAGAGCACCTACTAAAGCCATACTGTGCCCTAGAGATACTACAAGGTAAACAAAATGACAATTTCTGCCCTCAAAGGCACCGGGCCAGGACAGCCACACAAGGCTCAACATGTGACAAACACGGTGTCCTCAGTTTCTGCATGTGCAGAATGGGGTAGTGAAACAAAGGTTTGTCATGGGAAAGCCTTCAGCCACCATCTAAGGAAGTGGCTGCCAGTAGAAAGTCAATGTCAACTTGGCTCTCCTGGGACTTGTAATAAGAAAACTGAGGCACACACGGTAAATGGAAAGAACCTGCTTCTCCCCAGAACTGCTATTGTTTGCAGCAAGAAAGGCAGCTGGAAAACAGTTACTGGAATTCTGCAACAAAACTAAGGCTATATCATCTTCAGGTACTAGTAGGACGTAGGGTGAGGAAGCAGGAAAATTCAGGAATAAGATGCGACTTTTTTTTGAGAGATTCTACAGACGATCTAAGCAGCATTCTCAACCTGGGTTACACACTTACAGTCTCCTGAGGATATTTTTAAAATCATGACGCCCACACCAATTTAATCCGAACTTTCAGGCATGGGATTCAGGCATCAACATTATTTAAAGCCCCCACTGAATAAAGGCAAGACTCCATCCCTTCTGTGGAAAGCTTTATGGCTCCAAGTGAAGGTGAATGTGGCAGTTGAGATCCCCATCGGCCAAATGTTAGCAGCTCATCACAGGTTCTCTGCTTTGGGGCAGGAGCCACCTGGGAAAAGGGGGCACCATCAACTGGCCAATGAGAAGTGTGTGTGACTATTGCCAACAAGGTCACGGAACACCTGACCCACCTCCCTTCCAGCCTGGCAGAACTTAAGCTTAGCTTTAAAACCTCAAAGGCAATATTTACAGATAGGAAGCTGAAGGTGTTTGATCCACAGAGAGGTGAAGCAATTTTGAAGACCACAGATGTTGCTGACAATGTAAATGCCTTTGAGGGCAGAACAGAAACACCACAAACAGAGCATGGCCACTGGGACAGAGTCAGCTCATTTGTACCTGGTGTCGGACAGCAAATATTCTCCTCAGGGTTGCATCATCCATTACAACAACCCCGTGGCTACTCTGCACATGCCTGAAGCCTAATAGCAGAAAATAGCAATGCTTTGAAGCAGAAATTCCTGGGATTGAAATCTTTCTTGTCACTCACTAGCTCTGAGTCTAACTACCCCCTCTGGGATTGTCTCTGTAAAAGGGGTTCATGAATTCATTTAATAAATATGTATTGAGCATCTACCATGTGCCAGGCATTGCTTATGGTACAGGGATGGAGGACAGAACTACGTAAATGAACACCCCTGTTTTCTTGGGGCTTGCATGTTGTTTAGGGGAAACAGACAATAGACAAGTTACACACACACACACACACACACACACACACACACACACACACACACACGTATTATATACATATGGCATGTTAGAAGTGCTGTGAAATTATATAAAGTAGGGAAAGGGGATAGAGATGCCAGGGGCGAGCAATTTTATAGGGTGTTCAAGGGATATGTTCCTGAGAACGACTTCTGAGCAACCTGAAGGAAAAAAGGTAGCAAGCCAGACTGAGGGTTCACGCAGACAAAGCAGCATGTGCAAAGGCCCTAAGGTGAGGAAGTACCTGGGGTGTCATGCTTGAGAATAAAGTTATCTACCCTCTAGTGTTGATAAACACACACATATAGGTATATATATGCATACAAATAGATGTATGTACAGTCAGCTCTCCATATCTGTGGGGTCCTCATCTGTGGATTCAACCAACTTTGAGTCAAAAATATCTTTATCATGTATATATTACATATATACTTCAACAGAGATGAGGTCTCACTATGTTGCCCAGGTTGGTCCCACATTCCTGGCCTCAAGTGACCCTCCTGCTTTGGCGTCTCAAAGTGTTGAGATTACTGGTGTGAGCCACTCTGCTGGGCCAAAGATATTTAAGAAATCAATGGTTGCATCTATACTGAACATGTAAAGACTTTTTTCTTGTCATTATTCCCTAAACAATACAGTATAACAATTATTTACATAGCATTTACATTGTATTGGGTATTCTAAGAATCTTGTGATGATGTAAAATATACAGGAGGATGCAAATACTATGCCATCTTAGTACAGGAACTTGAGCATCTGTGGATTTTGATACCCTTGGGAGTTCCTGGAACCAATCTCCATACTGAAGAGCGACCATATAGGTGTATATGTGTGCATATGTGTATATGTATGCATGTGTTAGTGAGTTAAATTCAAGTGACAAAGAATCCCAGATCTCAGTGCTTCACAGCCTGACATGGGTCAGATTCCTCTACCTCCAAGCAGCATTCAGTATTCTTGTGTTCCCACACTAGCATTGTCTCTGCCACAGCCCCTTTGCAACAACTTGGTAGAATCATTGCTAGTTAAAGTTGAGAGAAGGACCTGCAGTCAGCACAGGTAGAAAAAAACCCTAGATTAGACCACTCCTCAGTCATTCATATGTTAGCATGTAGCACCTCTGAACACGAGCGATGAAGTCCAGGCTCAGGATGAAAGTCATGGTGAGGATGAATGTTATCACACGTGAGGTTCTATCCTGATTTGATTTTGCCTGGGATTTCAGAGGCTATGTGGAAGTTTTTGCTCAAGTGCTGATATAAGATTATCCAAAAATACACCTTTTGGATCGGATATTCCACTAGCCATTGATTGGACTAGAAAGCTCTTGATTAGCTAAACAGCTCAACTCTGGGACCAGCCAAAGGGAGTATATCCCAGAGCAGGAAGGTAGCATTCCTAGGTCATGTTCTGTTCACAGCTGGTTTTACATATATGAAAGTTAATAGTCCAATATCTTCAGAAAGTAGAGAATGTAGGCCAATATGTTTTTGGTACTGAAGCAATTTACCTTGGATCCCAGCTTAACCTAATAATCCAGCTCATCATCACTATTGAAACTGAGGCCATCAACACTTTGGTAGAGACTTCTTGTCCTATAGATACCCTAATCCAGGGACTAGCCTCACCCATGCCCAGACACTCTCCAGCCTGAGCACACTGTAGTCACCAAATTCCGGCTATAACTAATTGAGGTGATCCCATAATACTTCATCATGGTGTCATCTCTGAGAGCTCTTGGACCACACAAGCTGTGTCTCAGGACTATCAGAGGAGAGAATGGGGGAAGGATGTATTCAATGGCTTTTATCTTTCATTGGCCAGTATTTTATTTTACGGGATGTTAACATTCTTGTACTTCTATGTTCCACTTGTGTGATGCAGAGTAGGGTTTTACAATGGCATCAACGGAGAGGTCCCAGGGTAAAAGGCAAGCAGTACATGAACATATCTCAGTTGAGAAACTGTTAAGTTGTACCTGTGTAAAATTGATTAAAGCCCATTGCTATGGTCTGAATGTTTGTCCCTTCCAAAACTCATGTTGATATTTAATTGTCATTGTAACATTCTTAAAAGGCGATTAGGCTACAAAGGCTCCACTCTCAGGGGTGTCGTTTATACCATTATACAAGGGTGAGTTCAGCCCCCTCTTTCTCTCTCTCATCCCCTTACTTCCTGTCATGTGATGCTAGCAAGAAGGTCCTGACCAGATGCTGGCACTTTGATCTTGGGCTTTCCAGACTCCACAACCATGAGCCAATAAATTCTGTTTATTATAAATTACCCAGTCTTGGGTATTCTGCTATAGCAGTATGAAACGGACTAAGACATCCATGCAGCACTGGTCATTGCAACAGTTGCTGCAATAAGAGAAAGGTGACACTGAGAAGTAGTGCATAAGCGGTGTTTAATTCATAGAAACTTAGTGGTTTCTATTGCTATTATTTTCATTATCATTATGAGCTAGGCACAGATATTCTTGAACATGGGCCTCTACCCTGGAGTCTGGTGCTCTGAAGTTTGACCTTGGGCCAGAGTTCAGGCACTCTCCAGAGGACTTACATTTCTGATGCCAGACATAACCTGACAGAGTAAAAGCTGTCTTTTATAGCCTTACCTGGACTAACACACCCCAATGGCTTTGTTCCTTAACAGTTGGCTCATTTGCCCCCATTGTGGGCACAGCATGAAAACTAAGATGCCTCAAAAATGGTAAGGATATTGGTGCCCACGCTTGTAAGATTTCATGTATTTTTTTTCATTGTGTCTTGCAGGTAGCTGGTAATGAGAGCTAAGAGGAGAAAGGATGGGGGATGGTGAAGCTGGGTGTGATGAGAAGCACACTGGACTTCAAATGAGACCATTTTTATTGAAATTTCAGCTGTGCCTTTTACATGCTTTGTGACCATGGGCAAGTTACTTACCTGACCTCACTGAGGATTCTTTCCTCAATTATAAAATAAAGCAGAAATGCCATCTGTTTGTGAGAAAACATAAGTTATAAAGCCCAGCACTTCACCTGACACTAAGTACCTACTTTGCAGGGGCATTCTGGCTCCAGTTAAGACAAGGGTGGGTGTGTGTATGTGTGTGCATGTGTGAGAGAAAGAGACAGAGAAAGACACACGCACACAGGAGAGAGAGAGAGACACACACACACGGAGAGAGAGAGAGAGACACACGGAGAGAGAGAGAGAGACACACGGGGAGAGAGAGAGACACACGGGGAGAGAGAGAGACACACGGGGAGAGAGACACACGGAGAGAGAGAGACACACGGAGAGAGAGAGACACACGGAGAGAGAGAGAGAGACACACGGAGAGAGAGAGAGAGACACACGGAGAGAGAGAGAGACACACGGAGAGAGAGAGAGACACGGAGAGAGAGAGACAGAGAGAGACAGACAGAGAGAGACAGACAGAGAGAGACAGAGAGACAGACAGAGAGACAGACAGAGAGACAGACAGAGAGACAGACAGAGAGACAGAGAGACAGAGACAGAGAGACACAGAGACACAGAGAGACACAGAGAGACAGTCAGAGACAGACAGAGACAGAGACAGACAGAGACAGAGACAGAGACAGAGACAGAGACAGACAGAGACAGACAGAGACAGACAGACAGAGACAGACAGACAGAGACAGACAGAGACAGAGAGACAGAGACACAGAGAGACAGAGACACAGAGAGACAGAGACACAGAGAGACAGACAGACAGAGACAGACAGAGACAGACAGAGACAGACAGAGACAGACAGAGACAGACAGAGACAGACACAGAGACACAGAGACACAGAGACACAGAGACACAGAGACACAGAGACACAGAGACACAGAGAGAGACACACAGAGAGAGAGAGAAAGAGAAAGTGACATCCTTTACAGAAAGGTACAGAGGATTGTAAGACATGGCAGACAGGCCTGAAATGACCCCTTGGGTGTCACAGTAACAGGGTATGGGCATCACTCATCCTCTGCCAGATCCAGCTAACTTAGGTTCTCCTACCAGAGGGTAAACAGTAGAGCCCAGGATCTGCTGCCTGCAGAAACAGGCTTGCTGACCTGCAATTTTCTTTCCTGATTTGATGGAGGCCAAATATTTAACATTAGTGCTTACAATACGTATAGTGGTTAGGGAGTTCTGGCTCTGAAGTCATTGCTTGCCTTTGAATCCTGGCTCTGCCCTTACTAGACAAACTATCCAACCTCTTTGTGCCTTAGTTTCCTCATATACAAAATGGAAAGAATGAGTATAGATCTCTCATGGAATCATTATGAGTTTTAAATGAGATAATATATATACAGTGCATGAGAGTGCTTGCATATAAAAATCCCTTAGAAACACGCATTATTACTAACATTTGTGTTGGCTTATGGATGTAACTATAATCCAGACAGTATGTTAAATGCATACATCTTCACATTTATGCTGTGATCTCTGTAACAGTATGTTCTTTCTATAGACAAAGAAACAGATATAGAAAATGACTCTACCAAAGGCACCCAAGCTGATTTCTCCAGGAACTCTTTCAAGTGAGAAATATTTTTTCCCTCATCTGGGTCCCTGCCACACTGTGTAACATCTCCATGATGATGCTTACTGAACTGTACTGTAATGAACTTTATTATTTTCTCCTTCCCATTAGACTAGTAGTTGACAAACTACAGCCTTTGGACCAAACTTGATTTTTAAAGAAAAATTGGAACACAGCCGTGGCCATTTAAAGCTACAGCGGCAGAGCCGAGTAATTGCAACAGACTATATGGCTCACAAAGCTAAAAATACTGACTCTCTGACCCTTTAGAGAAAAAGTCTGCCAACCCCTGCATTAGACTTTGAGACTAAAAATACAAAAAAAATAGCCAGGCATGGTGGCAAGCACCTGTAATCCCAGCTACTTGGGAGGCTGAGGCAGGAGAATCAGTTGAACCCTGGAGGCAGAGGTTGCAATGAGCCGAGATCATGCCATTGCACTCCAGCCTGGGCAACAAGAGTGAGACCCTGTCACAAAAATAAATAAATAAATAAATCCCAAGTAAAGAAATGAGTGAAAACGTGGCAGACTTGAATGGTTGCCACTTCTCAAGGAACAACTGCCTCAGGGGCCCAAGTGTCAGAGTTTTGAGCTCCATCCAGATTCTTAGAAGCCCCTCAGCTCCATGATGCTGCCAATTGGGTAGGGGTCCCCACAGGTGACTCTGAGACAGAACTAGTATCAACTCTCCACATTATCACCCTAGCACCTCTCACAGCCTCCTAAAAGAGAGGACCATCATCATCTTATAAGAAAACCCCTCTTAAATCCTCACTTGTGAAATGGAAAAGTTGCTAGAGATGGTTCAGAGGGCCTTTCCCACCTCCTTTTTTGCCGTTTCCTGACCCCAGCCTTGTTGCTATGGCTTTCCTTGGAATCTCCAATGCATTGAATCAGAATTTGCCTTTCTGCCTGAGGCAGGATGTCCCATGACCACTTTAGCCTCTTGTTGGAAAACAATGAAGAAAATAGCTACCATTAATGGAGCTCCTGCTCTGTGCCAGGGACTGTGCCATGTACTTCACTCTGAGAAGCAAGGTAGGCTTTATCATTCCCATGTACAGATGAGGCAACTGAGCCTCTTGGGGGTGTAGACACTTGCCCAAGGTCACACAGCATGTTAAATTCTGGAGGTGAGATGGAAACCCATTATTTCCTCTTTTCTCACGTCCCTGACCTGCTTCACCAGGGACCCAAAACCAGTCACTGGAACAGTGTTGGAGCTTGATTTTTTGATCTTTGAATCAAAGTATTTTAACTGTATCCACCTGACCTGGCTGGGTTCATGACAAATAAGGTATCACTTATTTGAAATGCATTAGCTGTTTACTTGCCCTGCATCCAGCTGTATGCTGGATACTATGCACAGGGTAGACCAAGCAGTTTTACCTCTCAGGGACCTCACAGTCTAATAACAGGAAGTAACAAGCACTATCCCTAAGCCAGTGAATGAAGGGGCTCCCAGTGGGCGGGACTATGAGTGTGCAGGGCTGAGTGGGCGGGGCTCCAGGCTCCACCCACCCCTCCAAGTTAGCTATCCATCATCTCTGCCCATACACTGAGTGAGGTTCCATATAGGAATCCCTCTGAACAAAAATTTCCTTTGCTAACTAAATTTGAAAAACTTCCACACTAAGGGATGAACAAAGCAGGCAGAACAGTGCTGATGCCATCACCATCTTAAAAATAGGCTTTTTCAAGAAATCATGTCCTCTCAGAAGTTCAGAGAACAACTCCTAAATACATTCCTGGAGCGTTTTTCATCTCAGAGGACAATTAACCTTTGCAATTAGCTTCATCAACAGGAACTTAATAGCAAATATTTGGTTGCTTAGCAACAAGGAAGCAGCCGCCAGTGGGACTGCAGTATTGTTGTGGCTCGAGTCTCCTGGGGTTGCAGGCTGAGGAAACGCTGAGCTGGATTTCCAGATTCTGCAAAGCTCTTTGACCGAATGTCCTCTCCCCTGAAGGCCCTGTCAGTGACCTAAGGGGCGAGTGACCCTGACCAGTGGGGACCCAGCCCTCAGCAGTGACTGGAAGGAGAGTGCCAGCATCTGAACACCCTCATAAGCTTCAGAACAGCCCGAGGGTACCCAGGCCAGGAGGTGACACTCTGCTTCACCCTCTAGAGATATGTGGCCTGGGAAAGCCAGGGCCTGCAGAATCCCTACTGCTGGGTGACTTTCTTTTCTTTCTCATTTCCACAGGGCCCTGCTTATCCCCATTTGAAATGGGAAAAAGCCTCTGATTAAACCGCTTGCCCAAGTCTCCTGGCAGTAAGTGGTGGAGCAGGATTTCGTCCCAGCCTCATGCTGTTTCCACATCCCCACAGTGGCCCCGGGCTGTGCTCCTTCCCTGGACCTGAGCTTCACTATTGGACCAGATGAGCCTCTCGGATCCATCCCAGCCTGGCACGTCTAGATCCTGCCTCCCAACGCAGGCTGCTGAGATGTTCACTTGAATCTCTCACCATGGACATTACCCAAACATTACCTAATGTTTTCCAGAGAGAAGAATCCTATTTCTTTCTGTGTTTTAGATTCCAAACCAAAAAGGGACATAATTGTGTGGTGAAAATAACAAGGGACTTCAAATCAGAAAACCCAGGCTCAGATCCTGGCTCTAATATTTACCAGTCATGTCATTTTAGGGTTACAGCCTTTCCAAATACCTTTCCCCTAATCTGTAAAGTGGAGATCATAATAACTACCTCAGCAGGATGTTACGAAGACCAAGTGAGAAGCCTGGCATCTGGCAGGTACTCAAGAAACAAAAATACAAGCCCACAAAACAAAAACCACCACAAGACACTTCATGCCTCTGTCCTCCTAGTTTCTATGGAGAGGTATAAGACTTTTGTCTCTACCTCATTTCATTTACAAGGACTTCCCACTAAAAAGTGAACCAGAGATGCTCTAGACAAAGTTAATTGCCAGAGACCTCTCAGTATATGTATGACTAAACCCAAACAAATAACCTGAAGAAAATGTTCTCTTTTTCAGTGAAATAAAAGTAATTCCCATTCAGACAGATCTGGTTAGAATTGTGACTATCTCATAACAGCTCTGTGACTTCGGCAAACACTCTGTAGCCACCATGACATCCTCGGTTTTAACACATGCAGGAAAGCGATGTTTCCCTAATAAGGTTCTGGCAAGAATTAAATTTAAAAACTTACATGAAAGAGCCCATTCCAGTGCCTGGCTCTAGCTCACATAAATTACTCAGGCCATATTTGTTATGTCTGAATCCGTTTGACGAACACTTCCGTTACCAGTTTCTGTTGTGACTGTCCTTTGAAATTCCTATCAGTTTATTTTTACCTAATTACTCATATCTACACTGTTTCAGTATCAGCTTTAGGAAAGAGCACATCCGCTTCTATTTTCAAACAAATACACACAAAAAAACGTAATTGCAGCCCCAATTTCTTTGGCACGCTGAAAGTGCTGCATATGTGTAAAATGACAGCTTAAATTCCCGAAAAGCTCTTTGGAACTTTGAGGCTGCCTTCCATCCCCAGAGCTCCTGCACAAAAACCTCTTCATCCTGCCCAAGCATCAGCCCGCCCTCTTTGAAATTCATGCCACAAAAGTCTGCAGAACAAAACTTCATCAAGTTAGTTACCGTATTACCTGGTAATTCCACTCCTGTATAGACAGATCTATACCCAAGAGAATGGAAAACATCTGCACAAAAACTTGTACATGAATGTTCATAGCAGCATTCTTCACTATAGCCAAACAATGGAAGCAATTCAAATGTCCATCAGTGGATGAATGGATAAACAAAATGTGGGATGTTCATATTACTCCTTCCCTGTTAACACTGTAGCAAATTACCAGAAACATAGTGGCTTAAACAACTCACATTTACTCTCTTACAGTTCTGAAGGTGGAAGTCCTTCATTGGTTTCACTGGCTCGAGTCAAGGTGTCAGCAGGGCTTAGTTCCTTCTGGAGGCTTAGAGGGGAGATTCTGTTTCCTTGCCGTTTTCAGCTTCTAGTAACTGTCTGCATTTCTTGGCTGGTGCCTCTTCCTTCATCTCTGAAGCACATCAGTCCAATTTTGTTTCTATCATCACATTGCCTTCTCTTCTGTAGTCAAATTATCTTCTGCCTTTTTCTTATACTTGTGATTACATTAGGGCCCACCTGAGTACTCCAGACAAATCTACCCGTCTCAAAATTCTTACTTGATCACATATGCAAGGTTAGGTTCCTTTTGCCTTATAAGGTAACAGTCACAGGTTCCTTTTGCCTTATAAGGTAACAGTCACAAGTTCCAGGGATAAGGATGTGGGTATCTTTGAGGGCCGTTAGTCAGCCTATAGTGTACAATGGAATATTACTCAGCCATGAAAAGGAATGACATGCTGATATATGCTACAACTTGGATAAACCTTGAAACATCATGCAGAGTGAAAGAAGTGACACAAAAGACCACACAATGAATGATTCCATTTATATGAAATGTCCAGAATAAGCAAATCCATACAGACAGAAAGTAGATTGGTGATTGCCAGGGAGTAGGGAAGGAAAGAAGAGAGAATGACTGCTAATGTGTACAGGCTTCTTTTGGGGGTGATGAAATGTTCTAAAATTATATAACAGTGATAGTTGCACAGCTTTATGAATATACTAAAAATCACTGAGTTGTACATTTTAAAAGGATGAATTTATGATATGTAAATTATATCTCAGTTAAAAACAAATTAGGAAAAGCTCATGTGTCAACATTACATATAAATGATAAAAGTGGAAATGTTCCTTTTTAATCAAATTATGATTTGAAGCCATTTAATTTAAACAAAGTGCTTTCAGCCAAACCGTTCAACCACACTGTGTACCTTGTGGTGGTAGAGTGGGCCTAGGAGTCAGGAGGCCTGAGTTCAAGTGCTGGCTCTACCCCTTACTGTGTCACTGTGTTACCCTTTCTGAGCCTCAGTTTTCTCACCTACAAAATGGGTAAAATAAAAGTACTGACCTCTCAGAGTTGCAAAGATTCAGCGAAATAGTCACAGAAAGCTTGTCATGGAGTAAGTGCTCAATCAGTGCAGGCAGTTGCTTTGATTTTCTCATCCCCTGATGCTGATCAACCCTAATGGGAACCCACCCATTCTAAGGGTGATCCACTATTCTAATTTAAGTTTCAGATTGTCTGAGGGGAATTAGAGGGAAAGTATCAGGAAGGTAGTAAATGTACCAGGCACTGTGTGAAAGGATGTACAGACTCCAGAGTGAAGAAGTGAGTGGGGAGAGGGGAGGAAAGAGAAAAAAGGAAAGACAGGGGCAAGGAAGGACTTCATAGAGGAAGTCTAGATCTAACGCCAGGCACACTTGTATGTGGACTGAGTGTGTGTGTGTGTACATGTGCATGTTTGTAGGGTGGGCAGTAGTTGACAAACAGGACAGAAGATAGATAGGATAGTGGGCATGAATGAACAGAAAGCATTTGAGGCATGAGTAAGGCTCAGACACATCATACAGCCTGGATCTTTCAGGAAGCATGAGTAGTTCCTACAGGTAGAAGTTGTGCTAAAACAGGCAACCAAAGTACTTTAAACAGGGAGACAGAGAGTAATCTATTAGATTTGCCTTTTACAAAGCTCTCTGGCTTTAATAGTATAGCTTTAAAAAAGGCGTGGGTGCAGATGTGAAGGAATGCCAGGTGTGGTTGATTAATGCCAATTGTGACTATTACAAGGCCCAGCTGGCTTGAGGTGGAGAATGCTATGACTGTTTTACTTTGTGTTAGAGCAGAGATTGCTGTAAATAAGGTGATAATGGCCCCTAAACATAATATAAAAGGTTTGGATAGCTTATTTTTTATTAAAGGGTAGGTGTGGCAGAGAAAAACAACTGTGGTTTAAAAAAAAAAAAAAAAAAAAGGCTGGAAGGGACAGTTAGGAGACTGTGGCAATGGTCCAGTCATTGATTGATCAGGACCTTAACAAGGGTAGAGGCAAGAGAGAGAGAGTCTATTCCTGGTCCCACTGGACACCAAATGAACATCTATGTGTAGAGACACAGAGGGAAACACACACCCCTTTGAAGGCACTGGCATTCTGCAACCACAGGAGTGGACCTAGTGGGGGATGTGATGGTTAGTTCTGTGTCAGCTTGGCTAGGCTGTATCACCCAGTCATTTCATCAAACACTAAATTAGATGTTGCTGTGAAGGAATTTTGTGGATATGGTTAGCATCCAAAATCAGTTGGCTTTGAGTAAAGGGGCCTTTGACAATATGGGTGGGCCCCATCTAATCAGTTGGGAGGCCTTATGAGCAAAAACAGGCTTACTAGAGAAGAAATTAGTTCTGTTTCTCTGAGAAATCTTGATACAGAAGGTGTGACCCACTCTTTCTTCACAAGGTCTCCTGTAGGCCAAGGAAGCCACATACTATCAAGAGTCCTGCTTTGAAGTTGGCTGTGGCTTGTGATAGACCCAGGCAAGAAATTATTGTCATTCAAAGATCCCTGGTTGAGGGAAGGAGGCATGAGACACGGGCCTCTTTATTTCCTCCGCACCATCTGCCTCACTACCACCACTGCCTTTGGCTCAGCCCACAGAAGGGAGGTACACCGGCCATTAGTAGTAGTAGTGGTGGTGGTGGTGGTGGCTGTGGGACTCAGCATCGCTAGGCTTGCACCTCATCCTCCTGACCTTCTGCCACCTCTTCTTTACCCAGTTTCTCCCTTGTCTCTTGTACCCTGGCCGTGTGCCTGTGCAGAGGGTAGGCAGTTGGTTCCAAGGATGGAGTCTCTTTCCCGGCCCCCACGCTGGAGTTGCTGCTTTCCTTCCCTGTCCAGTGTTCCAGAGGAGCTGGAACTACCGTCCAGCATTATTTTTCCTCAGCCTCCCCTTTTGCAGCCTCCAACAGTCATGCCATGGTTGCCAGAGTCTGTGACTGGGGTCCTGCTGCCTCCTCCCAGGCACCGCTAACCCTGGACTCCCCACCCGTCTACAGCCCACCCCATTTCTAGTCACTTGGCTTGCTTGTGAGTTCATCTAGTTTCAGATCGTAGCCTTCCAACCCCTTAGCCTGGCCTGTCCCATCCTGACTGAGCCCTGGGCTGGGACCCTTGAAGGCATAGCTGCTACCAGCCCCAGCTGTAGTGAGCACAGTCAGCACAGAAGAGACTCATTGGTTGTCCCAGGAGCTCCACACATTGGGTTAGGGGTCAGAAAGCCCAGGCACTCTTGATTTGAGAGAGCAGTCACCCCACGACAGTGAGGTGGTAAAGTCATTCTCCAAGCCCAGCTCCATCGTTGGCCATCTGGCTCTGCAGGCTCTGCAGCAGCACATGGGAGGGGGTTGCAGACCAAGGGAAAGGGGCTGCAGCAGCTGCAGGGTAGAGCTGGAGTGACTACTGCTGTGACCATGGCCACCCTATTACCTGTCCCCTCTGCAGCATGGCATTTCAGGGCCAAAGGAAGCCTCCATACCAGATGCTTATGGCTGAATGTAGAGATGTGGGCAAAATCAGGCTGTATTAGTCTGTTCTCACGCTGCTAATAAAGACGTACCTAACACTGGGTAACTTATAAAGGAAAGAGGTTCAATTGACTTACAGTTCAGCATGGCTGGGGAGGTCTCAGTAAACTTACAATCATGGTGGAAGGAGAAGCAAACACATCTTTCTTCACAGGGCAGCAGCAAGGAGAAGTGCAGAGCAAAAGGGGGAAAAGCCTTTTATAAAACCATCAGATCTCATGAGAAGTCACCCTCTATCACGAGAACAGCAGCATGGGGGTAACCGCCCCCACGATCCAATTACCTCTCACCAGGTGCCTCCCATGACACGTGGGGATTTATGGGAACTGCCAGATGAGATTCGGGTGGGGAGATGGCCAAACAATATCACAGACCATCAGCAGTCCTTGGTCAATAATTAAAACGGAAAATACTCAAAGTTGTTTTGACCAACCCAAACCCTGCCTACCATTCCCCTTCCCTAGGTTCTAATTAATTTCTCTGAGATAGACCCTGAGAATAAGTATTTTTGTTAAAGTGCTTTTTAACAAAAATCACTCCTCAGGTGATTATAATGGGTAGCCTGGGCTGAGAACTTCTGCTTTAGAACTTTGCAATTGGGCCAACAACATTGATATCCCCTGAGAGCTTGTTAGAAATGCACAATCTGAGGCCCCATCCCAGACCTATTGACTCTGAATCAGCTGCTTAAGATCCCCAGGTGATTCACATGCATATTTAAGTTTGGAAAGCACCATGGGAAATAAAGGCAACAATCCCTTCACTCAAGGGGCGCTACTTTCATTCTCCTTTTGGCTCCCACTTCATGACCGCAACTCTGCATTTATGTGACAGTACCCAGAATGAGGGGTCAAAATGACCAAGTATTATAAGCACTGTGCCCCAGATCTGAGCCACACTCAGCCAGGCCTTAGGTCCACCAAGGGTCACGAATAATTATTCTTCAGAATAGAACTGCTAATGATACCCAGCTGGAAGCATTCGTAATGCTCTTTCCATATACAGCCTCTCTGATGGGTTGGCCTTGCACTGTTAGTGACGCCCCTTAACTGAGCATTTGCCAAATGACAAGTACTTTATAAACACTGATCGGTGTCATCATCCCATAACCCCCTATAAGTTAGATTTTAGCAGCCCAACTTTACAAATTTAGAAACTGAGGTTCAGAGAGGTTAAAGAGCCCAAGGTCACATAGTTAGTTGGTGGCAGAGCCGTGATGGGAACTCTGGGTGTCTGATTCCAAAACTCAGTATTGTTCCTTGTTTTATTTATGAAGCAAGTATGCCTTGCTTCATAAATAAAAGCTGTGATAGAACTTCAAAAACCAGACTCAGAGATCCCAATGTTCTCGGAAAAAAAAAAAAAAAAAGGAAATACATTGCCGTTTCCTGAGACCAGTAACAAGAGGGAAGGATTTTTACATAAGCAAAAAGTGCCTGTGGGAATTCAAGCCCAATGCATTAATATAATGATTATTCCTCCCGCCTGGGCTCTAACTATATTTTTATTAGGATGCTTTACATATTCTTTAGCTTAGCTTTTTTAAAATGCTAAACTGTCTCTGCATCCTCAAATGTGCCAAAAATCTAGGCAGTATATTTACAGGAAGTAAACACCCCCCTCCTACCCTCTAACCAGATAACTCCCAGAGGCCTGAATTAGTGGTATGCCTTTTAAGGAGGTGAAAATTCACCTCTCTCTCAAGAACATGACTGACATAAAATTCAAATCAAAGTAAATTTATGAAGGGAGCTCAGGCTGGCTTGAAGGCTCGTCTTGTGGCTGAATAGTTATGATCACGCGCTGTTTTAGATATGTGCCGGGCTCCTCTGCGGCTGAAGTGGTTGGTTCCTGGGGTTCTGTCTCTGGAGAGTTTGGTGGCTCTGTCTGTGGCCAGGGTCAGAGGGTTAGCTAGTGATGAGGTCAGGGTCCATGGTTGGGATTTGAATCCAGCTGGTAACAGAATCTCTAAGCTATGTATGAGATACGGTTTAGTAAGTTACTTTCTCTCTCCAAAGGCATCGACTTGCAGGGTCACAAGGTCTCCCATTTATGGTGTCTTATCATGATGTTCTTTTTTACTTTCAAATATTTCAGCACAGAGAGGAACTCAATTTTAGGGACAGTTGCCCTAATCAAGAATCCTCAGTCCGAGGGCCACCAGCTTTTGTGCACACTCAGGAGGAAGCCCACACAAGAAGCAATAGTTGTAAGTACTTCACTGTTATTTGTCTTTCAATCAACAGCTAAGGCCACAAGCTAGCGTAAGGCATGTCAAAAATGGGCTTTATTGGTGAAAATAGTGGCCCCATTGACTAGGGAGGTGGACACTGATGTCTTTGTTTGGGCTGCCGTAACAAAATACCATAACCAGAGTAGCTAACAAACAACAGAAATTTATTTCTTTTTTTTTTTTTTTTTTTTTTTTTTTTTTTTGAGACGGAGTCTCGCTCTGTCGCCCAAGCTGGAGTGCAGTGGCGGGATCTCGGCTCACTGCAAGCTCCGCCTCCCGGGTTCACGCCATTCTCCTGCCTCAGCCTCCCAAGTAGCTGGGACTACAGGCGCCCGCCACCACGCCCGGCTAATTTTTTGTATTTTTAGTAGAGACGGGGTTTCACCGTTTTAGCCGGGATGGTCTCGATCTCCTGACCTCGTGATCCGCCCGCCTCGGCCTCCCAAAGTGCTGGGATTACAGGCGTGAGCCACCGCGCCCGGCCCAGAAATTTATTTCTTACACCCTAGAGGCTGGGAAGTCCAAGATCAAGGCACCAGCAGGTTCAGTGCCTGGTGAGGTCCAGCTTCCTGGTTCTGAGATGGTCTTCTCCTCACCGTGTCTTCACATGACAGAAGGGGAAGGGAGCTCTCTGATATCTTATTTATGAGGGTGCTAATTCCATCGATGAAAGCTCTTCCCTCATGACCTAATCACCTCCCAAAGGCCCCACTTCCCATAATATGATCACCTTGGGGGTTAGGATTTCGACACATGAATTTGGTGGAGACACAAACATTCAGACCCCAGCAAGCTTTCATTGGTGAAATAAAAGGCGCTCAGGATTTGGGGACTGGCTGAAAATATTTCAGAGACATTTGCTTGAGTAGGACCTAAGAACTCAGGGAAGCCTGTACCTGTGACCCTGATGCAGGGTTCTGGGTCTGGCCACTGGTTTAGGAGGCTTTCTGCTTGTCTGATGTTGACAAGAACACAGAAATCTCATGTCTGGAATTTTGCTATGTCTACCTCAAGTGATCCTCACATGCAGGGTGAGGTTGGATGTAAAAGGGCAGACAGCTGGGACTTCCCTGGACTCACAGAACAGGCTGTAGGAACTGCTGGACTGCCTGCTTTGCCAGGGCATAAATGTCTGTGTGTGGAGAAACTGGCTCTGGGACTCGCTTTCATGCAACCTAGCAGTGAGACTATGGGGGAGCAGCTGATCGCACCCCCTCAGACTTCTTCGAATGACCTGTCACCCGCCCCCCACTTCCGAGCTTCTCTGCAGGAGGAAAAGCCCCCAGATATCATTGCCCTTTATCAAATTCATCATTCTTTCATCTCATTTGTTTTTCATTTTTTTCCTTCGGAGTCAGAGCTGTATGCATCAGACACGGAAAGGATTTCAGAACAGCTCCTGGCGAGGACTAATCTGATGAGAAGTGATTATGCTCTCATTGGAGAAGCAATTTATTGCCAACCAAACTCTTGTTGCCAGATGAATAAAGTTGGTGTTAATTCTGCCCACTCGGGGTCCTAAATGACTCCTCAGAGCCACCTGTGGGAATCAACAGGCATTAACGACAAGGGCTGGGCTCACAGTCTGGCCCACTGAGGCCACAGCAATGACGTGTACAGCCTCTTAGACACCTCGGGCCCTTCCATCCCTGGAACCCTGGGAAAGTCAGAGCTAAAGGGGCCCTCGGAGTTGTCCAATCCATCCCTCTGTATCAGGAGGAGACTGTGGCTCACAGAGATCCCTGGACTTACCCACAGCCACACAGTGGAGCTGGAAGGAGGGCTCTGGCCACCTCCCAGACTGCTCCTCAATTCCATTCAACAAACACATGTCCAGGGCTCGCTCAAGGAAAGGCCCGGCCTCATTCTGGGAATAAGCAAGTTCCCTGTGCTGGGTGGGCTCTCAGGACAGAGGGGGAGCGACGATGCAGCAAATATGCCTGACAAGGGGAAGGACGCAGCGGAACACACAGTGCTGTGAGTCCTGTTGCAGGCTGAGCTTCCTTTGGTCTTGGAAATGAATGCGAAGGAGGGTTGAGAGGAGCAAACAGAGATAGAGAAAGGGCCCTAGGGCAGTATCTGGAAACCTCAGGGGTGAGGATAGCAGGCCTGAGCCCAGCTCAGCATAGGAGCTCCTGTGGCTGATTTCAGTGCAATGTCCAGAGGCCCCAAGACAGCTCCATGGGTGGGACCTTGCATGGAAGTGGGCACATCAACCCCATCTCTGCATCCAAACAGACCCCTGAAATGGGTCGAATGCCAGGCTCCCCTCTCCTCCCTGGAGTCCTTCTATCCCGCCTCCTTCATCTCCTCTCTAGCTTCAATGGTTCTCCAAAGATCCTGGAGTCTCTGGGGTACAAGCTGGGTGCTCCTTGGAAAAGCTAATCTCTCTGCCTCCTCTCCTCTCCCAGTAGAAAACTAAATAACCACAATGAACACGTGTCCAGAGCCCTCCAGCCTACAAGGCACTCTTCCCTCACACTATCTCATTTACCCTTCACCACAACTCATTCTTCTCCACCCCTCTCCCAGTGTATAGGTGAAAACAAATCCAGGGTCCAAGTAACTGGCCCAGGTCATCGAGCTGGATCTGGGTGGACCCATTCCTGGACCTCTTCCTAGTACCATAGTTATCAGCACAGACTTTTGAGCTGATTCCCTGACTCTGAATCCCAGCTTCAGCACTCACCAGCTCCGAGACTTGAGAAAATCACTTACCCTCTCTCTGCCTCTGTTTCCTCATCTGGAAAATGGTACTACTAATAATAAAATTAATCGCACTGGGTTGTCATGAGGATTAAATTAATGAAAACAGGCAAAGAACTAAGAATAGTGCACCCTAAGTATTAGCTCTTACAAGCATTAACTCTAACCTAGGGTGCCAGCAGATTCCTCTTATTAGGCCATTCAGCATCCCTGGGTGCCTTCAGAGAAGTTGCCATCGACAAGGCTGGCCCTCAGGACAATTAGAATCCTTCCTGAGTTTGCCTCCTCCTTGTCCCATCCTCAGTCTCCCTCTATTTCCCCTTTGATTCTCAACAATTCTTCCCCACTAGTCCCCCTCCCGACATCCACACCTAGCCAGACAGGCTATTCCAAGATTCTATAAGATGAAACTACTCGACCTTTGTGTTGAAAAGCTGTCCTTTACAATGTTAGTTTCTAAATGTTCAGTACATACAAGAAGAGTTAGTTGCTCCTTTAAGAGTCCAGTTTTAAATTAAAAAGAAAGCTCTCTAGTAAGAAGCAGCTTTGCCTCTGCCTCCCAGCAGCAGCAAGGGGATTATCAGCAAAGAACCATATTGCATAATTAATTGCAATACCATCCCCAAAGCCAAAGTCTGGTCTGGGCTGAGTGGCTGATTTGAGCCCTCATAGTTACTACTTCCAAGTTCTGCAGAAGCCACTGAGGGTTCCATATTAAAGATCTTTGCGGGAGCATGGTTCTCCGACACTGGGAATAACAGAGGTGACCTGGCACACTAGTGCTTGTTTTGACCTGTGGCTTCTTGGAACCACAGACTTTGGGTGCCAAAGAAGATTTACCTTAGGGAAATGGAGGAAGCAGACCCAGGAAGGGGGTGGTTCCTGGAGCTCCTGAGCTGCTCTGGCCACTAACTCTGCCTAGGTGCACAGAGTGCTTTGCCTATTGGGGAAATAGAATAGGGACATTGGATTTGCCTAGCACACTCCCATCTGTGAGCTGATGATGTGCTTTGTGATGTGTGAAAGAAGCAAAGGAAACCTCTGGCATTTCCTGCAGCTTCATTTATCCTCCCTAGTGCCTGGTGCATAGTAGGGACTTAGTGTATGTTTGATGAATGAATTTCCCAAAGGTTGATGATCCATTTATTTTGAATCATGAAATTAACATTCAAGGACCCTCTCAGGGTTGCTGGGGGAGTGTGATTGGTTGAGAGCCTAAGTCACTTAAATGCTCTCCTCTCCAGCAGTGGAAAACTTTATCTCATGCCTTTCAAGTAGAGATAGTCAAAGCTTAAATGGCTCAGCAGCTCCCACCGATGTATATCAGTGAATTGAAGCTTCTCAGAATCCCAGTGGAGCATCTGAGTTAAGGAATGAAGGGCGATATCTTGCAAGGGCAGGCTTCCTGGGAGTGTTCAGGAACTTCCTAAATACAATAGTAAATGAACTGCGTAAAATAGCTGGCTCCTAACCCACATCGTCAGAGAAAGTATCAAGTTTACGAAAGTTTTACAGAAACTCAACTAGACCACACACATCATCTCAATACCATGGCCTTCCAAGCATCTGGTTCAGTGGTCCCTAAAAGGAAAAGACTGTTCCAACATGGACCCCACCCTTAGCTGCCTCACTGTTGCCAGCCTCCTTTCCAGATTACCTGTCTCTTGTCCCTCATCCAGACATCTCCTGTGCTGTCACTAGAAGTAGGCACCTATCTCATAGATCTGGTCAGGCCAATCTCCTTAATACCCCAGTGACTCCCCATTGTCTTCAAGATGGAATAAAACTTTCTCAACTTGGCATGCAAAGCCCTTTAAAACCTGGTCTTCGTTCAGGCCTGATGTGCAGCCAGTACTCACCAGTAAAGCCATACCAGCTGTTAAAACATTGAAATACTTCTGTGCTCACTCGATGACCCCAGACATGCACCAGCCAACCTCCTTGCTCACATGTCTCCTGGCCAGAGCCCTGAAGAGAAACAGTTCCCTGATGGCATTTGGCACTGACTCCCCTGTAGGTGTATGCTGGGCTGGGCTAAGGTCCCTGGTGCAGGCCAGCATCCCCCGGAGGCGCCCTCACATGGAAATGTTCAGGTACTACAGCTTCTGTGGTAGACCACACTGGTTGTAAAATGCAGTATTTCGAATATTACTCCCACCTCAGTCAACGAACTGGATTTATTACCATTTCCTTGTTCACTTATTTGATAAATAAAGAATGCCTGAATGAATAAAGGGATGAGTGATATGTGAGCTAGTACTTGCTGTCTTCCCCAGCCCTGTCATGAAGGATGGGGGTTCACAGGGACACATTGGTGATTAGAAGACACAAATAAGGTACCAACCACAGTGACCACAGAGATGTCACTCAGTGCCAGAAATGGCCACTCGGGAAGGGACTTTCATAGATGGGTTATACCCCAACCAAGTTCTCAAGAAGTGTCTTTCATGGGTGGGTTGTACCCCAGCCAGGTTCTCAGCCATCTGAGTTTAGCAAGTGAAATTTTGCAGTGCACCCCAAAGTCATTTTTCAGCAGCAAACTCACATAACCAGGTTCAAAAGTCACATTGTAAAGTGGGAATGCCAGCCTAATGATTGGTAAAGGTGACTGCAGTGCTCTGTCTCTTGTCCAGGCATTTCAGTTGAGATTTTTTCAGTTGCCAGAGACAGGAATTCTAATTCAAAAATGACTTAAGTGCAAAAGGAATTTATCAGCTTTCAAAACTGAAAGTTCCAGGGAATAAATCTAGTTTCAGGTACAGCTGGATTCAGGCATCAAATGGTATCATCAGGACTCAATTTCTTCCTTCTCTGGGTTCTACCTTGTTGATTTAGGCTCCACATGGTGGATAGATGGCTTCCTGCCTCCAGGATCCCATCTTCCCAGCTTCAAGTCTAGCTGGCAGGAGTGGAAGAGTCTCCTCTGGAAGCCTCAGCATGCATCTCATGGCATCTCCTTGGCCCTAATGAGGTCACATAGCCAACTCTGAGCCAAGCCTTGCGACCAGCAGAGGAGTGTTACATTCTGATTGCCTGAGGCCTAGATCACATGCTCCACCCCTAAGCCAAGAGTTGGTGCCTCCCAAGCACAAGGGCTGAGTGTAGGGGAAAGAGGGAAGTTGGATATGGGCACCACAATGCAGGGGTGGATGCTGGGCAGCAAACCCAACCAATGCCCACTGTACCAGGACACCTTATTATAGTCCTGAGGAGGCCAAAACATTCTTCTGAGGCTTGCTTGGTATGTCAGAATAAGGCAAGAGGGCTATTAAGAAGTGAGATTATTTTTACCAAGATCTAGAAATTGTCCTCACGCCAAAGCAGAACACCCATCTCTCAGGCAGAGCTGGGAACAGGCTAACAACCCTCCTCTCTGAAGCCCAGTTTCTCCCTAGGCCCCATCCCTTCTGCAGGCAGACTGTGCCTTGATTCAGATGGGTTGACATCACCAATCCTACCTCAAGGCTGTAGGTGAGTCATTGTGCCCAGCTGTGCCCACCCTGCATAGGTTTTCTTCACTCTGACTCATTTACATTGATTCATAAATAAAATGCATTCCCATGGTTCCTTCTACTTGTTCTAATGCTGTCCTGCACAACCCAGTTCAGCAGCCTAATGAGATGGAGCAGGGCAGAGACTTCTCTGCATATCTTATAGATGGTGTGATGAAAGGAAAGAGAGGACAAATGATACGCCCAGGTTCACACAACAGGATAAAGGCTACTCCACCCCCTGCTGATGACCCCCTGGCTCAGCACTTACTACAGCAATGAAGTTACCTACTGAGGTTTGTCAGTGACAGTCCAATCTCTTCAGCGTATCACTGAGATGTACCAAGAGACTGACCCTTAGAATGGAGGTGAAAATACTTTTTTCTTAGCCACTCCCGGGCAATTTCCTCCCACTTTCTCCCATTCTTGGCCCCTGAGCCACTCACAGAGGCACTGCCCTTGTCATTCTTAGGCTGGAGGGATAATTCCTCTTGGCTGTGGGGTGGAACCCTGCACAGCAATCTGTCCCTGAGGACTGACATAGCTCCCATCTAGATGCAGTCAGTGCTCAGATAAGACAAGATGGATGGCAAACAACGTTTGGACCAACAGGTGCCATTTGTTAACATGCTCTAGATCAATGGCTTCAAAAATTAAAACATTCTGTATCTGTCAGATGTCTCCACCAGACCCTCTGGCAGGGCAGAGGTACCAGCTGCAGATTGGTGTGAGGTTGGGGGCCATAGAAGGGAGGGGAGATTTCAGTTGGTGGTAGGGAGGATATGGCATTTCCTACCAGAGCAAAAAGCAAGCTCCCTCCCACTGCAGAGGTTCCCCAAATAAGTCAGAGGATGGGGGAGAGGCAAGTCCAGATGCTAACATTTCATAGCAAAAGGATGGAGGGACACATTCCCTGAGTTTCCTAAAACATCAAGCATTGTCTTGGGCATGGCATATACCTGAAACATGGAGGCCTCCTCCCTTGCCTGGAGAAAATGAGCCCACAATGGTGAACGCCTGTCTCCTGTTTTCTACTGTCATTCGGATTCATGAGTGTAACACATGCTGTGGAGCCTCCATCCCATATCCAGCCCACCTGAGTTTACCTGCAGCTATGAGGACATCTCAGCTCTCACCCCCGTGCATGTCCCTCCTCTCTGCCTGGCTGGCATCCTGCCTGAGAGCCTGCTCTCAGTGGCCAGTCACCACCGTGACATGCGGGGGAGTTAATGCCCGGGGTGGGTATGGCAGGGAGTGAATAAGTGCCCCAGGCTCCCTGCCCCTCCAGTGGCTCGATTTTGAGGCAAGGGCCACATGGTTTTCAGAAAGCTTCCAGGGATCAACCCCAGTTGCCCATGACTGTAACTCATTCATCAGAGCATTCACTTTATTGTTTTTTCGTCTTCTATGTCTAACCTTGCCTACTTCATCATTGTGCTTCCGGGGATCACCTCCCAAATAAACAACCGTGTCCTTGTTTCCCAAGAATGCTCCTCTCTGTGTTGACTCTGTGCAGCCCTTTCTTAACCCGAGCCTCCTATAGGATCATAGTGCTATGTGAGTGGAGGGTACAGAAAGGGGCACTGGCTCCACCCTGACTTTTCTACAAATCCCAGAGCATTGCACCTCTCACCCTACCCCCACCACCTTTGCCCTGGGCTCACCAGTCAGCTCTTGATCTTCCAGGATTGGTCCAGCCCAAGGGTCTGTATCGACACAAGCCACGTGGTACAGTAGAAAGAACATGGAGGAGGGTGCTTGGCTTCCAGCTCTTTGATGACCTATGCAGCTGTGGGGAAGACATATGACCTCTCTGAACCTCAGAATTGGGAAATCTCTAAAATTAAGAAAGTACCAAACCTCTCTCACGGGGTTGTGGCTATGATCAAACAGGGAAATATATGTGAAGCTCTATGTAAACTCTAACTTTTTCCACAGCTGATATTCAGCAAGTACCTACCAGAACAGCTCTATCTGTGGTTTATGGCTGTTGCTTGTTCTGACTGGCCAGAGCCTGTGCTGTCCCTGTTATTAAATATGTCAAATATCACTTCTGAATAGCATCACTATTACCTGTACATCTTGTATCCCTTGCTTGGAGGCAGCCGGCCAACCTCTCTGAATAGTAGAATCACAGCTCATCTATAAGGAGAGTCCTAGGGAGGGCCATATTGCTGTGCCAAGGAAGAATGTCCTAGTACAAGACATGGAGGCATCCTCCAGATAGATCGATCCCATTTCAAATGGGCAAACACAGAGCATCTTGTGCAAATATGCCACAAGACTTGCTTCAAGGCCCAGCCCGTTGCTAAGGAGTCCAGTGTTTCACCCAGCTTAATTAAGCATGTTTAAAGGGATACATGCTCTCCCCCATCCATCCACAAAAAGGCCCTTGGCAGAACTCGAGTAATTAATCAGAGGGCTGTGCGAGTGGATGCTCTCTCGCTTGTGAAGAAAAGCTGACCTGGGCTTAGATCTAAGGGATTTGAGCTCTGAATAATCTTGGAAGATTGGGGAAGGCAACCTGGGGACAGGCCAGCAGGCACTCAGGGTTGCGCATGGGAGAGAGATACTCACACTCTGCAATGTGGCATAATACAATGAGGTAGGGAGATGAGAAAAGGTCTTCATTAGAATCTGTTTGCATATTCATTGTCAACTGTGACTAGCTTAAACTAAACTCACCCATCACAGAAATCCATAGTGACTGTCAGACAATGATAAGCCTTCTTATTTCTCAATTTTGCTTTAAAGTAGACATGACTGAAAATATGCACTGTGTGATGCTCATAATCAGAGATAGACTGCAATTAAAACTAACCAATGATTAAACTTCACCCTCACCCCAACTGTTCACTCAATAACTGTGTTAATCATCATCCTTCCTGCCAGTCATTGCAACTGTGGCTTTTAAGGTTGGCACATGGGGCGCTGCATTGGCCTGTTCATAGGAGGATAAGGGGATGTTGGGAGTATTTGATTTCTGTGCTATCATGGGATCAAAAGGCAAGCTTTGACTTAGCAGTGGCTTGGTGTGCAAGAGAGGAAGCTAGGACAAAGAGTGCTGGTCCACAAGAAGAAATTAGGAGGAGACAGAATTAAGACACTGAGCACTTCCTGCCTGCAGCCCTTTAGTTATGCCTGTAAATTCTGGAAAGTTCTGCAGGTGCTGTATTATAAGAGTAAACACTTCACACAGAATCTGTCTTGAATGACTAATGAGGTGCCACTTCTCTCTCTTTCCAGAAATGCCTTGATCTTTTCACCCTGCTCTGAATTCTCAGGGTCCTGGGCCATAGATTTCTAGTTCTATCTTATTTCTTACTTCGTACCAGGAGTGGGAGGGAAATCTTTTCCTCTTAAGCATAACTCTGTGACATTAACACATTACAATATTACCACATTGTGGACCCTGCCTCTTTTTTCTGTAGTAACAAAGACACTTACTCCATAGGGTGGATGGGAAAAAGAGAAAGGAAGGGAACGGGCAAGAAACCCCTATGCCATCCTTCATGCCCTGGGCCTTGTGCACATATGCACCAACCTTGAGAAAAGCATCATCATCCAAACCCATTTTACAGCTGAGGAAACCAAGACTCAGAAATGGGAGTGAGTGTTGGAGCCAAGAACCAAGATTTGTCTCACGCCAGAGCACACGCCCTTGCCCTGAGCCACTGCCTGTGTCCTGATTTTGCCAGCCAGAGTCCAGTGTTTCATTATTCTGTGTCTAATGGGGTATAATAAACTCGAATTAATTCTGACATTCAGGGCAGAATTTGGTCAACAAATAGAGAAGGTATTGCTGGAGGAACTCAGACGTGAGTGAGATTTGGAGCTAAATAAGGTTAGCCAGGCTCACAGGCTGGAGCAAGAAATCAGCAAAGGGCCAGAGCCCCTAGAACCTGTGAATGGGACCTCATTTGGTGGGGAAAAAAAGGCCTTTACAGATGTAATTAGTTAAGGAGCTTCCTATGGTTTGAACATTTAGTGCCCTCCAAAATGTATTTTGAAACTTAATCCCCAATGCAACAGTATTAAGAAATGTGGCCTTTAGGAGGTGATTGAGTCATAAGACCTCTGTCCCCGTGAATGAGATTAGGTGCCCTGATAAAAGGGCTTGAAGGAGGGAGTCTGCCCCTTTTTTGCCCTTCCACCTTCTGCCATGTAGGACACAGTGTTCATCCCCTCTAGAGAATGCAGCAACTTGGTGCCATCTTGCAAGCAGAGACAGTAGACCTCATAGACGCTGAATCTGCTGGCTACTTGATCCTGTACTTCTTTCTGAACGGTGAGAAATAAATTGCTATTATTTATAAATTACCCAGTCTGTGGTCTTTTGTTATAGCAACACAAACAAAGACAGATCTCCAGATTAGATCATCCTGGATTACCTGGGTGAGCCCTAAATTCAATGAACTGTGTCCTTAGAAGAGAAGGGGAGATGAGACACGCAGAGGAGAAGGTGATGTGATGACAGACACAGAGGTTGGAATGACACGTCTACAAACCAAGGAGCACCCTGGATTGCTGCAGCTGCCAGAAACTAGAGAAGAAACATCTCCTTCAGAACCTCCAGAAGGAACCAACTCTACCAACCCTACCAACATCTTGGGTTTGAACTTCTGGCCTCCATAATCGAAAGAATAGATTTTGATTGTTTTAAGACACCCAGTTTGTGGTAATTTATTGTGGAAACCCTGGAAAACAAATACAGGCTCTACTGCTGATAAGAATTAAGGTCAAACCAGGAAACACCAGCCATCCACTGGCTTTGGGCTGAGGCTGGTCCTGGGTCAGTGATTAAGAGCCCGAGCCTCTCCTTAGGAACTGCATACTGATGATAGAAGCTCAAAACCCTCCTTCTTCAACTTGGAGAATTGGCTGAAGTTTCAAATGCCCTCTGGTCACAGAGGATCCAGGGTCTTGATGGTGAAGAGCTTTGATGTCTGCTGCTGAGAAGGGCTGGGGCAGGCAGGAGCAGGCCCAAGCTGTGTGAGGTTCCTGTCATGGGGGTGTGGCCTGACAGATAGGGCAGGAAAGGGGAGATTATGCCTCTGGTTTTTTCTTCATTGATCATCTGTACCTTTGGAAGGATGGGCATGAGGATTTGGAAGGATGGGCTAGTTAGCTATCGACCCACTGTCCACGGGTTGCATTCAGCTTCTCTGACACAGAGCTGAGGGGATTCTTTCACCTTTCCTCTCCATGCCACCCCTGCTAAGCACCCCTGCACATGAGGGAAGCCTGGCATTGGCCTTGCAGAGGCCCTGACTGAGGGCCCAGGGCTGAGCCCAGACAGGAATTGCCACTTGCAGCATCTTGGAGCATGAAAAGCTGAAAAACAGATGCCCATCAGAGTTCCAGAGAAAGCTTAGATCCTGAAAGACAAAGCACACATGCCAAGTCCTAAGTCTCAAAACGCTGAATCAAAATCAGAATGTGGAGTCAAGAATTCAGAATGGGGCAAAAGGGGGGTCTGGGGTGGAAGCAGGCTGGGGATGAATAAGGGGAGTCCAGGTTGCCTACCCTGGGCTGACATCCTGGGGGCTGTGGCTCCCCTTCAAGGGATGGCAGGTCCTCGTGAATGACTGGGTAAGGAAAGGCTTATGTAAAGGTCTGAGGCAGCACTGACACCAAGCAGGGGGCCCCATGGTCAGCAGGACAGGCCCATGGTCAAGCCATTGCACTGCCTTCAGTTTACAGTGGGCAAAACAAACCCCGCATCCCTAAGGTCCAACCGGTAGTGACCCAACTGGTAGTGACATCTGTCTTCATGCTCAGGCCTTGGGAAGAGCAGGAGCAGAGAGGACAGAATGGGTGGCAGTATATGCTCCAGAAGCTTGTTTTAGAGTCCAAACCACTGTTCAGAGTTGGAAGCCTGCTCCAGGAATGACACTCAAAGGCACCCACAACAGGCCCCTGTAGGACAAAGCAATGTAGTTGTTCAGAGACTGGGAAAAGTTTTCTCTAAGAACTTGGACTATAGTTTGACCATCAGGCTCTCACTGGCCTGAATCACCTCTGCAAAGACTCCTAACTTAGATCTGGGTCCTGGATCCCACCGCCAACAAAACTCCTGGGCGGGCCATGCACCGTGGCTCATGCCTGTAATCCCAGCACTTTGGGAGGCCAAGGCAGGCGGATCACAAGGTCAGAAGTTCAAGACCAGCCAGTCCAACATAGTGAAACCCCATCTCTACTAAAAATACAAAACTTAGCCGGGCATGGTGGCGCATGCCTGTAGTCCCAGCTACTTGGGAGGCTGAGGCAGGAGAATCGCTTGGACCTGAGAAATGGAGGTTGCAGTGAGCCGAGATCACATCACTGTTCTCCACCTTGGGCAATAGAGTGAGACTTTGTCTCAAAAAAAAAAAAAAAAAAAAAGGGCCGAGTATGGTGGCTCACGCCTGTAATCCCAGCATTTTGGGAGACCGAGGCGGGTGGATCATGAGGTCAGGAGATCGAGACCATCCTGGCTAACATGGTGAAACTCTGTCTCTACTAAAAATACAAAAAAATTAGCCAAACATGGTGGCTGGCACCTGTAGTCCCAGCTACTTGGGAGGCTGAGGCAGGAGAATGGCATGAACCTGGGAGGTGGAGCTTGCAGTGAGCCAAAATCGTGCCACTGCACTCCAGCCTGGGCAACAGAGTGAGACTCCATCTCAAAATAAATACACACATACATACATACATACATACATACATACATACACACACACAAACTCCTGGGCAAAGCAATGGGTTGAACCCCTCTAACCTAAGTCCATTGTCTTTGAGTGGGGAAAAAAAAAAAAAAAAGAACTAGCAGGCCTTGCCCAGAGCAAGAGAAGGTAGAGGTCAAGAATTGGGCTGGGGCCAGACACGGTGGCTCACACCTGTAATCCCAGCACTTTGGGAGGCCGAGGTGGGCAGATCACGAGGTCAGGAGTTCGAAACCAGCCTGGCCAATATGGTGAAACCCTGTCTCTACTAAAAACACAAAAATTAGCCGGGCGTGGTGGCACACACCTGTAATCCCAGCTACTTGGGAGGCTGAAGCAGGAGAATCACTTGAAACCAGAAGGTGGAGGGGTTGCAGTGAGCCGAGCTCGTGCCACTGCACTGCAGCTTGGGCAAAAGAGCTAAACTCCATCTCAAAGAAAAAAAAAGAATTGGGCCGGACCCAACATTTAGCAGCAGAGGTAGCAGAAGACAAAGAGTGGACTGCCAGAGACTATTCTGACTCCACGTGCCCCTCTCAGGACGCCCTCATGATCCACAAGTAGAAGCAAATGAATCCTTTTCCCCAGGGAGCTAGCTCACCTTGTAGGCTCATTAGTGTTTCAAACACAAATTTGGTAGAACAGCAAAAACATATACCTTAGTAACATAATCATATTAATATGTAGAAAAGATCTGATGCAAATTGGAAAGTGGCATTTGGAAACTCTGATAAATGGCCGTGCAGAATTTAAGATTCCATTTGGAAGCCTGTTGGGAAAAAGGTGACACATGGGTTTCCATAGAGGGCTCAGGCTTCCCAGGCTCTGACCACACTCAGTTCAAAACAGCTTTCCAAATTACATCAACATGCAGGCATGACTTGTACCTGTCAAAGGGGATAATTCTTTTCTCCTGTAAATTATATTATCCAAAGCTAGTCAGGATAAGAGGAAACAGGCTCTCACTTCATGCTGCAGGAGGGAGGGTGAGCCCTTCTTCTGCATGGCCATTCAGCAGATTGCCTTGAAATTGGTCATATTTCCTCACCTAGACTTTCACTTCTAAGAACTAAGTCCAAAATATTGTTCAGAGGTTGTGCATGCCATCTCACACACCAATTTAAAGAATAGTCACTAAAGGCTTTTTTATTTCATGGGAAGGAAAAAATAATAAAATAAAATAAATAAAATTAAAAACTCCACTATTTCTGCCTTCCAGAAGGATGGCAAATTCATCTCTATAGTAGATGTCTATTTGATTCAGAAAATCCCTGGCCTTTTGGCTATGATAGGGAAGGCCATGGGCTAGTCTATATATAAGACATTGAGACAAAAAGAAAACTAAATTACTTAGCACAACAAAGTAATAGGATCTCTAGAGTGGTCCTGTTATTGGAAAGAGGTCCTGATCCAGACCTCAAGACAAGGTTCTTGGATCTCGCACAAGAAAGAATGAGGCAAATCCATACAGTAAAGTGAAAGCAAGTTCATTAGGAAAGTAAAGGAATGAAAGAATGGCTACTCCATAGACAGAGCCCATTTTTATGGTTATTTCTTGATTAAATGCTAAACAAGGAATGGATTATCAGTGCCGCCCCTTTTTAAGCCATACAGAGTAACTTCCTGATGTTGCCATGGCATTTGTAAACTGTCATAGTGCTGGTGGGAATGCAGCAGTGAGGATGAACAGAGGTCACTCTTGTCGCCATGCTGGTTTTGGTGGGTTTTAGCCGGCTTCTTTACTGAAGTCTGTTTTATCAGCAAGGTCTTTATGACCTGCAGCTTGTGCCAACGTCCTATCTCATCCTGTGACTTAGAATGCTTTAGCCTCCTGGACGTGCAGCCAAGCAGGTCTCAAGCCTTATCTTACCCAGGCCCTATTCAAGATGGAGCTGTTCTGGTTCAAACGCCTCTCACGATCCCCTGGGCACCCAAGAGAAAGGTGTTCTGGGGAACATGGGACAACCAAGAAGTGAGAAGATGGGAGGAGAGTCTGGGGAGAGGGGGCAGAGCCAAGAAATCTGGTAGCAGGACCTTGGGCTCAGCTGAGAGTGGCAGGAATAATGTTGTCTAATCTTCCATTTTCCAGCTGCAATTCCGTTTTACCCAAACCCTTTAATACAGGTCATTGTACAACAGACTTGTATTAACTTGCCTCTAGGAAATGAAGGAGGTGGGGCTTGCTCATGGTTGAAATGGAGTGAATCAGAATAGGCTGGAAGAGCCAGCAGGAGCCACGGGAAGACGTGAGAGCGAATTACAAATGGAGATTGGAGCAAGCGTTTAGAAACAGCAGTTGCAGGAGAATGTGAGCGCCAGACCCCACTCCCCGACCCCGCCACCCCCACGTTATCTGCAGATACATTAGCAGATATAACTGCTAATACATACAGATACATGGGGGTGGAGGGGCAGCGGGACCAGGGCCGGGGCCAGACCTGAAGAGGAAATCAACACGTTATCTGAAGTGATGGGATTACGTTTTTGTTTTGTTTCTTTCGTCTTTGCATATATATTTTCAAATTGTTTTTCCCAAGTATGTGTTACTTGTGAAATTTTTTAAAGTCAAACTAAAAAAAATAAACAAATGTGCCAACAGGGCTGTGGAAGGACTTGAACACTCAGTAGCAGCATGCAAGCCTTGCTCCCACACCGTTTTTCTCTTCAGACAGAGGGAAAACAAACAGCCATCAGCGCTGGCTCCTCTCCTAAACCTGCACAGGACACGGACTTGAGACAACTGTGAGGCAGAACCCCTTGTTTTCAGGCTCTGCCAACAAGGCTTCCAGAAACTCCAGGAACTCACATCCCAGGAGATGGGCGAAGCAAGGCAGAGCTGTCATTAGCAGGCATTCTCTGTCCCCACCATCCTCTATACTCTCATAGTCTCTAGATGCGATGTTTAAGTGTCTTAAAGAAGATTCACATGGAGAAAGTGGACCTCTCTAGAAAAGGAAATGGCATGCCTTCTACCAGGTTCCTGCTTTTATCCTTTCAGAAAATTCAAGAAACCAAAGTTTTTGAGTTCCAGCAGTGGCTGCTCTCATTCCTGCCAGAATCCCATTCCGTTCTCTGTGCTCTCTCTGGCCTTATGAATCTTGGCAGAGGGCTACTCTCCTATGGTGATGACTCCCATATTAATTTCAGTCTTTTCAAGACTTACTTGCTAATTAAAATGTGAAACAGTTTTTATCCCTTTAATTAAGACACAAGATGGGAAGCATAATTTAATTTGGTCCATTGAAACTATCAGTATTATTAGCTCCATAACTTGCTTCCATGAAAGATGCCTATGTTAAACAATATATTTTTTTTTTCCTCCCACGCTCACTGGAGTTTTGGTATGTGCCCTCAGTCCTGAAACCACCGTGGGAGTTTGTGAACTGTGGTCCCATTGAAAAGGCACCGAATGGAAGCTGGAGCCATCAAGGACATTGGCTGTAGGACCCTGTGGTAGGTTGGACTCCCCTCCCCACAAGAAGCAGACTCTAAGGATTTGAGTACAAGTAGTTGGTACAGTTCATCTAGGGGAGTGAGGAAATAAGACAGGGAGAAGAGGAGAGTCAACTCCGGGTGAGCAAATGAGCAAGCTGCTGTTGTGAGAAACTGGGGGGACGCTCACTGGGGGCACCTGATAATGCGGAACACACTTCACGGCTGCCCCACCAGAGGAATAGGAAGCCGGGTGTTTATCCTCCAATGACCGTCCATCACTGGCTGATGGCTGCTCCCAGGGGCCTCAGCTCCCCAGTACTTCCAGCCTCCTCCTTGGGCAGAGAGTTGCAGATATTGCAGAGGGAAGCCATGGCGTGGAGGGGCGAGGGGTGAGAGGAGAGAGGAGACGGTTACCAAATGCATCTGTAACACACCCACAGCCCGATCCTGCAGCTGCACCAGGCTGGGCAGGAAGGTAGGGGGAGACATGTAGGGAGAGTGTCAATCATCAGCTTATTGCTAGTTCTTTCCATGGCCCAAGAGACAATATCATGGACCAGCAGCAGCCGGGGCCATACTTGGAAGTCTCTCAACAAGGATAAGAGTAGGATTGGAGAAGGGTCAAACTCTCTGGTCCAAACTCAGAGACAAATGTGGGGAAATAAAATGCATGCAGAAATAGATGTGGGGAAATAGAAAACGCACTGCCGAGGGCCCAGAAATGGGAATAAGCGGATATTTCTAACATTAGTTCAGCTAGTTCGGTCCAAAGGGAACTTTCTCACCCAGCACTGGAGCCCTGACTCAGCAGCTATCCCATTACCCCAAGGTGTTTCTCTTCAGACATGGAAAAACAAACAGCCATTGGTAGCTGACTTGTGTCCTAAACCCACACAGGACACAGACTTGAGACACTTGCCAGGTCAGCCCCTGGGTAAGTGCCAGCTTCCTCCAGCTGGAGATGGAGAGGACAGTTGTGAATATGACCCTGAACTAAGTGGAGAACTGGTAGCTGGAAAGTGGAAAGTGAACATAATGTCTAAGACAGAGTCAGAGAAATCACCAGTTCATCAGAAACGGTACGGGACAGGGAGTTAGCTAAAGGGGGAGTTCTGAGGACAACACTCTGGATACTGAGCTGACTTGAAAACTAAGAGTGACAGGAATCCAAGAAGGAAGAGAGAACATTAGAAATCTTGCTTG
The DNA here is from genome assembly GCF_000001405.40 of Homo sapiens. Classification (NCBI taxonomy): domain Eukaryota; kingdom Metazoa; phylum Chordata; class Mammalia; order Primates; family Hominidae; genus Homo; species Homo sapiens. The sequence goes on along the minus strand of NC_000011.10, from coordinate 11,218,525 downwards.
CGCTGAAAGCAAGTCAGCCAGATAAACACAGGTGTGGCTGGAGCCAAGACTGCAGGAGGTCAGACAAAGACAAAGTGCACAGTTGTGGTCACGCTCTGTCAGAGGCAGCATGGGGAGACAGCAAGAGGCTATCACTGGGAACCAGACCTCAACTGTTCACTTAAGTGAACAGTTTAAATCCTGGCTCCACCACTTACTAGCTGAGTGACTCTGGGCAAGTAGCTTCGCCTCTCTGAATCCTTGCCCTGCAGAGAATTCTGCGAAAGATAAATAAGGTGTAAAATACCACAGCAAAGTGTCTGCCCCACAGTAAGAGCCCATAAAAGCTGCCCCTCCTCGATCTTAGATTTTAACTTGTATTGTACTCTGGAGCCCTACTTGTTAAGGGAGCCCAATGGTGGCAGCTTCTGACTGTGTGTATGTGTGGTGCAGGGAGGCAGGAGGGTGTGTGTAGACAGGAAGTAGATCCACCTGCTTTACCCCAGGTTTGTTGAATATACCTGTCCTTAAAAAAAAAAAAAAAAAAAAAAAGAAACCATACACACACACACAACTAGCTATGGATAACAACTCCTTTGGCATCTCCCAGACAGGTAAGGCACACCGAGCCTCAGGGACATGCCTCTGGTCCCTGCTGGTGATTGTCAGAGCAGGCCACTGAACGCTCTTAACCACTGTGATGGTTAATACTGAGTGTCAACCGTACTGTTCCTTCAAGTATTGAGGGTGTGTGTGCCTGTGAGAGTGTTGCCAAAGGATATCAACATTTGAGTCAATGGACTGGGAGAGGCAGACCCACCCTCAATCTAGGTGAGCACAATCTAATCAGCTGCCAGCACTGCTAGGATAAAGCAGGCAGAAAGACACGGAAGGACTAGACTGGCTGAGTCTTCCGGCTTTCATCTTTCTCCCATGCTGGATTCTTCCTGCCCTCGAACATCGGACTCTAAGCTCTTCAGCTTTGGGACTGTTGGACTAACACCAGTGGTTTTCCAGGGGCTCTTAGGCCTTCAGCCACAGACAGAAGGCTGACCTCTTGGCTTCCCTACGACTTTTGAGGTTTGGGGATTTGGACTGGCTTCCTTGCTCCTCCACTTGCAGATGGCCTATTGTGGGACTTCACTTTGTTATCGTGAGTCAACACTCCTTAATAAACTCCCCTTCATATATACATCTATCTATTAGTCTTGTCCCTTTAGAGAACCCTGACTAATACAATCAGCCTCTATCCTGCCTTCCACCTGGTCCAGCCCCCAGAGCCCATCCTGGCCAGGCCAATAGACAATTCTAGGCCATTGTATCCTCTGTGGGATATGTGGGTGCCTGTGTCTTTAAGGTTCATGGTGGGGTGAATAGAAGGTGGGGTGAGTGAAGGCACACACACCCTAAATTCTTGAAGGAACAATACGGTTGACACTCAGTATTAACCATCACAGTGGTTAACAGCGTTCAGTGGCCTGCTCTGACAATCACCAGCAGGGACCAGAGGCATGTCCCTTAGGCTCGGTGTGCCTTACCTGCCTGGGAGATGCCAAAGGAGTTGTCATCCATAGCTAGTTGTGTGTGTGTGTGTGTGTGTGTGTGTTTTGTTTGTTTTTGTTTTTTAGGACAGGTAAATTCAACAAATCTTAGCAAAGCTTGTTCCTAACTGAAGTAGTTTTTCTTCTCAAGCAACAATCTCTTCCAAGAAGTAGTAGGCAATGTGTCTGAAGTTGAACAAAGAAAACTGATTCAGTCTGACGAACACACATCTGAAATTGCTTTAAGGAATCTATGCTCCACATACAGAGGCAGGGGCTGGAAATCACACCTCCCAGGGCTGGCCTTAGTGGTCCCCCTTGTGGGAAAGCTGAAGGAAGGATGAGGGCACAGGCTTCCACTTCACATGCCCAGGCCTCCCTCCTGCCACCTCGGCTTTGGACACCCAGAAGATGGGAGCATCTTGAATCTTAGAGAGGCAGGGCCATCAGGATTCAGTGCAAATGTCCCTTGGGTCCCCCGCTCCCCTAGTGCCAGCCTTTTCTGGGCCCACAACTCCTGGCACAGAAGCCCCCAGCCCTTGCTGCCTGGGTCTTCCTGTGGAGAGTGAAATGAAACCCATGAAGAGAGGATGCAGGAAGCAGGCTGGCTTCTCTCCTGCCACACTTTGCCCACAGTGTGTTTTGAAACAATACATGGGAAAAGCCACCTGCAGCCCTCAGACCCATGGTGAAGGACTCATTCTTTCTCCAGTTCAGAAATCCTGCCATGCTGAACGCCTCAATGACAGAAGAAACCTCCTTCAGCAGTTGGCAGCAGGCCACTTCTAGCCCCTCCACCCAGGAGGCCTGTGACACAGTGGCCCCATTGTTCAGGCTGCCTGAGCTCCTCTGCATTGCCATTGCAATGCTGACACTGGCCACCTGAGCTCTGTTTGCCATCTTTTTATCTTTCGGCTCTGACTATGCTGTGGCCACTCAGAGTAGGGATGGGCCAGGGCAGCAAGAGGCAGGGGAGGTGGGTGACAGCAGTGGCAATGGCAGCAGGGTGGCCTGACAAACACACACTTGAAGAAATGGACCAGCAGAAACGAAGGCTTTTGTGCGCCAGGCCTTGCAACCTCCCCACTCGTGGTTGCTGACCTCACAGGACATCATCAGAGCCTGACGTATTTCCCAATGGCTGTCATCTGCCCATGGATTACTCCCAAGCCTGTGTCTCCATTTTGCCCTTTGTCCTCAACTCCAGATCAATTTATCCTGCTACTTCCTCCTGAAGGTCCTCCAAGACTCAGCAAACTCACACACTCAAATCTGCATTCTCTGTATTGCCCCTAAGTCTGATCCTCCGCACTGGTTTCCCATCACTGTGCAAGTGTCATGCAAGTTGGAAACAAAAGTCCATCCTTGACTCTGCCTGGGCCATATCTCACATCCCATCAATCATCCAGCCCAGCCAATTCCATCTCCTAAAAGTATTTCCAATCCGTCCTCCTCTCTCCACTCCTGCTGCAATCATTCCAGTACACTTCCTCCCAGCATCTCACATCCAGATTGTTTCCACACTCCCTACTGGTCTTTTTGTGCTGATCTTCCCCCAGCCTCTAATCCATCTGCCTGGAACACCCTTTTCCTCTTGTTCCTCTGGTAAACTCTCCTCCTCCTAAGCCTTCCTCCTTTGTGAAGCCTTTAATGATTTCCCACATAATATGAGGCACACACCCTCATCTCACCCCGTGCGCCCCAGCTGCTGGCATCCATACCCTCATCAGAGCCCTGGCCACATGACATGACACTGGCTGTTGGCACACCCTTCTCCCACAGGGCTCCCCGAGAGCAGGGGCTCCCAGTGCCCTAATCAATTCTTGGCAAACAGTTAATGTTTCATAAGTGTTTAGTTGAACTAATGAATTCTACAATAAAGAGGCCAGGGGTCTTTATCAAAATCCCTTTCCTCCCAGATCTGAAAGGCTGGAAATTAGGGTTTGTGTTGGGTCTCTTAATTACAGATCCAAAACACCTAAGTCCTTTAGCTACCGAATCTGTCTGGCCCAAGCATGTCCCTCTCTCAATAGCCAGGAAACACTTTGTAAATAAATTCCTTGTCTCAAGTCCCATTTTATTGTTTTAATTCTTTAGAATTGGAGTGAGATCTCCACTCTCAGTGTCTCAATACCTAGTATTCCAGGTGGATGAGTGAAGCACAGTTACAGTGTTGTGTTCGACTCTTCAGGTCCTACTGTCAGGGAAGATGGGTTGCTTCTCTCAGCTCAAAGCTCCATTCGTGTGAGGAGAAAGGCCTTCCACTCAACCCAGAGCTCCCACTTGCAAACAGTCAGTGTTTGAGAAAGATATTAACAAACAAATTAATCAACCAATGTTACCTGCACCCACAGGTGTAACTTGCTTCTATGGAAATCACAGAATTCTCTCTCAGTGATGCTTAGACACAAGGAGTTCTCCAGAGCACTTATCGGTGCTAGAGGAGAATATTTGTGACTTGGGTAGCAAAATGCACAATTTGTCTCTGTGGTTTAGACTTTTACTCACCCTCTCTGTTGCAATGGTTTTCTTCCAGCCTGATTCCTTCCTTGCTTTCTGTCCCCTGAGTCTTGGCAGGGAGAGAATGACTTCCTTTTCTCTTTTTCCTCTGTGATTCCTATGACTTCTCCAAAGCCCAGAGCTCTCCAGGGGGAAGAAACAAGCTTGCTTTTCTATTTTATATTTCAACTTCCTTTTGTTTTATCACAACATCAGCTGCAACCTCCCCACTGCAGTCAAAACTGTTGTTCTTAACTGTACTCCAGCATTTAAATCTATGTGGGATACATTCTCTCTACCATATCTACATAGTCACTCACTAATCCTTTCTCCCTCCCTTCTTCCCTCCCTCCCACATTCCTTCCCTTCCTTCCTTCCTTTATTCCTTCTTTTCCTCCTTTCTTCCATCCATTCATCTACTCATCCATCCACCCATCCATCCACTAATCCATTCCTTTATTGAGCAGTCACTGAGCTGGGCACAGGGAATGATGAAATGAATAAACACAGGCCCAGCACCAAAGGAGCTCATAATCTGGAGAGGGAAATGGAAATTTTTACAATTGTTCATAAAGAGTATGAAGAGAGTGGTGTGACAATCCAAGGGAGAGGATGATTAATTTTAGGGAGTATAAGAAGAATAAATCAAAGAGATGACATTTGAACTGAGTATTGAATATGAAGAAGAAGGGGAAAATGCCACTCAGAAAAAATAGCCACTGCAATGACTTAGAGACTTAAAATAACAGGGTATGAAATAGAAAAAAAAAATGTCAAGAAGCTCAGTATGATTGGAGGAAAGGAGGCACATATGAGAGGAATTTCCAGTAAGGCTAAAGGAACACTGGCCAGATTTGGAGAATCCCAAATGTCAGAGTAAGGTCTCTGGACTTTTTTCTAGAAACCATAGGAAGCCATTGGTGGCAGGTCAGCAGTTGGAAAAATGGCTCTGGCTGCAGAGAATCAACAGGAAAGGGGCTAGATAGGAGGTGGAAGGCCAGTTAAGAGGTTGGCACAATGGACCGAATGAGAGATGAGGCCTGGAGTAAAGGCATGGAGAGGGTGGGATGACAAGGGGACTGTGGAGGGGAGGCTGCCTCTTTGCATGTCGAAAGTAAGATGCCTGTCTCAAAGGAGCCAGATAAATAAATGCTTCTTGTGCTGTAGCCAGAGAGTTTGGTAAGGCCTGCTCATGGCCCAGCTGTCTGCAAAATGCTCCAAGTCTTGCCTGGCTCTCAGGAGAAGCAAGCCCTCTGCCAGCCTTAAATTAATGACTCTTCTAGGGAAATGCACTGCTGCCTGCACCAGTGGCCCTGCCTATGTCCACGTTAGAACCCATTAGTAAGGCTGTCCCACTGGGCTAGAGCAAACGACAAGGTAACAGTCAAAAGATGGCTCTTGGTCCCTCCATATGAGGTGACCTGCTTTCTATATCTACAAGCCCTGTTGGAAAACAGAGCCCAGGGTGGGATAAGTCACACATTCTCTTTTTCTCGGTCTCACACCCTTAGAATTCAACATTATTTTTTCATCAACAAGCAATTCACTTATTAATTCTGTTTCCTTCTATTGATATTGAAAGGTTCTTGTTGTTCAAATATAAAGGACCATCCAGAGTGACAAACAGCTACAGAGAAAACTTGGGTTTTCATTCTGAGGAGAAAAAGGAATCAAGAGCTCTTCAAAATAGTATGAAACAAGGGGATAAAATTTCTCCCACACCCACTGAGTTTAGGACAGTGATCTTTTTCATGCATTATCTCATTCTATCTTCTCAATAGCTCGTGAAGTGAGTTATGATTCCCATTTAACAGATGGAGAAACTGAGGCACAAAGAGGTTAGGCCACTTGCCCAATGTCACTCTGCTGCTGGTTTGAAGAGCCAGAGTTTAAATCCAAATCTGCCTCATTTTGAATGTCCTGTTGGTTTCGCTGCATTATGTCACCTCAGAGTGGCAGTGTGGAGGGTAATGAGAGCATGGGTGGGAGGTCAGAGACTGAGAATTACCCAAATTTAGACTTGCAAGACTTAAATCCTGGACCCCCTTAATAGTCTGTGACCTCAGACAAATCATGTGGCTTAAGTAAGCATCAGTTTCACCTGTAAAGTGAGGGGTAGATTGGATGATCCAGGTCCACAGTTCTATGTTTCTAATTCAAGTAAGAGAGTGAACTCACTGTTGAATGAATAAAGATTTACAGATAGCATTTTTACTTTAATGTTGGAATGTTGGCATGTGTTATAAAAATAAAATGGCCTGGATTGTGAGTTTGCAATTGAGCTCATTACTTCACTGATTTGGGTTTTAATTGTCTCCTCTGATTCAACTAATCAAACCAATGTTTGTTCAGGGTTTACCCTGTGCCTGGCAGCATGCCACATGGATGAAATAACTTGCCCAGCTGGTACAGCTCCAAATTTAGTTGTTCTGCATCTTCAAACTAAATGAATTGCTGACTTGTCCCACTGTCTTTTGAGGAACACTAGTTTAACATGTTGAGAGATGTTACAGAACCAAAAGCATTCTGTGCTCAAATGAGTCTGGGAAACACTACATCAAACAAAGATAAGCAAGTTCCTTTACTGTGGGACTCCTCCAAGACTTTGATAAGCTGATACCATTAGGAATCTCCAAGAGTGGCAAGAACAATCAGGGTTTCCCAAACTTAACGGATGGGAGAATTTTCAAGGAGCACCTAACAAAATGAGTATTCTAGTGACTATGCTTTAAGGACCACCAGACCATGGGCTTACAAATCTTTATTAAGAAGAGCCTAAGAGGCCACTGTCTGACACAGAGTCAGTGGTGTTCATTAAATGTTAACAAAAAGGGGAGCCTATCTGTGTTCAGAGTGAGCACTGTCTCTGGCTAGCAAGTGACCCCACGGGATCTCAGCACTTCCTCTTGGCTGGGGAAGGAGCAGGTTGGGTCGGATACCTCTGACATTCTGGGAGTGCATTTTCTGAAAGGGCATTTGCAGCTTTTAGCTAAATGTCCCTTTTCTTCACTTGTGACATTTTGGGAAGATGAATCATTTGGCAAGGATGGGTTCTCACCCCTCTTCTAAGTATACAGGCTTGTCAACAGGAGGTTTATTCAATGAGTCCTTTGAGAATTCATCCTTGTCCAGAATGACTGGCTGTTATGTTTTATCCTGAACATGCAGGCACCCGCAGTATGGGAGTTCTGCCAACGGCCTCTTGCAGTATTTTCGGGAGCTGATATTTTTAAAAATTGAAGGGTGCTGCATTTCTTCCCTAATTGTACAACGAGCGCAGGCATAGCCCCACAATGAGAATCACGTTTGTGAAAATGATGCATTTACTTTGCTATTTTCAAAATTTTATTTTACAAAAATAAAAAGCATCTTAAAATGCCAACCAAGTAGCACATACAATTATTACAGAAGGGTCTGCTTACCTTTCAAAAAGCAATTTGCTTGGAAAAGAAAAATCTATTCTTTTTTTCCTTTTCTTTTTCTATCCTTTAACCCTTCACTTTTTTCTTGGCATAAAGTAATAAATTCTTCCTATAAAATTTTTGGAAAATATAAAAAGTCATAAAGAAAATATTAAAATAGTAAGTAATTCCATCAGATGGGAAAAACCCACTGTCACTTATTTATGTATTTTTTATATGTACATCATATGTAATTTTTTCATTTTTTGTATTTCTTGTACTAAAAGGAAATATATTTATACTTATACATATTCATAAAAATATGTATATATGTCAGAGTAGGAGGAAATACATATACAAAAAAATATTTTTCACTAAATTGGAAAGGCACCGCATACAGTTTTCAAGCCTACTTTTTTCACTTAGCACTGTATCATGAACAGTTTGCCAGGGTTGATGTTTCCCATTCCAAATAACCTGGGGTGTTGTTGGCTCATAGGACTGAAGAATTTACAAGCTGCTGTCAAACATGGCTAGCGATGGCTGCGGCATTAATATCAATGATTCTTCTTGAAAGCAATTAAACTTGGCATTGCTGTAGGCACTTAATGTGTTTATATCAGCTCCTGTATTGTGTTCTGAAGCCATAAATTTCTCAAGTTAATTATAAACAACTTGCTCTGCTTAATTAATGGGCATCACTAACAGGTATTATCTAATATGCATGTGAATGAACCTTATGAGAGCCACACAGGGCCTGGATTAATGATGTCAGGATGGTAGCCCTGGAAGAGAAGTCAATCGCCCAGGAAACCCCAGGACCAGAATCTGCTGCAGCAGAGCATGCCAGGACTGTTCCTGCCTGTGCTGGGTCTTTGGGGTTGAAGTCACCTTGGATCCTCCCAGTTACATGTTATGTGGGTGACTGAGCACCACCTCAGTTTATTAGCAAAGTGTCTCTCCCCTGCACTGTTTTCTTGTCTATGTCAACCATGTTGTTCTTCTCACACAGACCCTGCACTGTGGCTGGTGTAGCATGGTGGTAATGAGGCTGGACGCAGGGGCCAGTCTCCCATGGTTCAAATCTCAGCCTGCCAGCCACTAGATGTGAGAATATTAGCAAGTTACTATTGAATAGCACAGCTCCTCACTTTGGCTGTTTTCCGAAAGAAGATAATCATCATACCTACCTTATAGCCTCATGAGGACTAAATCAGTTAATTTGGGTAAAGCGAACATAATAATGTTAATAACCTTAACTATTATTAGGTATTATCATCTTCCCACATGATACACGAGGGAAGTTTCCTTATAGACGAGGAAGCTAAGATTCTATGACCCAGGACTAGGGTTAAGCAAGTGAGACATTTAGGGTGCAAAATTTAAGGAGGCACTCTCTTCTCAAGGTCAACACCTCATGCTAGCCTGGCTAGTGTGACCTGTCCACGTTTGCTCAGCTTGGATCAGATCTGAATGACTCCTGAGCCCTTCTGCTCTCATGGGGACACCCTGCTGTTTAGCAATCCTTCCTGGCTTTGACAACCTTGTTCTGAAAAAGGACCCCCCCCCGCCCCCGCCAGGATTGAGATGCTTCTTTAGGCCAACATAGGTTTGATGGCTGGATTTTCTCTGCAGAAACAGTGCTCTGGGAGCCTCATTTCCAGTCACCTCTGCTGGACACAGGTGAGCAGTGCCGAGGACACAGCATTCTTACTAAATTCTCACTTTCTAAAGCAAGATCTTGACCTTTGGGAGACAAGGATGGCAGAACAGGCTTTATGCTGAAATGAGAGCCAAGGTGTCTCATCTCCTTGTTTTTAATACTTATCCAGGTGACACTCTTCATTGCTTATTAATTGCTCAGCAGGGCAGTTCCTTGCAGCTGATGGTAGCCACAGGCTATCTTGGGAGATGAGGCAGGAACCCCAGAATGACTGCTGGAGAAACGACGGGGCTGTTGGTGGGATTCAGCGTTGCCAACATTCCACTCAAGTGGAATCAGTGCCCTTCTGGAGCCTCATCTTCGGTGGTCAATGCCAAGGGCCTCATATCAAAGAGAAGCTTCTCTCCTTCAACTACTACTATTTTCAATTTTTTTTTATTGGGCAGGAAAGAAACTGGACTTTATTAAGCACCTATCACAGGTGCCTTCTTCATAGGTATTATTATCCTCACTCAGCTACTGAGCAAACTGAGGCTCACGGAGGTCATGCTAGCCATGCAGCACAGGAGGGCCAGAGCGAGGATTTGGAGCAAGACCTGCTGTACTTTGTGTGCCCTGTGCACTTCCCTGAATCACAATGCTCTGGTATGTAAATTTAGGCTTCACTGAAGCTGAAGTTCCTGCAATCTTTGGGCCTTGGACCTCTCAACTCATTATCCTTGGGGGAAGGCAGATGTCAGGGACTAAGTGCATACACAGATGGCCATGGTCATGTTCTGAACCATCTTGTTGGAATTCAATAGTTATCTTAAGAGGCTCCAATCCAATAAGCCAAGGAGTTGTTCAGGGCTGAAATGGGGAGCACGTCCTTGATTGTGGGGGGACTTCAGCAATAAACCCATCATGGTCAATCCCCAAGAGGTAATGTAACATTGCCCCCCACCAGTGGACAATGCTACTCTGATCCCTGAGTCTCCTCTAGTGAATTACCTCGGAATTTACTGGTACCTTTCCCAAGGATATTAAAAATGAATTTTAATGTGGGGGAAAGTGCTTTAAAATGAATAACATGTTGTGAAGGATGTATTAATATATATGTATGCATATATACATACCTGTGGGGAACAGACATGTGGTTTATTCATTGGTCCATTTGTTCATGTATATTTATTTCTCCACTTTTGAATTCATGTATTCACTTGTGTTTTTATTTATTTGCTCATTTATTCATTCATTTGTTTTTTAATTTACCCAGTCATCCATTCAGCTATCCATCTAACTAACCATTTATTAACCATCTAACTAACCATTTTCCTGCACCTACTATGTGCTAGGTGGCACACTAAATGTTAGGAACATAGAATTGAATGAAACAAAATTCTACTCTTGAGGAACTCACAGTCTAATGGATTAGAGAACCACTTATATCCGTAAGTGCATTTCAGTGTTTAGGTTCTACAGTAGAGATCTATACAATGTATTTTGGGGGCCCAGAGTTGATTATCCCTGCATAGATGTGAAGGAGAATCTTGACAGAAGAAACACTTGAGTAAGAATTCATCAAGCAAAGGAGGTGGGTGCATGGTAAGAACGAGGGAAAGCACTAAGTTCAACCACGTGGGAATGAATCCATAGCTCCCATAATTTCTCATTCATTCTTTTCTCAGATAGTCATAAGTACTCTGCTCTGGGAAGAATTTATCTGGCAAAAAAAAGAAGACAAAACATTCTTCAATTTATCTGTCTATTTCTACCTGCCACCAGAAGATGGAGGTGATGGTTTTCAGTTTTTCAGGAACTAATCTGAGGTGCAGAAGATATGGACCCTGGAGTATTCAAATGCGGCCTGCAGGGGACCACTCAGCTCTTTTTTTTAGCGTCTAGTCCTGGTAACTGTCACCCTCCAGTGTCTCTGGTCATCCTTAGCTGCCATAGACATAAATTGCTGGAATATAGAAAGAGATTCATTCCAAATAGTAAAAAGGGTATTTATTTGCAGGAAGCAAATACTGTTTGCCACTTAGTTTTGGAAATTTCCCAGCTTTTCTCTAAGGGACTCATAAGATTTATTCTCAATTTATGTAGTATCTTTCCTCCAAATAGCTTTATAAATTTTTTATCAAGATTGTATTTTGGGAACTGAAAACTACCTGATTTCTACCAGATTGTCACATTTGAAAGGAATTTTATGAAACCCAAATGGGATTTTTTAATGTCTATATTTCTTTTTCTTAAATGGGTTTCCAACGAAGGCTTTCAGATTTTCTCTTTTTTTTTTTAAAGAGGACCTTTTATATACAATGTCACAGCCAGAAATATAACATTCAGTAAGTGACATTCTATTTTAATTCACTTTGACAAAATAATGAACTCTACTTGTAGGAGCAATAGAGCCTTGTCTGACAAGGAGATGTCCCTGGAGTTTTGCTATAAATGAAAAAAAAAAACCCCCACAAACGTATTCCTTTTTAAAAAAAAGTTTTTGAAAGAATGGCAAGTTTGAGATTTTGGAAAAACTTTTTGGAAATGATGGTAAATGTCTAAGAATCGGTAGGAAACACCCCACAGTAATCACATGTCCTGCTATTCAGCAGTCATGCTTGGATTTCTGGTTTGGACCAGCACATATCACTGTCCATCCTCTGGATTCAGAGTTCCCATCCCTGTGAGCCACCTTCAGCGCCTGGTGGAAAGGAAAGCCTCTTGGCTTCGGGCACCCTCTGCTTCCTGCCAAAGGCGGGTGAACAAAACATCCCAGTCCATCCTCTCCCAGTGACATACATGGACGCTGGCCCAGTGAAAGTCAACAGGGCCCTGGGGCTAGCAAACCGAACACGGGAACCCTGGCCACAAATCCAGCTCAGAAGCCACCAAATCAGGGCTTCCTAGGGAGGGAGGAGAGTGGAGGCATCTGCCTTGCCTCCCTGTTTTTAACCACTTACGTTTAATGCATCTCATTCGTCAATTTTTTAAAAAATAAAAGCCTGAGGAAGGAAGGAGAGGCTTTCATGTTGAGCCTAGGAATCGAGTTATCAGGAGCGACCTGGAGAAATGAGGTTGCAGACTTTGACCCTAACTGTCCAGCTCTTGGACACTAAGATTATAATTCCCAGCAAAAGAGGGCACAAAGGCTGCCTCAGTCTCAGGGCAGGGAGCAGGGGACTCACTTCAAGGCAAGAGCTGATAGCAAGTGTCCCAGATTACAATACTGGCTGCCACAAGGAGCGATGCATTCTTTTTTTAAGTTGTATTTGAAAAACACTAAAAACAATAAAATCAAAAATCATTTATAAATCAATCACATCTTTTAAAATTATTATACTGGGAAGTGAAATTTCTTTCCTCTGTCCTTCTAACACCAACCCCCCTCCACCATGTTAACCATTGTCCATCCTTCCTGACATTTTCTGTCTATGGACAAAAGATTAAACAGATGATAATCTTTTAATTTTATTTACAAAACTGGGACCTGCCATGTATTTTGGTCCACATGGTGGTTTTTTTTTCCTTAATGATACATGCCAGTGTATATAAACTGAAGTGTTTTTTTTTTTCTTATTATTATAGTCATATGCCTTCTGACCCCATCTCTGATGAGCATGTCTTAAGGTCTTTGAGAAAGAGTTGTAAAGTAAAAGGGAAGCTTGTGTCCCAGTGGCTTTGTTAGGTAGGATGCTGGAGAAAAAGATCACCGTAAGTGCCCAGACCTCTAAAGACCACTCCAGGCTTTCCTGGCTCCAGGAAAATAAGATTCATTCAGTGTGGGAATATTACTGTCCAAAAAGTTCCTTTTGTTTTAAAGTCCAGTTACAGACGCTATAACAGGTTTTTTTTTGTTTGGTTTTTTGTTTTTAAAAAAAGAACACTCAAATCCTGGTAGACTTTCTGGAGGTCATTTTATCTCTGTGGGCTGAGGGGAATAACGAGGTTGGTTCCTCGGGTCCCCACATGGAGCTGCTCTTTTGTTATCCTTAAATATAATCTATTACAATAGTATTATTGGCAACAGTCAAATTAACATTAATTATATTTTGAGTCATTAAAATACAGTTTTCTCTGTGAATTTTTAAAGGTTTGTATTTTTATTATGCAATATTTTAATCACACATAATCATATGGTAAATAATAACATAAACACCCACGAACTTACTACCCAATTTAAGAAATAAATTATTACCAATACCATTGAAGCTCTCTTTCCTCTACTGCATTTTCCTGCCTTCCACAACCTCCTGCATCCAGGAATAACCATTACACTAAATTTTATGTATATCTTTTTCCTGTTTTTTTTAAATAGTTATTCTCCCCTCTGGACATTAAAATCACCGGGGAAATCTTTTAAATACCAGATAGTTTGCTCCTATTTTGGACTTTTCCCTTTGGAAGCCATGTAGAGCAACAAGGAAAATGAGTAAAAGAAAAAGGAAAAACACAAACATCATTTTACATGGAACTAGGAAACAGAGAAAACCCACAAACTCCAAGTTACATGTAAGTAATGCCCAAAGCAGGTGAGACTTGAAGAGCCTCATAAGAGGCAGACATGAGAAAAGTCAGGGAGAACAAGGGTCTAACTAGCAGACCTCAGAAATCATCAACAAAAAATGCATTCCCAGAAGCAGAGAATAACTGCCCTAAGTGGGACATCTGTGAGTAGGGTAAGAAGCAACAGAGAGAAGTGGTCAAAAGTGCCCCCAACAGATCCAGGAATGGCATACCTCAGAAAGCACAAACAAATAGACATTTGAAGGCAAGGGCTGCTCCTATTAGTTGTGGCATCCAATAAAGAAACAAACAGAGAAAATCAAGGTTGGCTGTAGGAGCCCTTCTGAGCCAGTTTAGATACACAGAGACGAGCAGGTATGGTTACACTGGGTTCCATATTTGAAGGAAATGGCTCACTACTTAAGTAACAGAGGAGGAAGTACTGACTTGCAAAGCCCAGAGATTTTCCATATGCTCTTCCCCCAACTCATCTCACAACCCTCCCCAACATAGGCACAAAATAACTTCCTGCAGATGGTTGATCCAGAAATCCACCTAATACAATTGACTAACAAATATTTCATAGGCACAGGATCTATTCAACTACACAGACTAGAAAACTCTTGTGCTAATGAAGAACACTCAAGATTCAAAGACATCATAACCAAATATTCCATCATAAAGTTTAAAAATTTGTTACATGCAATGACAAAAAAGACAAAAAATTCAGAAATACAAGAATTCAGGGAAATGAGATGAAAACTGGCAAAATTCAGGAATAAAAAAATCTATTTTTTCAGAAATAAAGAATATATGAAAAGGAACACAAGAAAGAAAAGACACTATAGACGACACACACAAGATGCCTGTAAATGATACAAAAGATAGGAATGGGAGAAGTGATCAAATGAAACAGAAACAGAGAAAGAGATAAAAACGATTAGGGAGAAAATTAGAATTAAAGAAGATAGGCAGAAAATCAAACACATGCATAACTGTTGTCTCCAAACACTAAAACCAAAACTATGAAACAGAATAAATGCTTAATGTATAATTCAAAAACACTTTCCTGAAGTAAAAGACTTGAATTTACATACTGAAAGGGCAAATCATGTACTAGGGAAAACTTACTTCAAATGGTCCAAACTGAGACATATCCTAATAAAATTGTTAGATGTTAAAGGATTCTTTGAGCAGCCAAACAAAAAGATCAAATCACTTATAAAAGAAAGAAAATCAGGCTGACATCGGACTCTCCCATGGCATCATTTAACACCAACATAGTGAAGTGAAATTCTTATCAGATATTCAAAGAAAAGAAATTGCGATAAAGATTTGATATCCAGCCAAGTTGTCCTTCAAGCCTAATGCCTAACAGTTTAAAATATGCAATAACTCTGGAAATATTGTTCTCACGGGCCATCCTTGAGGAAAATAGCAGAAAATAAATTCTAGTCAAACAAGAGGTAATTGAGGAAAATCTGGCAAAAAGACTGTCAAAGCATTCAATATATTTAACTGTAGACCTAAAATAAAAAGCAAGCATGGAGGTAAAAGTGACATAATACAATGTAAATAGCACACACTCTGACAATGTGAAAATGAGAGGAGAAGGGCAAAAGATGATGGAATTAGAAATAAGCAAGTCAATTGCTTCATCCCTAGCAGCTAGGAGTCAATAGTCACCACTTAAAATTAATCACAAGGGGCAGTTCCTCAGTGTGGCAGTTGAGAATTAGAGAGTAAAGGCTTTCAGATGAACAACGTTGTAGAACAAAGACTGGATGTGAGTTAATTCTCAGCTGCTGTATGACTTTAAACAATTGTATTTCCCTAAACCGTGGAGAAGTCAGTGCCTACTGGAAGATAGACAGAAAATCCAACACATGCATAATTGGTGACTCCAAAAGCTAATTATTAGGAATATTACTACATGAAATTTCAAATGTGAAAGCACCCAGGCCACTCTCTGGAACATAGTAAGTGCTCAGAGCTCTGTCATCCAGGCTGGAGTGCAGTGGCACAATCTTGGCTCACTGCAACCTCTGCTTCCCAGATTCAAGGAATTCTCATGCCTCAGCCTCTCGAGTAGCTGGGACTAAGGTGTGAACCACCATTCCTGGCTAAGTTTTTTGTATTTTTAGTAGAGACAGGGTTTTGCCATGTTGGCGAGGCTGGTCTTGAACTCCTGGCCTGAAGTGATCTGCCCACCTCATCCTCCCAAGGTACTGGGATTACAGGCATGAGCCACCGTGCCCAGCCAGTGCTCAGTGCTCTTACTGGAAAGTTGCCCAAGGGCAGGCATGGGCAACCCTGAGACCCTAGCTGTTGATGTTAAGAAGTCACGCCTCCTCTCATTCCAGGCAAGCACCAACAACTCTACTGGTTTTCCGTAGTGCTAATTTCTGTGTAGAAGGTGAATCTGCTGTAAGACACCATCTTTCCCCTTTAGTTTCCTACTTTAGAGGATTTGATTAACCAGGAGAAGCTGGAGCTACCCCAAGACATTTTCTTTATTTCTTCTAGCAGGTTCCTGCCACACCAATATCATTATCATTTTTAAATTTCTATCATAAACATTTAAACATGTTATTTTTCTAATCTTATTATTCTTGTGACTTATTTATTTTTACTTTTACAGTTTTAATTTTTTAGTTCTTAACCCTAAAATCCCATCTATGTCTACATTTTTGCTCACTTTTTACTTTTATGGCTTTATCCTTTTATCTTAATCTTTCATCTTATTTACTTTTATATTTGTAACCTTTAATTTTGCTGGTGTATAGCCTTTAACATTTTCTTCTGAATTTCATCCATTTTATTTAATTGTTATTTTTAAGCTCCTAACCTTTTGCCTTTATTGTGATTTATATTCTTTATAAACGTATATTGCTTTTTTATGGTTGTTTTAATATCCTTTTAATCTCCTATACTCTCTCTCATGACTGAAATAATTTCATTCATTTTGCCTTTCTTTCTATGAAAATTATGACAAATATTCATTTCTTTTTACAATGGCCAGCCAGAATGTGTTGCTATAGATGTGGTTGCACAGAAAAGCTCACCCTGTAAGGAGCAGAGGTTGGACCCTTCTTCTTTGCATTGGTCCTAAGAGCTAAACCCTGTTTCTTAAAGAACCGATCCCTTTAAGGGTTTCTACTCTACCCCACTCCCTGAATATCCAGTAGACTCACAAGTTCACACTTTCCAGAATTCTAATTCTTTTGCACAGATGAAACACTTGATTAAGGGATTAAGGGAATGGTATTGCTTCCAAACATCTCACACCCTCTAATATTGTAGAAGAGATTCCCTGGTTTTAGATTCATCATCTTTAAGTCAGTTTGATCCTGCTGGACCAATTTCTATCCAGGGGGCTATTAACTTCACTTTAATTGCCTCAAGGGAGATGTTTTCCCTCTTCCTACCAAGCAAAATGCTGATTATTTAAATACATTTTGGAGAGGAGCCAAGATGACTGAATAGGAACAGCTCCGGTCTACAGCTTCCAGTGTGAGCGATGCAGAAGATGGGTGATTTCTGCATTTCCAAGTGAAACTTAAATGTCCCTCTCTGACAGCTTTGAAGAGAGTAGTGGTTCTCCCAGCACGCAGCTTGAGATCTGAGAACGGGCAGACAGCCTCCTCAAGTGGGTCCCTGACCCCCGAGTAGCCTAACTGGGAGGCACCCCCCAGTAGGCACGGACTGACACCTCACATGGCCGGGTACTCCTCTGAGACAAAACTTCCAGAGGAACGATCAGGCAGCAGCATTTGCAGTTCACCAAAATCCACTGTTCTGCAGCCACTGCTGCTGACACCCAGGCAAACAGGGTCTGGAGTGGACTTCTAGCAAACTGCAACAGACCTGCCACTGAGGGTCCTGTCTGTTAGAAGGAAAACTAACAAACAGAAAGGACATCCACGCCAAAAACCAATCTGTACATCACCATCATCAAAGACGAAAGGTAGATAAAACCACGAAGATGGGTAAAAAACAGAGCAGAAAAACTGGAAACTCTAAAAATCAGAGCGCCTCTCCTCCTCCAAAGGAATGCAGCTCCTCACCAGCAATGGAACAAAGCTGGATGGAGAATGACTTTGATGAGTTGAGAGAAGAAGGCTTCAAACGATCAAACTACTCCGAGCTACAGGAGGAAATTCAAACCAATGGCAAAGAAGTTAAAAGCTTTGAAAAAAAATTAGACGAATGGATAACTAGAATAACCAATGCAGAGAAGTCCTTAAAGGACCTGATGGAGCTGAAAACCAAGGCATGAGAGCTACGTGACGAATGCAGAAGCCTCAGTAGCCGATGCAGTCAACTGGAAGAAAGGGTATCGGCGATGGAAGACGCAATGAATGAAATGAAGCGAGAAGAGAAGTTTAGAGAAAAAAGAATAAAAAGAAATGAACAAAGCCTCCAAGAACTATGGGACTATGTGAAAAGACCAAATCTACGTCTGATTGGTGTACCTGAAAGTGACAGGGAGAATGGAACCAAGTTGGAAAACACTCTGCAGGATATTATCCAGGAGAACTTCCCCAATCTAGCAAGGCAGGCCAACATTCAAATTCAGGAAATACAGAGAACGCCACAAAGATACTCCTCGAGAAGAGCAACCCCAAGACACATAATTGTCAGATTCACCAAAGCTGAAATGAAGGAAAAAATGTTAAGGACAGCCAGATAGAAAGGTTGGGTTACCCACAAACGGAAGCCCATCAGAATAACAGTTGATCTCTCGGCAGAAACTCTACAAGCCAGAAGAGAGTGGGGACTAATATTCAACATTCTTAAAGAAAAGAATTTTCAGAGCCCTCAGAAATAATGCTGCATATCTACAACTATCTGATCTTTGACAAACCTGACAAAAACAAACAATGGGGAAAGGATTCACTATTGAATAAATGGTGCTGGGAAAACTGGCTAGCCATATGTAGAAAGCTGAACCTGGATCCCTTCCTTACACCTTACACAAAAATTCATTCAAGATGGATTAAAGACTTAAACGTTAGACCTAAAACCATAAAAACCCTAGAAGAAAACCAAGGCATTACCATTCAGGACATAGGCATGGGCAAGGACTTCATGTCTAAAACACCAAAAGCAATGGCAACAAAAGCCAAAATTGACAAATCGGATCTAATTAAACTAAAGAGCTTCTGCACAGCAAAAGAAACTACCATCAGAGTGAACAGGCAACCTACAAAATTGGAGAAAATGTTCGCAACCTACTCATCTGACAAAGGGCCAATATCCAGAATCTACAATGAACTCAAACAAATTTACAAGAAAAAAACAAACAACCCCATCAACAAGTGGGCAAAGGACATGAACAGACACTTCTCAAAAGAAGACATTTATGCAGCCAAAAAACACATGAAAAAATGCTCATCATCACTGGCCATCAGAGAAATGCAAATCAAAACCACAATGAGATACCATCTCACACCAGTTAGAATGGCAATCATTAAAAAGTCAGGAAACAACAGGTGCTGAACAGGATGTGGAGAAATAGGAACACTTTTACACTGTTGGTGGGACTGTAAACTAGTTCAACCATTGTGGAAGTCAGTGTGGCGATTCCTCAGGGATCTAGAAATAGAGATACCATTTGACCCAGCCATCCCATTACTGGGTATATACCCAAAGGAGTATAAATCATGCTGCTATAAAGACACATGCACACGTATGTTTATTGCGGCACTATTCACAATAGCAAAGACTTGGAATCAACCCAAATGTCCACCAATGATAGACTGGATTAAGAAAATGTGGCACATATACACCATGGAATACTATGCAGCCATAAAAAATGATGAGTTCATGTCCTTTGTAGGGACATGAATGAAATTGGAAATCATCATTCTCAGTAAACTATCGCAAGAACAAAAAACCAAACATCGCATCTTCTCACTCACAGGTGGGAATTGAACAATGGGAACACATGGACACAGGAAGGGGAACATCACACTCTGGGGACTGTTGTGGGGTGGGGGGAAGGGGGAGGGATAGCTTTAGGAGATATACCTAATGCTAAATGATGAGTTAATTGGTGCAGCACACCAGCATGGCACATGTATACATATGTAACTAACCTGCACATTGTGCACATGTACCCTAAAACTTAAAGTATAATAATAAAATAAAATAAAAAAAGAAAAAGAAAAAGAAAAGAATTTTCAACCCAGAATTTCACATCCAGCCAAACTAAGCTTCATAAGTGAAGGAGAAATAAAATACTTTACAGACAAGCAAATGCTGAGAGATTTTGTCACCACCAGGCCTGCCCTAAAAGAGTTCCTGAAGGAAGCACTAAACATGGAAAGGAACAACCGGTACCAGCCACTGCAAAAACATGCCAAATTGTAAAGACCATCAAGTCTAGGAAGAAACTGCATCAACTAATGAGCAAAATAACCAGCTAACATCATAATGATAGGTTCGAATTCACACATAACAATATTAACTTTAAATGTAAATGGGCTAAATGCTCCAATTAAAAGACACAGACTGGCAAACTGGATAAAGAGTCAAGACCCATCAGTGTGCTGTATTCAGGAAACCCATCTCACTTGCAGGGACACACATAGGCTCAAAATAAAGGGATGGAGGAAGATCTACCAAGCAAATGGAAAACAAAAAAAGGCAGGGGTTGCAATCCAAGTCTCTGATAAAACAGACTTTAAACAAACAAAGATCAGAAGAGACAAAGAAGGCCATTACATAACGACAAAGGGATTAATTCAACAAGAAGAGCTAACTATCCTAAATATATATGCACCCAATACAGAAGCACACAGATTCATAAAGCAAGTCCTTAGTGGCCTACAAAGAGACTTAGACTCCCACACAATAATAATGGGAGACTTCAACGCCCCACTGTCAACATTAGACAGATCAACCAGACGGAAAGTTAACAAGGATACCCAGGAATTGAACTCAGCTCTGCACCAAGCAGACCTAATAGACATCTACAGAACTCTCCACCCCAAATCAACAGAATATACATTCTTTTCAGCACCATACCACACCTACTCCAAAACTGACCACACAGTTGGAAGTAAAGCACTCCTCAGCAAATGTAACAGAACAGAAATTATAACAAATTGTCTCTCAGACCACAGTGCAATCAAACTAGAAGTCAGGATTAAGAAACTCACTCAAAACGGCTCAACTACATGGAAACTGAACAACCTGCTCCTGAACGACTACTGGGTACATAACGAAATGAAGGCAGAAATAAAGATGTTCTTTGAAACCAACTAGAACAAAGACACAACATACGAGAATCTCTGGGACACATTCAAAGCAGTGTGTAGAGGGAAATTTATAGCACTAAATGCCCACAAGAGAAAGCAGGAAAGATCTAAAATTGACACCTTAACATCACAATTAAAAGAACTAGAAAAGCAAGAGCAAACACATTCAAAAGCTAGCAGAAGGCAAGAAATAACTAAGATCAGAGCAGAACTGAAGGAAATAGAGACACAAAAAACCCTTCAAAAAATTAATGAATCCAGGAGCTGGTTTTTTGAAAAGATCAACAAAATTGATAGACTGCTAGCAAGACTAATAAAGAAGAAAAGAGAGAAGAATCAAATAGAGACAATAAAAAATGATAAAGGGGATATCACCACCAATCCCACAGAAATACAAACTACCATCAGAGAATACTATAAACACCTCTACGCAAATAAACTAGAAAATCTAGAAGAAATGGATAAATTCCTCGACACATACATCCTCCCAAGACTAAACCAGGAAGAAGTTGAATCTCTGAATAGACCAATACCAGGCTCTGAAATTGAAGCAATAATTAATAGCTTACCAATCAAAAAAAGTCCAGGACCAGATGGATTCACAGCCGAATTCTACCAGAGGTACAAAGAGGAGCTGGTACCATTCCTTCTGAAACTATTCCAATCATTAGAAAAAGAGGGAATCCTCCCTAATTCATTTTATGAGGCCAGCATCATCCTGATACCAAACCCTGGCAGAGACACAACAAAAAAAAGAGAATTTTAGACCAATATCCTTGATGAACATTGATGCAAAAATCCTCAATAAAATACTAGCAAACCGAATCCAGCAGCACATCAAAAAGCTTATCCACCATGATCAAGTGGGCTTCATCCCTGGGATGCAAGGCTGGTTCAACATATGCAAATCAATAAATGTAATCCAGCATATAAACAGAACCAAAGACAAAAACCACATGATTATTTCAATAGATGCAGGAAAGGCCTCTGACAAAATTCAACAACCCTTCATGTTAAAAACTCTCAATAAATTAGGTATTGATGGGATGTATCTCAAAATAATAAGAGCTATCTATGACAAACCCACAGCCAATATCATACTGAACAGGCAAAAACTGGAAGCATTCCCTTTGAAAACAGGCACAAGACAGGGACGCCCTCTCTCACCACTCCTATTCAACATAGTGTTGGAAGTTCTGGCCAAGGCAATCAGGCAGGAGAAGGAAATAAAGTGTTTTCAATTAGGAAAAGAGGAAGTCAAATTGTCCCTGTTTGCAGATGACATGATTGTATATCTAGAAAACCCCATTGTCTCAGCCCAAAATCTCCTCAAGCTGATAAGCAAGTTCAGCAAAGTCTCAGGATACAAAATCAATGTATAAAAGTCACAAGCATTCTTATACACCAATAACAGACAAACAGAGAGCCAAATCTTGAGTGAATTCCCATTTCCAATTGCTTCAAAGAGAATAAAATACCTAGGAATCCAACTTACAAGGGATGTGAAGGACCTCTTCAAGGAGAACTACAAACCACTGCTCAAGGAAATAAAAGAGGATACAAACAAATGGAAGAACATTCCATGCTCATGGGTAGGAAGAATCAATATCGTGAAAATGGCCATACTGCCCAAGGTAATTTATAGATTCAACGCCATCCCCATCAAGCTACCAATGACTTTCTTCACAGAATTGGAAAAAACTACTTTAAAGTTCATATGGAACCAAAAAAGATCCCGCATCACCAAGTTAATCCTAAGCCAAAAGAACAAAGCTGGAGGCATCACGCTACCTGACTTCAAACTATACTACAAGGCTACAGTAACCAGAACAGCATGGTACTGCTACCAAAACAGAGATATTGACCAATGGAAGAGAACAGAGCCCTCAGAAATAATGCCGCATATCTACAACTATCTGATCTTTGACAAACCTGACAAAAACAAACAATGGGGAAAGGATTCACTATTGAATAAATGGTGCTGGGAAAACTGGCTAGCCATATGTAGAAAGCTGAACCTGGATCCCTTCCTTACACCTTATACAAAAATTCATTCAAGATGGATTAAAGACTTAAATGTTAGACCTAAAACCATAAAAACCCTAGAAGAAAACCTAGGCAATACCATTCAGGACATAGGCATGAGCAAGGACTTCATGACAAAAACACCAAAAGCAATGGCAACAAAAGCCAAAATTGACAAATGGGACCTAATTAAACTAACGAGCTTCTGCACAGCAAAAGAAACTACCATCAGAGTAAACAGGCAACCTACAAAATTGGAGAAAATTTTTGCAACCTACTCATCTGACAAAGGGCTAATATCCAGAATCTACAATGAACTCAAACAAATTTACAAGAAAAAAACAAACAACCCCATCAACAAGTGGGCAAAGGACATGAACAGACACTTCTCAAAAGAAGACATTTATGCAGCCAAAAAACACATGAAAAAATGCTCATCATCACTGGCCATCAGAGAAATGCAAATCAAAACCACAATGAGATACCATCTCACACCAGTTAGAATGGGAATCATTAAAAAGTCAGGAAACAACAGGTGCTGGAGAGGATGTGGAGAAATAGGAACACTTTTACACTGTTGGTGGGACTGTAAACTAGTTCAACCATTGTGGAAGTCAGTGTGGCGATTCCTCAGGGATCTAGAACTAGAAATACCATTTGACCCAGCCATCCCATTACTGGGTATATACCCAAAGGATTATAAATCATGCTGCTATAAAGACACATGCACACGTATGTTTATAGCAGCACTATTCACAATAGCAAAGACTTAGAACCAACCTAAATGTCCAACAACGATAGACTGGATTAAGAAAATGTGGCACATATACACCATGGAATACTATGCAGCCATAAATTGATGAGTTCATGTCCTTTGTAGGGACATGGATGAAACTGGAAACCATCATTCTCAGCAAACTATCGCAAGGACAAAAAAACAAACACCGAATGTTCTCACTCATAGGAGGGAATTGAACAATGAGAACACATGGACACAGGAAGGGGAACATCACACTCCAGGGACTGTTGTGGGGTGGGGGGAGGGGGGAGGGATAGCATTAGGAGATATAACTAATTCTAAATGACAAGTTAATGGGTGCAGCACACCAACATGGCACACGTATACATATGTAACAAACCTGCATGTTGTGCACACGTACCCTAAAACTTAAAGTATAATAATAATAAAATTTAAAAAAAAAGAAAATCAGAAAAAAAAACAATAAATACATTTTAACCTTGTGCTGTATCCTAGGATTTACACTCACCTCATTTGTGGTTAAACAATAACTTCAAGGAAGAGAGAAACCACTGGTAACTCTTGATCTTATTGTAAACTTCTGCCCTTCTAATTGATCCATGCCATAACAACTAGCAATGGGCATTCAGAAAATAATTACAAGAGGCATGCATTTAGTGACTTAGATACAGGACACTTAATTTTCACAGCTTTACAAAGGAGGGGCAATTATTCAGACCTTGTAGATCCTGGGCCACTTTCTTATTGAGGCCTAGTAATAAACTCTCATTTCATACAGTTGATTAAAACAAAGTTCTCAAGGTAACTAAAACATCTGAGCAAAATTTCTTGTGCCCATAACTGGTCAAGGATGGTCTCTATCTCCTGATTTTTGATTTTGAGTCTATTATGAATACCCTGGTCATGATGATCTTAGGCACATAGTAATTTATCAATAAATATTTGTTGAAATAATTAACCAAATGATTCAAAAATGTTATTTCCCATTTTTAAGAACATTTCCTTTATTATCTATTACTTTTGGATATTTCATCTAAATGTATGTCAGCTGGTTGTAGGTGTGCGGTCTTATTTCTGGGCTCTCTATTCTGTTCCATTGGTCTATGTGTCTGTTTTTGCACCAGCGCCATGCTATTTTGGTTACTATAGCCTTGTAATATAGTTTGAAGTTGGGTAGCATGATGCCTGGAGCTTTGTTCTTTTTGTTTAGGATTGTGTTGGCTCTTTGAGCTCTTTTTAGCTTCATATGAATTTTAGAATAGTTTTTTCTAGTTCTATGAAGAATGTCACTGGTGGTTTGATTGGAATAGCATTGAATCTAAATTGCTTTGGGAAATATGGTCATTTTAATGATATTGATTCTTCCTATTCATAAGCATAGAATGTTTTTCCATTTGTTTGTGTCATTTCTAATTTCTTTGAGCAGTGTTTTGTCATTCTCATTGTAGAGATTTTTCACCTCCTTGTAGTTGTATTCCTAGGTATTTTATTCTTTTTGTGGCATTTTTTTTTTTTTTTGAGATGGAGTCTCACTATGTCACCCAGGCTGGAGTGCAGTGGTACAATCTTGGCTCACTGCAACCACCGCCTCCCTGGCTAAAGCGATCCTCCCACCTCAGCCTCCTGAGTAGCTGGGACCATAGGCACATGCCACCATGCGCAGCTAATTTTTTGTATTCTTTGTAGAGACAGGGTTTCACCATGTTGCCCAGGCTGTTCTCAAACTACTGAGCTCAGGTGATCTACCCACCTTGGCCTCCCAAAGTGCTGGGATTACAGGCATGAGCCGCCATGCCCAGCCTTTTTTTGTGGCAGTTTTGAATGGGATTGCATTTCTAATTTGACTGTCGGCTTAGCTGCTGTTGGCGTACAGGAATGTTAGTGATTTTGTATCCTGAAATTTTGCTGAAGTTGTCAACTTAAGCTTTGGGGGCCAAGACTATGGGGTTTTCTAGATATACAATCATATTGTCTGCAAACAGGGATAGTTTGACTTCCTCTCTTCCTATTCGGATGTGCTTTATTTCTTTCTCTTGCCTGATTGCCCTGGCCAGAACTTCCAATGCTATGTTGAATAGGAGTGGTGAGAGAAGGAATTCTTGTCTTGTGCCTGTTTTCAAGGGGAAAGCTTCCAGCTTTTGTTCATTCACTATGATGTTGGCTGTGGGTTTTTCATAGATGGCTCTTATTATGAGGTATTTCCTTCAATATCTAGTTTGTTAAGAGTTCTTAACAAGAGGGGTATTGATTTTTTTTGAAAGCCTTTTCTGCATCTACTGAGATGATCATGTGGTTTTTGTCTTCAGTTCTCTTTACGTGAGGAATCACGTTTACTAATTTGCAGATGTTAAACCAAACTTGTATCCCAGAGATGATGCCTACTTGTTTGTGATAGATTAGCTTTTTCATGTGCTGCTGGATTTGTTTTGCTAGTATTTTGTTGAGGATTTTTGAATCAATGTTCATCGAGGATATTGACCTGAACTTTTCTTTTTGTTGTTGTTGTGTCTCTGCCAGGTTTTGGTATGAGGGTGATTCTGGCTTCATAGAATGAGTTGAGGAGGAGTCTCTTCTCCTCAACTTTTTTGAATAGTTTCAGTAGGAATTGTACCAGCTCTTTGTACATCTGGTAGAATTCAGATGTGAATTTGTCTAGTCTGGGGCTTTTTTTGGTTGGTAGGCTATTTATTACCGATTGAATTTCAGAACTCATTATTGGTCTGTTCAGAGATTCAATCTCTTCCTGGTTCAGCCTTGGGAAGGTGTATGTGTCCAGGAATTTATCCATTTCTTCCAGATTTTCTAGTTTGTGTCACAGAGGTGTTCATAATATTCTCTGATGGTTATTTGTATTTCTGTGGGGTCAGTGGTAATATCTCCTTTGTCATTTCTAATTGTGCTTATTTGGATCTTCTCTCTTTTCTTTTTCATTAGTGTAGCCAGCAGTCTATTTATTCTTTTATTTTTTCAAAAAACAGCTCCTGATTTTGTTGATCTTTTGAATGGTTTTCATGTCTCAATCTCCTTCAGTTCAGCTCTGATTTAGTTATTTCAAGTCTTCTCCTAGCTTTGGGGTTGATTGCTCTTGGTTCTTTAATTCTTTTGGTTTTGAATTTGAGATCCTTCTAACTTTTTGATGTGGGCATTTAGGGCTATAAATTTCCCTCTTAACACTGCCTTAGCTGTGTCCCAGAGATTCTGGTATGTTGTATCTTTGTTCTCATTAGTTTCAAAGAACTTCTTGATTTCTGCCTTAATTCTATTATTTGATCAAATGTCATCCAGGAGCAAGTTGTTTAATTTCCATGTAAATGTATGGTTTTGAGTGATTTTCTTCATATTGAATTGTTTTTATTGCACTGTGGTCCAAGAGTGTGGATAGTATAGTTTCTGTTTTGTTTTTTTAATTTGCTGAAGATTGTTTCATGTCCAATTGTGTGGTCAACCTTAGAGTATGTACCACATGCAGATAGGAAGAATGTATATTCTTCTGGTTTTCAGTGGAAAGTTCTGTAGATGTCTATCAGATCCATTTGGTCCACTAGTTGAGTTCAAGTCCTGAATATCTTTAATTTTCTGCCTCAATGATTTCTCTCATATTGTCAATGGGATGTTGAAGTCTCCCACTACTATCGTGTGAGAGTTTAAGTTTCTTTGAAGGTCTCTAAGAATTTGCTTTATGAATCTGGGTGCTCCTGTG
Organism: Homo sapiens; assembly: GCF_000001405.40. Taxonomy (NCBI): domain Eukaryota; kingdom Metazoa; phylum Chordata; class Mammalia; order Primates; family Hominidae; genus Homo; species Homo sapiens. Next base: position 11,191,207 of record NC_000011.10, on the reverse strand, counting down.
TTTGGTGCACATATATTTAGGATATTTAGGTCTTATTGTTGAATTGAACCTTTTACCATTATGTAATGCCCTTCTTTTTCCTTTTTGATCTTTGTTGGTTTAAAGTCTGATTTGTCTGAAATTAGGATTGCAACCCCTGCTTTTTCGTGTTTTCCATTTGCTTGGTAGATTTTTCACCATTCCTTTATTTTGATCCTATGGGTGTCATTGTGTGTAAGATAGGTCTCTCGAAGACAGCATACCATTAGGTTTTTCTTCTTTACCCTGCTTGCCACTCTGTGCCTTTTAATTGGGGCATTTAGCCCTTTACATTCAAGATTAGTATTTATATGTGTGTATTAGATTTTGTATTCATATTGTTTGCTGTCTATACCCTGACTTGTTTGTGTGATTGTTTTATAGTGTCACTGGTCTGTGTACTTAAGTGTGTCTTTGTAGTGGCTGATAAGTCTTTACTTTCCATATTTTGTGCTTCTTTCAGGAGCTCTTATAAATCAGGTCTGATGGTAGCAAATTCCCTCAGAATTTGCTTGTATTAAAAAGATCTTATTTTTCCTTCACTTATGAAGCTTAGTCTGGCCAGGTATGTAATTCTTGGTTGAACTTTCTGTTCTTTAAAAATGTTGAATATAGGCCCCTAATCTCTTCTGGCTTGTAGGGTTTCAATTTTTATATGTCAAAAAATATTCTTCTTCTTCTGATTTATTTCAATCTGTTAAATATATTTAAAAAACATTTTTAGCTTGCAGGCCACACAAAAAAATGCTGCTGGCCAGATGTGGCCAGTAGACTGTGGTTTGCCAACACCTGATCCAGGACCTACCCAATAAAGGTATTCTTCTGATGGCTCAGATAGCATCTTCCAAAGAAATAAAATGGATATTTATTCTGGCCTTTCTTCTGTTAAATTAGCATCTCTTAGGTGATTAGGCTATCAGGATATTACTCCTTTGTTATAACAAATAGAAAGAAGGGTATTCACTTATTCACAGATTCCATAGTGTCATGAGCTGAGACTAACCTTAATAGATAGCATACCTACTATCTAATTAATGTTGTAAAACAGGACCACAAATCAAGTGCTTCTAAAAACAAAGTCATTATTTTTTTGTAGACAGCCTCCAATATTAAACTGACTTGTGGCCAATAACCCTAAGAAACAAGTTCACAAATTCAAGTCACAGAGTCGTATATTCGGCAAACAATTTAGCATGGAAAGGGCACAAGGAAACTCTATTTTTCAAGGTTAAATATTCCATGGGTGTTTACCAAAATATTTTGTGAACAAATTGGGTATTTGGCCCACCTGCTTTAAATTTTTTCCAAGCAAAAATTATTGCTGTTCGTGCTCTGATGGAGAATACTGGGGGCTCAATTACCCTTTTGTCTGTGCACTGGAGTGTATCCAAATGCTTCCTGAGGAAAATCTTAGCCTGCCTCTTTGCTTTCTATTTATGTCTGTGTCCTTGCCAGGCTCCTCAACTTTCCTAAGTAAATGCTGATCCTGAGCCTGCCAGCTGACCAGTGAGGCAGACCTGCTCCATGCTCAAGTCAGCAGTACAGCAAGCTGCATTGCATGCCAGGTAGCCCTGGCACCTGGAAGCCCAATCGAGCAGTTAAAAGACTCCTGTGCGATTAGAAAATTGTCAGAAAGAAGCAGTCCATGAATTTTTCTCTTCCAGTGGTTCTTAAGCTTCACAGGGTTCAGAGCCACCACTGATAATCAGATGAATCAGATGAAAACTGATATGGTTTGTTTCTGTGTCCCCACCCAAATCTCATCTCTAGTTGTAATCCCCACATCAGAGGAGGGGCCTGGTGGGAGGGGATTGGATCATGATCATGAGGGCAGTTTCTCCTATGCTGTGTTCTCTCTCTCTCTCTCTTTTTTCTCTCTCTCTCCTGCTGCCATGTAAGACGTGCCTTGCCTCCCCTTCACCTTTCACCACGATTGTAAGTTTCCTGAGGCACCCCCAGCCATGCAGAACTGTGAGTCAATTAAGCCTCTTTTCTTTATAAATTACCCAGTCTAAGGTCATTCTTTGCAGCAGTGTGAAAATGGACTAATAAAAAAACCATAGGCCCTCTTCATGGAAAAAGAAATTGTTTTAATTTTTGGAGTCCTTATGTAAGAATCTGTTCTAAATCCTCTCGAACACATTCCAGGATGGAGCCAAGTGGCAAGGATGCTTTGGCCCATGACTGTAGAGGTGATTTTTCCTGAGTGGTACCTAGGGATAATTCCATGAGTTTCCATTTGTGGAAAATTGAGTATTTACTATAGGGATATTTTTGAGGACATTGTTCATTGTATCACACATGCCCTCCAGCTACAAATTCACAGGAGGAATTTCTCTCTCAGTTCCACTCCTTTGCTTCTCTTAAGGAGTTGTTTTTGTTTGGTTTATCTGTTTACTTTTATTTCTACATATTGTGAATAGTATAACTTGGTGGCGCTTCACTCTGGCCATACTTTAGAATCACTAGTAAGCTTTTATAACATACAGATGCCAGCCTAGACCAATTAAATCACTGTCTCTTGGAGTAGGGCCTGGAAGTATTTTTCAGAAGCTCACTAGTGTCCCCAACATACAGTCAGGGTTGAGAACCACTGATCCCTGGAGAGTCCTGCTCCTTGGCATTGGCCACTAGAAAACTGAAAGCCAGGTATGCTGGCTGCTAGCAGCAAATTCACTGGGCCTTGTGGCTTCCACTGGTATCATCTCTCACCCCAGACACCATCCTAGCCTTCAGTTCTCATTTTCCATTTGTCAACACATTTTAAATATGACTTTATCTTGTGGCAACATGTTCTGTGTTAGTTGGAGACTGTGGGCAGCCTACCTGAGCTTGCTTAAACTAAACATAATGAGAGGAGTCACTGTAATATCATGGGGTTATTTCATGGCCACAAGGAGAGGAAGTATAGTTGGATCAGAGGAGGAACAAAAACCAGGATTGAGAAAAATATAAGAAACCAAAGCATTCCCTCTCCTAGTCTCTTACCTTTCTCTTCCCCAAGTACTCTGTCTGCTTTCTCCTACGTATCTGTTTCATTCTGTCTTCCTCCATAAACCAGCTTTCTTTTCTTCTCTGTGAAAATAGGTCTCAGTCAAGCCAATTAGTTGAAAGAGACTGCTATCTCTAGGTACTAATTTCAAAATCTCAGGAGAAAGACTGCAATTGGCCCATCTTGGGTCAGCCATCTCCACCAGTTCTGTTCCGCTATGGAAGGAGGGTTAATAAGGTGTAAACATGATTTCCAGGCCCCCCACTATAATTGAGAGGGACAGTTCTTAGAGGAGGGAGGTCACAGCCTAGCAGATGTCCCTAAATATGGCTTAAACAGCAGTTGTAAACCACTTTGAGACTTTCTGCAATAAGAAAGAGTATGAGCAAATAAACTGCAAAGCTCAACGTGAATTACATCTGCATCTATCTGAGAATTTGGCCTTAGGATCATTATAACATTAGAGAGACAATAAGAAACTTTGTACAGAGTGCAAATGGGACCAGTATGTGCTGAGGGGCCAGGTAACATGGACATTTTGCATTTCTAACACTCCTCAAACTCACTGGTACCTGCAAAGGTCCTGTCTGAAGCCATTTCTGAATCTCACTTAGATAACAAACCTGTATGTCAAATCCATGTCAGAGGTGATTCTGAAAAACCTTAGTCATGGCCCTTTCATGGCTCTAGGCCTCACTTGCCAAAACCGCTTTAGAAAAATATTCAAAATGGAGAGCAATAATTTCATGTTAACAGACATTTCGGTTCACCAGGGTTCAGCTTACAAATCTCATGATGCTCAACACTGCTACACAAATTTTAACAAATTTCAAAGTCACTGCAGCAGAGTCATGATTAGACAGGCCTTCATTTGTCAGACTAACATCAAGCAACTTAAAAATGAAGCTGGTAGCATTAGCTGTAGCAGATAATCATCAGAAAATAGCTTACGTTTTACAGCAAAAATAAAAATAGTTGTCACTGTTAATATTTGCTAAGTGCCAGGACCTGTGCTAAGAAATTACTTTTCTTAATCCACATCATAACACCATAGAATATAGGGTAAGTTTTTATTAACTTTTTATTGAAGCATAACTTACTTTTCTAGGGCACATAGATGTTGGCCCCAATGAATATTCACAAACTAAACACACATGTAACCAGCACTGAGATCAAGAAATAGAACATGGCAAGCACTCTGAGGTCCCTATTTGGGTTCCTTTCCAGTTACCATGCCTATGCAAGGGTGACTGTTGTCCTAATATCTAGCAGCATGGATTAGTTTTGTCCATTTCTGTTCTCTATACAAATGGAATAACAAATAGGTACTGTTTCGGGTCTGGCCTTTTTCACTCAACATTATGTCATCTGAGATTCATTCACATTGTCACATGACTACAGACCATTTTTGCTTATTTCTGTATGGTATTCCATTATGTGAATAAGACAAAATTTATTCAGTCTACTGTTTTTGGACATACGGGTAATATCCCGTTTTATTTTTATTATTACAAATAGTTCTTCTATGATCATCCTAGCACATATTGTTTTGGTGATTACTTCAGTGCATTCCTATTGGGTATATAACTAGAAATGAAATAGCTGGAGAGTAAGACATGCATATGTTCCGCTTTATTAAATGCTGACACTTTACCAAAAGAAGTGTACAAATTTATGTTTCCACCAGTAGTATAGAAGCGTTCACTTTGCCCCACATTCTCACCAGCCTTTGAAACTTCCTTTCTCCTTTGTAGCCTTCCGGTGAGTGTGCAGTGGTGCATCGTGACGTTCATTTGCATTCCCTTGATGATTAATGAAGTCAGGTACCTTTTCACATGGTTGGCTTTATTTGCTTATTTATTTTTCCACATGGATGTTTTCTTTGAGAAATGTCTACTCAAGCCTTCTGCCCATTTTTCTACTAGGTTATCTTTTTCTAACTGATTTGTAAGAGTTCTTCATATATTCTGGATACAAGACCTTTGTGGGATATATGTGTTGAAAATGTCTTTTCATTTTTGCATTACATTTTTACCCTCTTATTGATGTCTTTTGAAAAATCAAAGTATAGTTCGTCCTTGTATTTTTCTTTTTCTGGTTAGCAATTTTTGTGTCCTTTTAAATAAGTGGGCTTTGCTTACTCAAGGATCATGAAAATGTTATCCTATGTATTCTTCTACAACTTTATTATCTTTTACATTTAGAGCTGCTATCCATCTGTTTTTGATTTTGTATTTGGTATGAAATAGGAAAGTAAAGATATATTTTTCATATAATTGGTGGAGCAACGTGTAACAAACAAACTATGCCTTCTTTCCCATGCACTGCCTTAATCACAAATCAAGTAATATGAGTCTATTTCTGGACTTTATTTTGTACCATTGGTAAGTTTTTCTAACTTCATGACAGTTCTATATTGTCTAAATCACTACAAATGTATAACGGGCCTTGTTAATCAGCTTATCAACTTTTGCAAAAAAAATACTGTCAGAATTTTACTGAGATTATATTGAATCAATATATTAATCTGGGAAGAAATGACATCTTAGGACAATGTTGAGTTTCCAATTCATGAATATAATATATCTTTTTATTTGTTGAAGTCATTTTTAATTTCTCTCAATAATATTTTGAAGTTGTACATCATTTATTATATTTAATCCTAGGAATTTGATGTTTATTGATGCTATTATAAATATAACATTTTAATTTTTATTTGTTAGTTGCTGATAGAAATACAGTTGATTTTTGTATATTGACCTTGTATCCAACAACTTTACTAATGACATTTATTAATTCTAATAGTTTGTGTATTAATTGTCTAAGCCTCCTGCAATAAATTAGCACAAATTTATTGGCTTAAAGCAATAGAAATTTATTCTCTCATAGCTCTAGAGGCCAGAAGTCCAAAATCTTGGCTACAATCAAGGTGTCAGCAGGGCCATACTCCTTCCAGATGCTCTGGAGGAGAATCTGTTTCTTGCCTCTTCCAGTTTCTGGTGGCTCCAGCATTCCTTGTGACCACATCATTCCAATCTCTGCCTCCATCTTCACATGGCCTTCTCTTCTGTCTGTGTGTATGACCAACTTCAGCCTCCGTCATATAAGGACACATGTGATGGTCTTTATGCCCCACCCAAATAATCCAGGATCATCTCCCCAACACAAGATCTCTAACTTAATTACATCTGCTATAGGGTAAATGCACCTAATAGCAATGATTTAAACATACTCTTAGAATGACCCTGTGTGGCAGGTGCACCTGAATGTTTGTGCTGAGCTAGGGAATCCAGTAGTGGCCAACTTGGAGATTCATTCCTCTTCTATCACAAACATGAGAGCCCCCCGGCCAGTCCTGTGGGACACAGGCTGATCTGTACAGGGGACTGAGGCCTTGAGTTTTGGGTTAAATAAAGATTACCAGGTGGAGGTCATTAGAGGGAGGCTGTTAAGTGAAAATGCTGTATAAAGCGCATGATGGAGCGACATTTAATAAACAAACTATGCCTTCTTTCCTATGCACTACCTTAATCACAAATCAGGTAATTAGATATATGAGTCTATTTCTGGACTTTATTTTGTAACATTGGCAAACTTTTCTAATTTTATTACAGTTAGAAAGGAAGTTGTGGTTCTCCTGCCCAGGTCACTGCCACTAGGCCATGTGGTTATGCTGTCCTGTCCACTGCCACTGGACCATTGCTGTAGGTAAGGCAGGTCTCCTGCCCAGCCCACTGCCACTGGACTCTCTCCCCTGTGTGTGAGCTCCTAATAGAACCCCACATCTGGGTTTCTTCTTTGGCCTTGTGAACCTGGTGCTTTCCCTACTGAGGCAAATCGGGGGTTTGGCACAACATTTGCCAAGAAGCTTTTTTCAAATAAGGTAGCATCTATAGTTTCCAGAAATTAGGACCTGATATCCTGAGTGGGAGGTGGGGTTGGAGGTACATTTTTCAGCCTACCATAGTTTGCAGATTATTTTAGATTTTATAAGCACACAATCATGGCATCTGTAAACAACAGTTTCATTTCTCCAACATAGTTTAGCCCCTTTTTAGATACTGTATAAGCAAACTATGATTTGGGCAAGTTATGGTAATTTACACAAGATTCCAGTATCAGGGCTAGCATTTGAGCTCAGGTCTGGCAGACTCCAAAGTCTGAGTACTTAACCACTACTTTGCACTGCCTAATATGAGTCTAAGTTCTATTACTGGCAAAAAGAAATATTAGCAGCAGTTCTATGCAAAAGGCATTCTAAGCAATTGATTTTTTCTGAGAACTACCTATCTTCTTAGATGTAAGAGATAACATTCAGGAGTGCTTAAAATCTTTGGGATAAACATTCATATTACAAAGTTTAAAACAAGACTTTGGAATAATAATTTTTTTAAAAGACCTAGGTTTAAGTCCCAGACTCACCACAAACTGCTATTATGGCCTTGAACAAGTTACATAATTCACGTGAGCCTGTTTCTACATCTGTAAAACTGAGATAATAACCATGGCACTGTGTTATTGGAATACTTAAGAAAATGCATGTGCATTTGCATAGTGAATGGTCAATAAATAATTTTTAGCTGCTATTGTGGTGTTATTATATTTATTCATTTATCAAAAACACATTTAGTAGCAAAATGCCAAAACCAAAAAAACAAGACTGTCTTTGTCTACAACAAACACCACAACAAATAATTGCCACCTGGGCTAATGAGTAGAATGATGGAGACAGGAGGAAACATCGTGGAAGTGAGGAACAGAGAGCAAGTGACTCACTGTGGGTAGCAATGGGGGTCAGGAAGAGCTTCCCGGAGAAGGCGATGCCTAAGCTAAAACTTGAAGGAGAAAGCAGAGAAGACAGGAAGAGCATTCCAGGCAAAAGGACCAGCATGTGGCACAGGGAGGCCTGAAATTACTCTTCCAGCAGAGGAACAAAACTGCCTTACCTGCCTTGGAAGAAGCAGAGTTCAGGAACTGGAGGCCAGAAACGCTGAAGTTCACTCTATTCAGCTGGGAGAGGAAGATCAGAGTCACCTGGAGGAGGTATCTGGCTTTAGAGCCCACAGCTTCAGAGCTGGACTGCTCATCAATTAGAAGGTGCCAGTGATGCCTCCTGCGGAGTCCCTGGCGCCTGCTTGTACTGTAGAAACCATTTGGTTCTTCAGCACGAATCTCTGTGTTCCTGGGGCTGCAAGAGCAAGCCAGCCTCAGTCACCACAGCTGATCCCTCTCAGGTGCAAGCTGATTGCTGCCTGACTGGAAGTATGCTGCGAAGGGTACGGGGTGGTGGGGGTGGAGGCATGTCAAGCCTGGAGGGGGTGAGGAGGAGCTAGACCTCCCACAAAGCCTCTTGAGCAGTTCTTCAGATAGATGCGGGGACACAGTGCCCACTAGGTTCTATGTGGGAGAGCACTGAGGTGTCAGGGCACATCAGGGATGTGGTGTCCAATACTAGACACCACAGTCCGATGGTGAGTAGACTCAGCACCATCTTACCTGAGGAATAAGAGTTTAACTAGGAGCAACAAGGAGGATACCGACAGAGGCCCCAGGAGGAGCAGCCTCTTGAATTTCTTGAATCTCAGGGAAGACAGATTAGGCTTTCCTGTTCTGCACCAGAAGGGTAGAGCTAAGTCTTCAGATGGAAACTACGGAAAGGGAGATGTGGGCTGTCAACATAAATAATTGTTTGATCATTAACGAATACTGAGCCCAGCCTCGCGAAGCCTCTCCGCGCACTGCAGCTCAAAAGCACCCGGCTCGCTCTCTTCCCACTGCCGAAGCCCAAGAGGAAGGGCAGTTGCGCCGAAGGGGCAGCAGCCAAGGAAGAGCCCAAGAGGGGATCGGTGCAGTTTTCAGCTAACTCCGCTCCTGCAAAAGGGGAAATGAAGCCAAAAAGGCATCAGGAAAGGATACATCTTCAGACAAAAAAAGTCTAAACAAAAGGGGAAAAGGGAACAGGGGAGCAAGGAGAAAACAGGCCAAGTGGTTAACCGAGAAACTAAAGAACATTTATCTGCAGAAAATGGAGAAACAAAAATCGGGGAGAGCCCAGCCTCTGATGAAGCCAGAGAGAAAGAAGCCAAGTCTGATTAATAGCAGGTACCCTGTCTTAGCGGTCCCCGTCTCCCTTCTTGTACAATCCAGAAGAGTATTTTTATCAACTATTTTGTAAATGCAAGTATTTTAGTAGCTCTAGAAACGTTTTTGAGGGAATCCCACCTCATCCCATTTTTTAAGTATATGCTTTTTAAGAAGTAAAGTCATTTGCTGGCTGTTTATTTTTTGGTACAACCAGAAGATAGTGCGGGATATTGAATTATGGGAGGCTTTGACTGTCTTGGGTGTTAGCTTAACATTCCATAGATGGGGGTTAGTTTTTATATGCTCTAATATAAAGCATACTGAATGGCAACGTAGAGTCACAGTCCTGCATTTATGTCTCGGACATTTTAAATTACTTCTAGTGCCATGTTGTTTTTCAGTAGAATTGTTTCCTAAAGAAAGCCAGCCCTTGAACATGGCTCTCCCTGTCAGAATTGTGTGCACTCTGTACCTTCTTTGGTCGCAGCCCTGTTTCCCTAATAAATTTGTTCATGTGCTGTGGAAGACTGAAAATTTGAGTATGTGGTATATATGCAATTCAATTTTGAATTGGTGGGACTATGTAACAGTTGATCAATATGTGAAGATACTGGTATTTGATAGCCTCTTAAGGAAAAATTGCCTCCAAATTTTAAGCTGGAAAGTCACTGGAACAACTTTAAAAAGGAATTACAATAACGGCTTTTTAGATTATTGGTATGTATGTTAAGAATTGTGTACAAATTGAAATGTCTGTGTACTGATCCTCAATGCAACCAATAAAATCTCAATTATGAAAGAAAAAAAACAAATATTTATGGAATACCTAATATGTGCCAGACACTATTCTAGGCCCTTTACAGCAGTAGGAGTTATCCAATCATTGAATGAGATGACTTGAAAGGTAGTGAGCTCTCTGTCACAAGAGAAATTCAAGCAGAGGCAGGTCGATTTCTTAGTGGAATGTTGAAGGAGGAATTGAAGTCTGGAGTAAAAAATCGACCCAGCTGGCTTGCAGTTTCTCTTCAGCCTTGTGACTATACGACATCTGCTTTCTAAAGATTGGAGACACCCACATACATTTCCTTTAGCGTTCTGTGTTTAATATCTTGGGGAGGCAAAGGAGAAAGGTAGACACCATCCTCTTTACCCTGTGGTAAAAGGTAAATGTAGGAAAGTGGAATGACTTTATCAAGGTAATACAGATGATAGGGTCATGCAGAAGCAGGACTAGGGTCCAGGGTTTCTGCCTCTGTCTCCAACATTTGTTCCTTGTTCCCCTCTTTGTCACAGCCCTGAAACGCACTGGCCTGCTGGGTGAGGTCCTGAAAGGGTCAGAGCTCCAAGGATTACTAAGTAGGGTAGTGTCAGTCCCAAGCCATGCTGTGGATCTAGGGTTACAGCCAGGGCGGCCTCAGGGGCAGGGGCCACATACTGGGCTCCCTCCTCAGGAGGTTTAATGCTCTGTGGTTGCCATCTTGAAATTCTTAAGACTTGTATCTTCGAATTTGTGTTTTGTGAGGTCTCATGGGACAATGGGGCACTCACAGGGGCTTAGGACCTCAGCTTGCTTGTGGTCCTACCTCCTCCCACCTTTCCAGGATGGTTGTCCGCGGGGGCTGTGGGGCCTCTCTCTCCCCCAGGCCCCACTGCACAACTGTGGCTGCTCTCCACCCCAGACAGGACACAGGGAGAGTCGGGGCCCCAGCACATACCCACAGTCTTGGTAGTGAGGCTTGGCAGCACCCCTACACACCTGCTGGATGGCTAGCCAGAGGCCCCATCTCCAGGGAATTAAATCTCACCTACCCAATCCAGGTAGCAAGCACATCCCAGCACACAGTTTCAAAAATCCAGGGAAGCCAACTGCCATGGGTTGGAGGGGTGAGAGCCCATGGAAAGGAAAGATGCCTGGCTTAATTTCTTCAGACCCACAGCCCCAGTTGCCTCTGGCTGCCTCGGGCAGGGTTCCTTGGCACAAGCAGGAAGAGTGTGCATGCCTCTTCCATCAAGGGGCAGAGGTCCGGGGCACTTATGAGGCTCCACACTCCCCTGCAAGTGTCCCCACACCTGGAGCCCTCCCTCAGGCAGCTACAGCCAGCAACATACCTTGCTGGGGGGAGGGGTTCCTCTCTCTTTTCCTCCCTTCCAGTGCAGGGCTTCGGTTTGTCTCTTCTGGACAGCTCAAGGCACCTTTTGGGGAGGGGCTACAAAATGCAAATTGTATAAGTTCAGTAATTCCACATACACATCAAGTGCTTTTATATTTGCGTTTATATTTGCCCTGCACGATGTAAAGATAAATTAAAATTCATGCTAATAATTCAAAACTTTAATTTTTCTTAGAATGACATTAAATAACAAATGAAAAACACCATGACAAGCTGGGAGAGAGACTGCAGAAGAAAGAAAAAAGCTTTATCTATAAGAGCACTTTTTTTCTTGCTTTTTAACCCTGAGGCTCCACATTTTCATTTTGCACTGAGCCTCACAAATTATGTAGCTAGCTCTGGTTACAACTTGCTCCTTGCCTAAGCCAACCCATGTGCAAGCTAGGCAGCTGATCCTGAATCCAATGGCTAGAGCCCAGTCTCACAATAATGTTACTGTCTGTGAGTGCCCTGTGGTGACTCACAGCTCAAGACTGTATATTTCTTGCTTGTCTGAATGCAAAGTAAAAGTGGCTATTTTTATAGAACAAAAACTCAGGGAAAATATGGAATTCAGCCCATCTATATGCACTGCTGCACCTGAGACACTCAGCACACATAATAAATCTGTCTTTGGAAACTTGCTCCTTTACAGTTTTGACATAGATAAATGACAAGTATTAAATCTTAAGGGAAAAGAACCAGCTGCTATAGTTGTTGAATTACTGAGACAGAAGCCTCCAGGCCTGCTGATTTGAAATATCAGGGAGAGGCCTCCTGGAAAAGGGTATAGGTGAGCTGGGAGAATGTCTCTTCTATTACCAACCCCGAGAAACTCAGGGCCACATCTAACATCTGACTCTGAACTTTGTAAGCCATTATCATAACCTTGGACTTTGACCAGTAAGAGGACCTTTTTAGGGGGACACATTTTATGCTAAACCAATGGTTCAGAACTCGGATTGTCTAATGAAATTTTTCTTTAGACAGAACAGATACCTGGTGAAAGAGCAAAGACTAGCAACAGACATATTTGTTCACTGTTAAGCATGACAGCATTGGTGGGAGTCAAGGGTGACAATAGGGATAATTCCAGAGTGTCAGAGTCAAACATAGCTAGTGGATGATGTGTCCTTTCACCATGGTGTTCCTCTGCCCCAGAGTGGAGCTCTTTGAGGGGGGGCTTGGAACCTTTGTTTTTACCTCCCCTGGTGCCCCGCCCCCCCCCCCCCACCCCACCCCCTACATTATCTGGCATGGAGTGGTGGCTCAGGGCACTTTTCAAAAATTAAATTCAGTCAAGTGCAATGGCTCATGCCTGTAATCCCAGCACTTTGGGAGGCCAAGGTGGGTGGATCATGAAGTCAGGAGTTCTAGACCAGCCTGGCCAATATGGTGAAACCCTGTCTCTACTAAAAATACAAAAAATTAGCCAGGTGCAGTGACGCATGCCTGTAGTCCTACTTACTCGGGAGGCTGAGGCAGGAGAATCACTTGAACCCTGGAGGCAGAGGTTGCAGTGAGCCGAGATCGTGCCAGTGCACTCCAGCCTGGGCGACAAAGTGAGACTCCATCTCAAAAAAAAAAAAAAATTAAATCCAACTCCTTCCTTGTTTAGCAAGAAAACCACGGCCCAGAGAATTTTGATGCTATCCTCAAAATCACACAGCTAACAAATAGTAATGCTAGGACCAGAACTGAGACCTCCTTACCCCAATGGGAGCTGATCTAGTCTATCACACTTGGAGAGAAAATTGGTGTCATTTTCTTTGAAGATTATATATAATCCATGTGGATAAAAAAGAATCTCATAGAATCTCAACAATGAGCTGCTGCCAAAATGTTGGCAGAATGAAAATGAGGAAGAGGATGGGATCCAGGGCGGGGCCCAGCCAAGCAGGGTAAGGCTGACAGTTGCTCAGACAAGGAAGCTGGCCTCTCAGCTCAGGGGGACCTGCTATGGTCCCAACCAGCACCCCAGGATGAGAGCTCTCTGCACGAAGAGGACACCTACTCACAACATTGCTTAAGTGCACCTTCTGAGATGAGCACTCTTCTCTGAGATATATGTGGATTAATTCATTTCATCCTCATCACAAGCCTGTTAGAAGGGCACTATTATTAATTCCACTTGACTGAAACTGAGGAAGGTTTTCCAGTGAGAGAGAGAGTCAGGCTTCGAACCCGAGAGTCTGAACTCTCTCTTAGCCCTTGTTGCTCAGCTGCCTGTCTGGCCTGGGGAAGGGGAATGCTCACCAGAAATAGGGGAGAGTCCTTCAGAAGAGGGAACGTGTGACTCCTCAGTGGCAGCAGGAGTGCAGCACCTGCTGTTGGGAAGGCCACTCCTGGGAGCGCCTCCCCCACCAGCTCTGTTCCTGGACTCCTCCTTTCCCTGGAGCCACTGCCAGAACTCATCAGACTCGGGAGCTGGATGCAGATCCTTGCATACACCTCATTCCATTGTCCCTCCAATGAAAAAGAGGCAGCACGTTGTTCTCACAGAGCCCCCAGCCCCTGGGCTTGGCTTCTCCCACTTACTGGCTGTGAACTTGGACAGCTCACTTACCCCCAGGCCTCAATCTCTTCATCCATAAACTGGATACCAGCAATGCTTCCCAGGTGGCTGTAGTGAGTTACCATGAATGAAAGCATGTTGTAAATTGTTTAGTGTTAGCCAACATTCAATCCCTTTCAGTTTATTTATAATGAGGACCAACTACTTGAGAGCTTGAGAGCGTGGACTCTGGACCCAGACAGATACAGGCAAGTTACTGAACCTTCCTCAATTTCAGTTTCCATATCTGTCAAATGGGCATAATGTGCTGGTACCAGCTATAGGGATGATGGAAGGCACAAGCAAGATGATGCATGAAAAATAATAGTAAAACGTTTATATGCCTTTAAATAAGTTAATATATAATAAGATCACTGACAATCACCTGGCATAGGTTGGTATTATTAATTCTTTTCAAACCAGGGAGAAAAAGACAATGCATTGTAAAATACTTAGCTTTGCTTCTAGCACATGATTTGTGCTCAATAAATACAGGCTACTAAGGTAATGCTATCACTGGTGTTGTTATTTGTTATCAGTAATAGTATTAACATAAAGGGGCGAGTGATTCCTATGCACATCAGGGCTCAGCGGCACTGCCTTGAGACTCAGCAGGACTCTGCCTTTCTCAGGCTGGACTTTATTCTGAATTCCCCATTGTCTCAAACCTTGAAGGACTTGTTTCATGAACCTGCAATCTATGCCATTGCACAAGACCCTGTGTTCAGAAGGGGCTGTGCTCAAAAAGGCTCCATGCTTGGTTTAATGCTCTGCTATTGCTGTCTTGAAATTCTTATTTTTCAGTAAGAGGCCCCACATTTTCATTTTGCAGGGAGCCTGGCAAATTATGTAGCCAGTCCTGCTGCCTGCTACCCTGGGACCCTCTAGGACTGGTGCCTAGAATCTACCTGGTCCCTGCCACCTTCCTTCCCTCAGCCTGATTCCACTTCCTGCGTCCTGAACACCATGTTTCTAATGCACACAGACACCATCTTGACCCTGACTGCAGCTCTAGCAAACTTGTGAACTGAGGTACAATTTGGCAGTCAGACCACAGGGATTTGTCCTCCCAGAAGCTAGACTTGCTAGAACCATACCTGAATTGCCATACCTTTTCTTTTCTTGTAGGAATCACCTTCTTAGCATTTAAATGTGCTAGAATTATGCACACTATTTTTAACTTGCCTCATCCCATTAAATTCTTCCTATAGCTGATAAGGTATATATTATTTTTCTTGTTTTACAGAGAAGGAAACTCAAAAAGTTTAAATAGCATGCCTAAAATGAAATAACAGATCAGAAGTCACACCAGAATATAAACACATGGGCGTTCAAATCAACAGCCCTTGGGCCGTCCTATCTCATTGCACTCAGTGGTCCTTTTCTAGGTCTAAACTCAGTTCCCTCCCACCAGCAAACCTACCTGCTCAGGGACTGAGATCTCTGCACACTGGCCTCCCCACACCGTTTCTCTGGAGGTCCCCACTCTCCCAGGGTTGATGTAGGAGACATTCCACAGAAGCACACAAAGGGTCTATACATTAGGTCGTTGGGGCTGGGTGACAAAGAAGCCATAAACTTGGTGTCTTAAGACAAGAGAAATGTATTCTTTCACAGTTTCAGAGCCCAGAAGTCTGAAATCAATATCACTGGCCCTGAAATTAAGGTATTGGCAGGGTCTTGCTCTCCCCTGGAGTCTCCTCTTCCAGCTTCTAACGGCTGCTGGCATTCCTTGGCTTGTGGCCATATCACTCCCATCTTCAAAGTTTACATCTTTGTGTCTCTCTCTGCACCATCTTCCTGTGGCCTTCTGTATTTGAGTGTCAAATCTCCCCCTGCCCCTTCTAATAAGGATCATGTGATTGCTCTCAGGGCCCACCTGGATAATCCACATGATCTCTCCACGTCAAGATTCTCCATCACATCTACAAAGGCCCTTTTTGGCCACATAAAGTAATAATCATGGGTTCCAGGGATTAGGAGGTGAATATCTTTTGGGAGAGGTGGGTACTTTTGTAGCCTACCAAAGTGGGCAGATATGCTAATAGTTGGGGGAGCTGGACAGAAAAAGAAAGGATTTCTCAGCCCTTTCAGAAGCATTCCTGAGCAGCCTTCAAGCAGCACAGCCTTCCCAAGAGAACTGGCTCCACTATACTTAGTCTGATCCTCTGAGAGAGGGACGGTTTGTGAAGAAGGAGGCAAGGAATCCCTGGATAAGGCCCTAAGGGCTAAAGAGCGAGAGACTGGATCTTCTAAGGAGAGCAGAATCGAAAGTTAAGCTGTCCTCAGGAGTTTCTGTATTCCTTTCTCACATGCTTTTTCCAGCTTTGCAGGTAAAATATGTGTAAAAACCATTGACTCTATTAAGAATTCTGCTCTGGGACCACTGTGTTTTCAAATAGTGGCTAATAAACTCTCTTCCTCCCATTCTCCTTTGAGGCTATTATTCTTTTTCCCTCTCTCATTACTCAGCTGGAAACCTTCTGTTTCTGCTTCCCCTCCTTATGCCTAGATTATCCCTCATCCTTCCATGTTGGGAAAATCACTCCCAACCCAGGAAACCCTGAGGGGCAGCATTCAGTCATGCTCAAAAGCTAAAAAGTACAGTAACTATTTCCTGAAAGAAGAGGGGCAAGCATGACTAGAAAACAGATGCTCTTGAAAAGGCAAAAACCCCTCAGGAAAAGCCTCAGCTCATACCTGAATCTGTGCAGTAGGAGGCTCCCCTGATCGACTGCACCTGGGCAGTGCCCCAGTTAGCTGGGGGGTGGGAGGGACAGTTAAACTCAGGGCCTTTGGTGGAACACAAAAGGAGGCGCTGAGAACTGAGGCAAACTATGGAATGAACTTGTATATTATTTTATATATGCTTATATATCCAGAGTTCAGTGTTAACACTGCGGCAGATGAGAGGTAAGGATTTAACCACCAGCCCCTCCATATTAGACACTGGTGCAGCCTTAAATCAGGAGTGGCCGGGCAGGGTCTCATCTAATATTGTCCAGCTCCGTTGTTTGATGCCGTCCCATTTGTTTCACCTTCCTTTCTGGGCCGGGATAACCTGGTCTTCCACATCCTGGCACCAGGGTGGTCATACTTACTGCTCATATTTCTTTCTTCAAAGAGCAGACTTTGTCAGCTAAGCTCCCGTTGTTCTCACTAAACCTGACCCTATTAGCTACTACACTAGTTTGTGCAGGAATTTTAGCTTTTCCTTGATTAGAATGTGTCTATATCAGTCAGAGCTGGACCAGAGAAGCTGAACTAGTAGGAGAGATAGAGAAAGGGGGGAGGGGTAGTGAGAGAGAGAGAGAGATAGATTAAGGGACCTTTTACAGGTAATTGACCTATGCATTGTGGGAGCTGGTTAAATAGTCCATGTAAGGCTGTCTCTGTGTCTGATGGTGGAGCTTAAAGACCACAAGGCAGGCATCAGGAAGGGAGGATTATGAACAGGCTGGAACCCCACAGGCACAAGCTGGGACCTCACAAGGACAGGCTGGAACCTACTATTCTTGTTGCCTCTGACCTTGGTGAAGAACTCCTACATAGACCAGACCCTCAACCCTGAGCTAAACACTCACACCTGGCCCAGCTATTGCTTCACCAAGGAGGTGAGTCAGCAGGTTAACAACAGTGTACATGTGCTACATGATGGCTACTGCCTCCCTTTTGCCCCCAAAAAATCCTTAGAGGATCTCCTAGTTCACCCACCTTAACCAGAAACACATGTAAAGGGAATCATTGCATGTCAGCAAGCCAAACTGACATGTTACAAAGCCAGCACAGTGTCTTAGGTCAAATGTCCCAGGAAACAGACTATGAGATGGAGATGTACATGCAGGAGATTTACTGGGGTGTGTTCTTGGGAGTGAAGGAAGCCAGGGGCGGGGCAGAGGGAGAAGGTGAGCTGAGAGGCAGTTGCAACAGGATTCTGTATGGAGCTGGGATGGCTTTCAGGGTTGTCTGTAATGAAGGCAAGTCTGCCTCGGGGAAGAGTGCATGATCTTGGGAGATAGAGGGCAATTTCCAAAGGGGCCTCAGCTGTGAGCTGTCAGCAGCCACTACTACCAGCTGCTGGAGGAATGAGTGCCTCATTCCCAAAGGGGGGATCTGGACATATATGACAGTATCCAGTATAGTCTGCTTCAACCTGCCTGTGATGAGTGTGGATATTCTATGCTGGAAGAGGGGTTTTTAGGTGGGTAGGAGGTGAATGATTCTCCCTGTTACTCGAAGTTCATTTATTTGGTGGCTTTTTCCTAGTCCTCTGTTTCTAAACTTTTTCCCAGTTACAAAGGCTGGAGTAGAAACTTTTCACAGCTTCCCTGGTACTTTTCTGTTCCCCTGCTTCATGCCTGCTACATATGATTACATGGATGTTCCTCCATACTTAGGCCTCCCTCAGAGAACCTGGGTTTGGGGAATGTGGAATTCTAGCAAGTAGTATAAATTTTCTGAATGTCCTGCCAAGTGAGCTTGGAAAGCCAGGGCGGAGGCCTCGCCTTCAGAAAGGCTGCCTAAGAACCTCATTCCCTGTGGTCCACTTGGGGGTGATGTGTGTCCAGCTCCACCCGCTAAGTCATGTTTTTTAGTAACAGTGCAGATCCATAAGTGACAGAAAATACCAGGTTGCCGTTTTCTCATTTCCCAGAGCCATCAAACCACCTCTTACACATTACTATTCTTAAACATCCTCAAATTAAAATTATCCTTAGAATTTGAGAGTCACACATACATAAAAGTGTGGACAAGTACAGAAAATAAGTCCATCCTTCGAGTGCCTTCTATGTCAGTGAATGGCACCAGTCTCCATCTGGATGTACAACTCAGAATCCAAGGAGTCTTCTCAGCACCTCCCTCTCCTGCAGCCCCCATAATACAAAAGACTGTCAATCCACCCTCTTAAAGAACTCACCAGTTCTCCCTCCCACTTCTCTCCTTCTCCACTGCTGCCTCCCCACCCTCAAACTGCCATTGCCCCTTCTCTGGGCCCCTGTAGTGGCCTCTAAATTTGTCTGCTGGCATCTTCTCCTACCCCCTTCCAATCTGTTCACCATTCCACAAATAGAACAGAATAGTCTTTTAAAAATACAATTCTCATTATGTATTTCCTGTCCTTAAATTCCTTCTGTGTCTTCCTACCTATTTCAGTCAGAATAAAAACTCAAATTTTAATGTGGTCCACAAGCCCCTACAAGGCTCTTCAAGGCCCTGCAAGGCCCCAGGCCTTGTATTGCCCCTGGCTGCACCTCACTTGCTGGGTTCCACCAGTCTAGCCTTCTCTCAGTGCCTTCTCTGAGCCTCCCTTCTGTCATTTTCACACCCTTGCCTACTTAACAGCTGCTGCGGTTTAGTGGTTACTAATACAGACTCTGCAGTCAGACTGACAGGCTTTGAGTCTCCAGCTGTATAGTACCCTCCTCTTTTTTTTTTTTTAACTGTGTAGTCTTAGACAATTGGCAAAAGCTAACTGTATCTCAGTCTCCTCATCTGTGAAATGGAGGCAATAACAGAACCTTTAGCTAGAGGAATAAATAATTCAGCATTCACAGAGCACTTAGTGTGTGCTCAAAAATATTAGTTATTGTAATAACCCATCCTTCAGTTCTCAGCCCAAGCACTTCCTCAGGGAGGTCATCCTGGTAGGCCCTCCCTGAGCCAGGTCAGGGATCCCCCAGGTGTGCTTATAGCTTCCTGCCCCTTTCTTTCACAGCACATAGCATAGTGTGGTTCTGTCTGCCCTCTGCTCTAGGCCATAAGCCCCTTCAGGGCAGAAACACTGCCTGTTTGCTCTCCGGTACATCCCCAGAGCCTGCCCCGTTTCTAAAAATAAACATTCCCTTTTCTGGTGCAGTTGGGAGGGTGTGGATACAGGGTATGGCACATGCTTTCTGTCACCATATATGGAGGTGGAAAGTTGGGAGGCAACAGAAGACATCCGAGATGTGTCCTGGGGAGGCCTCCTTGTGGCTGATAAACACAGTAGGAATGGTCTGCCCAGTTCTAGTGAGCCCTGGGAGAGGCATTAAATCAGCCCCAGGAATGTCCCCCAGATTGCTGTGCAAATCCATCTGGTGTCTCCTCACCTAGCCTGCAGGCTTCAGAGTGGGACCCCAGAATTGCATCAGTGTTCCACTCATGGCAGGCAGCCCTTGCCCACCTACAGTAACTCCCGGCCTTTAGAAGACATACCTGGCACATCCAGCCTGGCTACAGAGTTATGCTGTTTTGATTTCCACGTCTCCACTACAGAGCACATCCACCAAGCATCAATACTCCTCTGCATCTGAACCAGAGAAGGGCTGCAGTGATGCCTCTGTTATACACTGGGAGGACTGAATTCAAGTCACAGCATTGCCATTAATTCTCTGTGTGACCTTTACTGGTCATTTCAACTCCATTATTCATTTTACTTCTTTGTAAAATGAAACATTGAAACAGATGACTTAGCTCCATCACAGAGTACTAGGCTACCCCTCAGAGAACCTTCTCCCCAGGACCCACCACAATGATCTCAGTTCTCAGTAACATGGGATCCTACTCAGCACACACACGTGATCAGACTAAGGGTGGACACCTCACCCAAGCTGGTTCTTCACTCACAGAGACAGTTCTATGGTGTTGAGTATCATAGCTATAGGTTAAGAGAATCCAGGGCCAGACTGGTGCCCATACCAGGCAGAACCTCACAGTAGCTGAGTTTGGGGAGGTTAACTACAGGCCCTAGAGAAGGAACAGGTCTACCAAGAGAAGACTGGAGCAGAGGCAGGCACATGGCACCAGACAAAGAGAAAGAAGTCACCCAATGACCTTCAGTCTCTGTGAAGCCCAGTTGTAATTCTTCTACAATTGGGTGTCTGGAAATTCCCCTCCATCTCTTCACTTAAGGGGAGTTTAGATGGTTTCTATTCTTGGGAACCAAATGATTGCTGACTAAGGCATCTTCTCATATTGGATGTCAATTCAACAAAACCTCAACCAGTAAGACTGCGATGATCATGACAGCTTTAACCTTCCCAAAGACCTCTGTCTTCACTTACAGTATTTTAAAGCCAAACAGCCAAGGAAAATTGATGCTCTAGGAAGGGTTTTCATTGGCAAAATGAGGAAATCAAGACCCAGAGAGGGAAACAGACTCAGTCAAGGTCACTTAGTGAGTTGGTGACAGTCAAGGTGAAAGCAAAGCTCTGCCCACTCATTCCAGAGAACCTCTCCTGCTGTGCATCAGGGCCTCCTCTTTACCCTGGGCCCACTCTTCCCCTGGCCAGGGCTATTACAAAGTCAGAGCTGTCTGCAGATTTCTGTATGGAACAGTATTTGTCCCTGGTCTGTTACGTGTTCTGGAGAGTAACAAGATGGAGACCATGGGGATGCTGGAGTTGTGGGTGTGGACGTGGACACCACACCACCTGCAAGGGAAAGTTTTGCAGACACCGAACTGCGGAACAAGATAATAGCCACACAGGCCAGAAAGCACAGCTGTGCCTCCAGGCATGGCCTGGGGAATACCCACAGGTGAGGAGATTCCTCCCTGATGTGGAAAGGGGATTCACATTGACCAGCCTGAGACTGCTGCACTGGACTCCAGCTGAAGGAGATCCCCCTGGGACTATGGGCTGCACTGGAGAGGGGAGCCCAGCTGGGAAATCACCAGAAACACCCACCTGAAAATCAGAGCCTGGAGAGGGTGGTGAGGCAATTTCTCAATAATTATCCAAAGACCTTTTGTTCTATTAAATACAGCCTCGAGAGAAAAATAAAAGATAGGACTTTTTCAAGATGCCATTCCTATGAGCAAAAAGTCATGTATTTGGAGCAGATATAGATACACTACAATAAAACATATCATTTTGAACCATTGTTATCTCTGTAGTCTCACTATCAGGCACAGGCGTGGCACAGAGCAGGTTCTTTACAAATGAGTGCTTATCTGAGCCTAGAACTAGTTTAACTTTAAGCACTCCTATTATCCCATTTTATAGATGAGAAACTGAGACTTTACAATCTGAGATCACACAGTTAATACGTGTAGTCTGCAGCCAGGCTCCAGAAGCCTTGGCTTAAGTTTCAGGCTATATTTGATGCTGTCTTATCTTTGGACAGGACTAATGTAGGATGTGTAGGCTGGCAGAAGTCTGTAGAATTTCCTGAGGCCAGAGGATCTTGAAAGGGGCCTGGCATCTAACCATACAGCATACAAATACAAACCTTGTAAAGATGTTTGTCTTGTCCACTCTTGCTGAGGGGCCTGAAACATGTGTTTCACCAGAGTCTGGAACTTTTCTGTTTGTTCATTTGTTTGTTTGTTTGTTTTTGGCTGTCCTGTCTATGAAAGAGCAAGGGACAGAGTCAGGGACACCTGGATCATATTCCGGGTACAGGTCTTTTCCCTTCTCTGGACATCAGTTTCCCACCCCCACCCCCGCCCCCAACCTTAAGACACAGGTAGATGAGATGGCCTTTCCCGTCTCCTCTCGCAGTCTCTATTTTCAGATGATTCTCATGATTCATCTGAATTCTACCAATAGAGAAGCTTATTTAAGCTTCAGGTTAAATATTTCAGCAGCTGGCACACGGTAGGCCCTCAGTAAATGTCCAGAATGATTTAAGGGATGCCTCGGGCATCTAGAGTTTCTCACCATATCTGTGTCCGTTCCTATAATTTCCTCACACTCGATGAGCCACGTGGGCTGCTGTAAAGCCTGTGGTTTATGAAAAATAGTTTAGGGCTCAAATCCCAACCAGGGGGGCACAAAATCCCTGGGAGGAAGGGCCCGGAATGTCACTGAGGCTGGCAAAGAGACGGCATGAAATAAAACTAGACCAACCTCACTCATAAATATAAATGTGCAAATTCTAGACAAAACGCCAGGAAATTGAATTCAACAGTATATTAAAAGAATAATTTACCACAGCCAAATAGGGTTTACCGAAGAATGCAAAGCTGTTTTAATATTAGTAAATCTGTTTATAGAACATATCAATGGGTCAAATAAGAGAAACCATATGATTATCTCAAGAGGAGCAGGAAAATCATTTATGAAGATTCAAAATCAGTTCCTAAAGGGGACCTTCTTTAAAATGCTAGGACTAAATGATGCAAGTGGACAGTGATGGGAATGTTTTTAGTGGGAGGGCACTCCACATCTGAAGGTTTTCCAATGTTTGGGAAATTCCCCGCTTTCTGAGTTTGGGTGGGAGGCAGAGCCATCTTTCACGGTAGAAATGGAAGAAAGGCCAAGTGCTTACTGTCCTGGGTATTGGCCCCCTCCTTGCAGCAACAGTGAGGCATTTATCATAAGCTCAGATTGGGGAGCAAAAAAGCCAGGCAGCAGAGAATCTTTTATGGCAGTTCCAGTAATAGCAGCAACATCTGTTTCCAGGGACACGGTGATAGAAGCACAAGTAGCTGTATCTGGGCTCTGGGGACCAGCAGAGTTGGTGTTTCGAGATGTGGCATCCCATGGTCAAAGATGGCAGCAGCCATTCCTCTGTGTTCCATGTCATGATCTGCACTGTGGTGCCAGCTGCCCAGGAACTCTTTGTTCCTGACTTCCTGGTGATTCTCTAAACCATCCAGAATCCTGCCAACAAATTTCTTTTTTGCTTAAATCAGCCAGAATCAGTTTCTGTTGCAGGCAACTAAGAAATCTTAAAGACACAGAAGGTTATTTCTTTAACATAATAAAGAACATCTTATTTTTTAAAACCTGTGGCCAGAAGTAATACATAATGTCATTCCTATTAAAACAAAGAACAAAACAAGAATTTTTGTTGACTGCATATTTCTTTTTTAAAAGTCAGGTTTACTGAGGTACAATTTGCACACAATAAAATGTATTCACTTAAACTGTACAATTTGATAATTTCAGCAAATAAATGCCATCGTTGAAGCACCATGATATTCAATACACAGAGCATCCATCACCCCAAAAATTTCTCGCAAGTTCCTTTATAGTTAATGTCCTCTTCCACCCCAGCTCTGGAAACCACTGATCTGATTTCTATCTCTATAATTTGGCCTCCTCCAGAATGCCATATAAATAAAGTCAGATGGTAGCCTTCTGAGTCCTGCTTCTTTCACTCAGCAAACTGTTTTTTGAGATTCATCCATGTTGTTGCATGAATGATATTTCATTGTATAAATATTCCAAAATTTGTTTATCTATTCCATGATTGATGAATATTTGTATTGCTTTCAGTTTGGGATTATTATCAATAAATCTGCTATAAACATTTGTGTATACAAATTTTTTTCTTGGGTAAATATCTAAAAGTAGGAATGCTGGGTCATATTAAATAAACGTTTAACTTTATAAAAAACTATCAAATTGTTTTCTAAAGTGGCTGTGCTGTTTTGCATTCCCACCAACACTTCATGTGAGTTACAGTTGTTCTGAATCCTCATCAGCACTTGCTATTATCAGTTTTTAAATTTTAACCATCTAGTGGATGTACAGTGATATCTTGGTTTGACATTAATTTTTATTTTTCTAATGATTGATGATTTTGAGCATCTTCTCATGTGTCTACTTCCCACCAATACATCTTTTTTTTTTTGGTGAAGTATATGTTTAAACTGTTCACTTATTTATTTATTTGGCTGTTTGTCTTCCTTTTACTGTGTTGTAAGGATTCCTTATATATCCTGAATACAAGTTCTTTGTCAAATTTGTGTTTTGAAAATAGTTTCTTCCAGTCTGTGGCTTGTCTTTTCATTTTCTTAAAAGTGTCTTTCAAAAAGCCAAAGTTTCCATTTTGATAAAATTCAATATATCAATGTTTCAATTTCATTCGATTTATCATTCTTTCATGATTTATGCTTTTTGTGTCATATCTACAAAACATGTTACCTAACCCAAGGACACAAAGATTTTTTTATCTTACACTTTCTTATAAAAGCTTTATAGTTTTAGCTCCCACATTTAGTCTATGATTCATTTTAATTTGCTTACATAGAATGAGAAAAGTGTCAATGTTCATTTTTTTTTGCATGGGAATGTAAAAATTTTCTGGAACACTATTATTATTTAACATCATTATAGAAGTTCTGGTTGACATAATGAGATACAAAACATAAGTAAGTTGTATAGTTATTGGAAAGGAAGAGAAAAACTATCATTATTTATAGTCAATATGGTTTTGTATCCAAGAAACTCAAGAGAATCTATTGAACACACATAGAATTAATAAGAATTCAATAAGGTGATTCATTACAGAGTAAACATGCAAAAATCAATAACTTTTTAATATACTAACAGTAATTATTTAAAGAATATAAGAGAAAAGAATCCCACACACAGTAACAGCAAAGACTTAAATGCCTAGAAGAGAAAATAAAAGAGAAAGAGAAAGTGCAAGGCCTAGATAATGAAAATCACAATGTTTCATTGAGGATATAAAAGAAGTTAACTAAATATAAATGTGTAAATACCTTATATGGAGAAACTCAATAACATAAAGATGTTAATTTTCCCAAATGAACTTATAATATTGGAGTTATCTGGGGAACATGACAAAATGATTCTAAAATTCATCTGGAAAGAATCACTGAAAAAGTGTGTTGAAGAGCAGTGAGGAGGACCAGATACAAAAATATTTTATAAAGATATCATAATGAAAATATTGTGTTAAGGACCTAAAATCAAATAGACGAATCAATATGCTAGAATAGCTAAATTAGTCTGAATCAGAACGTGATATATATGAAAACTTTATGTATGATGACTGAAACATCACTAACCAGTTGGGATCAGGATTTATTGCAGGGTAGCAAGAATGGAAGAAAGGAGACCAGTTCACAGGCTATCAGAATAGTCCAAGAGAAATACGATGGCCGAGAAGTTCTCTTGGGTTCCTAACCCAGAGCTGTTCCATGGCCCTCAGGCACGTAGAACCACCCTCTGGGGAGCAGGACATCCCAGGCTGGTGGGCAGGTGTGCAGAGGGGATGGAGCACATCCAGGGCCCTCAACAACAAAGTTGAACACTATCCCAGCTGGCAAAGGAAAAAGACATAAAGGGCCTTTAGATATTTCCACAGATGGAGCAACAAAGGGTGAATTGTAGCCGAGAGGTAATATGTTGATAACTGACACAGGATGCAATGCCAAACCACACTTCCCAAACACATTCAGCTCTGGACACATCTGCTAACATCCCAGTGGCCAAAGCAAGTCACCTAAACAGGTTCACAATCAATTGGGTGGGAAAGTATGTTCTGCAGAGAGATGGGGAAGAGGGTGAGTATCTGGCAAACAATAATCTCAGTGATCACAGAAATAGTATTAGTGGAATGTGCCAGTGCATTGAAAGGGAAGATAAAGAATTGGGAGGATGCTATAGCTTGGATGCTTGTCCCCTAAACCTCACATTGAAATTGAATCCCCAATGTTGGAGGTGGGGCCTAATGGGTGGTATGTGAGTCTTGGGGGCAGATCCCTCATGAATAGCTTGGTGCTGTCCTGGCAGTAATGAATGAGTCCTCTATTAGTTCCCATGAAAGCTGGATGTTAAAAACAGCCTGGCACTGGCTCGCTCTCTTACTTCCTCTTTCACCATGTGATCTCTGCACAGGCTGGCTCCACTTACCTTCCATCACGAGTGGAAGCAGCCTGAAGCCCTCACCAGAAGCAGATGCTGGCACCATGCTTCCTGTACAGCCTGCAGAGCCATGAGCCAAAGAAACCTTTTTTCTTCACAAATTATCCAGCCTCAGGTGTTCCTTTAGAGCAATACTAAACAGAATAAGACAAATGTGTTTTAGAGTTTAGATACAAGCAAGCCCCTGGGTGGATGATAATGCTATTTACTAATGTAGGAAGGACTGGAGGATGAACAGGTTTGCTGGGTAAATCAAAAGCTTTGTTGTGGATTTGTTAAACATTAACATCTAGGAGAAGATATCAAATAGGTAGTGAGACAAGAGTCCGACTCAAAGGCCATGTCTAGAAACATAAGCATGATAATCACCAGCCTATAGAAAGTCTCTTATGCCATGGATCTGCTTGAGGTCATCTGGGGAAAGAGTGTAGCCATAGCATCAGAACTGTCCAAAAATAGAGCCCTGGGCACTTCGATATTTCCATAACAGATGAGGGAGAAGGATTCAATAGAAGGACTGCAAAGGAGTCCTGAGTGTTGTGGAAGAGTACCAGGAGAGTGTGGTGTCACTGGAGCCAAGAGAAAAGGGTTAGGAAGGAGTGCCAAACTCAGTGCATCGCTGCTGGGAATTTGTGTAAGACGAGAACAGAGACCGGGCTGTTGGTGACCCTGGCAAGAGCTCCATAGGGGACCAACTCTACAAAGCACTGTGCTAGGTGCTAGAGACAAAGAGATGAGTAAAATACATTTCTTGCCCTTTAGGAAATAGCAGCCTGGTGAGGAAGGCAGACATGTGAATAAATCATTGCAATACAGTGTGATAAATCTTATAATGGAAAAACATTTTCCTAAATGTGTTTCACTAAACACTATTTGAGGGAGATGTTAATCAGAGCTCTAGAAACAAAGTGTCCCAAGACCAAATAAACTTGGCAAGTGCAACAGACTAATCCCCATTTCAGAAGACTCCCAGGACACACTAATGAGTTATTTTAAAGGTTCTGAGAAATTCTGGAGCAGAAATGTATGACTAACTTTGTTTCATGGTTAAATAAAAAAGAATAGATTTAAGTGGAAGATTTTATGTTTTGGCATATCAGCTAACATCCTCCAGACAAGAACAGTTTTTTCTGAACTCCAGTTTGGGAAGCACTAAAATAATGTATTAACGGGTTGGGGGATCCTTGGGGATAGCTCTATATTTTTGCTTGGAGAAATCAGAAGCAGTTACCTGGTAGGAGAAGCTGTTGGAGCCAGCAGCCTGCCTAGGGCTGAAACCTGTTCCCTCCCAGATCAAGAGTCCAGGAACTTTATGAAGACTTTTTAATGAGTCGAATGTCCTGCAATACCACATGTGGGCCACATGGCCAAGCTGACGGACAAGCAGGAAACACCCACCCTCTGATGCATGTGGCGCTGCTGCCAAGAGGGGGACAGAGGGAATACCAGAAGACAGGAGGAGAGACGAAGGGAGGATAAAACTCTTTCCAAATCCAAGGAGGAAGGACCCTGAAGGAAACTGGAAGGAAGCCTCTTTGTAATGATGTTTAAGACTTGCTTTGTTAACATCCTCAGAACAGAAGGAAAAGATGTGGCTTCTCTCCAAAACATTTTCCTCACCAGAAAGTCTGGTGGCAAAATCCATAGAAGTTGCAAGTCTCTTTAACGCAGAAGGCTACACAATGCTTTGAAAAACAAATAAAATACAGATTATTAGGGCTGCAAGCACCCTGAGAGCTCACAGGACCTAGAGCAATCAGCTGAGGGCCAGAAAGAATAAGTGACTTGCTCGGGTCTCCTCACCAACAGGACTGGAGCTGGGACTTAGAGCTGTCGGCCTGCAGGGCCAACTGCGGAGCTCTTGGTGCTATGTGCTGGGCTCAGGAATCCAACATATTGTCCCTTGGGATCTTCTCTCCACACCCAGGTCTTGTCTGGCACCCCCAGTAGTTATGGAGAAGCAACATCAGTTCCATAGTAGAAGCAGCAACAAGAGGGAAAGAAATAAAAACACTGAAGCTGGCGGGGTGATCTAACGGGCAGACTCTCTCACCCCAGGAATGCAGGAGGGGTTTCCCCTCCATGTGCCCTGGATCCTGGGGCCCAGCTGCAGGGAGAATGGGAACAACTGCCCCAGGACCCTCAGTGACCCTGTACCACAAGACACAGTGGCTGAGCTCATACACCTGCATTCCCTGGACAACCGCTCATATGTTGCAGCCAAGTTGAGAGGTGTGGCTTCTCATTAATTTGCCTGTTTCCCCAGAGGTAGAAAAATTAGGGAAAATTAAATCGCCAGCTGAATCCTCAGCAGTTTCAGGTCTTCTTCAATTTTTCCCTGATAACTAAGGCACTGGAGGCAGCACAGACCCCATTAATACTTCACTGCACAAACGCATGCTGCTAAACAAAAATCAGTTCGTTAGTCCATTCACAGGTGTTTTCTGAAGGGTCATCCTCAGGCAGGTAGGGACTACAAAGAGAGTGAGGCAGTGGAGTTCACACTCATAGCTACTGGTGGGGAACAAGAGGAAGCCCCCATCCTGGCAGAACAGGGGCATGATAGTGAGGAGCCTGCCAGGAGGTTGAGAGGTGCAAGTCACAATGTCCAGAGGCCATGGTAAGCCCAGGCATGGCTAGAAAGATGCTAGAACCTGGTGGGCTGCAGCAATGGGAGTCCAGACAGCAGAAGGCACTCCAGGAAGATGGTTCTGGTTGACCTAGAGTTGAGCACAGGGAGAGTGAGGCAGAAGTCTGGACTTTTGGGCTGAGATAACATGGTGAGTGTAGGAATGTGAGAGTGGTTTTTTGGGTTTTGTTGTTGTTGTTTTTCTTCAGTGACTCAACCCTGAGAAAATTGTCAAGTGACTCCTTGTCTTGATCAGTGATGGAGAAGCCAGGTCTGCCCTTAGAGTTTCAGTAGTTCTAGCTGTGGGAAATGAGAGCCACCAGGGCATAGGAATTGAAGCCCCTGGATATAAGGGGACCCCAGGGGAACTATCCCACCTTCTCTTCATTGGTCTTCTGACATTTTGGAAGACTTCTGCTGAACAGAGGATCTGTGCTTTAAAGGGTCTTGTAAGTTACCGTCTCCGTGTGAAGGAATAAAAGAATATTCTATTTGAAGCTGTTTGCTTTGCAAAGAATCAAATTCCTCTCTGACTGGCTAAAACACAGAGATGAAGGTTATCACAATGACACAGAAAGACCTTAGATGAAAGGGGCAGGGAAGGAAGCACAGCCAGTCCCTGCAGGGTTTGCATCTAGTCATCTCAGTCTCTCAAAGGCCACAGGGGCTCTCTAATTCTATTTCTATTTCATGCTTCTCTTGATCAATCAGCTTCCTCTGCTTACAAATATTGTACACAGCTCTCTAATGGGATGGCTTTCCTAATCCTGACTCTAGATCACTCCTAGTCTAAAGAGCCTACCATCAATTGGCTACAGGCCTGTGTCACTACATCCAGATTCTTCAGAACCTGATTGATGATTGGCAAGCCAGTGGGTCACTGGCAAATGGCAAGTCAATGGGTCATTACTCAGTAGGTCATTAACCAGAAATTAGATTGACCATTTACCAACTATTGCCAAGGAGGGTCTGTTCATGTAATACATGGACTGTCCCTTACAGGAGATGTGCACAGGACATATATTGAAGCACAAATAGCGTAGAATTGGATAGATGCTTACCATCAGAAATGCAGGCTTATTGCAAGAATTTATAGCAAAACACATATGGTCAGCCTGAGTAATGACCCCCCTACCCCCTGCCAAAGACTTCCATATCCTAATTCAGAAGCTGTTGACGCAGGATTTTCCTCTTGGTCACTTTGCAAGCCAGGACCTCCAGTTGGCAACGCCCCACCTAGGCCTCACTCAGCCACACTGCCTGCTGCAGGAGATGGCTCACCCACTCAGCCCGCCCAGGTAGTCTGGCTTGCACACCAGTTCCTGAGTTGTTGTCCTGTACCCAAGAAGAATGAGGATGTGCTGACAATTGAGGAGTGAGCAAGATGGGGATATTTATTGAGTGATGAAACAGCTTTCAGTGGAAAGGGGACACGGGGGTGGTCTCCCTACCCAAAGGCAGGAAAGTCTTCTTAATATGGCTGAGTTGGGGGCTTCTTATGGGCTTAGAATGGGGAAGGGGCAGGCCATAGGTAGTCTTGGAAAAGGCAACATTCAATTTGTTAAAAGGCATTATTCAGAAAGAATCTGTCAGGAAAGGGCAGGCAAACAGGAACAGAAGTTCTTACTGTGGGTCACAGGTTTCATCTGAGACCAGCAGCCCAGTCTTTCAGCCTTCAGGCTGTTTTTGGCTTGAAAGTGGGGTTTCATCAGGGACCTGCCCCTATCAGCCTAGGCATTTGGCTGCCTCCTATCGCTATCACTGTGAATATGTTACCTTATATGGCAAAAGGGACTTTGCTGATGTGATTAGGATCTTGAAATGGGGAGAGTATCCTGTTATCCTGATGGACTCAATGTAATCACAAGGATCCTTTCAAGAAGGAGGCAGGGTCAAAGACAGTAATAGATGTGACCACAGAAACAAGAAGGTGGTGATGGAGGCAAGAGGTTGGAGTGACGTGAGGAAAGGGTCACAGGCTAAGGAACACAGGTGTCCTCTAGAAGCTGAAAAAGGCAGGGAACCAGATTGTCCTCCAAAGCCTCCAGAATGAGAGCAGCCCCACAGACACCTTGATTTTAGACTTCTGACCTCTAAAACAGTAAGAGAATATGTTAGTGTTGTTTTCAGCCACCAAGTCTGTGGCCATGTGTTTCAGCAGCAATAGGAAGCTATTACAGCTGGAACCATGGGATGCCATCATCCTAACTATCCAGGGCTTCTCACAGGGAACCAGAACTATAGTTCATATTCATTCAGGATGCAACTTGAATTCAAGCAAACCCTGCTCCATTGTGTATACCTTGCATTTGCTCTTTCCAAAAGTGAGGATTCGATTGACTTTGTTCATTGTTATGCAATACAGATCATTCTTACTGAATGTCAGGCTAATAGGTTTCACATCAATACAGTTTAGTGGGGACTGGCTTCCCTCTCGTCCAACACAAAGGGCCTGATCCAATCAGCCATGTCCAGGGCAGCAAGGTGGCCGCCAGTTAGCAACCTCCATAGCCCACACACACATACACACACTCATACACACACAAAGCACAAAACTTTACAAAGAAGAATGGGTTTAAGCTATCTGTGGGAGTCACCTGAGGATACCACCCACAACCAGTAGGGTTTAACATGCAGAAGTTTAGCAAACAATCTTGAGGTTTTAAGAGAAGAATGGCCCCTTACTGACCTCCTTATACTAACCTTGATGCTGCAGTGGTAATGAGTTAAAATTGTGAGAAGCTATGAGCTCAAGGCCGGGGGTCCCTTTCTTTGGGCCCTGTGATCATGACCCTACTGGATCCTAATCCCACAGCTACAGGTAGTCATCTTCCATAGGTCAAAAGCAACCACTCCTCCAGCATCTCCTGGGGTGCCCTTGCCCCTGCACATTGGCTTGAAGGAGGGCACAGTATTGCTGCTTGACCAGGAATAATATTTTTAGGAGTTTAAAGAAAATAAAGAGAATCTGTTAAAGGCAGTTTCAGGTTCTGGGCATGAAAAGAGATACAGTGCTTGAGCTTCTGGAAATCAGGAAGGCTTAAAAAGTCAAAGAGATATTTGAATGACTGCCTTTGGGACTGGAAGAAACCCAAACAATTAGAGGCATGAAGGTATAGCACTCAGGGTTTGATAGGTGGAGGTGCATCCCTAAAACCAGGTCTCTGGGCTCACTGGAGCCTGACCTCATTTTCAATTGCTGAAAAAAAATGCACGCGATAAGCTCAGTCTGAAGATGCTTTGACAATTGTTCGAATCAGCCATTTTCCTAGAGGGTTTTGTTTTATTTATAATTATTATATTTTATTTATTTGTGTTTTTCTCTTATGATATGTTACCTTTTGTTTAAATAATTGGGCATCCCAGACCAGATTATCTAGAAATAAACTGGTGCTTTTCTGTGGTATTTCTTTAAAGGCAAGTATATTTTTAACTCGATTTATCTTTTTTGGTACACTCAATGACTTGTCTCAAAACAGCTCCATCAACTTTCTTAACCTAAATCCTTGTTCAAGTTTCCTAGTCCCTATCATTAAATTAAAACCTTTAAAGTATTTTAATTTAAGCCTTATTTGAAAAGATCATACATATCTCATGATTCCCATTAAAAATTAAGTAATTGAAATGCACACATATAAAAAATATGTATGTACATATTATATATTATTATATACATAATATGCCAGAAGGCAGAATTTATCTTCCATGGACTAACATTTTGTCAGAAAAAGAAATTGATAATCTGGTTTCTGGCATAGGCATGTGCAGCCTCCCCCCCCCCACCGCCCGCCCCCATACAGGATCCCTGGGGCAGGCATGGACAATTTCATCTCACATCTCTCTAAGGAATGACAGGTCAGCTCTGTGGCACATGGTCCCCCTCCTGCAAGGTCTGGCCTCCTCATGATGCTCAAGGTCCATTGGGAAGATTCCAGAGTGTGAGTGACTTAGGGGAGAACAGAAAGAAGTCTACAGAAGGTTGGGTAGGAAGAGACCTCAGCACACCAGGCTGCAGCTGAGACAAGGCAGGGCTCCCTGGGCAGCTCTGTCTCCTCCATCTCTATGTAGATCATTTTTCTGCCCCTCGTTTGGTGCACACTCCTGCCAACAGGATCTTGGAGGCAAGCTGGGTAAAGATTAGGCTGCCATGAGACCTGAAGCTGGTGCTCTATGGTGCATGTTTGGGAGAGCCCAGGATCTCCACCTCACACCCAGGCCCTGCTCGCCAGCTGAGGGCAGCTCTGTGATGTGTGATGTCAGTGCTTCTGGGCCGGCGATGGTGTGCTGAGCAGAGCTGCCATAGACACCCACCCCTACACCTGGACATGTCATGCCTACAAACACAGGACCTGGAGAAACCAGGAGCCATTCTCAATCCACCTTGGAGCTCTAACTACCACTGAAAAGCTTTGCTGGGACCCCAAATCATCTGGCTTTAAGGAGCTGTCAGGAAACTCTACAAAGGGCTTAGCTGGCAACTAAGGGATAAATGGCTAATCACAGTTTAAGTGGTGCCCACTTTCTCTCTGCCCCAGTGTATTAACTTCAAAAATCGAAAGAATGGAGGGGCGCTAATGGTGGGGGCAGGGACAGAGAGCCCTGCCCAGTTTCCCCTTAAACCAGAAGGCATCCAGACCCTCATCCAAGATTTCCGTGGCACCGAGAGCCCAGGGATGGTGGACGAGAAGGCATCCAGTCCAGCACGCAAGGCTTCCATGGCACCAAGAGCCCAGGGATGGTGGTTTCAGTGTCTGGTAGAGGAAAGTTGCCTTTATGCACCTTCCAGCAGGGGGCTCCGGGAGCTTCATGCTGTAGAGTAGGGGAGTCAAGGCCCTGTTTTATCTCTGCAGTTGAAACAGTCACAGATGTCTATGTGCTATTTTCAAATGAAGTTCCTCGTGGAAACTGCGCATGTTTTTCTCAATAACCACCCCACTACCACTGCCAAACTAAATGAAGCAACAAGCATCAATTTATATCAATTCAATATTTATACAAACTGTGATTATCTCTTATGGATCCGAAGCTCTGATTGGCAGTTACATATGGTTTTGATGATAAAAGTATGAAAACAAATTTATTATTATCTGCAAATGAAGGGTATATGGCAGATAGGATTTTCCAGAGCATGGAGAAATAACACAAAAGATATCCCTGGTGATGGGAAAGCTGAGAACTCTAAAATAAGAATACTAGGGGCAGGGGTACCAGATCAAGAAAGGTTGTCGGACTGGATTATATTTGTTAAAGAGAAAAGCCATAGAGCATAGTAGAAATGTCGGGATGCAGAAGAGGAGAACTCCGGGCCACGGCCTTGCTATGTGATGGTGGCCAAGTGCCTTGCCTTGGATCTTTCACGGCTGGACCCTGGAGGGGTTGGACTTGCCTGATTCCCCCTCTCAGGGGCAGAGCCGTGGACCCAGCCCAGGGGAGGGGGTTAGGGAATGTGGTGCACACGAGGCCTGGCTAAGCTAGGGCTCAGGACAGGACTTGTGGCAGGAAGGATCCCACGTTGTTAACCCAAGACAGCAGATAGGAGTTGTTGCAGGTCCCTCTTCCGGAAGCACCTCTGAAACGGAAACGGTGTGTGCGGTGTTTATCAGGAAGTGCTCTCAGACTCCACGCCCGTGGGAGTAGTGAGAGGCATAGGATGGGACAGAAGGAGATGCTAAACAGTGATGCAGAAGCAGCGAAGACCTCCGCAATCCTGCAGGGAAGCTTGGGAGCTGGTACGGCCCTGCAGAGATGCACTGAGGTAGGGCGAGGACCCCGGCCCTCTAATCCCCCGCACTGACTCGACATTGGATGCACAGCCCCTGGGAAGGGGATGTGACGGGCGAGGTGGCTCTCGGCATCTGAGAGCAATCCCTGGCGACAGACTCAGCTGAGAGCTCATCTGAGGGCAATCTCTGGAGACAGACTCAGCTCAGAGCTGTCAGCAGCCTGAGGACTGTGTTTCTTCTTGGACGGGTAGGGACCCCAGGGGAACCCGGGCAGCACACCTCACGCCCCCTGCAGGCACAGTGCTGCAACTACAGCCAACCATCCGGAGGGGAGAATTCAGGTGCGAGAGGCCCAGGGAGGAAGCCGAGGGAGACTCCAGGCCCTAGTGAGAAGGCAGCGCACAGCCAGCAAGGCGGACCCACCTAGCTGGGTCCTGCCTGCAGACATCGTAGTCAGCATCTGCGGCCGTGGCGTCAACCAGTAGGAAGCGGATTAGGACCCAACCAGGCTCAGCCAGGCTCCACCACGCTAAGGTTCTGGGCTCTCCCAGCATCTCTGAGGACTGAGGGAGGCCCCAGCCTGGGCAGAGGACACCTCTGAGGTCGTGCAAATAGTTTTCTATGAAGCTCGTCTTCTGCTGCTCTTCCACCCATTGTCCATCAGTCCTTGCCACTTCCTTGTCCTGGGCATCAGCTAGCCTGGAACCCATCAAGGAGGTCAGAAAGGAGTCAGGATCTGTAGTGGAGGCTGGGGAGGTCAACCAATAGTCAGAAGCCTAGGCAGGCCGGGCACAGTGGCTCCCGCCTGTAATCCCAGCACTTTGTGAGGCAGAGGCAGGAGGATCTTTTCAGTCTAGGAGATCGAGACCAGCCTAGGCAACACGGCAAGACCTTGTCTCTACAAAAATCACTTGGGGGTGGTAGTATCCACCTGCGGTCCCAGCTACTCAGGAGGCTGAGGTGGGAGGATCCCCTGAGCCTCGGAGGTCGAGGCTACAGTGGTTCATGATCATGTTACTGCACTCCAGCCTGGGTGACAGAGTGAGACTCTGTCTAAAAAAAGAAGACGACAAAGAAGTCATCTAGGCAGCAGTATGGTAGACTGCAGAGACAGTGAGATTTGGAGGCAGACAGACCTGCCTTCAATGTTCACCTCTGCCACTTTTGGGCTGTGTGACTTTAAGCAAATTGCTATACCTCTCTGAGCCCCATGCTGCCCATTAATCCTAGCACCTATCTCTCAGTACTTTATTAAGTCTCCAGGATTATTCCAGCTGCTATTTTACCACTGCCTCTGACTTCTTTTGAACTCTGACCACTGCCTTTTATTTAGGATTATGACACACATCGTTAGCTCTAGGATTCCTCGCTGAGTCCCAAGTCTAATTGTTTACAGACATCCTATGTCTAACTGCATCCCACCACTCTCTGCTTCTCCTTAAGACTGGTCCCCACTTTGCTATCAGCTGTTCCATCTCAGCATCTCTTACTCTTTTCTTCTCAGCCTGACTGCTGCTGGAGCCCAGTGTGAGTCCTGGCAGAAGAAATCTGCAAACCCTAGTCAGATGTGTTTCAGCTTTGCAGTGGATGGTAGGGCCACCCTCCCGTTGGGGTCAGGTCAGAGGACATGACTCTTTAACATTACTGAAATTACAAGTTTCTTGAATACAAGATGAAGGAAGAGGTCAAATATCAAGTAGTAAGTCACACATTTAAAACAGAATTTGGCTTCTACATTTTCTTGGGAATGGGTAGAGAAAAAAGCTTCCCTTTCTCTGTTTAAAGAAATCAAAACTTTAGAGGGCTCTAGGAAGAACAAAGAGAATCTTCACATAAGAAATAGAATATTGAGAGCCCTTATTAAGATAATTTTCTTGCTCAAAGATTGAAAGACTCAGTGCCTTTGGAGTTTGGCTCTGGTTGAGGGAGGGGATGGGATGAAGTGACAAATGCCTCAGAGGTTATGGCTAATGGTGCCTTTGGAGAGAGAAGTATTGGGACATGTGTGTGGGAAAACAGGTTTCAGAATGTGATGGCAGCCTCCAAAATGGCCCCAGTGATGCCCTGTCCTGGTGTTCACGTTCTTGTAAAATCCCCTCTACCTTGAGTGAGGGATGCTGATGAATAATGATGGGATATCACTTCCAATATTAGGTTACAAAATGACTCTGGTTTCCATCTTGCTCACCCTGAGGGAAGCCAAGCTGCCATGTTGTAAGCTGCCCTATGAAGGGACCCACATGGCAAAGAATGGAGAATGACCCCAGCCAGCCAAGAACTCTCAGCCTACCGGCCCATGAGGAACTGAATCCTGCCAACAGCGATGTGAGTGAACTTGGAAGTGGATCCTTCTCCAGTGGCACCATCAGGTGAGACTATAGCCCCAGCCAACATGGGAGTTGTTTCAGAAGAAAGGAAGTATTAAGCCAGATGCTTTACAGACTTTATCTTGGACCTCAAATTCATTCTGTGAGATACATGTTGGTATCTCCATTGTGTAGATAAGAAAACCAAGACTCAAAAAGGTGAAAACTTACTAAATGTCATATGATGAATGAATAGAAGAGAGGGGATTTGAACTCAGGACTGATAACACAAAAGCCCACACTCTGGTTATTGCAGAAATATACTGTGTTTTTATTTCCACGTTTCCATCAGAACTTAAAAATAAAAATGGACAGTTGCTCAATTATCCCACTAACAAACATATGGCAGCAGCAAGAACTGGGACCACAGCACCATGCTAACCAAGGCCAGGCCTTCCCTGAGTTGGTATACACTCCCGTACAGCAGCATCAGAAGCTGCTCAGAGCCTGCAACATCCTCTTGAGGCAGAATCCTCCATGTGCAAAGTGATCTAATGGTCAGTTTTTAAAAGAAAATAGCTGAATCTGATGCCAGTATGGGCTAAGTACTACTTCTAAGAACCTTACATGTCTTAACTCACTTAAACAATCCTACAAGAAAGGCACTATTATAGTCATCCAATTTACGGATGAGGAGACCAAGGCACAGAGAATTTAGATAATTTTCTCCCAGACATTCAGCTATAAGGAGCAGAGCCAGGATTTAAACTCTGACAATTTGTCTCCACAGTCGCATACAAGACCCCCAGAATTCTCTCCTTGGTCCCAGGCTATCATGTTGCCTGGGTTCCCAATACAGCACTGGGTGTAGCTGGCCTTGGTTCCAGGCCTTCACCTTCTGGATTCAACCTGGCTACCAACACCCTTGATTCTGACTTTCTCCATTCACCTCCTCGTTCCCAGTTCCCAGCTAGCCCTTTCTGCCTTGACCCCATCTGCCCTGGCTCTTAAGCTGTTCACACCTGCATCCCATCCCATGCCTGCACCCCAGCCCTCACCTGCCTCCTGACCTGTCTTACAGCTCACCATCCAGCCCGCCTGAGGCTCTGCCCACTGACAGGCTACTCCCAGGACAATACTAGCTCCCCAGGACAAGCACTACACCCAGACGGCATGTCATTCAACAAGTCGGGGGCAGGCTTAAGGTGAAAAATCATCCCAATTCTGGAGATATTATCTGAAAAAAAAAGACTGTTTTCAGGAAACAATCTTCCCATCTGTGGTGATTTTTAAAATATAGTTCCCAAATTTTATGTGGGAAAGGAAAGTAGCAATATAGATGCAGGAAGAGCATTACTGTGTGGATAAAAAGATGATGTATGCAAATGAACATGCTCAGCCTAGAACTTAAATTAAAGTTACTGCCTGATATGGTAGGTACTGTGGTCTGAATGTGTCCCCCAGAGTTCATGTGTTGGAAACTTAATCTCCAGTGCAACAATGTTGAGCAATGGAACCTTTAAGAAGTGACTGGGTCAGGAGAGTTCTGCCCTCATGAATGAATTAATGTCATTATTGCAAGAGTTAGTTATTGCAGGAGTAGGTTCCTGATTAAAAAGTGAGTCCACCCCCACTTCTCTCTCTTTTTCTGTCACGCACATATGCACTCTCTTGCCCTTCTACCTTCCACCATGTGATGACACAGCAAGAAGGCCCTCACCAGATGCAGGCCTCTCAACCTTGGACTTTCCAGCCTCCAGAATTGTAAGAAATAAATCTCTATTCTTTATAAATTACCTAGTCTCTGGCATTCTGTTACAGCAGCACAAAATGAATTAAGACAGTAGGAAAGATCATTGACACTGTTACAGACCTCTAAGGCATGATGAAAAAGCAAATATGCCCATGTTTATGCAAATAGCAGAGTCAGTTAAAGAGGCCATAACATTGATCATATGGGACTTCAATAGCCCTGAAATGGATTAGAACAAGAATTATGGGATGGTAAGGAGAGGCCACAGAGCTAGCAGTGATCAGAAGCTCTTTTCCAGGAGACTTTGTTGAGCAATCAAAAAGATCATGGGCTATTGGGGGCAGCTATCTGAAAAGTTGAATGCAATGAAGGATGAAGGATGGGGCTAAAATGCTAAAAGCAGCGTTTTCAACCAAGTTGCATTTCAATTTAGTCTTCCCATCTGTGGTGATTTTAAAAATATAGTTCCCAAATTGCCGGTAGCATCTGGGGAGCAGGGTCTGTGGGCAGACACCTGCTCACCAGTGAACATTTGGAATGACATTTCTGGAGGGAGGTGTCATTGTGGCTTAGAGATTAATCC
The DNA here is from genome assembly GCF_000001405.40 of Homo sapiens. Classification (NCBI taxonomy): domain Eukaryota; kingdom Metazoa; phylum Chordata; class Mammalia; order Primates; family Hominidae; genus Homo; species Homo sapiens. The sequence goes on along the minus strand of NC_000011.10, from coordinate 11,151,810 downwards.
ATAAAGAAGACAGACTTAGGGAATCCCAGAGTAGCAGAGCTGGGAAGCCCTCGAAGATAACAGAGCCAAACTGCCCAGAGAGGGTAAGTGACATACTCAATGTCACACAGCCAGTAATTAATGGAGAAGGGGCTGGAACTCCACTTTTCTAAGTCTCTGTTTAGGACTGCAACATCCCCTGGAGTGAGTGAAAGGAAAGTTCTCGAAGGAATCTCCTCAAAAGGGATGTAGAATAAGAGTGAAGTTGTTGCCTCAGAAAAAAAAAAAAGTGAAAAATGAATAACGATTGATAAATTCAGATCTCCATTCTCGTCAGAAAATAAAATTTCTGGTAATTATTATCCCTCACTACCTTAGAGAAAACAAGAAGAATGAAGATTGTCCTAACACAATTATGTAAAGGCAAGTCTAAGAAAGGAGAAGGAGTTGATTCCCATGTAGAAGTCAACCATCTAGGCTAACTGTTCATCCCACCCCAATGCCTCAAACCCAGGCTGCCCACCTATTTATCACACTTTTGCAGGTCTGTGAAAGTCAGCAACAAATACCGTATCTATTCCAGGAGATTGTCCTAGAGCCTCCTCAATTTCTCTGTGGACACTATGCCTGCTCTTGTCTCCCTGGTTCTGATTTCCATGTCTGCTGCCAGTTTTAACATTGTTCCTGGCCTTCTCATATTAGTCACCTAAGCCCCTCCTCTTGGGCCTTGGGTCTCAGCCTCATCTCATCCTAACACTTCCTACTAACCTGGTGAGAAGCTCCCTGCTCTAGCTATAGCCCGCTAAGCCTGTATGCTGGCCTAGCTCCCAGATGCTCTCAAGTAAAAACAAAAAAGTAGACATTTTGTCTTGAACCCTAAGTTTCCATGCTGGGGGGAGGGATAAGATTATGACCACTATCCATACCCCATCTCTTGAGAATTTGGAGCTGTGGGACGAAAAAGAAGAACCAGAGAGTTGGCTGCAGCTGGCAGAAGAAAAAGGACAGATGGTTCCCCACAGGAAAGGCACCATCGGCTGAAGTACCAGCCTCACTCCTGTGGCTCCTACCTGCCATGGTGCAGGTGCATGTGTATGCATGTGTGTGTGCATGTGTGTATGTGTCGCCACCCTGTGATACAGGGTTGCAAGCCCCACCTGCTTGGGCCTATGCAAAGACCTACCAAAAAATTCTCTCATTTGCTACTCAGCAGTTTGAGGAAAATAAACTTGAATATATCAGTCCTAATCCAGAAAGGCTTGAGATGGTTGGTTGGAGAGTGTTTTCCATGATGTTGGCCTGAAGCCCTTCAGCCACTTTGAACAGGTAGGCATATGTCTCCGTGTGAAATCTATTTGTAACCCAAGACGATGCTGTCAATACAACAGGAAACTCTTTGCCTCCTCTAGCCTGTGGGCAGGAATAGGGTCCCAGTGACGGTACTACCTCAGACCTCACTATGTCGTAACTTCCTTCTGCTCACAACCACTCCAAAGTGCCCTCTGAATGCTTCTGGGCTCCCAGGGGAGGTCTTGGGTGTGCCTGCCACGAGGTGAGTTCTTGAGCCCCAGGTGGCTCCTTCCCTTTCCCCACAAGTCTCAAGGTCTGTGGCTCTCTCTGCTTCTGCTCCACAGGGTGCCCCCACTGGTGTCCTGAAGCTCATCCTGCACCAAGCAGAAGCGAGCAGAAGAACCCCACACCCTGCCCCTGCTGCAACACACTCACCTGGAGACCTAAAATGTGACCTCCATGTCCCCTCTGTGAGAACAGCTTCTTCCACCTCTGCTGTGGGGAACAGCAGCATCCCAGGCAGAGGGAACTGCATATGCAAGGAACCTGGGTGGGGTGGGGGGCAATGGTGGCCGGCGTTTGAAGAACAGTAAGGCAGTCAATGTTGCTGGAGCCCAGAGAGATAATGAAAGGTGGATGACGTGGGGTCTTATAGGTCACCATGAGAGCTTTACTCTAAGGTGTTGGGAAGCCAGACACCTGCAGACATGTCTGCAAATACCTTTGAGGTTTGTCTGAATCCTCAGCTGCAGAGGAAAACACAGGAAGTATGGGAGTTCCCCACAAGAGTTCACATTTGAACTAGGTTGTTTTTTTTTTAACCGCAACCTCTGCCTCCTAGTTGCAAGTGACTCTCCTGTCTCAGCCTCTCGAGTAGCTGAGATTACAGGCATGTACCACCACACTGGCTAATTTTTTGTATTTTTGGTAGAGATCGGCTTTCACCATGTTGGTCAGGCTGGTCTCGAACTCCTGACCTCAAATGATCTGCCTGCCTCAGCTTCCCAAAGCGCTAAGATTACAGGTGTGAGCCACCGCACCTGGCCTTGAACTAGGCTCTGAAGGATGACCAGGAGTTTTTCAGATGGGGGAAAGAGGAGCAAAGCATCCCAGATAGAGAGACTACTATATTCAAAGGCTAAGAATGGTGAAAGAGCAAAACGTGTTCCAGGGTGGCTGGCCGTACACCTGTCTGGCGTTCAGGACAGGAGGATGTTAGAGGATGCTGCAGCAGAATGCAAGGCTCAGGTGTGGTTGGGGTCAGATAGGGAGGACCGTACACAAGGCATCATCTCTAGCTTCCTTAGGAACACATTCCCTTCTTTGAGAACTGCATTGGCCCCTAATGAGCTGAAGTCACTTTATTACTTACTGCAGCATAAACGAGCGCTGTTATGAGAGGCATATGGCCCATCTCCCCGCTCCTTCTTCCCATCCCACCCTCGCTCCTGAAATCCAGGCAGCTGCCTTGGGCAGCATCAGAAAGTCCCATGTGCTTGAGGCTTTCAGACAGCTTTTCCCCAATAAGACAAGCTCTCTACTTAATCTGAAGAAATGGAGTGTTATTAAATTAATTTCTGAACTATCCTTGCCTTGTCCTTGAACTAAAAAGCTAAGGACCCTGGAGTAAAAGGCAGGGGATGAGGTGGGAGGGGTGAAGGGGAGAAGCAGAATGAGGCAGGGCAGCAAAGAGGCAGCAGAGAGGCAAGTTCCTGACCCAGGTCTGCCCGACAGACTCGTTCCAGCAGGTGGGCTGCCTCGTGCTGTCCAAGGCACTGTGTTGAAGAGGTTCAGTAAGTAAAATAAGAAATGAGAGTCCTCTGATCAGCTACTGTACCCAGGGCCCTAAAAATGATGGAAAGGTGGCCTCCCTCTGCCATGGGGTCAGCCCAAAAGTAATTACCAGGATACTTTGCAGATTATTGAATAAGTCCCTGGAACCGGCACACTGATTTATATAAGACCTGGAGATTTTGAGAGATTTGAGAGAATATTAAGAATCAATCAATATTTTAATTTATTTCAGGGTCCTGGAGACTTTAGCTCTGTAGAAAACCACAGGGAGGAAATTGTGACCTTTGAAATATGGCTGGCTGGCAGGCAGCAGGGAGGTACCTCGGCAAAGAGCCTGTTTGGCAGCTGCTGCGGGGAAAGACTTCTCTGTGCTGGAATGTTCTCTTTCTTCACAGCATCAGTCAGGAATTTCAAATAGCCAAAGAGGGGAGGGCCTCAGGGTGAGTGAGCTCTGGAGCCCTGGCAAGAAGGCTCTTGGCTTGAATGTGCATAGCTTACTCCTCCCCAGAGAGAGTCCCCAGGGCCTGGAGAGAGGAGCCTGCAGACTTTGTGTCTCTGCCTAGGAGGCGCTGCTGTGATCTGGAGACGTCCTCGTAGAACCACCTGATGATGTGTCATCATTGCAGGAGATCCAGTACCTTCTCCCCTGGGTCACTAGGCTCCCTAGGCCATACTCTTCCTGTGTCCTCCCCAGGGCTTTACCAGACATCTCATAGAGCACGTGAGCACCAGGTCTCGGACTATCACCATCCTCCTGTCTTATTCCGCAGGAAGACTGTAAGCTCCCTTCAGGCAGGAATGATGTCTGATCCATTTCTGTGTCCCCAGTACCTGGCATCATGCCTGGCCCAGGATAGGTAGATATGAAAAATAATGTGTTGAAGAAATGAATGGTCAAATGAACTAATGCAAGAAAAATAAACATTTGTTTGTAAAAATCAGTTATGTTTCAACAGCAAGCAGACGGCACATTCAAATGTAGTAATTAGAGAAATTCAGAAAGGTGAAGACAGGGTGGAGGTAACTGACCAAAGCATGCAGCACCCTGGGGCTGGCAGCAGTGGGAGAGAAGGAGCTGTTAGCACCCCCAGGCCTGATGCGGCTAAGAGAGAAGCGGGTCCCAGAACCTGGAGCAGGCCACTAAAACGGAGAGGTGGCCTTTTGCAAGGGAGGCAGCCACACCCTCAAACCTGCAGGGAGGAAGTGGGGGAACAAATACCTTGACCTCGCCCTCTGTCCTTCCTTGGATCTCCTCCCTGTGTTCCTCACTGGCCAAAGCCAACCAGAAGTCAGAGGCCAGTGGAGCTCCTTGATCCAGAGTGGAGAGTAGACAAAAGATCCCCAGCAAAGGGCTGCCAGGTAACTCTCTGCCTATTCCATCTGGCTTGTCCAGCCCCACGAGAAGGGCAGACAATGGGCACCCCAATCAGTAGTGCCAACTACTGGGGCACCCCAGTAGTTCTCAATAAGGGGCAGTTTTGCCAGCCGCTGGGGGGATTTGTTTTTCACAACTGGAATGGGGAGGGTGCTACTGGTATCTAGTGAGTAGAGGCCAAGGATGCTGCTAAACATACAAAAATGCAAAGGACAGCACCCACAACAAAGAACTATCCAGCTCAAGATGTCGATTGTGCCATGCTGGGAAAGCCTGGCCTTAATCAAATGTTGAGAGGAACTCAGGCACACTCTGTGCTGCCCTGGCTTCAGCCAGAGAACATTGCCTCACTGTGCTGGAAAGGGCAGCGTCATTTGGTCCAACCCAGAGCCATCGGCCAGTAAGTGACCAGTGTCTGACTTTGAGTGTCCCTTCGGGAAGGTGCTTTAAGGAGAAAGTCTATCTGCTCTCTGTCTCTCCTCACTGACAGTGATGTCCTAGGGTGTCCAGAGTGGTAGACGAGTGGCAGGGAGCACTGCTCAAGCCATGGGCAATTAGCTTTCCCCTGGAGGCCAAAACCTCCCCACTGGGCTCACCACCTCCCCAACTCCCCTGATATTGAGGGGAACGAGAAAGCTTCTCGTTCCCCTCATTTTCAGCTTTACATTCACACCATAAAAACATTTTGTAAAAGTGAATCAAGTCTTGCCATCTGTCTCTCTCACTTTTATCATGTTTATAATGAAAAGAAGAGTCAAGAGGAAATGGAATCCAAACTGCAAATGGTGTGCTGCTCCCTGGTAGCTGAGATCCACCCGAGCAAGGCAGGGACTTGAGGAAGAGGGTGGCCCTTGTGGCGCAGCATCATGTACAAAGTGAGTTCCATCAGAATCTCATGCGAAGTTCTCATGGCAGCCCTGGGAAGTAGAGCTTGTAATCCACATTGACAGATGAGGAAACTAAGGTTTTTCAGGGGAGATAAGTACTTCAAGGTTGTACTCCCAACAAGTAGCAAAGGTCTTAAACTCTGTACTTGGCCATCAACTCCAAGTTGTAGACCAATGTTGCTTCCTATTTCATCCTGACGTGAAATTGTTAGCTTACTGCTACTGGGGTTTAGGTACCATATTGAAAACTGTTGAAGTTTAAGTGACTGTGGTACTTAAGAGAGCTCTATTTTACTCCCTGTCACAGCTTAGAGATTTTGTCCCTCATCTGACCCTCCAGGGTCACAGCCCGGGAGAGAATAAGTTCCATGTGTACATTCATGTCACAAATATTCATTGAGAAAACCATGTGCCAGGTGCGAGATGTGGGATGGCCAGAGAGTACCATTCTGAGCAGGGCAGCAGATCTTGAAAAAGGACCCTTGGCACCAGATCAGAGAGGAACCTAATAATGGCAGGCTGCATTTATTGAGCACTCACTATGAGCCAGCTACTGCTCAAGTACTTTCTACATACTAACTCATTGAACCCCATAAGGCTGATACTCTTACAATTCCCATTTTACAGATGAGATGACTCAAGCAGTTTAGAAAATTGCTCGAGGAACCCAGCTTAATAGTTGTTCTGTTCTGACACGTGCTAGAGCGTGGATAAATCTTAAAGACATTTTGCACAGGGGAAAAAGCCAGTAACAAAAGGAAAAATACCGTGTGATTCCACTTATATGAGGGACCTAGTGTAGTTAAATTCATACAGACAGAGACTAGAAAGGCTAGGAGTTGGAGGGGAGAAAGAAACGGGGAGTTATTGTTTAATAGGTTCAGAGTTCAGTTTGCAAAGATGACATGAGTGTGGAGGTGGATTGCAGAACAATGTGAATGTCCTTAAATTAGTGCCATTGAACTATACACCTAAAAATGGTTAAAAATAGGCCAGGCACGGTGGCTCACACCTGTAATCCCAGCACTTTGGGAGGCCGAGACGGGCGGATCACGAGGTCAGGAGATCGAGACCATCCTGGCTACCACAGTGAAACCCCATGTCTACAAAAAATACAAAAAATTAGCTGGGTGTGGTGGCGCCTGTAGTCCCAGCTACTTGGGAGGCTGAGGCAGGAGAATCGCTTGAACCTGGGAGGCAGAGGTTGCAGTGAGCCGAGATCGCACCACTGCACTCCACCCTGGGCAACAGAGCGAGACTGTGTCTCGAAAAAAAAAAAGGTTAAAGTAGTAAGTTTTCATGTGCATCATTCCGTTTAGTTTCTATTGAATTATTCATCTTCTTTTTTTTATTTTATTATTATTATACTTTAAGTTTTAGGGTACATGTGCACAACATGCAGGTTTGTTACATATGTTTTTTGTCTTCCTTGACTACACATGGTGCGTCTTTGAGGTCATAGACCATACGTTTGTTTTTGTGTTTATTTTGTTTTTCTAACCCTGGCACCTCTTATAGATTCCTTGCACATAGCAGGACAGTTAATAAATAATTTTTGAATGAATGATTCTTTTAATAAATTGCATAAAATGAATGGCAAAAGGAAAAAAATAGTAAGTTTTACGTTATGTATATTTTACTACAATAAAAAGGTGAAAAATATAACTTTTAAGTTGATCATTAAAATTCATACTTTTTTTTTTTTAAGGCCCTGGAATCCATTCTGTTAATCATCCCTGTGTTAGAAGCTGTATTAGTCAGTGTTCTCCAGAGAAACAGAACCCATAGGATGTGTATCTATACAGAGAGATAGTGAAGGGAACTGCCTACACAATTATGGAGTCACGCAAATCCATGATCTGCAGGGTGGGCTGGCAGGCTGGAGACCCAGGGAAGAGCCCATGTTGCAGGTCAAGTCCAAAGCTGTCGGCTGGCACAATCCCTCTGCTGGCAGAAGTCGATCTTTGTTCTATTAAAGGCTTCAGTGGGCTAGATGAAACCCACCCACATAATGAAGGGCAATCTGCTTTACTCAGAGTCCATGGATTTAAATGTTCATCTCATCCAAAAAAAACACGCTCATAGAAACATTCAGAATAATGTTTGACCAATTAGCTGGACACCAAGGTCCAGCGAAATTGACACATAAAATTAACCAGCACAGGTGGTCAATTCCACCGTGCCACAGCTAAAGAGAGAATAGACCTACAGTAAGCAAGGAACTGAACTGGTGGGATCAAGTTCAGGAATGCAGGTAAGCTAGGATCCGAAACCAGGGGCAAGCTCACAGCGAGCAGACTGATATGTGAAAGCAGGAGAGACTTTGAGCAGACTGAGCCAAGGTGAGTGGTGGCAGAGATAGTGCTGGCTTAGGATGATATAAAAATGCAGGCCCTGGCTGTAAGGCCCATAGACTCCTGCCAGGTGAGGGGCAGCCTGTGCCAGGGACAGGCTGAGCAGGGCGGCCCAGGCCACTTCAGGGGATGACGAGGCGTTATCCCAGCAGTGTGGAATATCATCTTCCTTCTGAAGGGGAGGAACAGAGATCACTAGAAATTTTGCCCAGTTATTCAACCGTTCTACATGTCCAGCCTGCCTCAGGTGTGCATATGGGACCTGAATGGTATCAGATACACAAGCACCAGATCAGAATGTGCTTCTGGGATTATATTATGGAGCATTCGGAGCCTACAAGGACTTCCTAAGCTGCCATCAGGGTCCAGAAGACAAATTCAAGATGAAGGTTTCTGGCCAGGCGTGGTGGCTAAAGCCTGTAATCCCAGCACTTTGGGAGGCCAAGGTGGGTGGATCGCCTGAGTTCAGGAGTTCGAGACCAGCCTGACCAGCATGGTGGAACCCCTTCTCTACTAAAAATATGAAAAAAAATTAGCTGGGCATGGTGGTGGGTGCCTGTAATCCCAGCTACTCAGTAGGCTGAAGCAGGAGAATCGCTTGAACCTGGAGGCAGAGGTTGCAATGAGCCGAGATCGCACCGCTGCACTCCAGCCTGGGTGACACAGCAAGACTTCATCTCAAAAAAAAAAAAAAAGATGAAAGTTTCCTAAGAGGGCAGCACACAGGCATGCTGGGGCCAGGTCAAAGGCAAAGACACCATGGGTGTCAGTGGCCAGGATACGAAGCCAAAAGTTGGAAGGTTGAAGGAGCTATTGACTACAGCCAAGGGAAAGAACAGGCAGAGGAGGGAATGAGGGGAACAGGTGAGGGCTGATGCCAGGCAGGTTGGAACAGACAGGAAGGGACAAGGTGGTGAGACATGTAGGTTCAGGAACTAAGTCTGTAAGTGCAGAGGGTCCATCAGGGCCCTCTTGATTCTTTGGACCTGAGGCCTTGCCAGAAACATCCAGAATAAAGTCATCCAGGTCTTTGAAGGGAGTAGCTTCCCATGAGTTGATACCCATCTGCAACTGCAAGCCTCACCTCTAGGAAGGAGACAATGATGGCTTTTAGAGTACAGTGTGCTGGCACAGACCCAAGAGATGTGGCATCTAGACCCAGATATAACTTGGTCTTAGACTACCCATTCCCTCACTAGTAAAGTAGGGGTGATCCTAGCTCCCAGCAAACCTCAGAGTCATTTTCACAGACACAAGTGAGAAAACAGGACTGAAAGTCCAGTGACATCTACAGTAAGTGGCCCTGAAAATGTCAAATACCAAAACTACAGCAGGGCAGAGGCCCATCCCTGCCACTAGGGAAGAAGAGAAACAATGTGTCTTCAGAAATATGCAAGGTCTGGAGTGGTGAGGAAAGGATGACTTACTATATTCTAACTGAAAACCGAAGCCAAACACAACCAGACGTTTGACGTCTGTTAAAATTCTGCTGCTATGAAGCCAGTGCCAGAAAGAACACAGAATTACAGCCAGGAGTTTACAAAGAGTCAAGGGACCATGCCCAGCCCTGGGCTACAGGACCACATGAGGTCTGGTAGGTAGAGCAGCAGAAGTCCCAGGCCAGGGAATGTGGGCGATGGGTGGGAGTGGGTGGGAAGGGCAGATTTCCTACTCCCAAGCCATTATTCACTGAATTTTCTCAGTCCATCCTGGCAAGTCCCATTTCCATCAGGCTCCATAAACCCTTCCCATTGCTCCTTGTCCCTCCCAGTCTGCTCAGTCTATAAATAAAGTCAGGATTTCATTAAACAACAACAATAATAGATACCTGGAATTAAACAACTATCATGTTGGCCACCATCACTTCCTATGAACCCGACATCATGTTCCATGTTTTGTATGTATTATTTCATTGAATCTTAACAACTGTGCATTTCATGTATGCAGAACCTGAAGTTTTGAGAAATTAAATAACTTGTCTATGGTTATTTTGCCTCTTCTTTCCCGGGGCTGGAATTTGAACCTAGGTCTTTCTGATGCCAATATAAGCACATTAGCCCACAGCTCCCCTGTATGTTGAGGGTTAGCAAGAGTGGGTCATAACTCTGCCTGTTAGAGAAATAATCTCAAGTATGATGGGAAAGAACATGTCACTGGAAGGGGTTATGATGAGCTGGACAATGTAAGGTCACTTAAGGATTAGGAAATTGAAAGAGTAACCTAAATCCACGGAGAATTTCCATGGGAAAAACATATAAATGAATTTAGTAGCAGTGCCCTGGGTGCCAGGCCAGCAGCTGTAAATAGCATTCCCCGAAGTCTAATTTCCCTGTAATGGCTCTTGGTGTTAAGAGTTGAGTGAACAATTGTAATAATAGGCAGGTTAATCTTCCCCATAATTTACACTTGGTGAACTGTGGAGCAGGAGGCAATAAGGGCTTTGCTGAAGCAGAGAAAATCCTGAGAAGGCATCTCAGCCTGTACTGTTCCTGGGAAAGGTGATTGTTTCCTTTGTGGCTCTGAGAGTACTGCAAAGAAAGCAGAGTACAAAGCTCTGTCGGGAATGATTGGTTGGGCCAATCCCACCCTTTCATTTTCAAGGCTTGCAGAGAGGCTTGGAGTGGGGTGTGATTGAAGCTATCAGTCACCTGTAGGCCTCTGCAAGCTTTGGAAACAGACTTGGGTTTGAAGGTTGGTCCTCCTGTGCAACCACAGTCAGGTTACTAGGACTAGAAGTTTCCAGGGCATAGTTCCCATTCTGCAAGCCTTTTGGTAAAGGAATTTATTAAGGAGACTAAAAACATGATCCAGTTAAGCATTTTTTTAATGTATTCTGGAAAAAAAAAATACTGGCTAAATTTAGGAGCTGGCTACAGGCCCTTAAAATGCCTGAGGATCAGGCTGAGTTTTTCCTTCTTATTTGTTTTGTTTCTAACAATAGCTAGGAGGCAACCTCATGGTGTAATGAACTTCATAGTTGGACAGAATGTGTTCAAATCCCATCTCCTCACCCAAGTTCTGAGAACTCTGCAAGACAGTTAAATCTCTCTGAGCCTCAGTTTCTTCGTTTGTAAAAAAAAAGGGACATTCATGTTTTGACTGTTCTTGAACAACTCTGGAAACCTGTGAAGTATACACTGGCTGACCAGTAAGTGCAAATTGTATGTAAGGAGGTTCTAAGAAGGTGAATCACCCACCTCCCAGTGCCCACATCTCCACCCAGTTCTGTTGTTCTCTGCTGAAACTCAAATATAGAGCTTAAATATCATCTTATTGTGAAATATAGCATATATACAGAAAGATAGATAAAGAAAAATGTACAGCAGAAATAGAATGTAGAGGGCAGTGATTTGTCACAAAGAAGCACCTGTGAGATCAATATCCAGGTGGAAGTCTAGGTCAGGGGTCAGCAAACTTTTTCTCTAGAGAACAGAAGAGTAAATATTTTACTTAGCTATTTGGTCCCTTCAGCAACTACCTAACTCTGCTATGTTAGTCTATTCAGGCAGCTGTAACAAAATACCATAAACTGTGTGGCCTATAAACAATAAAACTATACTTCTTACAGTTCTGGAGGCTGGGAAGTCCAAGATCAAAGTGCCAGCTGACTCAGATTCCATGTCTGGTAAGGGCCTGTTTCCTGGTTTCTGGCCTATAAGGTTCCCTCTCACTGTGTCCTCACATGGTAGAAGGGGCAAGCTAGCTTTCTGGGGCCCCTTTTATAAGGATACTAATTCCATTTATGAGAGCTCAACCCTCATGATCTCATCACTTCCCAAAGGCCTCCTAATATCATCACATTGGTGATTAGGTTTCAACATATGAATTTGGTAGGAAAGGCACAAACACTCAGGTCACAGCATCTGTATCTGCTGTTGCATTGTGAAGGCAGCCATAGACAATATTAAACAAATGTGCTTGCATTGTTCCAATAAAACTTTATTTACAAAAATAGGTACCAGACTATAATTTGCCAACTCCTGATTTAGATGATGATCAACACCCAGAAGCCACCTCATGTTTTCTCCTTAACAAGGGCAACATTATCCTGATTTTTATGGCAATTACTTCCATACTTTTCCTTATAGCTTTACTTCCTAAACATACATTGCTAAGCACTAGCTTTTTGCCTAGTTTTTGCACTTAATATAAATCAAGTCATACAGTATTTACTTTTTTGAATCTGGCTTTTTCACCAGACATAACTAGCATATGGCTCTAGATTATTCCACTTTACAAGTGATGCACACGCACATTGCTTCCAGTTTGGAGCCATGGTCAATACGCAGCTATGAATATTTTTATACAAATCTCATAGTACATGTGTACATGAATTTCCGTGGGTATAAATCTAAGAAGTTTTGGAAATTCCAAGAAATTTGGGATCATAGAGTATGTATATGTTCAACTTCAGAAGATTCTGACAACTCCTTTCCATATAAATCGTGTGAACTTGCTTATCCACCAGCAATGCATGATGCCAAGGAAACAACATAATTTTTCCTCAGCCCTTATAAATGTATTGTTGAGACAGACTCCTGTTACTAAAGACAGATTAACAAGAGAAAAAACAGACAAGTGTATAAATGCAAACAGCGTGCATCACATAAGAGAAACTTCAGTGAAAGGTACCTCAAAGCAGTGACTTGAAACTCTGGCTTATTTAACATCTTCAACAAAGAATAATAAATTTTAGAGAAGTGACAAGACAGAGCAAAGAAGTTTTAAGCTTCCAGAGGTAGCTATGAGTAGAATATGGGAATAAAGTAATGGAGTAAGGGTTATTTGTAGATTCCTCTGGTGCCATCTCTGAGCTAATAGCAGTCGTCTCCAGTAAAGGATAATTTATATCATGTCTTTAGGCAGTAGGGGCAGAGGAGAGAATAGAAAGAGCTCTTCCTCCCTTTGCTACTTCTTAATTGCCTTCAGTTCAAAAATATTTATTTCAAAGAGGTAGATTTTGGAATGATGCATTCTGGTTTCCTTCAGTGAGAAGAGTGCCAACTGTTGCACCTCTACTCCAGAGCTACACAGGACTTGGTATTACCAGACTTCTGTAGCTTATCCATTCTGGTGAGTACATTGGTAACTCATGGTTTTAATTTACGTTCCCCAATTAGTAATGGGCCCAACACCTTTCCATGTGTTCACTGGTCATTTAGATCTCTTCATTTGTGAAGTGCTTATTCAAGTTGTCTGCCAATGTTTTCTATTTGGCTGTTTGACTTTTCCTTATTGATTTTTAGAAGTTCTTTTTGTTTTCTGAGTATGAGCTCTTTGTTGACTATATGTGTAGCAAATCTTTTCTCCCATTGTTGGCTTACTTTTCATCAAGTCATTTGAAGAACAGAGAGATTCTTGGTTTCAAGGTGGTAAACATCTATTTTCCATCATAGTTAGCACTTTTTTAATATCCTGCCTAAAAAAAATCTTTTCATACCCCAAAGTTATGAAGATCTTCAGGTTTCTAAGTTGCATTTCTCTAGGATATTATTCATCTAATCTAAATCTAGTTTGTGTTATTAATAATATGCCATTAGTATCATCTTATTATTTTTAGTATTAGCAGAATCTCTAGCAAAGTTGACTTTTCATCCCTTACATTGGATATATAGGTGTCTTCTCCCTTTTCTTCTTTTTTCATGAAATCTTTTAATTTTTATAATTTATTTTTGTTATGCAGCCCAAAATGTCATCTTCTCATAAAATCTTGGTGGAGGTGCACCCCAGGGATGATTTGGCCTCAGTCAAGAGCTAATTTTGCAGTGAGCCAAGATCGCACCACTGCACTCCAGCCTAGGCGACTGAACAAGACTCCGTCTCAAAAAAACAGAACAAACAAACAAAAAAAAACCTGATTTTTCCTGTAGCTATGCTGACCGCAGCAGGTCACTAAAAGCTGATTGTCAATGGAGGAAACAGTGGCTGCTTGTATCCCAGGTCTTCTGATGGAAGCAGCAGTTCCACAATCACCAAAGGTATTGTTCACAACACACCTCAGCAACATGGGTCCATGAGAGCGTATGTTTTAGAACTTACCCATTGGAAGGATATATTTAATACATATCAGAAATTCATCAAATTACTGGCCACTAACAACATATAGAAGTAGACTGTTTCTATAGAAAGGGCTTACAATCTGAGCTGACCTTTTATAATGGCAAATAGTATTACAGTGATATTGTAAACAAACAACTCAAATATGGAAAAAATGTAGTACAATACATAATTATTGAAGACCTCTCTTTTAGGTAAGATTTTCAGAAAACCCAGGGACAGATTTGATATCACAGAATGGTCCATAGCATCCAAAAATATCTTTTGATTGGACAGAAAAATAATATTTGTTGGAAACTAAAAACTGAGATAAAGGGCAGGCCTTTGGGAGTGATAAAGCTTTAATTTCTCCAGTCTTCTTCCAAATCAACTTATTATTAGGGTTCTCATAACACAGGAAGAGGTGGTAGCTTTCTACAGGAGTGCACTGGGATTGATTTTGGTTATATTGCCAGTCAGGGCAATGCCCCTGGGTCTCAAAACCCATTTCACTTTGAGCTCAGGCTTGTGGTGAGGAAGTGTGTCTCAGATTTTATCTACTAATTCGGGTATTAGTGGTGGTGGTTCTGAGAGTGGTGGCAGGTGCTCAAAGGACTCAGGAACCTGGGCTGCATTTTGTGCCAATGAGGCTCTTTGAGTTTAAAACAGTTTTCAAAGGTACTCCAGGGTGGATACTGGACTTTCTGTATTGCAGTTGGATAGGCCTTCTTTTGTCAAATCAATTGTAGAATCAAGTTTCCTCTGTACAGCCATAACTTCAGCATTGGGAGAATTGCTGGAATTTCCTGATGTAATTTTTCCGATTATCTGTTGGATTTGATGTAACCGGAGTTGTCAAATTAGGACTTTTCACAGAAATCAACATAAGATCATCATTGTTACTTTCAGAACAGACTCATTTTGATCGGTGACAAACTAATTTTTTTACTTCCTTTTTCTGAAGGGTTAGAAGGCTCATAATTCACAGAAGACCTCTTTAAACTGGACTATTAACTGACTCCAGATTCTTTCTTTTCTTTATTTTTTTTTCTTTTTTTTTTTTTTTTTTTTTTGAGACAGAGTCTTGCTCTGTCACCCAGGCTGGAGTACAGTGCTGTGACCTCAGCTCACTGCAACCTCCACCTCCCAGGTTCAAGTGATTCCCCCGCCTCAGCCTCCCAAGTAGCTGGAATTACAGGCACCCACCATCATGCCTGGCTAATTTTCATGTTTTTAGTAGAGACAGGGTTTCACCATATTGGCCAGGCTGGTCTTGAACTCCTGACCTCAAGGGATCCTCCCGCCTTGGCCTCCCAAAGTGCTGGGATTACAGGCGTGAGCCACCGTGCCTGGCCCTAACTCCAGATTCTTATCCAAATTCATAATCTCTGAATTTGCAACCTTACAGGCTCCATTACTGGATAACATGTTTGGTTCCAAACAATAACTTTGAGAGAATAATACTGTGTTAATATGTCTTTGGAGTTTTGCTGTTTTGGCGAAGAGTTTATCAGCTATTCCTTCATGTTTATTCCTGCGCTCTATCTTCCCAGTGTGTTTGTTCAATTCTTTCAGTTTGTTGTCAAATAGTTCGTAATTTATACTATGATCAAATGTCTGACCTGTTCCAGGAATGCTGTTTGCCTTTCCAAACCTACACAAATATTTTCATTAATTTGCTCTGAAGTTTTCATGCATTTAATATTTTCTTTGTTTTCTGAAAACATCCTCTTTTTTTGATAATGGCTGTTGTTGTTATCAGTGTCAAGTGATGACTGCCAAGTTGAATCTGCACTTTCACAATTTGAAATGCTGGAAGGACAGGTTCTACTAGATTCTTCAGTTTTCAAAATGTCATCAGCACAGTTGTTACAAGTGCCTGAATTCACCAAGTTAGGTGTTTTCTCAACAGGCACAAAACCTAAGTCTTCTGAACTTAAAATGTTGTCACTTTTTCTTTGATAAAAGGCAAATGTGATTCCAAATTGGAGTTTGTTTCTAAATGGAAAACCATCTGGTCAGTTCTCTTATTATCCACAGTACTGGTTGCTGCAGACTTTGGCATCTGAACACCACCACTCAATAAACTTGGTGGACAGAAACTGGACTTTAGACTACAAGCCCCTTTCTGCTCAAAAAGGGATCCTGTTACATTCGTCTAATATTCAAAATGGTTTTCAGAACAGTTTTTGGAAGTGTTCAGTGAATCTTTTGCCTCTTGTATAAAGACTCTGCTTGGGGAATCTGTTGTTTTACTTGGCTTTTGATACGGACAAACAACCTGTTCCAATTTTGTTTCTGAATGAACGATTTCTTCTACTGGTTTTCTGCAATTCTGAGAGAATACTTTACTTTTCTCTAGTAACAAATTTTTATTAGAGTCCAATGAGGAAGCACCATTTTCAGAATGTCTACATTTGCTAGTTATGACACTAGGACTGAAATTCTGATTACCACTTGGAACATTACTCCCAGTTGCTGCTGCTTTCAGTGCTTCAACATGCCTTGACTTATTCAGAATCTGCACTTGCTTCCAGCAAGCTGGGGGCATTTTTTTTTTTTTTTTTTTTTTTGCTTTTAATGTCTTCCCTTTACTTCTATCCGGACTTGCCATCTTTCATATCCAGCAATGGATCCAAACCAAGAAGAAATCCCTGATTTACCGATATACACCCGTTCTTAAAACACACAAATCACTTCCAATAAGGCACTGGCTCATGTATTTCCATTGAAGCAGAAGTCAATCTTAGGATGTAGTCTGTACATGTCTGCAGATAAGATTCATAAGCGCTGAATTCAGTGTAATTAGTCCTTCATTCAGAGGCTTCATTGTTGCATTTTCAATTGCTTTCCTGTGATATAACTTATCTTTATCTTGAATGGCCTTCCCCATTAGTTTTGCAAATAGTTATGTCGCAGGTCATTTGCTGGCTAGAGCTGCGCCACTCCAGCCACCCGATCCCCATCTTTTCTTCTCAATCCCAATAGAGGTATACCAAGGATGTTTGTCTTTTAAAAGGACTAACTTTGGGTTTGTTGATACTCTCCATTGTATTTTTGTTTCATTAATTTATGCTTACATTTATCATTAATTTCCTTCTACTTTATTTTCTATTAATGTGCTGTTATTTTTCTAGCTTCTTGAGAAACGTGCCTGAGTCAATGCTTTTTTCAGTCTTTCTTCTTTACTGCACACACACACATGCCACACACACATATTTTGATATTTTTATTATTATTCAGCTTAAATATTCTACTGTCCTGTGTGACTTCTTTGACTTATGGGTTATGCTGAAATATATTTCTAAATTTTTAAACATATGAAAAACGTATAATTATGTCTTCGTTATTGATTTCAGGTTTAATTGTATAATTGACAGGGAACATTCTCTGTATGATTTCAGTTCTCTGAAATTTGTTGAGATTTGTTTTATGACCCTGCATAAGGTCAATTAGAATATAATTATTTCATGTATACTTGAAAAGAAAAAAATGCATACTCTTAATTTGTTGGGTGGAGTATTTAAAAATATTTATGAGGTCATTTGCTAATTATGCTATTTAAATGTCTCTATTCCCTTTTTTGCCTGTCAAATATCAAGACCAATGTGTTAAAAAAATCTTCCAATACAAGTGTGGATTTGCTTACTTCTCTTCATGGCTGTGTCAATCTTTATACATTTTGAAGGTGTATTATTAAGTGCATAAACATTTTAAATTTATTTTTCAGTTGAATATTTTATAATTCTGAAATGTCCCTGTTTATCTCTAGTCATGGTTTTTTGCCATGAATTCTGCTTTGTCTGGCAAAAATATAACTATATAAACTTTTTTATCATTAATGTTTAGATAATAAAATTTTGTCCATTCTTTTACTTTCAAACTTTCTGTGTTTTAATATTTTTCTCTATGTCAAGGTTTGAATACTGAATAATGACCTGCTGTGTCCGATCTGCAGTTAAGCCTGTGCATTGAGATCTAAATCTCAAATACTGTAATTTGGGGTTCTAGAATGTCCTATCTAGACATTGTATCTAGATCTATGGGGAGATACTTTGAGACCATCAAAATATCCTGCTCCTCATCAGATTTTCTCCTTCAATTTCACATATATTGATGATTTATACCTGATCCAGTCTTTATCATGTTGGTTATAAAATAGTGATTTTTCCACTTCTACTACTTCCTCCACATTTACCAGTTGGCATTCTACTGTAAGAAATATTTGCAGCATATATCAACTGAGCACCCCCCTTCTCATCTATCTATCTGTCTATTATCTACCTGTCTATCACCTATCTCTTACCTAAACTCATCCCTATTTAAATGGGTTATAATATATAATTATATATATGTATAAAACATAATTATATGTCCCTATTGTTCTGATGCTCAAACTGTCCCAGATTTGATCCAGTCAGTGACCTTTCAAGGTGGTTTCTTTATCTTTGTAACACACTCTCCTCATTTTATTTGTTTTTGAGTACTTTCTTGTTTTCTGGCATTAAAAAAAAAGAATGTTCCAGATCTATCTTGTACCTTCCCTGAGAAATGAGCCATTTCTCTAACGATCCCTGGTTTCTTTTTAACGATTTCCCTTTAATGACTTTGGCACTAGGTATACTCATTGCTACTGGAATGTCACTATTTTTATGTCTTTTCATTGTAGAGCTAAGGAATATCTTATAAATAAGAAATCCTGAGTTCATACTGGCATTTACAGTTCCCATCCAGCTCCACAGAGTTCTTCCCCACGTTCCCTTATTTAATGTTGAGACCTCTCTCTTCCACATTTAGAATCCTAGCTCCCACAAACACCAAGCCATTTACTCAATCACTCAGTCCTACAGTGCATTTAAAATAGTTTCAAAATAGCTTTACTTGCACCGCCAAAAGGAAGCTTTCTGAAAAATAGTTCAAAATTTGTAGTTATTTTCTCTAAACTGAGGATATATAGTAGAGTCAAAGAGCTGTGTTCAGAAGTTATTTGGACCAGAGTTTTTCCCCGCCTACAATGTGGTTACATTATTAATTTGAAATACAGCTGAATTTCTATGTCTGCTTGCATTTAGTTTTAGTTAATTTCTCTGTTCCTGATTATTTTATTTTGCTTTTTGGGTTATGTAGAACATTAACATGATTCCAAAAGTCAAAACTATGCAAAAAGGCATGTAGAAAGAAGTAGCAATATTTGCCCTGCCCCTTCAATCCCATTCCTTTTATATTTGTAAGTAACTTCTTTTACTGTTTTCGCCCTTCATTTCTTTTGGCAGAAGTAAGCAAATACACATATGTTTTATTGTTTCCCTTTATTTGTTACACAAAAGATGGCATTCTGTACATACACTTTTGCAGTATGCTTTTGGCCACTTAAAAATATATTCTGAAAATTACTCCACATCAGTTCATGGAGATAATCTTCATTCTTTTTTTTTTTTAAACAGCTGCAAGATACTCCATTGTATGTAGGTGCTATATTTTGTTTTCAACCAATCTCCTATATGTAAACATCTAAGCAATTTCCAATATTTTGCATTCACACAAAAATGCAGCAGTGAAAAACTTTATGCACATTGTTGGCATAAAGTAAATTCTTAGAAACGGGGTTACTAAGCCTAAGGCTTAGCGAAAATGTAGCTGTATCAGATATTTTCAAATTCCCCTTTACAGAGATTACACCATTTTTTTCATTCCCACCGGCAATACATGAGACTCCATATTTCCCTGCAACCTCATCTACTACACATATTTTCAAGCTTTTGAATTTTTGCCAATCTGATGGCTAAAACATAGTATCTTAGTTTAGTTTAAATTTTCATTTGGGTGAAGTTTTGTATTTCGTATATTTAAGAGCTATTTTAATATTTTTTATAAATTGTTTGCTCATGTCTTTTGTCACTTTACTACCATTTTTGTCACTTTTCCCTCTCAATCAAAAACAATTCTTTATATATTAGGGATATCAACCTGCATCTGTAATATATATTGCAAGTATTTTCTCCCAATTTGTCATTTGCATTTTGAGTTACTTACGGTATTCTTTGCTATTAAAAAATGTTTTTAAAAATTGTTTCCTGCCTGGCGCGGTGGCTCACGCCTGTAATCCCAGCACTTTGGGAGGCCAAGGCAGGCAGATCACGAGGTCAGGAGATCAAGACCATCCTGGCTAACATGGTGAAACCCCGTCTCTACTAAAAATACAAAAAATTAGCCGGGCGTGGTGGCAGGCGCCTGTAGCCCCAGCTACTCAGGAGGCTGAGGCAGGAGAATGGTGTGAACCTGGGAGGCGGAGCTTGCAGTGAGCCGAGATTGTGCCACTGCACTCCAGCCTGGGTGACTCCTTCTCAAAAAAAAAAAAAAAATTGTTTTCTGTAGTCAAACTTAACAATCTTTTTTGTTTGCATCTGGATTTTAAGTTACAATTTGAAAATATTCCCTCCACTCAGGATATACAGGAATTCATTCACCCATGTTTTCTTCAAGTACTTGTATAGTTTAATTTTGCATATTTTGATACCTAATTCATTTTGCATTTATTCTTGTGTATGGTATAAGGGAAGGATATAAATTTATATTTTACAAATGGCTATTTTTCCATATCATTTATTAAAAAGCAATTATTTGCCCCAGTGATTTGATATACTACTTGTATTATATACATGGTTTCTTGACTTTCTCTTCCATTCCAATAGTCTTTCTGTGTATTAATGTGCCAGTACCACATCATTTTAGTTAGAGGATTTGTAGTATGTTTAATAAGTGATAAGGCTAGTTCCATCTCAGAGCTCTTGCTTTTCAGTATTATTCCTAGTTATTCTTGTATCTTAATTTTTCCAGGCACTTTAGCTCCAGGACAAAAAAGTTTCTTGGTATTTTATTTTGATTACAATAGGTTTATAAATTAAATTAGGAAGAACTGACATCTTGATGATGTTGAGATGTCCTAACCGAGAACAAGGGGTGCCTTTTTCAGAGGATGTCTAGAGAGATTTGGACTCTGTCATCCACTACTATTTTTTAGACCCAGAGGCTTTTGTCATAGTTTGCATTATTGAATCATCAAAGTTTAAATGTTAATTGGTAATTTTTTTACTCTCTTCCTGATCAATACAAGGAACTTAGAGTACTTTAATGCAATTTTCTCACCATTTTACTTTTAATTTTATGTATCTTTCAAACACAATAAGACTTTATTTTTGTCATTTTATATAGTCGATATCCGTGTAGACTTAGCTATGTTATTTACCCTTTTCATTGTTCTTCATTCCTCTTTGGGTCTTCAATCTTCTGTCTGCAATTATTTTCCTTTGTCTGATGAATGTACTTTAGAATTCCCTTTAATTCCTTTTAAGGGTCTACAAGTAACTAATTGTCTCAGTTTTGTTTCTCTGAAAGTGCCTTTATAATATCTTCATTTCTGAGGAATATTTTTACTGGGTATAGAATTCTAGATTGGCAGTTATTTTTTTCAGCATTTTAAATGTAAATTACATTGCCTTCTAATTTCCATTGTTTCTCTTGAGAAATCAACAGTCTAGTTGTTGCATCGTTGAGAATAATCTGCATTGTTTCCTCTGCTTTCATAATTTTTTCAATTTGCTTAAGAGTTTCAGCTGTTTGTTATGATGTGCTTCTCTTTTTGTGCATTTCTTTTTGTCTATTCTATTTGGAGTTTTTAGATATTCTTGTAGCTTGAGATCTTTCATCAGTTTTTAAAAGTTCTCAACTATTACGTCTTCTTGTTTCTGTTTTACTTTTTCTTCTCTCCTTCTGAGACTTCAGTGATATGTTTAGACTATCTCATTGTGCTCTCCATGTTTCTTACCCTCTATGAACTATTTTCTTGCCTTTTGTCTCTCCTGCCTCATTCTTAATATTTTTCTCTAAGCTATACTCAACTTACTAGTTCTCTCTTCAGCTGTGTCTAGTCAACTAGTAAACTCAACCACTAAAATATTTATTTTAGTTATTGTATTTTGACTTCCAGAATCCCCATTTGGTTTCTTTTTAGAGCTTCCAGATATCTGCCAACATTCTCAACCTTTTCTATTACTCTCTTGGGCATGATAATCATAGTTATTTTAAAAGTTTACCAGATAACTTCAATATCTGGACCCCCTGTGAAATTATGCCTGTTTATAAGTTGTTTCTGCAATTGCAGAAAGACTAAAGGACTGCGTATTTCTTTTGCTTTTACAGTAGATCTCTTCTTGCTGGCTTAAATAAAGCATTTACAGGAGTCAGGCAGGTAAATAGAAATTAAAGTGATAAGAAAAGGTGAGGGACTGTGGCTAATTGGGGAATGCATGTCTCACCCAAAGGCCCTCAAATTAAAAAAACTGTAAACATTTTCAGGTCAAACAAAATGCATCTATGAACTGAATTTGCTTTCCCAGTGCCACTAATTTGTAGTCCCGAAACTACAAATTAATGTATTCCTGTCCTTTACTCCAAATATGAGAGTCTAGGAAAATAAACTACCTGGTAGTTGCATTCATTTACTCCTAGTAGAGGATAGAACCTAAGGAATTATTGTGAAGTCTTAATAGCCAATGTTTATAAAGTCCATGTATGCTAAGAATTCCTCTGAAGACCATATATATATATTCCTTACCACAGTATTATGAATAAATTTTTTATTATATGTCTTATGGATGAGGAAACTGAAGTACAAAGAGATTAACTGAATTCAGACCCCAGCACTCTGTCTCTAGTACTTGGTATTTGCCACTACACAGTGCTGAGTCAGGATACATGGGGAAAGAGGGCCTAAAGTTCTGAAAGTTGAAAGTCTTGACTGAGTTCCACCTGATTCAGTAACTGTGAAATTCACAAAGAAGCAGAAAGAAATGTGCTATTTTTACTGGGGGAAAATAAATAATTAAAAAAGTGCATGCCACCGGAGAATGAGATCAGCTTTAAGATACCTGTACCATTTCAGCCCCATAGGAGATAGTGTATTTGTTCACACACCAAGCACATTGCTACTACAACCAGCATATGAGAAAGCTATCATACAAAGACTCTCTCTAACCAGGAAACTCTTAACGGAGTCTTCACCCATGAAAGCACCAAGAACTGAATTAGGTTATAATTAACTATAAGCATTAAAGTCTCATCCTTAAGAAGAAAAAAGAAATTTAAAAACAAATAAAAGAAATACAGTCAAATCAAACATAAATTCAAGAATAGTTAGAAGAAATAATCTACTCAAATGAGAAGGAACCAGAAAATTAACTCTGGTAATATGACAAAACAGAGTGCTATAATACTCCCCCAAAAAAATCACACTAGCTCTCCAGCAACGGACCCTGGCCAAGATGAAATCTTTAAAATAACCTATAGAAGGTCAATTGTTAAGCTACTTGAGGAGATATCAGAGAAAGGTGAAAACTATCATAAACAAATTAAGACGCAGCTCAGGATATAAATGAAAAATTTTCTAGAGAGATAGATATCATCAAGAAAAACCAATCAAACTTCTGGAAATGAAAGACAGACTGAGGGAATTACAAAATGCGGTGGAAAGTTTTAACAAAAGACTAGAATAAGTAGAAGAAAGAATTTCAGAGCTCAATGATGGGCTTTTGAATTAACCCTATCAGACAAAAATAAAGAAAAAATAATCAAAAGAAATGAACAAAGTCTCCAAGAAATATGGGATAATGTAAAAATGCCAAACCTAAGAATAATTGATGTTCCTGAGGGAGAAAATAACAGGTCTGGAAAATTTGTTTCAGGAAATAATTGAGGAAAACTTCCCTGGCCTGGCTAGAGATCTAGATATCCAAATCTAAGAAGCTCAAAGAACCCCTGGGAAATTCATTGCAAAAAGACCTTTACCAAGGCATAGAGTCATCAGGCTATCTAAAGTCAGCATGAAGGGAAGAATTCTAAGAGCAGTTTTTGTAGGTTACCTGATGCTTTTATTGTACTGCTCTTTGAAGTTAGAGCAGCAGACCTCTCAGCAAAAACCTTACAAGCCAGAAGGGACTGGGGTCCTATTTTTAACCTCCTTAAACAGAAAAAAACTGTAAGCCAAGAATTTCATATCCTGCAAATCTAAGTTTCATAAGTGAAGGAGAAATAAAGTCATTTTCAGACAAACAAATGTTGAGGGAATTTGTCACTACCAAACTAGCACTCTAAGAAATGCTAAAAGGAGTTCTAAACCTTGAGACAAAGCCTGATATGCACCAAAATAGAACCTCTTGAAAGCTTAAAACTCACAGGGCCTAAAATACAATAACACAATGAAAAACAAAACTAGGTAGTAATTAATATGATAAAGAGAACCATACCTCGCATCTCAATATTCACATTGAGCGTAAATGGCCTAAACACTCCACTTAAAAGATACAGAATGGCAGAGTGAATAAAAAATTGCAATCCAAATATCTGCTATCTTCAAGAGATTCACCTAACACAGAAGGATTCATATCAACTCAAGGTAAAAGGGTGGAAAAAAGTATTCCACATAAATGGAAACCAAAAACAAGCAGGAGTAGCTATTCTTCTATCAGACAAAACAGACTTCAAAACAACAACGGTGAAAAAAAAGACAAAGATGGTCACTATATAATGATAAAGGGATCAATTTAACAAAAAGATATTACAATCCTAAATGTATATGCACCAAACACTGGAGCTCGTATATTGATAAAACAATTACTACTAGACCTAAGAAATGAGATAAACAGCAAAACAATAATATGGGAGACCTCAATACACCAGTGACAGCACTAAACAGATCTTTGAGACAGAAAGTCAACAGAAAACAATGGACTGAAATGACACATTAGAACAAATGGGCTTAATGAATATTTACAGAACACTCTACCTAAGATCTGTAGAATATATATTTTTCTGATCAGCACATGAAACGTTCTCCAAGACAGAACATATGATAGGCCATAAAACAAGTCTCAATAAATTTTTTAAAAATCAGAATTATCTCCAGTATCTTTTCAGATCACAGTGGAATAAAACTGGAAACCAACTTCAAAAGGAACCCTTAAAACTATATAAATACATGAAAATTAAATAATCTGCTCCTGAATGATATCTAGATTAACAATAAAATCAAGATGAAAATTTTAAAAAAATTTTAAATGAATGATAATAATGAGATGTTATTAAAACCTCTGAGATACAGCAAAAGCAGTGCTAAGAAGAAAGCTTATAGTGCTTAATGCCTATATCAAAAAGTCTGAAAGAGTACAAATTGACAACCTGTTGTAACACCTCAAGGAACTGGAGAAACAAGAACAAACTAAACCTGAAGCTAGAAGAAGAAAAGAAATAAAAATTAGAGCAGAACTAAACAAAATTTAAACAAAAAAAATTCAAAAGATTAATGAAACAAAAAGCTGGTTCTTTGAAAAAATAAATAAAATCAATAGACCACTAGCTAGGTTGACCAAGAAAAGAAGACAGAAGATCCAAATAAGCTCAATTAGAAATGAAACTGGAGACATTGCAACTGATACCACAGAGATACAAAAGATCGTTCGAGACTACTATGAACATCTTTATGTGCACAAACTAAAAAACCTAGAGGAAATGGACAAATTCCTGGGAACATACAACCCTCCTAGATTAAATCTGGAAGAAACAGAAACCTTGAATAGACCAATTACAAGCAGCGAGATTGAATCAGTAATTTTAAAATTGCCAACAAAAAAAAGCCTAGGACAGTTGGATTCACAGGTGAATTCTACCAGACATTCAAAGAAGAAGTAGTACCAATTCTACTGAAACTATTCCAGAAATTTCTATTGAGCAAGAAATAATTCTCCCTAAATCATTCTATGAAGCTAGTATCACCCTGATACCAAAATTAGGAAAGGACACAACAAAAGAAGAAAACTACAAACCAATTTCCCTGATAAATGCAAAAATCCTCAACAAAATATTAGCCAACTGAATCCAACAACACATCAAAAAGATAATTCATCATGATCAAATGCATTTTATCCCAGGGATGCAGAGATGGTTTAACATACACAAGTCAATAAATGTGATACATCTCACAAACAGAATTAAAAACAAAAACTATATGATCATCTCAATAGATACAGAAAAAGCATTCAGCAAAATCCAGCACATTTTTACGATAAAAACTCTCAACAAACTATGCATAGGAAGGATTTACCTCGAAATTTAAAAAGCCATATATGACAAACCCACAGCCAACATCATACTAAATCAGTTAAAGTTGAAAGCATTCCTCCTGAGAACAGGAACAAGACAAGGGTGTCCACTTTCACTACTCTTATTCAACAGAGTTCTGAAAGTCCTAGCCAGAGCAATTAGGCAAGAGAAAGAAGTAAAGGGCATCTGAATTGAAAAAGAGGAAATCAAACTATTGCTGTTTGCAGATTATACAACTGTATACCTAAAAAATCCTAAAGACTCCTCCAAAGGACTCTCAGATTTGATAAATGAATTCAGGAAAGTCTCAGGTTACAAAATCAATGTACTCAAAACAGTAGCACTGCTATATACCAATAACAACCAAGCCGAGACTCAAATCAAGAACTCAATCCCTTTTACAACAGCTGCAAGAAAAATAAAATACCTAGGAATATACTTAACCAAAGAGGTGAAAGATCTCTATGAGAACTGCAGAACACTGCTCAAAGAAATCATAGATGACACAAACAAGTGGAAACACATCTCATGCTCATGGATTGGAAGAATCAATATTGTGAAAATGACTCTACTGCCCAAAGCAATCTATAGATTCAATGCAATTCCCATCAAAATACCAACATCGTTTTTCACAGAATTAGAAAAAATAATTCTAAAATTCATGTAGAACCAAAAAGAGCCCAAATAGCCAAAGCAATCCTAAGCAAAAAGAACAAACCTGGAGGCATCACATTACTGGACTTCAAATTATACTAAAAGGCTATAGTTACAAAAACAACAGAGTACTGGCATAAAAGTAGGCACATAGACCAATGGAACAGAATATAGAACTGAGAAATAAAGCCAAATACATACAGCCAACTGATCTTTGACAGAGCATTAAAAATTATAAATTGGGGGATGGATACCCTGTTTAATAAATGATACTGGGAAAGCTGGCAAGCCACAGGTAGAAGAATGAAACTGGATCCCTATCTCTCACCATATACAAAAATCAACACAAGATGGATCAAAGACGTAAATATAAGACCTGAAATCATAAAAATTCTACAAGACAACATTGGAAAAACTCTTTTAGACATCGGCCTAGGCAAAGAATTCATGACTATGACCCCAAAAGTAAACGAAACAAAAACAAAAATAAATAAATAAATGGGACTTAATTAAACTAAAAGGCTTCTGCACAGCAAAAGAAATAATCAACAGAGTAAACAGACAAACCACAGACTGGGAGAAAATATTTGCAAACTATGCATCCAACAAAGGACTAATATCCAGAATCTACAAGGAACTCAAATCACAAAGAAAAAAAAACACATAATTCCATTAAAAAGTAGACAAAGGACATGAATAGCCATTTCTCAAAAGAAGATATACAAATGGCCAAAAAACATGAAAAAATGCTCACCCTCCCTAATCATCAGGAAAAGGCAAATTAAAACTATAGTGAGATACCACGTTACTCCTGCAAGAATGGCCATTATTAAAAAGTCAAAAAACAATAGATGTTGGCATTGATGTGGGGAAAAGGGAACACTTATACACTGCTGGTGGGGATGTAAATTAATACAACCTCTATCGAAAACAGTATGGAGATTCCTTAAAGAGCTAAAAGAAGATCTACCATTCAATCCAGCAATCCCACTACTAGGTATCTACCCAAAGGAAAAGAAGTCATTATTATGAAAAACACACTCGTACACATTTGTTTATAGCAGCACAATTCACAATGGCAAAGATGTGGACCAACCTAAGTGCCCAATGACTAATGAATAAAGAAAATGTGGTATATTTACACTATGGAATGCTACCCAGCCATTAAAAAGAATAAAATAGGCTGGGCACAGTGGCTTTTGCCTGTAATCCCAGCACTTTGGGAGGTCAAGGCGGGCAGATCACAAGGTCAAGAAATCAAGACCACCCTGGCTAACACAGTGAAACCCTGTTTCTACTGCAAATACAAAAATTAGCTGGGCGTGGTGGCGTGTGCCTTTAGTCCCAGCTACTCAGGAGGCTGAGGCAGGAGAATCACTTGAAACCGGGAGGCGAAGGTTGCAGAGAGCCAAGATCGTGCCACTGCACTCCAGCCTGATGACAGAGCCAGACTCTGTCTCAAAAATAAATAAATAAATAAATAAAATAAAATAATGTCTTTTACAGCAACTAGGATGGAGCTGGAGGCCATTATTCTATGTGAAGTAATACAGGAGTGGAAAACCAAAAACCATGTGTTTTCACTTATAAGTGGGAGCTAAGCTATGAGTACACAAAGGCATAAGAAGTGACATAATGGACTTTAGAGACTCAGAAGGGGAAGAGTGGGAGGGTGGCTAGTGACAAAAAAAAGTACGCATCAGGTACAATGTACACTACTCAGGTGATGGGTGCACTAAAACCTCAGAATTCACCACTATATAATTCAACCATGTAAAAAAACCCACTTGTACCCCAAAAGCTATTGAAATACAAACACAAAACAAAGCAACAAAGAAATGTGCTGTTTTTAGAAGTACTGTGAGGTGCTCTGTTCCTTAAACACTACTGTGTTGTCATTCTTTCTTTTATAAACTGGAATGTGTTTGAATGTCAATTCAATTAGTAAATGTATAATTGCTGTCTTCATAAACCACGCTTTGACATTTAATATGCCAAACATGACCATTTTATGAGCAAACCAAGTTATCCATAGTACATTTTTATGTTCTGCAGCTATCAACATGGCTTCAGATTTATAGAGTGCTAAAAATGTAACTATATAATAAATATCAATTTTCCCTAAAATTGTCTTTTTTAAATGAAACAGAAAAAATGATATTTCTGCCAATGCCTCTGTTCCAATAGATCTAAAATTCTTGAAAAGTTGAAATTCCTCAAATATTGAGAGTTCTTGTGCAGCCCTGTACAATCACACATAGCAAAATGTGTCTTCAGTTGTGCACTTTTCTGGGAAGCTTGTGGAGTCATCCATATATGCATGAGATTGGGGAAGATAAGCCCACTAACAAATTTTAAATAGCTCTACGGAGCAGTTCTTAGACAAGACCTTGCTGGTAATGAGATGAGGCAGTCTGAGAGTCTGGGCCTCCCTGAGGTCATGCTGGAGCTCTGAGAGAGAAGTAATTATTTTACCATGTAGGGAGGAGTACAGGGATCTGTGGGTGGGAGATGGTTGAAAGCTCACACCTTGCAAATCTCTTTCATCCTCTGTGCCAGGACTGTGGATGGGAACAGACGTTTCAGGTCCTGAAAGCCTTCCCTGGTCCCTTAGAAATCCAAACTGAGTGAGAGGTTGACAGGAGCCTCTGAAAACTCGGAGTATCTCTGAATGAGAGCCACCAATGGGCCAGACAGGGAAGGAGGACAGAAAACATACTTTAAGGGGAAGAAAGAGGACAGGCAATGCTGGATTCAAGAGCAGTTAATGGCTCAGGCAGTCACACCTCAAACACAGTGAATGGGTTTGGAGTGGTGGGGAGGAGGTAGAGCAATGACAGAAATCAGTGAGATCAGTGAGATCAAATGGAAAGCCAAAAACGAACTCAAGTGCATATGGGAATTTAGCTCACAGCAGAGGTCGTTTTTCAAGTGAGTGAGCGAACTGATTATTCAATAAACTATATTGGTACAAAACACCAACACTGGGCCAAAATGAAGTCAGGTTTATACCATGCAGAAAAATATGTATCAGATGAGTTCAAGATTTAAATGTGAATGTGTTTTATAAAAAAAAAGCATAAACGATTACCAAGGTGATAGATACATTAATTAGTTTGATTGTGGCAATCATTTCACCAGTATATGTTGTATATGTGTATCAGAACATCACATTGTACACCTCAAATATATAATTTTTATTTGTCAGTTGGACCTGAATAAAGCTGGGGAAAATAACCATTAAAAAAAATTCAGGAAAAGACGACAGTATATGGGCAAGTTTATAAAACTTTGTTATCCAAAACCTACATACGTGAACAAACCTACGCAAGTGAACAAACCTACGTAAGTGAAGTAAATAGCAAATATACCATCAACATTGAAACTGTAAGGATCTCAGTCTCACACCACAAAGAACTATTATCCTGTAACTGAAATTAAAATTATTTGACTCTAGGAGCTGACAAAGAGAATGCAAAACAGAGCCATGAATACTAAAAGGAAAAAATTATTTAAAATCTTACTGATACCCACCCTACCACATAAATGGGAGTAAGAGGGACCAGGGCTAAAATGGGGCAGAGGAAAACTGTGGAATGTCCCACAGAAAACTACCTTTCCCCAGCGCAAATAACTTCCTGAGCACAGCATGGGCGGGAAACAAGAGAAGATGCCCCTAAGGATAAGGCAAGAGGCCTAGCTGGTGGGAGGAAAAAATAACAAGCCTTTTCAAACCAAAAGCCAGGAATCTCTAAGATTTTATGCAAATATGACTAGCTCACTCCAAAATAGAAGAACATAGCACAGGACAGAATCTGGCCTCAAGTCAGCACAGTTACCCAGAGCAATGAATCCTTGTAAGCCTTTAAGTGTTGTAACTAAAGCTAACATACTTACAAAATACAAGGTGAAATGTATAATTCTTGACATAAAAAGCACGTTAGAAAAAGGTATGTATTATAAGCTGAAACAAAAATCCCAGATTATACCAATAAAATCTTACAAGTGGGGATGCGTGAGGAAGTATGTGTACTAATTTTTTTTTATCTTTCATGGGAGATGGGGCTGTCTGCAGATATTGTTTAATCTATAAAGTTGATAATCTAAGACTAACAGCACAGTCATGTGTCACTTAACAGGGATATGTTCTGAGAAATGTGTTGTTAGGGGATGTCATCACTGTGTGAGCATCACAGAGTGTACTTTCCCTAAACCTAGATGATATAGCCTACTTCGCACCTAGGCTATATGGTAGCCTAGTGCTCCCAGGCTACAAACCTGTACAGCATGTTACTATACTGAATACTATAGGCAATTGGAATACAATAGTAAGCATTTGTGTATTTAAACATAGGAAAGGTACAGTAAAAATACAGTATAAAAGATTTTTTTAAATGGTACCACCTGTATAGGG
Source organism: Homo sapiens (assembly GCF_000001405.40). Classification (NCBI taxonomy): domain Eukaryota; kingdom Metazoa; phylum Chordata; class Mammalia; order Primates; family Hominidae; genus Homo; species Homo sapiens. The sequence continues at coordinate 11,120,874 of NC_000011.10, read as the reverse complement.
CACTTACCATGAATAGGGCTTGCAGGACAGGGAGCTGCTCTGAATGAATCAGTGAGTGGTGAGTGAATGTGAAGGCCTAGGACATTACTGTACACTACTGTAGACTTTATTAACACTGTATACTTAGGCTACACTACATTTATTTTTTAAATAAAGTAATTGAGCTACTGTGTTACAACAGCTATAGTGTCACTAGGTGATAGGAATTTTTCAGTTCCATTGTAATCTTATGGAACCACCACTGTATATGCAGCCTACCACTGACTGAAACATCATTATAAGGAACATGGAACATGGCTATTATGTTTAACTATGTTAAGTATATATATGCAGACTTACCAAGTAGTAGAGCTGAATACCATCCAAATTAATGAAGCAGAAAAGATAAAAAAGCAAACAAACATGCAACAATAGAATACTAGAAACTAGCAAGAAAGAATTAAAAAAAAAGCAGAAAATAGAAATTAGATGACAGATAAAAACTAAACACATCTATTACAACAGTAAATGTTAATATGAAAAGTTAACCTAATGCATAAAAAGAATTCTCAGATTAGATTTAATATGAACTAAATCTAGCCATAAATGCTCTATAGAAAAACAATACAACTTTTACTAGATCGCTTTCATTTGCTTTCTAGATCTACTCTGTTACACTCCACTGCTTTCTGAACCAGGAGGCCAACCAATACCAATGTATTCACACATGGCCTTGCCTCCAGCTTCCAGCTGGGTTTGGTCATAGGAAGCACCAGCCTGAGGTCTGAGAGAGGGAGGGAGGGAAGGAGGGAGGAGAGTGAGGTTGGGGCATTATCTCCCTGGCTCCCTTGTGCAGAATCACCACAGTGGGCTGCCTCCTGCCTCCAAGGGCCATAGCTGCCATTAGGCAGCACCTTCTCTTCAGGCTCTGTCAGGCAAAGAAGGGGTGGTAATGTTGCCCAATGGTTAAGTCCAAGGGTGCTACGCTGTCCCTGTGGTTTCTCCACACCCTTGCTCACACCTCTCTAAACAGTCCCTTTATTAAATTCTCATCAAGTTACCGAATTTGAGCATGGCATCTGTTTCCTGCCAGGACCTTGACTTATACACATTCAAACAAAATTACGCATAAAGCTGAAAATAAAAGAATAGGAAAGGAATACTAGGAAAATTTAAAAACAAAAACAAAAAGTCAGGGTTTGTCTTCCTCAGAAAATGCTGAGTTCAAAAAAAGGTCATTAAATGGGATTTAAAAGATCACATTATACTGATGAAGGGTAAGATCCACATTAACGTAAAATTATCTTAAAGCTATATGTGGTAAATTATACAGAATTAAAACATACGAAGCCAAAAAATTATCGGAAATGCAAAGTAAAAGGAGGCCAAATTCCAATAGCAATGAGGTATTTTAATACAGCTTTCTCAGTCTTTAAAGATCAAGTTAAACATTAGTAGGAAAATTAGTAAAATCTGAACAAACTCTGCGATTTAGATAACAGAATTGTACCCATGTTAAGTTCTTAGTTTTTTTCATATATACTGCAGTTATGCTGATTAACATTCAGGAAAGGTAGACAAAGGGGGAACTATCTGTACTAGGTAAGTGTGGGGAAACTGTACCATTTTTGCAAACTTTTCTGTAAATCTAAAATTATTCCAAAATAGAACATTTAGAAAAATACCAAGTTAATAAAAGATAGAAATATATAAAATCTGAATGATGTAGTTAACAATATTGACCCAAGAACAAAAACTACTCTTTTCTTCTCATGTGGTCATAAAATGCAAACATTCTCTATACCTTAAACAAAAATAAACTCAAAAATTCTAAAAAGTAAAAGCATCAAACCACATTATTAACCACAATCCAAAATTAAGTAGAAACAAACCAAAATCCTTGACCATTTTTAAATCTTAAAACTTTCTCTAAGACCCTACATAACTACTAAGTTTAAGAGGTAACTAAAACTACAATTGCAGGAAGTAGCAGCTAATGCTGATTGCATTTTCAATAACCATTTTTTCTTTCTTCCTTTCTTATTTCAAATTTTACCTGATTTTTTAAAATATTCCCTCTTCTCCAAGAAGTCATCTGTTTCAGGTGAGGTAGGTTCCACTCCTGTTTCTAGGGGGTAGAATCTTGTTTGGTCTGAATCTAATCATAGCGGTCTCACTACTATCACTAGTGATCAGAAATGGTCACATGAAACATCCTGACAAATGAACTTTGAAGGGAAGTCAGAAGAATGTCTTCTCACAAAAGGTTTACTTCAATGCTAAAAAGAAACTGTCCCCTTTCTACGTCTGAAAATTGTCATGGGCATGTGACACTCAAAGCTGCACCTTACCAACATGAAGGAAACCTACTTAAGAACAATCCCCATATACTAAATGTGGCAGAACAGAATGATCAGAATAAACCAGCCCTGAAACCCTCCTACCTCAAACTTCTTAGGAAAAACAACTCCTCAAGGCAATTGTCAGTTTTCTGTTATTTGCTACAGAAAGAATCCTAACTTATGTATAAAATATCTGGAATGTAATTAAAAAAAAGAAAATAATTACATATTCAACCCTGTAGGGTCCAGCCAAAGCATTATTCAGAGAAAAAGTCATTCCCTTTCATCTCTTTCGTTCCCGATATATATACTATCTCTAATAGATTAGGCATTTAAATCAAGAAGCTGGAAAAAAGAAAGGCAATATAATGTCAAGGAAAGTAGAAAAAATAATTTAAAAATTCAATGTTTTTTCTGTTGCCAACTTAACTCTGCATATAGGCCTACAACCTCCTTTAAAGTAGAGCATTTTCTCATTCTCAGCTTCTCTATCATCTCTTAAGCTCAGCTTCAGATTTTGTCGCCCTTCTCCTAGTCCCAAGGCGGGAAGGGTAAATAGCAATCCACTTAGCTCCCTAGTACTTCTAGGAAGGTAAGCACTTACCAGGTCACTGCTATATCTTGCTCTTCAAACCAGTCTGTCTGGCTCAGATAATCAAGAGCTGACTGTGATGTTAAGGTTCTTGTTATACAGGAAGGTAGGATCTCAGCTCAAATACTGTAAAACAAGAGCATCAGATGGCACAGATGGGACTCTCTAGAATGGAGTAAGAGAAATACATGCCAAGCCAAAACAAACATATCCCCGTAACTTCTCTGATAAGGATGTTCATCTGTTCCTTAGTGAGGAACCAGTAGATGTTTTCCTCAGAACACTTTCTAGGTCATTTTTAACTGGCTGCATATATTTATGCTGAGGTTAAGGTAGAATGAACTGTATCTAATTCTCATTCTAGAACATGAATTCAGAAATTCTCCCGAAATGCTTTTGTCAATCTATTTAGATCTTACATTAAAATGCTATTTAATTAAAGACATATGTTTGGACTTGGAAAGCCAAATCTGACTATAATAAACAATGTTCTGATCACCAAATGGGCAAAAACAAATAAGCAGATCCCCTGCATCATCATGATCATGATCATCATCATCATCATCATCACCAGAACAATAATAATAGCAGATAACCCTTACTGGGCACATAAACCCTTATTCGCCGTATGACAGAAACTACACTAAGCATTTTACGTGCATCACTTCATTTAATTCTGAAAGATGAGGAAGTAGAAAGTGGGATTCAAACTCAAGTTTGTCTGCTGCCAAAATCCACATTTAACCATAACAATAAAGTAACCAAACCAGGCTTTTCTTTTTTCTATCTGATGCTGCTAATATTACACTTTCACAGTGGTTTCTACATTCATACTCGTAACAAGCCAGTGAAGGAAGAATTATCCCCATCTTACAGACGAGCCTCGAAGATGTGAATAATATTCACAGATGATGTACTGATTAAGTGGTAGAACCAGTACATGGTCTTCCTTCCTTATCCTCTAAAGCCCAGGCTTTTTCCATGCAGTATCTTGTCATGCAAGCCATTTCTCACTTGACTATCAGGCGAACAAGGAAGGTAAGGAATTGTCCCCTGGGATCAACATGGAACTTTTCCCTCTCTGCCTCTTTTTCCCATCCCTGGAAAAAAAAGCAGTTCTGTGCCCTTCACTATTCATTGCTCACCTTCATTATCTTCAGGCAATTTTTTTATCTTGATGATTTTTTTTTCTTTTCCATTTTCTTATCAAGGGTTTGCACACAGGCTATAACTGTGTCACTCAAGATGACAGCCACTTTGGAAGTTTTCCATGCATTAGCACACTATTTAGAGAATAATCAACAGGCCCCAAGAAAAGCATAAATTTTAGCCAAAGCCATTGTTGGAATAGGGAGTTTCCAAGAAGTCAGAGAACTTTTTCAGAAATTCTCTAGTCCTTTTTGAAAGCAGGCTAGAGCAAAGAGATAAATGCCTTCCCTTCTTTCTACTAAATATTGGAAAAGATACTATTTTCCAAGTCTCCTTCCCCAGCTGAAACAGTACTAGCCAGTACCAAGTGAGGAAGAAGTAAGTCCTGCATCTCTCTCTGTAATGTAACATGATATAAAAAAGAAAGATGTACAAAATGTAAAATGTTGCCAAAAAAGTTAAAATCTCAACAAAATGATAGATATCTCAAAAATGCACGTTATCAGTATCTCTTACAAAAACTTTTTGAAATTCCCTAATGCAGGACTATTAGGTTTCCCTCACTTCCCCTGAGTATCATGAGCTCTTTCCCACCTAAGTACCAAAAGACCAACTCATCTCTTGCTAACCATAAGCCAGTTCTCAGAGGAGATCTTGCACTATACTTGTGCATTAAAAAAAAAAGGCCATGATTTTCAGGGGCTAAAGACCTAGGATATGGTGGTGGTCACCGAACTTCTAGTTGGTAAGCACTTCCCTCCTTTCTTCCATAGTAAGCAGAACAGTCTTATTTTAAATTCTGCGGCTATGGTATTACTTTGCACAGTAAGTCAAGCTCAGAAGAGCATCTTAAAAAACTAAGTGGTGCCCCTACTTCTGGCAATGGCAGACTAGGTTATTTGAGTCCAAATCTTTCTCTAAAAACGGTGGAACAATCTAAACAAAATATTTTAAAAATCTGTTTGGAGGCATAGTAAAACTGCTATGATTATAAAAATTTTAGGGAACGGTAAGAATAAAATGGAGAAATACAAGAGGTTAGCTTAGCATTTGAGGCTTCCCTAGAGTTAAGTGCCAATTCTAAATGTAAAAGCAATGGTAGAGAGGCTGAGAAACTGAGTGACGTTTTCAGAAACCACAGAGCTAGAGTGACAAAAAATAAAGTTCATGGTCTTCCAAGAAGAAGGGATTCAGTAAACCCCAAAGGCTTTTGGTTGGTACCGCAAAAGACTGAAACTCTGGAGAAAATGTCAACAAGAAATAGATAATGCTCACAGAGACATACCTGAAACTGGGCAATTTACAGAAGAAAGAGTTTTAATTGGACTTACAGTTCCAAGTGGCTGGGGAAGCCTCACAATTCTGGCAGAAGGCAAGGAGGAGCAAGTCCTGTGTTACATGGATGGCAGCAGGCGAAGAGAGAATGAGGAAGGCACAAAAGCGGAAACCCCTAATAAAACCATCAGATCTCATGAGACTTACTCACTACCACAAGAACAGTATGTGGGAAACTGCCCCCATGATTCAATTATCTCCCACCGGGTCCCTCCCACAACACATGGGAATTATGGGAGTACAATTCAAATTAGATTTGGGTGGGGACAAAGAGGCGAATCATATCAACATGTATATCAAAATATCGTGTTGTACACCTTAAATATATACAATAAAAAATAAATTTTAAAAAACATCCTGGCCCGGCACGGTGGCTCACGCCTGTAATCCCAGCACTTTGGGAGACCGAGGTGGGCGGATCACGAGGTCAGGAGATGGAGACCATCCTGGCTAACGTGGTGAAACCCCTTCTCTACTAAAAATACAAAAACTTAGCCGGGCGTGGTGGCGGGCGCCTATAGTCCCAGCTACTCGGGAGGCTGGGGCAGGAGAATGGCGTGAACCTGGGAGGCGGAGCTTGCAGTGAGCTGAGATCGCACCACTGCACTCCAGCCTGGGTGACAGAGCGAGACTCCATCTCAAAAAAAAAAAAAAAAAGATCCTGACATTAGAGTTATCCCACACAGATTTTAAAATAATTATTTTAATAAACGTAAAGGTTAAATATCAAAATAGAAAAATTTTGGCAGAAAAACTATCAAAAGGAATTAAATGGAAATTCTAGAATTAAAAATTCCAATAATTGAAATGAAGAATTTAATGGATATATTTAGCAGCATATTATAGATAGATGAGAGGGAATTGGTGAACTAAAAGAAAATATAGTTGACTCTTCATATCCATGGGTTCTGCATTCATACAGTCAACCAACCACAGATTGAAAATATTCAAAACAAAACTGCATCTATACTGAACATGTACAGACTTTTCTTCTTGTTAGTACATCCTAAACAATGCAGAGTAACAAGTATTTGCATTACATTTACAATGTCTTACGTATTATAAGTAATCTAGAGATAATATAAAGTACACAGGAGGACAATCCCAAAATAGCAGTCAAGTTATATGCAAATGTGACACCATTTCAACTCAGAGGCTTGAGCATCTATGAATTTTGGTATCCAGAGAAGGTCCTAGAACCAATCCCGCATGGATACTGGGACAACTACATACAGAAGGAAGCATAAAAAGACAAAAAAAATAAGTAAAGAGCAAATGAAAGGGGAAAATATGTGGATAAATTTAAATCAAAATTGAATTAATGGAACAATAATAATATCTTATAATGCTTTAAATATATAGAGAATTATATAATAGTACATAAGAAAGGAGGAGGGTTTAAAGTGTTACATTGGCCAGAAAGTGACGAAAAAGAAAAGGATTTTTTTCTTTATCTCCAGGGTAACCACTTTAAAAGTATATAATGAATGAGTAAATAAAAGAAAAAATAAAAAATAATTTCAAAGAAGGAAATAAAAGAGAAAGAGGAACAGAGAATGAGTGTATTAGTCTGTTCTCACACTGCTATAAAGAACTGCCCAAGACTGCATGGTTGGGGAGGCCTTAGGAAACTTACAATCATGGCAGAAGGGGAAGCAGACACGTCAATTTTCACATGATGGCAGGAAGGACAAGTGCCAAGCAAAGAGGGAAAAGCCCCTTTTAAAACCATCAGATCTCATGAGAACTCATTCACTATTACAAGAGCAGTAACATGGGGGTAACCACCCCCATGATTCAATTACCTCTCTAGAGGTCCCTCCCCCAACACATGGAGCTTACAATTCAGATTACAATTCAAGAGGAGATTTGTGTGGGAACATAGAGTCAGACCATATCAACAAATGAGGCAAATACAAAGATGAAAGTTTTAGACCAAAATATATCAGTAATTGCATTAATTGTAAATGGACTAAAAATTCCAATTAAAAGGAAATATTTTATGAGTAGGTTTTTTTAAAAAATAATCTTTACTTACAATAGAGACCCCAAAACATATGTCCACAGAATGGAGGAAAGTAAAGTGATGGAAAAAGATATACCACAAAAACACTAATCAAAGGAATGCTGGTATAGCTATATTTAAATAGATGTCAAGGAAATAGCATTATTAAAGACAAAAAGAGAGAATTCATAATTATAGAGGAGTCTACCCAACAGGAAGCTATAAGAATTCTATGTATATATGTACCAAATAACGTAGCCACAAAAAACATTAAGCAAAGTAGGCCGAGGTTGTCTAAGACCACAGAAGGAGTTAATAAACAGTCCGTTTAGTTTGCCTTGTACCACCAGTGCCTAATAAAATGTCTAACGCTTTTTAGTTAAACAATAAATGATATTTCTACTTAGGCTTACTCCAATAGAAATTATAATAACACATTCTTAATGCTTGAAACATACACAACAAACATACACACAAACACACGTTAATCTAATTACTATATGATAGTATTTAAAGGCATGGTAGGCTTTGGATTCATAATACCTCAGTTAAATTCCAGCTCCATCACTTACTAGCTATGTGACCTTGGAAGAAATAGCCTCAATGAGCCTGTGTTTCCTCATAGGTTTTTCCAAGTATGAAATAGAATAATATATAAAAAGTACATAGTAATGTCAGCCCCTAAGCAAATACTCCATAAATTGTAACAATTAATAGTAATGATTATACGTTAGAAATTTGAAAATAATACCAAAATAGCAGTCAAGAAGCTCCTCTACGAACTAGGATCAGAAATGGTACTAGAAATTAATTTAGTTTGCATAATTATAAAAATTGGTCCTAAGAATGTTACTGTGGTAGACAAACTTTAAAATGGTCCACATGATTCCCACCTCCTTTAATTAACACTTTTTAATAATTTTTCCCCTCAAATATGGTCAGCAAGTATGACTTGTTTCTAACCAACAGAATGCAGTAGAGATGATGAGGTAGGTACATGATTATGTTTATATGATCATATAGCACCCATCTTGTTAGAGCCTCTCTCTCCATTGCTAGCTTTGAAGAAGAAAGTTACCATTAATCTGACAGCCACAAGGAAATGAATTCTGCCAACTTGAGGGAGCTTGGAAGTGGATCCTTCTCCAATCAAATTTCAGGAAAACCCAGCCTTGGCTGACACCTTGATTGCAACCCTTGACCCACAGAACATGGACCCTTGACTCACAGAAATTATGAGACAATAAATGTGTGTGTGTGTGTGTGTGTCAGTGAGCTTTATTGATATTTAATTCACCCATTTACAGTGTACAACTCAATGGTTTTTAGTATATTTAGAGTTGTGCAACCATTATCTGCTTTGGAGAAATGTCTCTTCATATTCTTCACCCATTTTTAAACTGGATTGTCATTTTACTATTGAGTTTTAAGAGGTCTTTAGGTATTCTCAATACAAGTGCTTTATCAGATATATTATTTGCAAATATTTTTCCCCATTCTCCAGGTTGTCTTTTTGTTGGTGGTGTCCTTTGAAATAGAAAAGTTTTTAATTTTAATAAAGTTCCTTTTAACTATTTTTTCTTTTGTTGCCTGTGCTTTTGGTGTCATATCTAAGAATCTATTGCCTAATTTAAGGTCATGAACACTTATCCCTATATTTTCTCCTAACAGTTTAATAATTTTAGCTTTTGCATTTAGGTCTCTGATTCATTTTGAGTTAATTTTTGCATATGATATAAGGTAGGGTTCCAATTTCATTCTTTTGCATCTGGCTTTCCTGTTGTCCCAGCATCATTTGTTGAAAAGAGTATACTTTTTCCCTGTGAATTGCTTTGGCAATCTTATTGAACATCAACTGACCATAAATTTCATGAAAGTTTATTTTCTTCCTCTTAATTTTATTACATTGATCTACATGTCTATCCTTATGCCAGTTCCACATTGTCTATAGCTTTGTAGTACATTCGAAATTGGGAAGTGGGAGTCATCCAGCTTTGTTCTTTTTCAAGTTTGTTTTGTTTTGTCTTGTTATTTAAACTTCTTGAATTTTCACATAAATTTCAAAATCCACTTGTCAATTTTTGCAAAGAATCATCTGGGATGTTGAGTAGAATTATGTTGAATCTGTACACCAATTTGGGGAGGGTTGACATCTTAATAATATTAAGTCTTATGATCCACAAATGTGAAATATTTTCCCATTTATTTAGATATTCTTTAATTTCTTTCAACAATGCTTGGTAGTTTTCAGAGTATAAATTTTGTACTTTTTTGTTAAATTTATTTCTAAGTGTTTAATTCTTTTTGATGCTCTTCTACATGAAATTGTTTTTCTTAATTTTATTTTCAGATTGCAAGTGTATAGAAATACAATTAATTTTTGCATATTGATATCGGATGCTGCGACCTTGCTGAACTTGATTATTAGTTCTAATCATTTTTTAGTGGGTGCCTTAGGATTTTCTAAAGACAAGCTCATGTCATCAACAAATACAGATAGTTTTATTCTTCCTTTCCAATCTTGATGACTTTTATTTCATTTTCTTACCTATTTGCCCTGTTGAAAACCGAAAAGTACAGTGTTGAATAGAAGTGGTAAAAGCAGATATCCTTGTCTTACCCTAATCTTAGGGGGAAATCATTCAGTCTTTTACCAGTAAGTCTGGTGTTAGCTTTTTTGGTAGGACTTTCATAGATTCTCTTCATCAGGTTAAAGAAGTTTCCTGCTATTCCTGGTTTGTTGAGTGTTTTTGTCATGAAGAGGTGTTAGATTTTGTTCCACACTTTTTTCTGCAATCCTTTGAGATGATCATATGGTTTTTGTCCTTTTTTCTTGATATGGTCATTACATTCATTGATTTTAAGATGCCAAAATGTGAGTTGTTTTAAGCTAGTAGGTTGTGGTAATCTGCTATACAGTACAGATAACAAATACAGCTACAGAATAATAATAATTACAATAGTTAACATTTATGAAATGTTTATTATGTGTCAGAAACTGTTTAAGTGCTCATTACTAACTCACTTAATTCTTAATGTCACTGAGTATTAGAAAGGGCCACTATTATTAACCTTATTATACAGATAGAGAATATGAGGCTCAGGGAAGGTAAGTAATTTGTGTATGACCAGGTAACTATCCATACATAGTAGATGTAGAATTTGGAGCTAGGCAGTTTGACTCAGAATCTATGCTTCTAGGTAAAAAAAATTTTCTTCAAACCATTCAACCAATGGCTTAAGTAGGCATTGGAGAACCAGTTCTCCACACTAACTTCTGCCCTGGTTGAATGCTAAGGAAATTAACCCATTACAGACCATCCCAACAGCTGGACAAAGCTCTCCATGGTGCCAATCTAAAAGTGAAGCTAAACTTCTCAAGAAATGTACCAATATACAAAAAAAAAAAAAAAAAAAAAAAAAAAAAAAAAACCTATTTGTTAATAGAGCTCATTTTTAACAAATAATATAGGGAAAACTGGATATCCACATGCAAAAGAATGCAGTTGGACCCTTACCTTACACCATATACAAAAATTAACTCTAAATGGATCAGAGACCTAAACATAAGAGCTAAAACTATAAAACTCTTAAAAAAAAAAAAACATAGAGGGGAATCTTCATGACAGCGGACTTGGCAATGATTTTTTGGATATAACAAAAGCACAGGCAACAAAGGAAAAAATAGGTCAATTGGATTAGCCCCAAATTAAAAGCTGTGTATCAAAGAACCCAGTGAAAAGGCAACCCATGGAATAGGAGAAAAATTTGCAAATCTTATATCTAATTAGGGGTTATTATCCAGAATATATAAAGATACCCTACAACTCAATAACAGAAAAACAACCTGATTTTAAAATGGGCAAAGGTCTTGAACAGACATTTCCCCAAAGAAGATATACAAATGGCCAATAATCACATTCAAAGATGCTTGGCATCACTAATTATTAGAGAAATGCAAATCAAAACCACAATGAGATACCACCTCAACCCATTAGGATTGGTAGCATCATAAAAACAGAAAATAAAAAGTATTGGCAAGGATGTGGAGAAATTGGGACTCCTGTACACTGTTAGTGGGAATGTAAAATAGTGCAGCCACTGTGGAAAACAGTATGGTGGCTCCTTGAAACATTAAACATAGAATTACCTACCATATGATCCAAAAATTCCACTTCTGGGTACATACCCAAAAGAATTGAAAGCAGAGTCTCAAGAAATATTTGTGCACCCGTGTTCTCAGCAGCGTTATTCCCAATAGCCAAAAGGTAGAAACCACCTTATTGTCCATCAGTTGATGAATGGATGAGCAAAACATGGAACATTATTCAGCCTTGAAAAGAAATTCTGACACACACTGCAACATAGATGAATGTTGAGGACATTATGCTAAGTGAACTAAGCCAGCCACAAGAAGACAAACACTTTATAATTCCATTCATATGAAGTACTTAGTGTAGTCAAATTTATAAGACAGAAGTTAGAGTGGTGATTGCCAGGGGCTAAGGGAGCCGAGAATGGGCTTTTTTTTATAGGTAGAGTTTCAGTTTTGCAAGATGAAAAGAGTTCTAGAGATTGGTTGCACAATAATGTCAATGTACCTGACACTAATGAATTGTACAGTTAAAAGTAGTAAAAATAGTAAATTTTATGTTATGTGTATTTTTACCAAACTTAAAAATTTAGAAAAACACAAAAGAGAGATGTCTCAGGGAAAGTCCTTCAGTGAACAACTTGGGATGGAAGGCAAGGCCTCCCAGAGGCATCTTCCAGAGATCTTTAGAGATGGTGGCAACCTGCCTCCTAAGGAGTGTGGGCCTATAACTGCAGGATCTTGTTTTGCTGAGTTTGTTATGAGAGTTTGAGCCAGAGCTGAATTGCTTGGGACAACAAAGGAGAAACTGCACCCGGCCCAGCATTTTCCTATTCTGCTCCTCCAGAAGGAAGTACTCAGCTTCTTTTCTTGAAAGCTGAACAAATATTTAAAGAGTATTTAGTTGAAGAGGCATCAAATTATCAGCCTGCCTGGGGTGCCCATGTGTCTCAGTCCAGCCCTGCTTCTCCCCATTAGGATATGGCAAAGCCAAGGGCTCTATAGCCAATCTCAGTAATTAGGAAGAGCTAAGCTTTTTGCTGTGTCCACAAACAGTATGGATTGCGGTGTTTCTGCTTAGCTGATCGGAAAATTGTAACACTTCGGCGTCAGTGTTTTCAGCAGCTTATAGCTGAGCACTCATTAATTATGCAAAACAGGCTTCAGGGGACCAATTCTATTGAGTTAATTAATATTGAGTGTTGCTAGCCAATTAGCAGCCTTCTCCCTTATTGCAGAAAGGTTGCTATGGGACATGCCGGGCAAAGCTGGCTTCCCCTACACCTCTGCTTTGACTCCTTCTCCCTTCCATGACAGCACCATTGATGAGGAGGTCCAAAGGCATAGAATTCCCCACCACCACCTGCCTGCATCCTGGGCCCTTTCACTATCCATTTAGACATGGCACTCAAAGTGTGGGCGGCAGATCAGCAGAATCGGCATCACTGGGGATGCTTATTGAAATGCAGAATCTCAGGCCCCACCCTAGACCTAGTGAATTGGAATCTGCAATTTAACAAAATCCCTTGTGGTCCATATGCACATTAAAATTTGGAAAGCGCTGATGTACAAGACCCATCCAAAACCTTGGCCCTCACAATTTCTTGCCCTTCTTAATCCAGAAGCTTGCTGCTCATTTCCCTTACTGATCGCAGACACCCATGAACACATCTAGAAACTTGCATTTCTCCACCACTTTAATTTTACCAGCCTGTAATGCACTCTAACAGTTTTCAAATTCCAACATGCAAATCTCTCATATCTAACAGAGACCTCCAGTGGATTGGCCAGGCCATAATCTCTCAATCTGACTCTCTCCTTGTAGCTTCCTTCCTTTTTTGATGATAGTGTAACTGCCCAGCGGGTTCACCTTGCCTGCTGCCTAGACAGAACTGATTTATCAAGACAGGGGAACTACAATAGAGAAAGAGTAATTCACGCAGAGCTGGCTATGCAGGAGACCGGAGTTTTATTATATTATTACTCAAATCAGTCTCCCCAGGCATTCAGGGTTCAGAGTTTTTAAGAATAATTTGGTGGGTTGGGGAGGCCAGTGAGTAAAGAGTGCTGATTGGTTGGGTCAGAAATGAAATCATAGGGAGTTGGAGCTGTCCTCTTGCTCTGAGTCATTCCTGGGTGGGGGCCACAAGACCAGATGAGCCAGTTTATCAATCTAGGTGGGGCCAGCCGATCCATCAAGTGCAGAGTCTGCAAAATATCTCAAGCACTGATCTTAGGAGCAATTTAGGGAGGTTCAGAATCTTGTAGCCTCCATATGCATGATTCCTAAACCATAATTTCTAATCTTGAGGCTAATTTGTTAGTCCTACAAAGGCAGTCTAGTTCCCAGGCAAGAATGAGGTTTGTTTTGGGAAAGGACTGTTATCATCTTTGTTTTAAATTATAAACCATAAACTAAGTTCCTCCCAAAGTCCCATTCAGCCTACACCCAGGAATGAACAAGGACAGCTTGGAGGTTGGAAGCAAGATGGAGTTGGTTAGGTGAGATCTCTTTCACTGTCTCAGTTATAATTTTGCAATGACGGTTTCAATAGCACTTTAATCCTTCCTTCTTTATTATCCTCAACTCTACTGCCCCATGTAGATCCCACTACAAATGCTAAAGCTTTAGTGCTGCTAAGAAATCTTCTACACGTCCCCAGCAGCTTTCTCCCCCATTCTGTAACTAATGGGCTCTTTTTGCCCACTGCCCAGATAGAGCTGATTAGTGAAGAAAGGGCAGTTGCCATAGAGAAAGAGTTTAATACATGTAGAGCCAGCTAAACAGGAGACTGGAACTTTATTATTACTCAAATCAGCCTATCTGAAAATTCAGAGGCTAGGATTTTTTTAAGATAGTTTTTTGTGTGTGTTTTTTTTTTTAAGAAGGCAGGGGGCTAGGAAACAGGGGGCTATTTTTTTTTAAGATGGATTTTTTTAAGAAGGCAGGGTGGGGAATGCTGATTGGCAGGGATGAGCTCAATTGGTTCCTGGGTGGAAGCTGTAAGAACAGACAAGCCTGCTTACCAGTCTGGGTGGTGCCAGCTGACCCACCAGAATGCAGGGTCCGAAAAATATCTCAAACACCAATCTTAGGTTTTACAAAAGTAATATTACCCAGATGAGCAATTGGGAAGATTAAGAATCTTGTAGCCTCTGGTTGCATGGCTGCTAATCCATAATTTCTAATATTGTGGCTAATTTGTTAGTTTTACAAAAGCAGTCTTCCTCCCTCCAGGTAAGAAGGAGTTTATTTCAAGGAGAGACTGTTAACATCTTTGTTTCAAAGTTAACCTGTAAACTAAATTCCTCCCAAAGTTACTTCGGCCTACACCCAGAAATGACCAAGGGCAGCTTGGAAGTTAAAGGCAAGATGGAGTCAGTAAGGTCAGATCTCTTTCACTGTCATAATAATTTTTGCAAAGGCTGTTTCAATTCAAGCCAGTATACTGCCATGCCTCATTTCATGCCCTCTTCTTGATGCAAGGAAGGCAAGCCCCAAAGTGGAGCTTAGCCTCTGAGTGTTCTTGGCTTTTCCCAGGAAATAATTCAAGGGCAAGCTAGAGGCAGAAGAAAATAGCTCTATTGAACAGACAGTGTTACAGCTCCAATGGTGTTACAGCTCTGTGCTCCTGCAGAGCAGAGCTACCCCATAGACAGAGAGTAGCAGCTCAGTACAGTTCTGCAGTCACATTTATACCCACTTTTAATTGCATACAGATTCAGAGGCAGTTTATGCAAAAATTTTTAGGGAAAGAGTATTAACTTTTGGGTAACTGGGACATTGCCATGGAAAGGGGTGGTAACTCCCCGGTGTTGCCATGGCAACAGTAAATAGATGTGGCATACTGGTTGGCATGTCTGATTGAAAGCTGCTTCCATCCTGGCCCTGTTTTAGCTAGTCTTCAATCTGGCCCAGTGTATGAGCCCCACCTCTGGAGTCAAGTCCTGCTTCCTACCTCAGTCTCATCAGAGGACCTCTCCTCTTATCCCACAGAGAATTCCAAGCCATCCAGACCACATTCATTTCTTGTCATCTTCAAACTTACCTGCATCTGCATTTATCTCTTCTTCTTCCTTCTCTCCTCAATGAAAGAGGTGACCCTCCTCCCATCTAAATCCAATGACTTGAAGCTCCACGTTCAATATCCTTCAATGGCTCCCTACAAATCTCCAGAATAAGGTTCAAACTCTGTCTCCCTGGTTCCTGACTGCTTTTCTTGCCCTTCACCCACTGTTCCTCCCTAAGCCCTCCTCCTGCAGCCCTTGCACTCATTTGGAGCTTATCAGGTCCTACCAATTTATTGGAAGTCCCTCAAGTGTGGCATGTTATTTCCTATCCCCAATAATTGCAAATTCTGTTTCTTCTACCAGGAATGTCTTCTGGTTAATTGCTACTTTTCCTGTAAAACTCAATTCTACTTTAATCTCCTCAGATTTTTTTTTTATCATCCTTCTAGCAATATGCCTTGGTACCCTTTCCATATACTATTACCAGTAATATCTGAAATAACTCTCAGTGCTTTCCATGTGTCTATGCTAAGTACCTAACCTGCTTAACCTCATTTAATCCTCATAATAACCCTCTGAAGAAAAGTTATTATTATCCCTCTTTTACAGTGGGGAAACTGAGGTTCAGAGACTTATAAAAAGTAACTTATAAAAAGTAAATCTCTGCTGGTATGTCTGTTTCTACCTGCTGCTCTTGGTAAAGGCAATGAGGTCTCTTCAGTCAGGGGCCGTGCCTTTCCTCTTTGTATACTCCCAGTGCAGACCACAGGGCCATGCATGTTAGCTTCCACAGTGAGCAAGAGTATCTACTCACCTCGGCTGCCATAATAAAATATCATAGACTGAGTGGCTCAAACAACAGAAATTTATTTCCTCACAGTTCTGGAGGCTGGAAAGTCTGTCCAAGATCAAAGTTTCAGTGGGATTTAGTTTCTGATGAGAGCTCTCTACCTAGGTCGCTGATGACCATCTTCTTGCTGTGTCCTCATGTGGCAAAAACAGATAGATCTCTGGTGTCTCTTCCTCTTCCATAAAGACATCAGTTCTGTTACATCAAGGCCCCACCTTACAACCTCATTTAACTTTAATCACCTCCTTCAAGGTGCTGTCTCCAATACAGTCACAGGGTGGCTTAGGGCTTCAATGTGAATTTGAAGGGGATGCACATTCCATTTACAGCAATGAGCTACAACTGCTCCACTGTTTCAGGGACTCTGAGGCACAAATCTGCCAGGAGTGGAGGAGTATCTTAGATCTTCTAAGGTATTGGAAGTACCTGGGACGATCCAGGAAAACATCACAGAGAAGGGGTATTGATGGACACTTAGACTATTGAAGGAAGCTAAAATACTTTACCCCAAAATATACTTCTTTGACATATTTCAAGATGCGTTATTCAGAAATGCTGGAAACACAGAATAGCTAAAAAGCTGCCTTTCATGGAGATTTGTCTGCTTTTCACATATATAAGCATTGGACCCTGGAAACTGCAAATGCTGTGTTGGCAGTATTTGTTAATGGGCTCCATCCTGAGCTCAGTGTTCCACCTGGAAAACAGACTAAATTAGAAGCTACCTATCTAAATGAAATTGGCCTGCTTATAAAATACTGTGGTGAATCCCTACAATGCTATGTTACCTTGGTTATCTATTTATCTTCCTCTAACATAACCAAACTCCTTCTTTAGAAAGCCTATGCTCTCTGTGCTTTGAAGTGTAAATTTGCTACCCTGTTTTCTCTAAAACTCCGTAAAGGCTTTGGCCACGTGGGACAGATAAACTTTAACCTGTTCCATTTACAGATTGACAGTTTAATCCAACCACCCTTTTAAACTCATGAGTTTTACCTGTCATATGACTAAAATTTTTCAATCAAAACTATACAAAAATTTTGCCTATCATTTGAAGTATACACGTGTTCATGTCTGTGTTTATATAGTGTCTACATGGTACCAAAATGACTTGGAAACAATTTAGTATTCATAAATTACATAAATAAGCCCATATGCTTTTCAAGTTGATGTGACTTTAGTAATTTTTGGTAAGTAAAGTTAGCTGTAAAATTGTTGGTAAAATAAAATAAGAATGTCTTCAGAATTGTCAGTATTAACTACAAATCAAACATTTCATGTAGTACTAATAAAATATAGTATTTCATGTAGTATCAATATAGATTTTCATGTAACATTAATAAGATACAGTAAGAGATTTTCGTTTGAGTAAACTGAAAAAAAAGAGGGGGTGAGAGTGTACATCATGCTTTCTCTATCAGGTCTTTTGATTGTTCAGAAAAGCAATTCTCCTATCAAAGTCACCTATCATTTTTTCCTAGGTCTATTGGTTGGACAGATTTATGCTGTCTTTGCTAGATGTTTTAAGGATGTTTCAATTGTTTATTAAGCAATAAAACCATTGCTTCTGTAATACTTTTGATAATTGCTTAATTTGTCCATTAGCTTATGTCTTTGGTTTTGAGCAGTTAGATTCCAGGGTCTCTACAAGTAGTCATTGTGAGGCCTGGGGACATATGTGTGTACATAGTGCCTGGGCCACCAGCTGCAGGGCAGAGCCAGGCCTAATATCATCTCATTCTCCTGGCCTAGCTCTGTCTCCCAGCCAGGCTGAGAGAGGTCAGATCCTCCAGGCATTGTCTTCACAGCTGTCTTCTGTCCTGAGCTCTGTATCTGATACATAACAATTAAAATTGCTTACTTCCTAGGTTTTTCACTGAAAGTTAGGGTTACTAAGAATTAAAATTGTAGTTAATATATTTAATTACAGCTACAAGATATAAGAGAAAGAATCCTATATACAAAGGAAACTAGGATGTGTTTTTGGTGAAGAAGTTTACAAGGAAGACATGAGAATGTGGTATTTTTTTCAAGGAAAAGTAATTTTGTCTAGTTTAGAGGTTATTTAAAATTTTTTTTAGTGTGAAGGAAAAACGCATGATAGATAAAACTGAATGAATATAGAAAGTTGAAGAAAGAAAGAGAATGGGAAAAATTATAAGAGGTTATAAAAGGCTTAGGAACTCTTTTGTGTGGTCAAAGCCGATAGAGATTAGACTGATCTGTTTTTAAGGTTTTATTAAAATTAGTTTTAGTATTAATAATACACTGATGCAAATGTAGAACTTTGTTTTCTCTTTTGAACTAGATTTTCATGTAGTATTAATAAAATATGGTAAAAGATTTTTGTTTACCTTTTGAGTAAACTGAAAAAAAGAAGTGGGGAGGGCGGTTGTACATCGTGCTATCTTTGTTAAGTCTTTTGATTGGAGAAGCAAGTCTCCTATCGAAGACTAAAGATACCTTTGCTTTTTAGAATCCATTAATTATAACTTTGGCTAAATAAATATTATTTTACAGTGACCCGTGATCTTATTTTGATTAAGTGTATTATACTTTTGGTATTTGACAGGCTTCCCAAAATCTAACCTCAAAATTCTAAGATTAAGTCTTTTTGACCTTGCACTACCTTCTTGATCTTCCAAAAAGGGCCCCTGTAAGTCCAAGAGAGGCATCAAGTTTATTTGGTTTGTTAAATCATTGTCAAATAGAAATAATGTTTATTTTTTAGTTATGTTTGTATAAACGTGTTATTAATGTCTTCTGAAATTGTATGAGATTCCTAAAAACCTGATGTGTCTTGATACATGTTATCAGACATATTATTATTATGTAAAATTGTCATAGGCCACAGAAAATAACCAAATTTCTTTGTTAATTCTGTCTTTATGACCATTTTAAATCTTGTCCATAGTAAATTGTTTTATGCTGATGCTTCCTCTAAAAGATCACTACAAGCAAGTATAATCCTAGGTTATGTCTTTAAGGAGGTTCTTGGAAAGGTTGAATAGATTCTGACAGGCACTTGAAATAGACCTTTGCTGGTGACTTTGACTGGGTAATAATTCCAAAACATTCAATGGAAAAAAAAATAACTGTACTAAAAAAATTTCTAACATAACAACAAACAGATTAAAAATCAATTACATGAGACTAAACTGATGGAGGACTAAAATAATTTTTATGACTTTTTTGTTTGAAACATTTCTGACTCTTTTTATGTGTTGTTTGTCGGCATCAATTTTTTTTTCTTCTTAGTTATCTATAGCTTTACAGCAATTGGGTAAAATACACTTTTCTGAGCAAAATTAAAGGATTTACCTTTCTCTCTACCTGGTTTCTCAAGAATTCTGAGTACTCTTATTTTATGGCAATATAGTTATTTGCATGAGTTCAATAAGAATCTGTGCTTTGGGTTTTTTGTTTTGTTGTTGGGTTTTTTGGTAACAGGACACAGTTGGAAACAATGACTATTTTACCAAGGCTTTGATTGTGAGATCATATTTTCATATATGACCAGACTGCTTTGAGGAATTGAAGTTAACTTTTATAGAGCTGATAAAAGCCCCATGGACAAACTAACCTGATGCCATGTCTACACAGTCTTTCCAGGGTTGCTGACCTTTCAGTAAGTAAAGAATGTCACTTTCTGACAGGCCCAGAAACCTCAAGATATTTTAGGGACCTCAAGAAAAGAAGAATTCACCCAGTTTATATTGGTATTACAGATAGTTTTTGTCTTGGCTCCTAAGCCTCAAGAAATTTTTAAAAGTCTAATCCAGATTTTCTTGCAAGAATGTTCTAGCAAAGCCAACTCAAAAGAGCCTATATAGCCAAACACTTTTCTTGCTGTACTTTATCCAAATAATCAGGCCAAATATAATAAACCTGAAACTTACTTTGCAAATAAATTAGTTTTACTATAATTCATCTTGGTCGAAATGGGGGACTGGAGAGAGAAAAGCTATGTTTCAGAAGAAAACTATAGTACACATGTTATTATACTGCAAGTCTAACCATTGTTTTTGAGTTTTTGTTATCTGGCTACAATTTTGACTGACTCCTGAATTCGTACCTAGGTTTAAGTCTCCAAACCAACATTTCCAACTTTCTCCTGCTCTTCTGACTTAAAATCACTAGAAATTAAAACTGTGCTTTTCTTGAAGCCCTGCTAACTGAATCTAGACAACTTGATATAAACTTTAAGTTAAACCACTACAGCAACTTATATATAAACAGCCTTCATGCTTGTTGATGTATGGACTACTCAGGGAACTCACTGGATCACCCAATTAGAACTACAATCCAGGAAAATCTGTCAGGTTGCCACTGCAATCTGCAATGCTTCAGAGATCTAGGAAAATTAGTTTATAGAATACTTCCAACATTAACCTTTGTTTTTCTCCTGTTTCCACACAAATGCCTTTTCTTAAAGATCTTCATGTCTACCTCAGATGTAGAAGCCTGGCTCTGAAAGCCCATCTGCAATGCCACATTCTGAAATAAGATGCAACTGTTCAACTGAGCTGACCTATTCTCAGGACTAGGAGACTGATTTAAGAAGATATGATATGATACGCATAAATTTGGTCTTCTCTGCTTATCCTAATCTCTATTTTTTCTTCCCCTTTGCCTATCTCTTATCTCAAAAATTCTAACCCAAATTTCTTCAAAGCTATCAACTTGGCTTTTAATATGTGAAACTTTCTGAAAGTAAAGTTTCAAAGGAGGTGCTAAACGGAAGAAACTAAAATATTTTACCCCAAAATACACTTCTTTGACATATTTCAAGATGGCTTATTCAGAAGGGCTACAAACACAAGAATAACTAAAAAGCTGCCTTTCGTGGGCGAGATTTGCATCTTTAAAGGAAATAAAGTAAACAACAGATGCAAATAAGCTTTCTCTGAAACTCTTCCTTATCTGAATCTAGGAAAGATTAACTGAGACTTTGACACCCTTAAAGCTCTGACAGAAACATCTACCACTGGCTACCATCATTCCTTCTGAGGGCTGCTACCTGTGAGGTTTCATCTGTATAACAAGACCACTTTTGCTAGCCAGGCCTCCTCTTCTCTCCCTCTTACAATCTCTTTTGCCATGCTCCAATCCCCAATTCTTTCTGTAACCTCAAGATAGCATAAAAGCATCAACCATTTGGCCATTTCTTTGAGTCTTTATATTGGTATGACTCTCACACACAAATGTGCACATAACAAAACTTGTATGCCTTTTTTCCTATTTATCTATTATCAGTGTGTTTTATAAACTAAAATTGTCAAAACTTCAGGGGGAAAATTTAAACTTCCATACACTATATATAAGTTGAAAAGATGGCAAAGTCCATTTCTGAGAGGAGGAAAAAGCAGGGATAAGGTGGGACAATGTCACAGAGTATTCAGGCAGGCTTCAGCTTAGCTATCAGACAGGATCCTAGTCATGAAGGATCTTGAAGGCTCTGTCTGAAATCACTGATTTTATATGATAGGTCAAAGACTACATAGCTTTTTACCTTCTCCATCAGCTTTTATCAGTTGGTTGGGGTTGCCTGGAACACTAAGTTGAGGATTCTGAGGCTGCATCTGAGTTCATCAGAAAGACGGCAGTAATAGATTAGTGATGTCTGTCCTGGCACTGAATACACGGGAATAAGAGTGGCAGCAAGAATGCTGTGGATTTGCCACCTCTGCTAGAGATCCTGCCCTCCAGGTGTGCCCCTGGTACTTCTAGGAGAGCTCAGACTCATGTGGACCTGTAAATATATCCCCTACTGTTACCATGTAGTGTGTCCACCATGCTCTTCCTTTCCTGCCCTGCTTTCCCTGATTGAGCTCATGGTCTGAAAAGCTGCTTAGAGGAGGCTTGGTTTTGCCCATGTTGAGGGTGCACTTTATGAAACTGCCTTAACCAGGCCAGGGTGTCATTTCCCAATGCACCCAGAATACTCCTGGGAGCCAGAACAGTGCTGAGTTCCACGCAGAGTTGGAGAGAATGGAATATGACAAAACTGTATTTGCCTTTCCCCCAAGACTCCAAAGCAGTTCTACTTATGCCCATAGCTCACCAAATTATCTCCTAAAACTTGGTCAGTTCTTTCAGCTTCCAACCTTCACCTTCCTAACCTTAGGGACTCAGACACTCTCCAAAGGGTTAGGTAGAGAACAAAAGTCATATTATCTGTTGTCCTTGTCTCCATTCTTCCCGTGGTCCCTGACCTCAGCTAAACTCTCCAACTTTCTCAATTATAAGACAAAAGTCTCCTTACATATTTAAAAAAAAAAAAAAAAAGGTCTGATATGGTTTGGCTGTGTCCTCACCCAAATCTCATCTTGAATTATAACTTCCACAATTCCCACCTGTCCTGGGAGGAACCTGGTGGGAGGTAATTGAATCATGAGGGAAGGTCTTTCCCATGCTACGCTTGTGATAGAGAATAAGTTTCATGAGATCTGATGGTTTTAAAAAGGGGAGTTTCCTTGCACAAGCTCTCTTCTCTTGCCTGCTGCCACGTGAGATGTGCCTTTTACCTTCTGCTGTGATTGTGAGGCCTCCCCAGCCACGTGGAACTGTAAGTCCAATAAACCTCTTTCTTTTGTAAATTGCCAAGTCCTGGGTATACCTTTATCAGCAGCATGAAAATGGACTAATACAAGGTCCTTGTGAGAAGATGGATATTGACTATACCCTAAGCCCTCATCTTCCATCAGAATGCTTTATTACAGGGGAATTAAATTAGAAAACACATGTAACACCTGTAAGTTTCTCCCTCAACTCTAACACCACTGGAGACACTGAGAGCATACTGATAGATAAAAATTTAATGAAACTTTATTATGCAAATGCACTGTGCTAAGTACTATGCATACCCTATCTTATTTATTCCTCACATTACATCTCGAGGAGGAGGGTAAATGTTGTGTTGTATGCTTTGGATTGTGATGATGCTTCTCGCATTCCTAGTGTTCATTTCCCTGTTGCCCTTTCTTAGGCAAGACTCTCTGAAAGGAAAAATGGAGTTTATATCTACACCTGAGCCAAGCTTTAAAAGGGAAACACCTCCCTACTTCTGAATGCCAAACAAAGGAAAGGGTTAGTAATTACTAGGCAGGAGGATGAAGGAAACTTTCAATACTAATCATTGATAGGGTTAGGCTTTGTGTCTCCACCCAAATCTCATCTTGAATTGTGATCCCCAGATGTTTAGAGAGAGACCTGATGGGAAGTGATTGGATTACAGGGGTGGCTTCCCCCATGCTGTTCTCATGATAGTGAGTGAATTCTCACAAGATCTGATGTTTTACAAATGGTAGTTTTTCCTGTACTGACACATACATGCTCTCTTACCTGCTGCCATGTAAGATGGGCTGCTTTCCCCTCTGCCATGATTGTAAGTTTCCTGAGGCCTCTCCAGCCATGCAAAACTGGGAGTCAATTAAACGTCTTCCCTTTGTTTTATAAATTACCCAGTCTTGGGTAATCTTTACAGCAGTGTGAAAACGAACTAATACAATGATATTAACTAGCATATATTGTACCATTATTTATGCTCTAAGAACTTTACACATATTTAATCTGCACTGTTATGCTATGAGATAAATGTTATTGAAGATTAGAGAACTAGGACAGAGAGTGGTTAAACAACTTGCCCAAGGTCAAACAGCTGGTAAGTGGTGGAGGCAAAATTCAAACACAGACAGTCGAATTCCAGCCTACACAGACTCCGGGCCACTAGATGAAGCTGCCTCCTCCAAGAAGGTGAAGTTCAAGGCAACCAGGTCACATCTGGTGGTCAGGCATCCTTGCAAGTTTAATACTCTTTCTTGAGACCAGCTTCAGTGTTCTGTTGTAACAAGTAAAGCCCTCCTGTGTGCAGCTCTCTCTCTCTTAGCACTTGCCAACTGCCTTGGACACATCGTAGGGCATCTGCTGGTCATAAATACCATGGAAAAACAAATTGAAATACAATTGCCTTGACACTGGGCAGGAGAGGGAGAAGTCAAGGCATTGTCATGGACATCTGTCCTGTTGAAATTTTCATATTTCTGTTGTCAAAGTGAGTCAACCAGACCCTCTGCAAAGAATGAAATTAATGGACCCAAATCAAAGTGAAGATTTGGTATTCTTGTCAGAGCCCATTAAAGTGACCAGTTCGGGTGGCAGCAGGTGGTGGCATTATCATGCAATTTCCGCAGTCAATTTTGAAGACTCTCTCTCTCTCTTGCTGTAGCATGTGCATGCATATGAACACACACACACACAAAAGCCTCAAGGCACAAGGGATTTGGTTGGCCTCAAGGTTCAGTCTAAGGCAAATCAAGCAGGATTTCCCACAGGATCTCCTGTCAAACATTAGTGTTGAGGAAGGTTAATAGGCTTGTGGTTAACACAGGGTCCCAGGCTTTAATCATGTTGGGAATGCTGGATTAAGCAAAGTTAGTTGTGTTCCACAGAACTCCTCAGAGCCTTGAATATATTCATGTACACTACAAGTCTCCCAGAGGAGGATAGAGTATGCAGAATTAACCAAACTCCCTTGCCTGCTGGTGTTGCATGGAACATATTGAAGAGACTGCTTTTCTATAGCATGAGTCCTGGTCTTTCTCTCACCTCAAAGCTCCAGGTGCTGAGGCCTTTCCCTGCACATTCTTCCCAGCCCAGTTCTGCAGCCAACTTGACCAGGGCAGGAAGACATTAGCAATCTCAGCCTCACCAACTGGGGAGCCTCAAGAAGGTCATATAGACAAAGAAGCAACACTCCAACTCCCAGGTGCCAATTGAGCACAACCTGCTCTTGCTTCCAACCCACTTCCTTGCCATGGGGTGGCTCAGTCCATGTATCTAGGCCTCTTCTGTCCAGTTTTCCTGCCCAGCAGTTGATTTCTATCCTGGGTCTGAACTCTCTGTCTTGAACCCCACTCCACTTGGTATGCCTCTTTCTTGTCACCCCTCCCCATGGGCTGTTCTTGGTTCCCAGATGTCCTGTTCCTTCCTGGGAGCCTCCTGCAGCTGAAATGTACACTGGAAATACTCCTGCCCCTCCCCCTGCATGACTACATAAATCATCTATCACTTGGGCAATCCTACCTCACTACCAAGTGGCCCTGGCATGGGTGTCTCTTGTGTATGACAAGCTCCTTGGCTCTTGGACAAAACAGTACCCACTATCTCCACCAGCACCAGACTCACAGCCAGGCCATTTGCTAGTCCTCAAGCCTAACTAGTGCTTGTTGCCCATCAATCCCCAAAGGTCTCTGTTGTTGATGTTCTGGCATGGTCAATGGCCAAGCCCTTCTCAAGTTGTGAATAAGAGCTTGGCAATTTCAGACAACATCCCCAACATCCCATGCATTAGTAAGACATGCAGCTGAGGTTTTAGGCTCAAGACTAACACATAAGTGGTGAAAAGTCTGGGGCTTCCATTGGGTGTGGTGCTGGTTGAGTGGCGTGAAGGTGATTTTGATGGTTTAGATTTTGGGAACAGGACAGTTATATTAGATCAATATTCCCAGGCATTTGGATTTCATGGACAATTACAATTTCAAAAATACTCTCTGGGAGAGTTTATAATATTGGCAACCAAGGTGCAATAAAAAAGTAATAATCTGTTAGTACCATCATTTCACACAACAAGTTGTACCTAAATGTGAAAAAACACAGGGAAGATAATCTCGGCATTGAAAATGAGTTCTATGGAAAATTTTCCCACTTTCTCTATTTTACTGGGGTCCAGTAGAAATTGGCCTTGGATCAGCCCCAGCCTGAGGACTGAAATTTTAGAGCCACGGCTCCAGAAGGTCTCTGAGGTCTCCTCAGAGGTTCTGTTCATCTAGTTGACTTCTCCTCACTGCCTGGCAATCAGTTACATATCTGAGAGTTCCGATTATTGGATGGCACTTTCCTTTATGAAAGCAAGTCTACCTGCCTGCAACTCCCACACCTTGGTCTTGGTTCTGCCTTGACCCTCCCTTTGGACATTTAAAGCCTGTGCCAAAGGCCTTCCTTAGGTGACACCCCTCCCTGTTTGCTCCCCCAGATTTAAGAGCGGACTTTCTGAAGAAGGCCTCCCAAAGAGAAAGGGAGAGGTCTGAGCCTTGGGGAGGGCTCTACTGGCCTTCCTTCCTCCCAAACCTTCATTCAACGACTCAATGGCATAGAGCAGGGAGATGCCCAAACAGAAAGCAAGAGACCAGAGAACCATGGGAGGTGGGACTCCTGAGGAGGTGGCACCCTGTGCCTTGTGTGACATGAGAAAGTTTTGGTGAGACATCATGGACTGGACCCCTCCCAGCAGAGTACACTGTCCTGTCACCTCCAAACCCAGGGCAGTTCCAGGGGTGGTTGCTTGGGGTGGTCATTGGAGCATGGAAGGGGACATGCCTTTGAGAACCCAGCTGTGCCCTCTTCTCATAGAGGAGAGAAGCAAAGTAACCCCACATCCAGGGAGCATCTGTCTCGGGACACACCTGTCTGTGGGCTATGTGTTAACTGCTCTTGAAGGATATGGCAGACCCATGCAGAGAGGCTGGCCCTACTCTCAGCTGCTCTCTGAATCAGGGCAGCTCATGCCTGCAGGCAAGCCACAGTCTCCCATCTGGAGAAAAGAAGTTGACAGTTTTTGTGAGGCCCCAAAACACGAGTGATCTTCATTCCCATTTACTGAATGTTAATTTGTTTGATCGTAAAATTTCTCAGTGGCTTCCCATTGTTTTTGAGATTTAAAAGCCATGTTTTTTCACTTAGTCTTCAAGGCACTGTTAGCCTCATCTTGCATACTCTGCCCTGACTCACTAAGATCCAGCCACACTGACTCTTCCAGTTCCTCAACTGTACCCTGACCTTTACACATATGCTGTCCCCTCTCTCTGGACCACTCTCCCCGTATGCCCCCTTTACCTCCTCAAACCTTACTCAGCTTTACTTTAGATCTCAGCTAAAATGCCCCTTCCCTGGGAGACTTCTCTGAACTCCTCAGTCTGGAGATGTATCATCAAATACCACAGCCACTACCACGTGGCTACCGAGCACTGGAAAGGTGGCCAGTCCAATTGAGATGCCCTGTAAGTGTCAAGTATACCCTAGATTTTTGAAAACTTAGTAAAATGTAATAATACACAATATCTCATTGATAATTTTTAATACTGATTACATGTTGAAATGATATTTTAGATATACTGGGTAAATATATTAAAATTAATTTCACTTTTTTTTTTTTACTTTTGCTAGTGTGGCTACCAGAAATTATTAAATGACATATGTGGTTCCCCACATCTGTGGCTCATGTTCTATTTCTTTCTTTTTTTTTTTTTTTTTTTTTTTGAGACTGAGTCTCACTCTGTCACCAGGCTGGAGTCCAGTATCACGATCTCGGCTCACTGCAACCTCCACCTCCCAGGTTCAAGCAATTCTCCTGCCTCAGCCTCCCGAGTAGCTGGGACTACAGGAGCACACCACCGTGCCCAGCTAATTTTTTGTATTTTTTTTTTAGTAGAGATGGGGTTTGACCATGTTGGCCAGGATGGTCTTGATCTCTTGACCTCGTGATCCAGCTGCCTTGGCCTCCCAAAGTGCTGGGATTACAGGTGTGAGCCACCGCACCTGGCCTCATGGTCCATTTCCTTTTTTTTTTTTTTTTTTTTTTTTTCAGATGGAGTCTCACTCTGTCACCCAGGCTGGGGTGCAGTGGCGTGATCTCAGCTCACTGCAAGCTCCTACTCCTGGGTTCACACCATTCTACTGCCTCAGCCTCCCGAATAGCTGGGACTACAGGCACCCACCACCATGCCTGGCTAATTTTTTTGTATTTTTAGTAGAGACGGGGTTTCACCATGTTAGCCAGGACTCATGTTCTATTTCTATGGGATAATGCTGGGGCACATTGCCCTGGTGTGTGCCTAGACAGAACTTTATGTTTTTCTTCCTAATCTTTACTACACTTTAGAATTATTCATTCCCACTGAAATATAAACTAGGTGAGGACGGAGACCATGTTTTTTCAGTTTCCCACTGTGTCCTTAGCTGTTAACACAGTCCTTGGCACACAGTAGGAATAAAATAGATATGTCAAATGCATTGATGAAATCTCTAACATGTTCCAAACACATTACATGCAGCATTTCCAAAAGGGTGTGCATGTGTGTGTGTATGTGTATGTGGCTAGGGAGAACAAAACTTGTTTGCTGTTGAGATCTTATAGAGAAGATCTTATAGAGAACGACAGAATAGTTTTGGATGAGGCTGGGTGAGAGGCCTCTGTGTGGCACCCCTCACCCCTCACAGCCATCCTGAAGCACCTATGAAACCTTAGAGTCCCTGAATAGACTATACAAAAACCACTGTGTTGCCTTACCCATGCCCCTCAACAGTTCAGTGAGAAATTATGGCAGAGGGCAGAAACATGACTTGTAGCCAGTGTGTGATGGAGTCAAGTAGGTGTCAATTGAATAGCAAATCCCAGCTGAGTCCTCCCAAGGCACTAAAGAACCTCACTGTGTAGAGCAGAGGAGGTTCCTCAGGATACTCAGTTACCTACCTCCAGAGCAGCAAGCTGGAGGCTTTGTGACTGTGAACAGCCCTACTCTGCTCACTGCTCTGAGACAAATGCAAACGAATACATCTACTTAGAAGGGGCTGCGGGGGAGATTAAATGAGATAAATTTACATGTAGCATCTAATATAGTACCTAGCACATAGGAGGCACTCAACAAATGGTTGCTATTATTATTGTCACTGTTGACCTAAAGGAAAAAACACTTGTTGAGGCATACTTAATATAGGTAGAGAGTTTATTTGGGCCAAGATTGAGGACTGCAACCAGGAAGCATAGAACCAAGTGTAACAGCCCAACAGGTGCATCTTGCCCACTGCCCAGAAAAGCCAAAGACTGAGAACAGCTCGTATTGCAGCAATGAAAGAGTGTAATTATTGCAGGGCCAGCCAAGCAGGAGGATGCTAGACATTTTTACAATCTGCCTCCCTGAAAGCTTGGAGGCTAGGGTTTTTAAGGATAATTTGGCAGACAGGGGGCTAGGGAATGGGTACTGCTGACTGGCTAGTAATGAAATCATAGGAGTGTCCAAAATGGTCCTCATGCACTGAGTCAGTTTCTGGGTTGGGGGTTTCAGGGTTGGGAATCTGTTCCTTGATATGAGTCATGGGTCCAAATGGAGTCAATTGGTCACCAGAATGCAAAAGTCTGAAAAATATCTCAAGACCAATCTTAGGTTTTGACAATAGTGAACGTATCTATAGGAACAACTGGGGAAGTTATAAATCCTGTGACCTCCACAGAAGTAAATGATTATAGAAAGGCAAGCTAGGGAACAATGGCTGGTCATCATTTAACTACCCCTACATCCTAGCAGAATTCAGGCCCCTTCTATAATCCTAATCTTGTGGCCTTTCATTAGTCTTACAACAGCAGTTTTGGTCCCTAAGCAAGGAGGGGGTTAGTTTCAGGAAGGGATTGTTATCATCTTTGTTTTAAAATTAACAAAGCCAGTTAGCTTGTGAGGTTAGAGGCAACATTGAGTTAGGTTAGATTTTTCTCACTGTTATAATTTTTGCAAAGGCAGTTTCACAAGTTGCCCTGAATATAAGCTCCCGTTAGCAGAAGTTACACGTGGGTTTTTAAAGAAAAAGAAAAGGTAGTTCCTAAGTTGTTTACCAAGAATTTATATTAAAATAACACAAGCTATTGATTGGCTATACATTGTTCTTTGTACCACAAATTCCAGGAACAGGAAGACAATGGGTAAGGCAGGAACAAAATGCTGTTAAACAACTGCCCTCAGGCATAGTTGTGGGGAGGTAGGGTGTGACTGAAGTCTCCATACTCATGTCTCTCTGGGCCTGATAAATTTTGCATACCCTTGCATAGCTCAGAATGCTTTGAGCGATTTTTCTTTTCTCATCATCATCATCATTATTAAAAATAAGCAAGTAGTAAGCCTGAGCAGTGTGACAGAAGCATACTTCATTATTGGCTAAATGTATTTCCTTTCTGTAGTCATTACTTACATGGACCTGTATCCATGACTTATACTTTGTATAGATAAATGCATGCACATAGATGTATACACAAAATATATAAGCCAGTGAACTCTATCATCTGTTTGTATGAGATACGCAGGCAGGAACTGAGCTGAATCTGTTTCCATAAGGGATCCGGCACAGACATGTGATCTTCAAATACAGAACCAACTGTGTCACCTCACAAAAACAATTTCAATACCACTAGGAGTGAAACCAGGGGCATACGAACATTTGTTCCTAATTAACAACAACAGAAAATCTGTCTTGCTAGTCTTACTAACCAATTTTAACCCCAGTTCCTGAGGTGCTACTTGTCATGTTTCATTTGAGAAAAGCGTCATCGTATCTCCATGGTGCCCAGGACGCACTCTGGGTCTCTGCATTGCATACAAGATGGCAGCTCCCATTCGTCATGCATTAATAAGACAGCAGACCAGGAGGACTGGCTGTTCAAAGACTTGGTAACAACCCAGCACCTGTCAAAGTGTGAGCCAATGGAACTGAAAACCACAGCATTTTCACTGAGAACTGTTGTGGCAGAAGAGCCTAAAGTAAGAACTGCCAACCAGTGACTGGTGAATAGGCTTCTCTGTGGGCCTCAGCTGCAAGATTTTGGCCTGGAAACCAGGTGTGGTCCTGTCCCTTCCACCTTCCATCCACCCCTTGGAGCTAATTCAGAAGCCACATTTTGTGGCCCTTGCCCAGTGGTCCATGAGCCCAAAACTGGAGCTGCAGAAGCCAAGAGCACTCAGAAAGCCTCCAGGGTATGAAAGGCCAGCAAAGGGTACCTAGAGTCCCAGGGTTTCTGACTCTGCCCTCTCCTCTCTCGCTAAAATCTCTGAAGGCACATGTGGACTCAGGGGCCAGAAGCCTTTCTACTACAGGAGGTCTATGAACTATTTCTGTAAATGGCTAGAGAATAAATGTTTTTGGCTCTGTGGAACCAACCATCTCTCTTGCGATGACTCAATTCTGCTGTCCTAATTCAAAAGCAACCACGGCGTATTAGTCCCTTTTCACACTACTGTTAAAGACATGCCCAAGACTGGGAAGAAAAAGAGGTTTAATTGGACTTACAGTTCCACATGGCTGGGGAGGCCTCAGAATCATGGCGGGAGGTGAAAGGCACTTCTTACATGGCAGCAGCAAGAGAAAATGAGAAAGAAGCAAAAGCAGAACCCCTGATAAACCCATCAGATCTCATGAGATTTATGCACTATCAGGAGAATAGCACAGGAAAGACTGGCCCCCAGGATTCTATTACCTCCCACTGGGTCCCTCCCACAACACGTGGGAATTCTGGGAGACACAATTCAAGTTGAGATTTGGGTGGGGACAGAGCCAAACAATATCACCTAGACAATATGTAAATGATAGGCATAGCTGTGTGCTAATAAAACTTTATTTACTAAAGCAGGTGGCACCCAGGATTTGGACAACCCTGCTTTACAGTGACAAAAGTGAAAAAAAATTCAGGTGGCAACCAGAACTTTTATCTTTAAACAAACTAGATTAGAATGGCATGGGATGGGATGGGATGGGATGGGATGGAATGGGAAAGGTAGACTAGAACAGAATATGCAGAGTTTAGCATATGGATAAATAAGTATTGTTTTGTGATTATTTTGTTACAAATATGTTTTTATCCAAATATACCATATGTGTGTGTGTAGCTGCATTCTAGATAGTGATTATCAATGTATTTCTTAGTCTGAGTCAGGATCATAAAAGTGGGAAATACACTGGCATAGCGAATAGAATCTGCTATTCTATACTGGAAGCCCCCGGTCAGGAAGTCTGGGTTAAAATCTCCATTCTGCCCCCAATAAGATCAGACTTCCGATCTTTCAAAAGTCTCTTCCCCTCCGCTGGGCCTCAGTTTTCCCATCTGTACACTGAGAGATTTAGGGATGAGGGCCGAGTTAACTTCTGGTTCTTAGAAGCTGTAGAGGCATAGATGTCATTATTTAGTGCCAGTGATCAGGAAATCCTGCAAACCAGATGGTCCAGGTCAGAGATTTCCAGATAGTCTAGCTTCATCCCCAGGGTCTCTGCCCCACTCCAGCCCTCTCTATTTTCAACTGAGAAGCATTTGGTTCATTTCATAGCTTGAAGCCTCATTTTACAAATCAGCTCCCACTTGTGGATGAGACTGAAACTCTTGGAGAGAAAGTCTTGCACAAAGACACGACACTCATCTTGCCCAATGGCACTCATAAGTGCCTGGACCAAACTCAAATTCTCGGTTGTTCTGTGTTTATTTTTTTTAAATTTGAAGCCCTTGTCTTTTTTTCTATAGTATGGTCCTCCTTGGAGAGGGTAGTTTGTTGCAACCTCAAACCCCAAACTTCAGCTCACCCTCTATTTCTACTTGGGGTCAATTCCTAAATACTTAAAAATGAGGCAGTGGCTGCTAGGAAACAGTACAGGTTTACCAAGAATGGGCCACGTCAACTCAAGTATTTTCCTTTCTTCATGGGTTATTAGATGTGCAGGCAGGGAAATCAAGTAGAGAGCATGTATCTGAGTTTCTAGAAGATCCTGATAAGGTATCTCACAGGGCCCTGCAGAGTGGTGGGTGAGATGAAGGCTGGAGAAGGATCAAGTGAGGCAGGTCCATGGTTGGTAGATCAATCATAATCCAAAAGCATCATCTAATAGAGCAAAGGAGGGTATGGGAAGGGGGACTCAAATGCCTACATATGAGTGGTGGTGAGTTCTCTGGCCAACAGAAAGGGATAGGGTCAGCTACAGGAAGAAGCCATCACCCAGGTGTAGCCTATTGTGGCCACAAGAGGCCTGGCCAAGTTGGAGCCAGACCCCAGTGAAGGTAGAAATCTAGATTTGCCAATTAAAAGTGCTGCAAGCACATACCAATGGAAAAACAAACACTGTGTCACACACACACACACACACACACACACACACACACACACACCACAACTGTGGGCCAAATACAACCTATAGCTGTCAGTTTGCAATGTTAGGATTAAACATTTGCCATTAACCAGAGAAAGGCAGTGACACAAGGCTCTATTCTCTAATCTGTCCTCTTCAATATTTTCATTTCCAACTTGAATGAGGACACAGAAGCCATAATTATCACACAGACAGATATCAGGAAACTGGAAGCTGGGGGCAGACAGGATCAAAATTCAGAGTGATTTTCACAGGCTGGACCACTAAACCCAACATGTCGAGATGAGACTTATAAGAGAAAAATGTAAGGGCCTATACCTGTTAAACCATAGTTGATCCCATTCACACCATATTGTTCTGCCCTCTCCCCCACTACACACTATATGTGTGCCCTCAGGTTCTGTTCCTCTTCTGGTGGACCTTCTCCTCTCCTGGACTTCCCAAAGCAGGAGGGCACTATCCTAGGACCCCAATCCCTTCCTCTTCCTCAAGGAACGCTGCTGTCCTCAGCCTGTGGCCTCTGCAACCACCTACTCCACCTCCTGCTGAGGTCTGGAGTACAAGCCAGTAAAAGATACCTACCATCTAAACTGATGCAGCAACCCGGGCCTGACTGTTTTAGTAGTCTTGGGAGTACTCAACCACCATGGGAGTTACCCCAGAACCCAGCAGCTTCACTGAGCCAAGCCCAGCTCCAAGATGGCCTTGTCCCCCAGGCTGTGGGAAGGACTGGCCTTCATAGCTTATGAACCACGAGAACATAAGCCCCACCAGGGCAGGGGTCCTGTCCATAGCATTCCTCACCATGGCCCCAGCACCTAAAACAAGCCTGACCTCAATTATGTGTGCAATAAATATTAGAAGTAAGGACTACAAAAACACATACAGAAATTTGAATATTGACTATGAATTAGATGACTTAAATTATTGATAATTTTGTTAAGTGTGATAATGACATTGTTACATAAGAAAATGTTTCTCTCTCTCTCCCTTTCTGTTTATGACAGGGGGTACAAACTAAAGTAATTTAGGAGTGAAATGACATGATGTTTGGGATTCGCCAATGTGTTCTAGCCAAAAAGTGAGGGAGCTGGGGAACAGATCAAACTTTCTACTTTTTTTATGTTTGAAAATTGTCACACTAAAAGTTAAAAACAAAACAACAAAAAAAAACCCAGAAAACTGGTAAGGCTATAAAGCTGGTCTCCTACCAGCAGAGCTACAGGATTAGTTGCTGCAACCCCAGCTGGTAGTACATGGAGCCCTCTGGCTGAGGCCTCCTCTCCTTCCCTTTAGCTCCCCACGGGGATGGGAGGGCAGATTCCTGCCTTGTGATAAGAAAAGACACTGGATTATTTCTGCACACTGACCCTACCCTCCAGCCAGGCTCTGAAGCAGCATGTCCTAGGGAAGCCCCTGGGGCTGAGGTAAGCAGTACAGCTCTATCAGAAAAAGTATGGCAAAAGGGTGTATGGCACATCCTTTCAATGCCATAGTGGGGTGAAGGGCACACGAGGAATGTCTAGTGGATAGTATTTGGTTCAACTCATAATTTACTATTGATTTAAAATCTCAGATTTAACAAAGGTACCTACTGTTGATTTTGTCCACTAGAGATACAGATAATTTCTATCCACTGAAAATGATAATGCCTAAAATTACATTATGGGCCTGTTGGCCATTAATCCATTTTGGATCTAACCCAGCAATCTTCTACTAGCATTTTTTATAAATACCTGGCTTCTTAAACACTATTTGAGCCAGTTCTAACATCTTACTAGTTCCCTCATTAATTAATGACTGGAATAAACTCTTTCACATACACTCATTTTGTATTGGTATCAAAATGAAATTTTTTAACCTTTTGAAAATTATACTTCATCATCTCCCTGGAACTTACCTCCTGTAAGTCAGCTGTTCCTATGTTCTGTTGACATAGGAACTCTGGAGGTAGTCATTTCCACTTTGGATAGTTCCAATCATAAAAACAAAATTTAAAAATCTAAAAATGATTTATTTAATTTAGCTAGAGTCTGTCTCTATTGAGCTCTCTCCCTCTACTAATGCAGTGAAACAGCATTCAGACAAACCTGTGCTCATTTTATTAGCTGCATGACCTTGGGAAAGGTCCTTGATCTCCCCAAGGTCCTCCCCTTCCTATCTTCCAGTTGTGAGGACTAAATGAGATAGTCCATGTAAAGCACTTAGCACAGTGCCTGGTATAAAATAGGTTAATTTATGTTCTTCTCAATCATTTTCTCATTCGTTCCTTTATTCAACAAACATTTGTTGAGGCACTGGTGGTAAATGCTGGAGATGCAAATATGCATAACAAATAGCTCCTGTTCTTAGGATGCATGCTAATTAGGAGGAGAAAAAGAAGTGTTTATAAAGAAATTCTAATACAGCATGATAAGTACAACAATAGAATCATGTACAATGCACAGAGGAGAAAGTGATTAGCTCTGAGGCAGAAGCAGAGGTGGTTACCAAAGTAGGCTTCCCACAGAAGGTGATGCCTATGATGTGTTTTGAACATAAATAAGAGTTTCCCCAGCACTCAAAGAGGGAGAAAACATTACAAAGACTTGAAAAACAAAATAATATGCTACACCTTGATTGAATATAAAGAGCAAATGAAGAGCCAAGAGATGAATGCTGGAGCGATAGTAATGGGAGATGACATTGGTAAGCAAAGGAGGTTTGACATTCTACTTAAAAAATGATGGCGAGTTTTTGAAAGGTTTTAGGCAGGGATGTGATATCATCATATGTGTATCTTAGAAAGGTTATGGTGACATGATCTATGACAAATGAAGCAAGACCAAGGCTGAAAGATATCTTTGACTGTTCTCATGGTGAAACAGAGTATGGTAAATTTACTGTTACAATAGTGAAACAGAGGTGAAACCTGGAAACAGAATGAATGAAGAGGAAAAGTGTTCAAGAAGTAGAATCATCCATCCAGACTTGGCAAATGAGCAAGGAATGGCAGCTAACAGGTGCAGAGTAGGCACATAAGCCAAGATCAGCTCATTCATAGGCTGTCCAGAGACCAAAGAAGTATCTGACTATACAAAATTTGGTCCAATAGTATTGATGGTAACACTAGGACAGATTGTTTTTAAGGAAAAAAAAATCACACATTTAAACTTTAAAGAGTTTATTTGAGCATTCAATGATTCATAAATTGGGGTAACACTGGATCACAAGGGGCTAGCATTCCGCCAGAAGGGGCAAAAGAGGAAACTTTTATAAAGCATTGGAGAAGCAAGACAAAAAAAGCAATTTTGATTGGCTAGAAGTTAGGTGGTGGTTTCTGATTAGCATAGTTTCTAGTTTCAATTTACTGTTTCCATTGTGCTTTCATTTGTTCATGTAGGAATTTAAAGTGCCAGAGCCACCCTAATCTAATGGACACCTAACTAGATTTTCTTAAGCAAGTCAGACACTGTCCTTTCCGAATTTGAATAGGGAAATGCAAAGATAATCTAGTTAATTGGAAAAAGAAAGAGAAAGGAGAATGACGTGTAAAAAGAAGCACAGACGCTATTGAAAAGAGATCAATGCCAGAGGCTACAACAGCTATGACCACTAGAGAGCTGGACACCATACAGCAAAGCTGCTGTTAAAGCCTTACAGTCATTGGCATCTGGCACATGAATTCATCTAAATCCATCTAGGTTCCTTCCAAAATGTGTAGCATTTTGTACCTGGTCAGATGTTAGGGAAAGAAATTCATCTGCGTGAATATTGCAATACAGGTCTCACCTCCTCCAAGTCTTTCCTCCAACTCTTCATTGACCACAGTTTGCCCTCTCTCCCCACTCTGATTTTCTCCATTGTGTAAACTCCAGGCTGATCTTGCTTGATGCCCCCAGGATCCAAAGTCAGAAGCACTTACCTCATTCCTAATTCTTAACTCTACTTGCCTGCTTGGAATGCAGCTCCCCTCCTGCTCCTCCCATCCAAATCCCAGGCTGCTCTGACCTTCAGCAGGTCAAAAGGAAAGAAAGGTTGCAACATGAGACAGAAACCTCTAGATTTACACTTGGTCACAGAGAAAGCAAGAAGAAGAAGAACCGTATTGCTTGCTGGAAAGAACAACCCTACATTCAATCCTTCATTCAGGAATAGTGTTTTACCAGGCCCCTGACCCAGAAGGTTCGAAACTAGCATTTATAAACAGATAAAGTATCTGCAGAAACCCGGGTATCCACACATTCTACTAATGGTCACATATATCCCAAAGGTTGAAGAATATGAGAACTTAACCTCCATGAGGGCCAAGATTTGTCTTTTTCATCACCAATCCTCAGTGCCTACAATAATGTCTGGCAGGTACCGGGCAGCCAGTAAATAGTTATGGAGTGAACAAATGTATGGATTCACAGCAAGTCTACAGAGAAATCTCTGATGATATGCTAGAGTTCTTGGCCTTCAGCCTACCATGATTAATAATTCAATGAGAACATAAAGGGATTTCTGAAAAAAAATAAAAAATATAACAATGCAGCGGGGAAAAATTTTTAATGCATTGGTGAATCCACTCAAGATTTAAAATATCTGAAGAGGCCAGAGCAATAATCAATATGATGAGAGATTATAACAGAGCTGTCATACCAATTGAGAGATGTGATTTAGCAGCAGTACTCTTGGAAAAGAATCATGGGTCTTAGCTGACCATAAACTCAGAAGGAATTTGAGGTATGAAGAAGTTGTCAAGAAAGTGGCTGTGCTCTGAGGTAAGGAATCCAGAAATGAGAGAAGTGATAGCCCAGTACAAGGCATGAAGCTCAGACCCCTTCTAGAGTGATTTGCTTGGTACTTGAAATATGCTCAAAGAAGGGAAATCAAGGAAAGAAAAGGATAGAGGCCATATTATATGAGAAAGAGTTGAAAAAACTGGAGGTGTTCAGCCCAGGGAAGCCCCAGGGAATGTATTAGTTTGCTCAGACTAGATGTCTTAAAACAACTGAAATGTATGCTCTCCCCCCTCTGGAGGTCAGAAATCCAAAATCAGGATGTTCACAGGGCCATGATCCCTCCTTGTCCTTTCCTGCTTCTGGTAGCCCCCAGCATTCCATAGCTTCTGGCAGCATCACTCCAGTCTCTGCCTCCATCTTCACACGGTGTTGTCCCGTTGTGTATCTTCTGATAAGGATACCAGTGATACTTGATTAAAGGCCCACCCTATGCCAGTGTGGCTTCATTTTAACTAAGTGTATCTGCAGAGACCCTATTTCCAAGTGAAGTCATATTCTGAGGTACTGGGGGTTAGGACTTCGACATACCTTTTTGGATAACGCAATTCAACCCATACAAGAGGGCAAGAGAACCGTCTTCATGTATCCTAAGAACTGTCTTGTAAAAGATTTGATTTGTGTGGCCCAAAGGGCAGAGCTAAGAAGCAGGAATGCAAACTGTGGCTACTCAGGAAGAAGCACTTTCTAAGAGTGAAAGCTGCCTCCCTGTGGCTCCTGACTCTGAAGCTGCCCAGGAAGAGGCAAGTCGACCTGTGGCTCCTGACCTGAAGCTGCCCAGGAAGAGGCAAGTTGGTGGCATTGGGGGGCAGTCTCTCCCAGGAAGGGGATGGGGCTGCATGGCCTCATCTCACTCTGTTACTTGATTCTCTGGCACTCTGGCACGAGGGAACTATTTTTAACCAAGCAGAGATTTAAGTGGCTCTTTCCAAGAACCAGTATAAGTAGATGAGCTTCACGATAATGCAGACTGCTTATGAGAAATGGAGCATGAATTGCAGACCCAAGAAACGAATATAATTCAGCCTCTATTTTAATTTTTAATTGGAAAAAAAAAGCCCATCCCAGCCAGAAAGAACAGGGGAAGAGAGTACTTTGCACAGCGCTATAGAAAGAATTTGTTAGCTCTGCTGAAACAAATGGCATAGTCTTGTTGCTTCTGCCATCCCCACAATCAGGATAGGAAAGATTTCTACAGAGACTGCCGCTGCTGCCCGTCTCCATGGATAATGAAGGTCACGGTTTATGGGCACAAACTATTCTGCTCCAGACACAGCTTCATTGGTATGCAGGCATGAAAACCCAGCAGCCAGCCCCACACACTGATCAGATTTTGGAATTTAGTCATAATGTATACCTTCTCTCACTCCCTCCCATTTTCTCCAGACAGTTTTGCATTTAAATGGAGCAAGAGGACAATAGAAAGGAGTCAGGGAAAGAGAATTAGCATTTACTAGGCACCTACTGTGTGCCAGGCATTTGTTTCATTGAATTATTCAGGCTTTGATTCCACGTAAGATGGGGTCAGCATGTGTGCATGTGCGTGTGTGTATGTGTGCGTACACACGCTGACATATGTGTGACCTAGATGGAAAATGAAGGGAAAGGAAAGAGGTGGAGAGTGCTTACAAGATGGAAAGAGGAATAAGGGTGGAGGTCCTGGAGCAGCCTTTTGAGACAACGAGTTAGGCTGTTTCTCTGATGGCCAGGCAGGGAAGTTCCTGCTTCCAGCAAGGGTATCCAACCTGGACAGGACCCAAGGGTCAGGTCCAACCAGAGTCACAGGAATGCCTGAAATCAAGGCCTGAGATGAAAGAAAGCTGAAGAATTTGAGAGAATGTAAGGTTCCATCAGTCCTGGAAGGTCTTCCAAGGCAGCCAGACCTCAGCTGGACATTTAGGTGTCTCTGTTCAGGATCTTGCTGCATCCAGAGCCCGAACTTTGTAATTTTACCCATTTTACATTTACTGATTTTCTTGATTTACTCTGGAACCTCAGTAAAACTCTCCCCTTTCTGGCTCCAGC
The DNA here is from genome assembly GCF_000001405.40 of Homo sapiens. Lineage (NCBI taxonomy): Eukaryota > Metazoa > Chordata > Mammalia > Primates > Hominidae > Homo > Homo sapiens. The sequence goes on along the minus strand of NC_000011.10, from coordinate 11,080,780 downwards.
CCAGTGGTTCTGAGTCACTCAGGTATAAATGGATCACTGGGGAGACTGTTTATAGAGCAGATCCCCAAATCCCACCAGCAGAAAGAGACAGGTTCAGGGGGTTAAGAATGAAGCTTGACGATCTGAACTTTTAACAAGCACCTCAGGTAAACAGAGGAGCATGCTTTCAGAAATACTACTTCAGGTCATTTACGGCTTTGTTCGAAGAAAAAGAGGATGTGTCCGCCCATGTGCTAAAAAGGAGAAGATAAAAAAGTGTCCTTATGGCCAAGTGTGCTGGTGCATCAACAAGTGTGCTAAAGCAGCAACATTCTGGGAAGTTCAACAACCATTAGATTAGACAACCTCTCTGGGCTCTCCCTTTCCCTGTGCTGAAATTTTAGAGACACTCTTTTTTGTACCTAAAAATCTCACCATTGCTTCTCTCTTCCTTAGGGTAAAGGGATGTCCAGCTCCAAGGTGTCAGCTATTAACAGCTTAGCATGAATTAGACCATACTCAACCAAATCCTTTCCCCAAAAAAGGACACACACAAGAGAAACTAGCTTTTGTGGAATGCTCCTAGATATGTCCGGCACTGCAGTCAGTACTCCGCAGTGAGGAAGACTGAACAAGACTTGGTTGATGCCCACACCAAGCCAGTGAGATGGCATTTTCTGCATTTGGCAGATGAGAAAATTAGGGTCATAGAGATTTAGTAAATTGTCCAAAGTCACTTAGCAGATAGCAATAGACCCTAGATAGAATTCAAAGTCTGTTGGCCTCTGAAAATCATCCTAGCCTACTAGACCACTAGAGGAAGAAAGGGGACCCTACTGGGAAGGGCAGATCTGGGTGGGCTTCCAATAGAGGGTGGGAGAGGGTAGCCAGAACAGGACATAGGCCTGGAGGTAGAAAATTGTAGGCATAGATGTAGGGGGTCCAAAGACAACTTGTACTTTTGATTTGGTTCTCAAAATAAAGTGTTCATCAGTCTAAATAAGTATTGGCCTTTATCAAGAAAGAAAACATCTCTTTCTCTGGAGGGTTGGCCCTTTGGGCAACAGAGGAAGATCTGGGAGGTAAACAGCTGATCACAACTGGGATTAATGACATGGATTGGGTCAAGGCTTGCTATGCCTAGCCATCAGGTCTCAGGCATGATATGAGCCTCATCAGAATGGACAAAGGGTTGCACAGGGACTGAGCAAGAGGGATTTAACAAAATCTAGTTGGATCAAAGGAGATGCACAGGTGAACCACTGGATGCTATAGTGATGGAGACTATTGGGAGAATGTAGTAGAAACCAGGGATAGCCACTGGAGCATCAGGAAACAGGACCTGAGCTCTCCTGGGAGCATGCCTCTGACAGCACTATGGCTGCAGGTCATCTCTGCTGGATGTCCTGCCATTTCCATAGCCTCTGCCTAGCTCAAACTGAGTTCACCAACTTGTCTGCAAAACCAGATTCTACTTCTGACTTCACTAATATTATCAGAAGCACCAACATTCTGGGAGGTTCGACAGCTATTACACAACCTCTTTGGACTCTCCCTTTCCCTCATATCTGGTTACTTGCCAAATCCTACCGATGGACTCTCCATAACGTTCCCCACCTCTTCACTCTTATTGCCCTGTCTGTACCTAGGCTGGGGCCCAATGCACATATCTCTCAACCATAGCTTGCCATTCAAAGGCTTCTAGGGCCAGCCTCATCCTACCTCATAAACCAACCTTCCACTATCCCACTGTTCACTCAAATGAGCAACCCACTCTTGTCAAAGTAGCCTACTTTAAACCAGTCTGCGTTCCTTTGCTCATGCCATTTCTTCCATCCGGATTTCTATTTTCCCTGTGTATTCATTCACCACTCCCACCCCATCCATGCATTCAACAGATGTGAATGAGTGCCTGCTATATGCTAGGCACTCCTCTAGGTGCCAGGAACCCAGTGATGATTAAGACAAAGTCTTTCTGCCCTGGGAACTCACATTCTCCTGGAGAAGATAGAAAATAAAGCGGGGGAAAGGGATAAATAATGGCACAGTGTGTATGTGTGTGTGTTTGTCTGTGTCTCTATGTGTGTGTCTGTGTGTGTGTGCATACACGTGTGTGTGCATGAGTGTGTTTTAGGCAGAGTAGAGTGGTCATGAAAGGCTTCTTTGAGGAGGGGTTCAGATCAGAGACATGAATGAAATGAGAACTAGTTATATGAAAATTGGTGTAAGAGCTTCAAAGTCCTCTCCTCCAACAGAGGGCAACATAAGCTGTATATAAGCCACCCTAACCCCTGAATTCCAGAACTTACTGCCTGTGAAATTCACACATCTCTGAGCATATCCTGCCTTGAGTTGCTTCTTACCTTTTCAAGCCTGACTAGATGATAAGTTCTTTGAGGGTAGTAGCTTGATCTTACTTCATAAAAATCACAGATTACTGGGGCATTGTGGCATGCAACACCTAGTGAAGGTAGAATAAGGGAGAAATCATTTCACTGTGCTTCTGTGAGACTACAAGAAAAAATTTATTCCTTGTGATTTAAGGAAGACTGTTTTGCAGGTGTCATTCATTCCATGTTGGACGTATTCCTAGCTGGAAGCTAGGAAGGTAACTGAGGTCATTTCTCTGATTTGAATCCACGAGCAGATAAATAAACCCCTCATGACTCAGGCAAAAAAAAAAAAAAAAAAAAAAATGCCACCACAGCCCTAAGATAGAAGAACATCCACTGCCAAACTATCTTGAAATCATTGAGCTGAAGTCACAGAGCAAACGCCATTCCGAGGTGCTTCTGCCCTTAGGAGAAGGAGTCCAGGATACATCAGCAACATTCTCATGATGAGGAGCAGCTAAGGACTAATGAAAAGGGAACTGAAATATGTGTAGACTTTATTGAATCAAATATTGGTTTCTAAATATTTTTAAAGTATACAGTGTTAATATTTAAAAGTGTGTATTCTTTTATAATACTTTAATGCATTTAACTGATTTAATAAACACTTATTTTATGTGAAGGAGCCAACACATATTAACTGTGCACCAGCACATCCAAGCACAGTGGGGGTGCAGTGGTGACCTAACAGCTGTGTTCTTGTCCCCAAGGACCTTACAGTCTAGCAGAGAGGGCAGATGCTAAATAAATTAATGTCAACAATTAGGTGGTTACAAGTGAGCAAAATGCTGCAATTGGAGGCTTCTGGAGTGTATGGGGCAGGGCAAGAGGTGGGCAGGGGTCAGAGTAAGTTCCCCAAGGAAGTAATATTACATCTGAGACAAAAGTTGACTAGGGCTAATGTGGTGACTCACATCTGTAATTCCAGCACCTGGGGAGGCTGAGGCAGGAGGATCGAAGAGTTTGAGACCAGCCTGGGCAAGACAGTGAGACTCCATGTCTACAAAAAATTTAAAAACTTAGCTGGGTGTATTGGCACCTGTGGTCCCAACTACTCAGGAGACTGAGGCAGGAGGATCCCTTGATCCAAGGAGGTTGAGGCTACAGTAAGCTATGATGGCAACACTGCACTCCAGCCTGGGTGACAGAGAGAGACCCTGTCTCAAAAAAAAAAAAAAAAAAAACCGAAAAAAGAAGATAAAATAAGAGAAAAAAGTTGACTACTAGTTAGTGAAGGAAGGTAACACAAAAGAATGTTACAGGCAGAGGAAACTGTGCATACAAGTTCAGTAGTGGAAAGGAGAATGGCACTCGAAACAAGGGCAAGGTCAACAGTGCTGGAGTGAAAGAGGCACAGGATGAGGCTGGGGGCGGTGGAGCAGCAAGAGGCAAAACCAGGCACGCTGTAGGCAAGTCGGGGGTTGTGGCTTACCCCAGGGGCTGTAAAAAGCCATCTCACATTTGAGTCTCGGGGAAGCATACCAGCCTCCATAAAACCAGAATCATATAGATCCCCTCTTTGAGGTAAAAAAAAAAAAAAAAGATACATATATATATATATATATATGTGTGTGTGTGTGTGTGTGTGTGTGTGTGTGTGTATATATGTGTGTGTATATATATGTGTATATATATGTATATATATGTGTATATATATATGTGTGTATATATATGAGAAATGAATCACCTTTTAAGAAGCAAATCAGCTTTAATTAAAGACAAATGGAAGAAAATCACTTGGACCTAAAAGTGCTTTTGTTTATTCAGGCATTACGCTGTAAAATGCTTTTCTTGCCTAATGAGAGAAGCTGGAGGATAAAAATTGTTTACAATCTAGGTAGTTAAAGAATCTATATGCTTGCAAGTCAGATTGAGATAAGGTCTCAGTAAAACTAAACATGATTATGCTCTTCTTAGGTGACAAATTTCTCAGTTGCCACTTCATAGAAAGAGATAAGGGCTGTCTTCCTGTCAAACTGCTTTGACAGGCTTGTTTTTTACCCATCTGAAATGTAAACCTTTAGTGTTCTTACACGAACATCAAGAATTGTGAAACATGTTTTAGATAATCACGGGAAGTCATAAAACATAACTGGTGTAGGAGGTTGTAATCGTTGAAAATGTGTAATTATTATTAGTAACCAGATATAACTGAATGTAAAATGGATTAAATTTTTCTTCTTCTTTTCCTTGTCTGAGCCCCATTATTGACTGACAATATAAATCCACAGTTTACAGTTTCAGGCATTTGAAACAGTAGCAATCTTTCCTTGGGAGCTGTTAAAATAAAAATGAGAGCTTTGCTCATACTACCTGCCTGCGGCTGGCCCAGCCACTCCTCCCCAAACTAATCCACTTCACTTTTCTCACCCCTTAGCTTGTGCCGTTGCCCCTGCCTGGAATTCCCTTCCAAGTTCCAGCTCCAGAGCCTGGTGTTTCACACCACATGACTAAGAAGACTCTGCTACTTATTGGCAAGAAACCCATATTGTAAAATCAGCTCTTTGGAGTGACAAGTAAACCTCTTGAAAGCCACAACTCTAAATCCAGTTTGCCACCATTTGCTGATTTCATTCTTTTTGTGGGAAAAATGCCCAAGGGAGGAACATGCAGACTAAAAATGTATAGTCAAATGACATACCCTGTAAATCAAAACGACATTGACTGACCCCTCTTCATAAAGCACGGGCTTTTGTGCTGCCCCCAGTGGCTAAGGTGAAAGAGTCGGTGAACCACCCACACCCTCCCTCTCCCATAATCCCACCACCATCAGAGGCACACACTGTGGATGGCCCAGTGGCCCGGGTTACAGAAACATCTGTGGCCAGAGTGAGGCTGCCTGCCTCACCTGGGAATTGAACCTGTTCACCTTGGCCTCAACAAATGCCAAGCCAAACGACAACAGACGATTTGGGAATGGAATGATCTTGGATATGTCCCATGGTCAATTTGGTGATATTATTAACACAAACCCCCAGATCACTTAAGATAATATTAAGATATGTTGGCACCTCTTCAAAGTGTTTCTCTCTGAGAAGTGGAAAGGCAGCAGGACAAATCTCGACTCATCAGAAAGCAGAGGTTAAACAATCCTCCCTGTGCTGCAGCTGACAGAATGAGGTCAAAGGGAGTGAGCTCCAGGTGACGTCCGAGGATGCAGTCCACTTGGGCATTCTACCCAAAGCTGTATCCACAAACTGCCAATCAAAATGGCACCTTGGAAATCTGGTGTGTTTGATGTGGTTAGACAACCACATCAGGTCAGGCAAGCAAAGAACTTCCAAGTTTAATGCTCCACGAGTCCACGTGGATCCTATGAGCTCAGAGCTTATCCCACAGAGACATCCCCCTGGACTCCAACAGTTAGATATTGCTGCCTTTGTCATTCCAAACCACCACTGTGCGGGCAGCTGCTCCTCTCAGACTGTCCTAATTAGCAGCATGGTGCTCATTAACAGCTGCTGCGTGTTCAAATGTTCTCCCCCGCATGGAGCCGGGCCTGCAAAGCCTCCCAAAATATATCCTCCTGCTAAAGTGGTGCGTACCATGGCAGCAGATGTTTGCTGATGATGGGCCTGGCAATTTGCTTTTCCAGGATCTAAGATCCTGATTCTTCCCAGAGCCAGTCAGGGCGGGGCAAAGCACCCAGAGGCAACGCCACCATCATACAGACTCAAGGAGCTTAGCTGGGCATCTGGAATGTACTAGGCAAGAAACTAATGTTAGCTATCAACGGGGCTGATATTCAGCTAGTTTGCACCCAGACTGACATAGTAGTTGTCAAAATGGCTGTCCTCCTGGATGGTAAATAGCTGCTCTCTCTAGCCCCTGCCCGCCCAATGTCCACCACCACCACTAATATCACCATCACTATGGTGGTGTGAGGGCCTCTTTCTTGGGACCCCAGAACCCCTTACAAGCCAGCATCCACTCTGATTGATCAGTGCCATAGACACAAGTCATTACATTCAATATCATGCCTGGCTATCACTATTATCATCCTCATTGTCATTATTTAAGGACTGATATTCTCACAAACATTTCTACCAGAAACTCCACCCCAGCCCTCCAGGTTCTCCCCTACTTCTCTGATTTCTCCTTATTCTCCACAGCAGGTTTTTATCCTCTGCTCATCTTTTGAATGATTATATTTCCTGAGTCATCCCTTCCACAGCCAAGACTTCCCCTGCATTGCTTGGGGATTTGCCAATCCCATTGCTAGGGATTTCTTGGCCTACCTGGGTTGGAACTATGCTTCCAATGATTCCCTTCACTGCATAGTTTTGTGTTAGCATGGACCACGAGAGGCATTTACAGGAGACTTGAAAGGCAGAAGTGAAGCAGAGACCATTTTCCTTTCACTCTCAGAGAGCCTCTGCAAGACAGCAGGTGCTGTTGCTGTCTCTCTGTCTGCCCACCTCACCCATGTGAGGCAGCAGCCAGGTGGGCTGCCTCTCCAGCTCCTTCTGGCTTTCGCCCTTCGGCTGGGACAGGAGCACCCTAGGCTGTGTGATGGAGGAAACAAGCTTCTCCTGCAATGAAAGCTTAAAGGTGGTGAAAACATCAACACGAGTTCTAGTCCTACCTCGAGAGTCCTGGCTCATCCTTGCAGGTCCCCTTTTGACCTGCTTCCCCACATCATATCCATCTTCCTTTCCTGGCTGCCTGCTCTGTGGACACAAAAGTACCAGCTGTTAATAAACTGCTGACCCAGTTCCTGCAGTGCATGAGTTCAAACCCCTATAATAAATCCCTGCTTATATCTACGTCTGTGTGTTTATCTATATGTAGACAGATATAGATTAGATAGACAGATGATAGATTAGATAGACAGATGATAGATTAGAGAGGCGATAGATACTTAGATGACAGACAGATACAAGATTAGATGAGTAGATAAATGATAGACAGATAGATATTGCCTCATGCTCTGCTTCTCTGATTGAGCTCTGACTGATGCAAACTTCCACCCAGTCACTTAAGCCCTAAATCTAGTATCATCTCACTTCCTGTCTCTTCATCACTCTCAACATCTAAGTATCCATCCAACAAGCCATTCAACCTTCCAAACCTGTTTTGTTCTCTGGGTGCTTAAATATTTTTACTTTGTTCTGCCTTATGTTGGGATTTGACAACTGAACTATGTTTTCTAAATGGCAACTGGAATATCATGCTAGGAAAAGCAAAAGGGAATCATGAGTGCTTGTAGCTTAAAGGCTCAACAAAGAACGATGAACAACCTAATGCAGGACAGCTGTCCTTTTCATCCCCTCCCAACGGTGCAAACATTAAACAACCAGATATGAACCTTTGAAAGGGCATGGTCACCAAAGGGTGTCCACGATTGTAGGTGAGAGTTACTCACTATAGAGCATTTGCTATAACCAGTGACAAGCAGTGAACTCACTGGGGGCTTGGCAGTCCCTTAATTATTAACAACGGCTTTTAAAAATGTGTCTGTATTTATTTATCATAAAGGCAACGGGAGTTGCTAAGAAAATTCATAATGCAAACAGGAGAAATGTTAGCCTACTTAAGAGCAAGGAGCTTAAGTACTGGCCTTTACGTTCACATAATAAATATGCTCATTACACATTTTTTCTACCTCTTTAATAACATCCTGGCAGGAATCTCTAACACATCTTCCCTCTTCCCTTTTAGCATTTTTTCTATGAGTGCTTGGTCATAATGAAGCTACATTTCCTTACCAATGTTTTGCTTTTCCATCCTATCATTCATCATCCATTAATTCACAAAACATTTCTTAAGTGCCTGTTGTTTGCCAGGTGCTGGGAATATGACAGCCTATTAGTACAGGATTTGTATTTGTGGGGTGTCCATTCTGATAGTGGAATATCTTCTATCAAGAGGTAATCAAATAAATAACAACTTCATTTACTAGTAGGCACCACAAAATATACACACACACATAGTTGGGTAAGGGATAGTGAGTGTGCATGAGTGATCAAAGTAGGCCTCTTGGTGGAGGTGACACCTAAGCAGAGATATGAACAAAAGGAAGAAACCAGCCATGTGACCATATGGCACAAGAGCTTCCCAGGCAGTGGGAATAGCAAGGTTAAAGGCCATCGGCAGGAAGCGTCCTGGGTCTTGTCATGCATTTATCCTGATTTAAAAAAAAGGTGGGAGGGAGTTTCTTTCAGTTTCTGGAACCCTCCCAGCTCTTTTCTGCCTCGGGGCCTGTGCACATCCTATTCTGTTACCTGCATCACTCTGGCCCCTGAGCTCACCTGAATGACTCATTGTTCAGGTCTCAATTCTAAACATTGCTTTTTCAGAGGAGCAGTCCCTGACTATGCAACCTCAGGTGGGTCCTTCTTGTTATTTTCTCTAACAACACCAGCTTTCACCCTCACAAGGTAGTACTGTTTGCATGTGTATTTATTCAACACATAGAAAGCACTCAGCATCACTGCTGAAGTGAGGAACCACTGAGTGGATCGTAACAGTCATCCACAGAGCATCCAAACCAGGAAAGCTGAGAACTGTGAAAAGGGGTGGGGTGGAATACAAAAGAAAGAAAGTTATTGAGAAAAATAGTGATTTAAGGACAAACGAAAAAGGAGGAAGGGAAGACTGCTAAGGGGAGCCAAGCAGAGGGACTGGGCTAGGGAGAAAGTGGTAGAGGACTGGCCAGGCAGGACAGTGGACAGCAGGGACAGAGAGTCTAATACCAAAACAGCAGCTGCACTGCAGGCTCATGCCAGCCAAGGCTTCAGCACTCAGAGGGACAGAGCCATGCACAGCCTGAGATGCAAGGTCTGGCACATCCACCTGCTCACCTGCTACCTACCAGCCAATCCTCCTCTGCCTGGACACTGTTAACAAAGGACAGGGTCCCAGCACCAGTTCTGCATCAACCCCACATGCTAGTCTCTTCTTCTGTACTCAGAGCATTCATAGTCCCTTAACAATTCATCATGAGACAGTGGCCAAGCCATCCACCTTCTGTGCACCCCATGATACATTCCAGTTTGCTGAGATCCTTTTGCAGTGTTGCACGCAATAGTACCCAGGGCACCAGATGCAGCTGAAGCCCCATGCACGGGCACAACTGCCACATTTGGAATCGTGACAGCATGACCTTCTCAGGGCCTTTGGCAAACCCACAGCTGGGAGAAGGTTTGGGATGACAATGAGTTCCACCTGCTTTGACAGGACAGGTTACAGCAGATGCTGTTGTATTTGATTGTGTGGCAAATGGATGTGACGTGGGAGGAGAGGAAAATAGAACCTGGGAAAGGGCACGCGAGTCTTTCTGGGCGGCCCCAACAGATGGGGCCATATATAACGAGATAACACAGGTTCCAACCCCAGAGCCAGCTACTGAGGCGTGACTTCCTTCTTAACGGAAAAAGTAGAAATTCTCCTTGAAATGAGAACTACAAGGCAGACATATGTGCCCAAGGAGAGCTTGAGGATTGAATGCCCCCACAGGGCTCTTTGGGGAGCCAGCAGTTTCTACTGAAAATGCCACCGCAGGTGGAGGCGGACTCCTGGTTACCTGCTCAGACTGGATGAGAAACAAACCTGAGCATTCTGTGTGCACTTTCCATAGGCTCAGGGAGACCGCATCTCTGATTGATGTCATTTTGGGCAGCTGTCTCCTTGGAGCTATTATTTCTCCAATTTTCTTTTGCCAGAAAAACAACTAAAGAGCTCCAGTACCCCCACTTCCCTGGGACATTTTTTTTTAGAACGTATCCATAAAATTCTGTCTTTAAAAAGGAGTTGCTCAGTTTTCAACATGTGGATAATTGATTTGTTACAACTCACAAAAGAGCATTTGTCATTTTGCAACAACCAAGACCAATGTGCTTCCTCCAGAGATAAGCGTGGAAACACTTGACTTATTGCTGCCATTAAAGTGAAGTGTTCGGCTGATTATTTGGTATTTCAGAATTCCTTATAAATCACCACCTTATTTTGGTGATTACAATTTTAAGAAGAGATGCTTGATTTAGTGGCAGCAACAGGGAGGAGGAGGGATAGAGAGGGAGGGGCTGGCAGGAGGAGCAGCAAAGGCAAGAAGCTCAATAAACATACAATTGGAAACATCTGTCTGGTACATTGCCCTCTTCTCCATAACTTGCAGCTCAAGTGATATGCCTTCAGCTAGGAAATTTTCATTACTGGGCCTTTGTCAGAAAAAATATAAGAAGGGGAAGGGGCCCAGGGCTCTTTGCAGTGTGGGATGTGCCGCTGCCCTCAGGGTTCTGGTTTCCCGCTAGTTGGGGGTAGAAGAGAGTAGAGCTCCAAAGTGAAATTCATCCTATTGTAACGCATGGGCAAGCCATGAGATCTGGGCCCATGTTCACAGAGAAAACAAGTAAGCAGAGGGCTGGCTCCAGCTCGACACAGCTGGATTCTGAGATGCAACAAAGTGGAAAATGACTTCTTAAGCCCCAGTGAGTCCATCAATCAACTGCATTTATTGACAGCTAAAGGGAGGCAGACCAATGCAGCAGGTGCTTGGAGGGATCCAGGAACGGTTAGACTCAATATCTGCCCTGGGTAAACTTACAGACTAACAGAGCAGGCCCAAGTGGCATGCAGATTGTCCCCCACAGATTAAAAAGCTATGCAAATTAAGTCCTGGATGTGGTTGTGCATAGGTGGCACTTGGTTCTTCATGTCTCCCACAGCTGTAAGTTGGTATCTGAAATGTCTGTCTTAGGGAACGAAGACCTCTCCTCCCACAATGAGAGGCCAGGCTTGAATGTCAAATGCCCCAGGAGAAGGAATGTGTTGGTAGACCCTGCCTGGTGGAATATGTTCAATGCTGAATTTTTAAAGTTGGAGCGTATACAGATGCCTAGGTGGCCAGGATGGTGGGAGAACCCAAAACTAGTCCTATTGGGAATATGTAAAGAAAATAGGACACTCGGCCTAGAGAAAAGAAGGGTCATGAGAGCTCGCATGGACCTGAAAGGCTGTCATGGGAAGGGGGAAACAATTTGTTTTGTAATTGCTCTAGAGAGGAGAGTGAGGACTGCTGGTAGGAAGCTGCAGAGAGGCAAGTTTCAGTTCATTCTACTCTAGCAATTAGAGCTACCTGGATGTGGAGGAGTGGCACATGGTGAGTTTCCTGCCATGGGAGGAGTTAAACGACAGTCTAGGTGGCCATGTTAGAGTCACAAATCAGAGAATCTCTGCATTTGGTGGAATGTAAAACTAGATGCAATTCAAGGTCTGTTGCCACTGTAAGATTATATGACACTGTGACCTAAATTCACACTAAAGTATGAATGGTTGATAGGTTCTTTCCAGAAAGTGTATTGTATTAAAACCAGAGGAAAATTTATTATAAAAAACGATGGATATGCTAACACAACCATATATGCCTCTAACAGGAGAAATGGGCTTTGAAATGGATGATGACTGTGGGCGTCCATTTCAGCACTGAGACTCAGAGTGTTTAAAAGGCTTGCCCCAAAACATATAACCATTCATAGAAAGAGGGCCATCTAGTTTATGAACCAGGGCCTATTTGACTTCATTCCCATGCTATTTTCCATAATGTTATAAGTAAGGTGGGACTTACAGGTATTCCTAACCTCCAGGATATTAAGTCGTGGGCTAAGGCCACATATGTGGCTTTGAACACATAGTGACACCCAAAGAGAGTAGGGAGGGCTGTAGGAAAAGACAGTAGTATAGGCTCCCATGTCCCATGCTCCCTACACCCTTCACATGCCTGGCTGAATGTGTACATACACACACGGCCACACATATATGGCTGCATGTGTGCCTATACAGCCATATACATATATTATTAGCCGTCAGATGAAAAGGTCCAGGGTAAAGGTGGGTTTCACTTCAGCAAGGCTGTTGTCTGTTCCCTGACAGTCTCCCAGGGTAGCATTCACTACTTTAGCAAATTCCCTAGTCTAGGGTCTGGCCCTCATCCTCTTAGGCCTAAAAACAAGATTCTGTCAGTTCCCCAGAGGAAGAGGACTCAGGAAGGTGAATTCTCACCCAAAGCTCACAAGGGATCGGCGTCTAAACCAGTTACCAGTGTGTTCATTTGCAGCCAGGGCTCTCAGTGCCAAGACGCCTGGATATGTGAGCCCGAGCAGGTCCCTTCCCCCTGGAGACAGCTTTGTACAAAGCCAGCAGGCAGCAGGCAGCCAGGGAGCATGGAGCCAGCTCAGGGTCACTGGGAAGGACTAGGCTTCTTGGGCCAGGATGGCTTGATACCTCTTCCCCCAGAAAGACAGCCTGCCAGAGGAGCAGATGGAGGCCTCACCCTCCACTCTCCCTGCAGAAGCCTCCACCTCTGCCCTTGCAGCTCCGTGATGAGGGCTCCTGAAGCTGGCCAGCCCTCCTTCTGCCTGACTGTCCCCACCTCTTTCCAGAGGTTGCAGTCTCCATGTCTCACTGCCTCTCTAAGGTGGCTCTGCTAAGCTCTACCTGATCCTACCTGACCTACTTTATGGTTGAACTCTAAGAGAAGATTCCGTTTCCCTTACCTCCCGATGGTTGGAGTCCTGGCACCATCGCTGCCCCTCCCTACACACACTTGGAGACACCCCTCACTTGGAGGAGCAGGTGGAGGCCCTCAGCAGGCAGAGTCAGCCAGGCTGGAGAAAAGGTGCTCCAAGGGTATCATGGTCTGCTTCCTGGTGCTGCGTATACTGCTGAGTGGGCCCACACTGCAAGATCCCCCAACCCCATCCCACCAGAGAGCATCTCAGGGATTTCAGCTCCCATCGTCAGCCTGAAAGTGAGTTCCTTTGCCCCAGACCTGGGAAGGCATATGCAGCTCTGAGGCTCTTTCTGAGCCCAGTTCACAGACCTCTGCATCCACAGCCCTGGAGTTTCCTCTTTCAACCCTGTCCCCATAACTGGCTGTCTTCCCTGCTGTGTATCCCATCCTCGCTCCAAACTTGAGCCCAACCCTGAGCTCCTGCAGCCGCTCCCCACAGAGCCCATTCAACTTCCTGGAGCTCCCCATGGCCTCCTGGTACCCTTTTAGAAGGGAACATTCATTCGGTTAGTAACAAAACATTAGTAATAACAAGAGCTTACCATATGCCACCAAGCACCCTGCTGAATGCTTTACACACATTAGAATCTCATTTAATCCTCCAAACAACCCCAAGAGGTCATCCACATTCCATGGATGAGGAAACCAAGAAGCCAAGAGTAGAATCCCCAGTGTCACACAGCTAATACATGCCAGGGCCAGAACTAGCACTCAGATCTGCCTGCCTCCAGAGTCCACGATTATAAGTGCTACCCTATCTTGCCACACCTGGGGCAGCACCATCCGGCTAGTGACAGTACCAGGCCTGCCTCACCAGGGAAGGGAGTAGTGAGAGGCCTTATCCCTTCCATCATTTGTTCAGAAGGGCTAGGAAGAAAAACAAAAGTAGTCTAGAGGGAAGGAGTAATGGGGGTTGCTATTTAGATAGGATGATCAGAGTTTCACTCTGCCAACTGCCCCCCGACTTTAATTTGAACTATTACACTCTTCTTAGTTCTATGTATATTGCAAGAACAGCTTCGATCTTGTTTTAGCCAAGTTGTCACCCCCTAAAGCCTTCCAACATGAAAACTCTGGAGCCATCCTGACTTGATTCTTCCATCGTTATCCTGGGATAGGACCACTTACAGGCAAACCTCTTGATACCAGTATCTGTCCTCCCTAGAACCAAGCTCTGAGGCCAGGACAGCTTTTGGCAAGCTGTGCCTGTGCCCTGGCTAGTTTGCTTTCTCCCATGGGCCCTAGCTCCCCAGCTCACAAACTTTGGGGCTTTCTGCACCCAAGCTGCCTCTTGCAGAGCCTCCCCATCATGCTTGGAAAAACCTCCTTCCATCCCATGGTTCATTGACCTGCATCCAAAAAGAGGAAAATTGCAATGAGAGAGGAAAAAAAAAAAAAACTAGCTACGGTTTTAAGATTTCCTGGCATAATTCAAAGGAAGATTATGCTAAGTATGGGGAAAAAATCTTTTCATCAAAGGAAAATCATTAGAATTTTCCACATCATTTAAGCCTCTGTGATGATTTAAACCAGTGATTTCTTAAAATAATAATACCACTAATAATATGACTACCATTCCAAAAGCACACAAAACATGTTTAAGCAAATGCTTGGGAAGCTGCTCACCATGTCTTTTGATGGGTCTTTTTTCCCTTTCAATACCGTTAGGAACTGACAGTCATGATTTTCTGAGTAACTACCATGAAAAGGGAATTGGCCAGAAAACCTTGCCTATGGGACTGTAGCATGCACAGGAGAGAAGCTGAGAGGGGCCACAATTAGACAATTAGGAATGGCAAGTCTGTTCAACAAATATATTTTGAGTACCTACTGTATGCCAGGACCTGTGCTAGGCATTTATGATACAAATTTCTAAAAAGAAGAAAAAAAAGACCTGGACCCTGGCCTCAGACAGCTCCCAGTCCAGTAGGGATGATAGAATGGTGAGCCAGCCACTATAGCATGGTAAACGTTCAGGGTACCTTTCATACACACACAGCCAGCAACTCTAGAGTTCAAACTCCAACTTGTTGGTTCACTTGGGAGAGTCATCGAATTTCTCTGTGCCTCTCTTTCTTCACATAGAAAATGAGGATAGCAGCGATGAGCTGAAATACGTAAAAGGGCCCAGAAGAGTGCCTGTCACAAGCTGTATGTACTGGCCACTCTTGTTATTGTGGGCAGGACACCCAGGCTAGATGGGAAGTTAGCCCAGCGGAGAAGGTGGGGAGTGGAGGGAACAGCATGGGCAAAGCAGAGGCGTCAATGGTAGCTTGTATGTGAGTTGCTCTGTCCCTGGGATGATGGAAGATGGAATTTGGAGAGTAGTAGCAGATACAGTAGGGAGGTACAAAGGGGTCACCCCATAGGGAATCTTTGTCATGCTGAGGAGCTTGAGTGTTTTATTTACATGTTGAAAGCTGGTGAAGGATTTTAAAGAGAGAAGCAACAGAATCAGATCTGCAGCCTAGAAGAGAGCTTACCCTGGGGAGAGGCTGGACGTGGTCTGGGGCTCTCACTGGCAGAGGCAGACACAACCTTCCTCTCAGGAAACCATGAGGATACAAAAGTAGGAGGGATCAAAAGAAGGAATCAAAAGATATTTAGGATTTCCAGTTCAAGATGATGGATTGAAGACATGTGTTTTTATCTCTGCTCCCTCCTGAAACCCCACTAAGGCAACAGTAAATGATATATATATCCCAAGGACAAAGATTAAAGGTGAAGAGTCAATAGCAATAAACTTTCAGAAACCTAGAAGCAAACCATCACTTGGTGGTTGACAAGCAAGCCCAAAGATTCAACTGGATTCAAGGTGAGTATGGTAAACAAAGCCAACAACCACAGGATCTGCCCCCACAGAAGTCTCAAAGGCCCAATAATGGTCTCAAATGGGAACATGGCTCGAGGTCTATTTATGAGGCAGAGACCCAGCCCCAAGCTGGAGGACCACCCATCCCCACTGGAGCACCCTCTCTAGCCTCTAGGGCAGTACTGCCCATAGAAATATACTGCAAGCCACATACATAATTCTAAATGTTCTAGTATCCACATTTTTAAAACTAAAAAGAAACAGGTAAAATTAACTTTAATATTATGGTTGAACCCAATATGTACAAAATGTCATTTCAACATGTAATCAATATAAGAAATTACTGATGAGATCATTTACATTTTTTCATTTCAAAAAGTATGTATTTTATGATTATAGCACATCTCGAATTTTCATTAAAAATACTTGATCTGTTGTTAGATTTCATAAAATCTACAGTTGAAAAAGTAGATCCAGATACCCAATTTGTTCCAGAATATGTAAACGTTTTTCTATACTGAATAGATTATATATTTTGAAAAGTAAATTGATCAAAATTAATTTTTTTTTTGAGACAGAGTCTCGCTCTGTCACTCAGGCTAGAGTGCAGTGGCACAATCTCAGTTCACTGCAACCTCCACCTCCCGGGTTCAAGCGATTCTTCTGCCTCAGCCTCCTGAGAAGCTGGGACTACAGGTCCCCGCCACCACGCCTGGCTAATTTTTGCATTTTTAGTAGAGATGGGGTTTCACCATTATTGGCCAGACTGGTCTCGAGCTCCTGACCTCGTGATCCACCTGCCTCAGCCTCCCAAAGTACTGGGATTACAGGCGTGAGCCACCACGCCTGGCCTAAATTAAAATTTTAAAGTTTAGTTCCTCAGTTGCACTGGCCACATTTCAAGTGCTCAATAGCCCCCATGTGGCTAGTGGCTATTGTACTGGATGGCAGCACAGCAAAGTTACCCCACACTGAGGCCTAGGGGTGGTGAATCCCAACCATACACACACAGACGAGGATCCCCAAACATGTGAGGAATGCCTCTAGCCTGGAGACAGACGAAAGCAGATGGGGAAAAGCAATTTGAGAAAAGCAGAGACTATACAGGGAAAAAACATCAAAAAATCTATTGCTATTAACCCTGAGGAAGTATCTAAAGATTTTGAATTCGTTAGATTAGAACAGCATGCTATTAAAAAGCAATATTCAGAAGACAACACACAAAAAGCACTCTTAGAAAGTAACAGAAACCTGTTAGGAAAAATGAACGATTCAATACAAAAGCTGGAAGATAAAATTGAATAGATAACCCAGAAAGCAAAGCAAAAAGATAAGGAGATGGAAAATGAGGGAGAGAAAAGATTTAAAAAATTAAAAGATCAACTCAGACAATCCAGTCACTGAAAAATAGGAATTCTAGACGTAGAAAGGATAAAATGGTAGAGAGACAGACACTAAACATAAGTTCAAGAAAATATCATGGAGCTGAAGGACATGGATTTCTAGAGTGAAAAGGCCCATTGAGTACCCAGCACAGTGGATGAAAATAGTCACTCATATGGTTTGGATGTTTGTTCCCTCCAAATCCTTTGTTGAAATGTGTTTCCCAGAGATGGAGGTAGGGCCTGGTGGGAGATGATTGGATCACAGGGGTGGATCCTTCACGAATGGTTTAGCACACCATCCTCTTGGTGATGAGTTCTCGCTCAGTCCATGTGACATCTGGTTGTTTAAGGGAAACTGGGACCTCCCCCTTCTGTCTCTCTCTCTTTCTCTTTTTAATTATTTTTTCTTAGTCTATTGTGTGTTGCTAACCCCTTCTCTCTTTCTTGCTTTCACACTCATCATGTAACATAGCTACTCCTACTTCATCTCCACCATGAGTAAAAGCTCCCCAAGGCCTCACCAGAAGCTAAGCAGATGCTAGTGCCATGCTTCCTGTACAGCCTGTAGAAACATGAGCCAATTAAACCTCTTTCTTTTATAAATTACCGAGTCTCAGGTATTCCTTTATTGTGGCACAAAAACAGACTAATACAGTCAGTCACTCTAAAGCATACATAGAAGGGAAATTTCAGAACCCTGGGGGCAAATAAAATACCCTAGGAGCTCACAAAGAGAGTAGGGGAAAAGATTACAATTAATGGCCCAAGCACTTAAAACCCAGCTAATGAGGCCTCCAGGGGTGCAGATAAACAGCTAGTAGCATAGCTAGGACATAGGTGTCCTTCAGAAAGATGCCTCTTGGAAGGTAGTAATGTCACCTTCCTCAACACCTGCCTGGTAGGTTGAGGAAATGGAAGAGTGCAGAGAGCAGAGAGGGATGTTAGCTTACCAAAATGTAAGTCCTTCATCAGACCCGTGGGTATTTATAACCCTTTCACATGAAATACAAAAAATTATCAGGCCCACAATCACACAAGTAGTTGTGCTTTTAGTATTCATTGACTGAGAAAACACAATTCCAAAATACATCCCTGAAGCAACTACCGGTCTTAAGTATTTTCTTGTTCAAAAGAGCATCTATATACATTTGAAATATAAGTGAATACATAATTTCAAAATATACTCGTTTATAGGCAATGCTTGGTGAGTGTACGGATCTATGGAACTCTTTGCAATAAATCCTCATTTCCCAACTATCAGGGTCCAAGGTCCACCTGTTGGAAAAGATTGATCCAAACTATGGGGCATAGGATGCTCTGCAATAGCAGAGAAACACTGCTACCCCTCATGAGGTCAAACTATTAATAGATATTACCAAGATCACAGAATGGAAATCTTTCAGGAGGAAGAAGGAGAAAGCCCCAAGATTCTATGGGAAGATCCAGGTCTTTGTCTTCATCTCCTCCTGCGTGGAGTTTGCCATCCAACCCTGCAGGCACCAAAGAGTAGCATCTCAGTGTGTGGTATCAGAGCTCTCTCCGCAGTCTCCTAACAATTATCCTTGTCCCTCCACCCCTGCCCCACTCCAGTGAGCAATCCAATACGTGCCAGGCTAGGTGTTGCATACTTTAGTATATGCCATCTCTTACTGTTTAATCTTCACAACAAACTGGTGGAGTAGATATTAATATCCTCATTTTAAATATGGAAACTGAGGATCAGAGAAGTAAATTGCTTTGCCCAAGGTCACTTAGCCAATAAATAGTGGAGTTAGGATCCAAATCTACATCCTGTATGGTATACATTTTCTTTTCACTCTAACACATTGCCTTTTCTCCTTCTGAAATATAGAATTGCTGTTGAGAGATGGGATAGAGGTAGGGGGGGTAGGGGTGGGTGGTAATCATCCTGTAAGCTGGTTCCAGGCAGAAGGAACTCCTCCTAATGGCATTTCCATAATTAGAATGAATTTTTTCTGATAGTTATAATTTAGGCAATTGCAGTGACATTCAGCTGAAACCTGGCATGCAAGATGTTCATTTCTCTTAAAAGTTCACTTTTAATTGGCCCCAGTTCTTTCCAAGTCTGGAAGAAGTGCAGAATGTATTCTTCCGATGTTTCCCATGTTGAAGTTTATTTGACACCAGCACTCAATCCCTGGAGTTTATCCTGAAGTCTCTGGTAAGAGACAGGGCAGGGAGGACTACATAAGAAAGAGAAAGGGAGAAAGAAAGAGAGAGAGGCCTTGTCAGAAAGGGGGACTGCTCCTAGAGAGTACATTATTCCCAAAGGGACTCTACAAGTGCAAGCACATTCTATATGCCATATGAAGTAGAAAATGCCTGAAGATGAGACTTTGCTCCCTCATTCTGTACAGATCTCCAGGAACACATGGGCTACAATTACGGTGCTCCACTTAGTCAGTCTGTCCAGTCTTAGCTGGATCTTCCACTTGAATAGAATCCTCAGGAGAAGCTGAACTATGTCTGGTCAAGTGAGAGGACAGTTAAAGCAATACTCTTCTGGAATTCCTGTTTTGTTTGTTTCTTTGTTTGTTTTGTTGTGTTTTTTTTTAATTATACTTTAAGTTCTGGGATACCTGTGCAGAACGTGCAGGTTTGTTACATAGGTATACATGTGCCATGGTGGATTGCTGCACCCATTAACCTGTCATCTACATTGGTATTTCTCCTAATGCTATCCCTCTCCTAACCCCTCACCCCCTGACAGGCCCTGGTGTGTGATGTTCCCCTCCCCGTGTCCATGTGTTTTCACTGTTCAACTCCCACTTATGAGTGAGAACATGCGGTGTTTGGTTTTCTGTGCCCGTGTTAGTTTGCTGAGAATGATGGTTTCCAGCTTCATCCATATTCCTGCAAAGGACATGAACTAATCCTTTTTTATGGTTGCACAGTATTCAGTGGTGTATATGTGCCACTTTCTCTTTATCCAGTCTATCTTGATGGGCATTTGGGTTGCTTCCAAGTCTTTGCTATTGTGAATAGTACTGCAATAAACATACTTTTTTTTGGTTTGTTTGTTTGTTTTTTTAACGCAAGGTCTTTCTCTGTCACCCAGGAGAGAATGCAGTGGCACAACCATGGCTCATTGCAGTCTTGACCCCCCAGGGCTCAAGTGATCCTCCCACCTCATTTTTCTTTTTTTCTTTTTCTTTTTGTTTTTTGTAGAGATGAGGTCTCCCTATGTTGCCGAAGATGGTTTCAAATTCCTGGGCTCAAACAATCCTCCCACCTCAGCCTCCCAAAATGCTGGGATTACAGGTGTAAGCCACCATACTAGGCCAGCCTCTAGAATTCTTAATGCACTTCTGGGCTTTAGGAATAGCCCAAATCCCAAGGAGTCCTGGAATTTGCATTAAATAAAGAGAGAAAAACCAGGGAACCAGAGTAGTGTGGTAGAGAGAACAAAGGTTGAAGAGGAGCCAGAAGATGTAGATTTACGTTCCATTACTGCTCTGCCATTTGCTAGCTCTGTAACTTCCATGAGTCTCCATTTCCTGGGACAAATGATTAATAATCCCAAGATTATCATGAGTACTAAATGTGGCATTATATGTAGACTAGATCAAACTACTATCTCTGGTACATAGCAAACTAGGTATTCTGACAAACCCTCCAACCACCCTAAAGTATAGAAATAATTGAGTTTAAAAAAAGTAAACAATTTTCAGAGGCCAAAAACTAAGTAAAGGTAGAAAGCCTAGAGAGAATGTTGAAATCAACTTTCCTTTGTGGGCATCTGCCAAACCCAGGTGACCATGAGCTTCAGTATTCATGACCTAGCAGTTTATAGGAAACAAGAGACATAGACTATGGCCCATTTAAAGCGGAGAGTCTAATAGGAGAACCACCACCTGCGTTTAAAGCTAGGAACTCAAAGCCTTATTCTCAGTGTAAGGCTGAAGTTGAAATAACAGCCCACCCTCTCACAAGAGGGAACAGCAAAGAAAGTTGACTACCTCAGAATCTGGCTGCTAGGTGGACAGAACAAAAACATCTGAGAATTGCAACTACAAACTCAGGCCACAAAGGGGATTTGAAGCTCAAATTGATATTACCCAGATTGTCCATAAAACCTCAAGCTTGAAACAGTTCCAGTTTAATAGTGCCCAGGAGGCTACTGGAAACAAATACAAATTCTTTCTAGAGAAACTCATTTCCAACCCAGGCCTCAAATAATTCCTATATAGTTAAAAAAGATGTGTGTTTATACTCAAAAAAGCGTAACACACAAGGAAACATGATACCTGAGCAAAAGCCAGCAGAAACAGCACCAGCCTCATCATACCCATAAAGACTTCAGATATTAGAATTATCTGACATAAAATACAAAATGATGGATATGTTTAGAAATAAAAATGAGAAATCAATACTGAACTATAAACATGACCAAATAGATTTGAAAAAAGAACCAAAGATACCATCTACAAACAAAAAATGTAATAATTGAAATCAAAAGTCAATGAATGGAGGTAACATTATTAGATATACCTAAAGAGAGAGATTTTGTCAACTCTAAGGCAAATTTTTTAAAACACCCAAAAATGCAACATAGAATTAAAAAAATTTTTTGAAAATATGAAAGAGAGGTCAAGAGACATTGAGGCTAAAGCAAGAAGGTCTAACTTACATCTAACCAAAGTTTCAAAAGAAGAAGAAGAGAGAGATGTAGAGGAGAAATATTATTCGAAGAATGAATGGCTGAGATTTTTCTGAGACTAAAAAGACATTAATCTTCAGATTAAGTGAATTCCAGGCAGAATAATTTTTTAAAAATCCATCCCTAGGCCAGGCGCAGTAGCTCACGCCTGTAATCCCAGCAGTTTGGGAGGCCGAGGCGGGCGTATTACCTGAGGTCAGGAATTGGAGACCACCCAGACCAACATGGAGAAACCCTGCCTCTACTAAAAATACAAAATTAGCCGGGCATGGTGCCATATGCCTGTAATCCCAGCTACTCGGGAGGCTGAGGCAGGAGAATCGGTTGAACCTGGGAAGGGGAGCTGAGATTGCGCCATTGTACTCCAGCCTGGGCAAAAAGAACAAAACTCTGTCTCAAAAAAAAAAAAAAAAAAAAAAAAACCTTTTATCCCTAGACAAGAGCCAGGTGCTGGGGCTCCTGCCTGTAATCTCAGGACTTTGGGACGCCAAGGCAAGTGGATCATTTGAGGTCAGGAATTCGAGACTAGCCTGAGCAACATGGTGAAACTCTGTCTGTACTAAAAATACCAAAAAATTAGCCAGGCGTGGTGGCATACACCTGTAATTTCAGCTACTCGGGAGGCTAAGGCATGAGAATCGCTTGAATCCAGGAGGCAAAGGTTGCAGTGAGCCAAGACTGTGCCACTGCACTCTAGCCTGGATGACAGAATGACACTCTGTTAAAAAATAAATAAATAAATAAAATCCATCCCTAGACATATCACAGTAAATCTGCAAAACAGCAAAAGCAAAGAAAATGTCTTTAAAAGAACCAGGAAAAAAAGACAAATAACAACCTAAAGACAATGGAAGGAAGTCTTCATATGCTGAGAAAAAAATAAATTGTACACCCAGCAAAATTTCACCCATCAAGACTGGGGGTGAAATTCTTAGAGACAGGTGTTATCAGAAGACCTTCAGTATGCCAGCTATCAATTTATTGTCTCTCAGATACAAATTTGTCCTGCTCTGCTCCTGTATACCCCTATACAGGAGCTTTGTGTGACAGTCTATGTTTGGCCAGGCACAGTGGTTCATGCCTGTAATCTCAGTACTTTGAGAGGTCCAGGTGGGAGGATCACTTGAGGCCAGGTAAAGGTAGAGAGAAGGTCTTTAAATATTTTTTCTTTGCCAGCTGGCATCACATTAAGCTGGTATCATGTTATGGTCAATAGAATGTACTGGAGGGATATTGCAGGACATAGGGATTTTCCGTGCTGATTCCAATTCCTGACCTCCCAGAAAGCTCCGTGAGTAAGCCCAGCACCAGCCTCCTCCAGTGCATGGCAATCAGCATCACCCAGCAGACAACAGCTTCCTCCAACTACTCCCTTTGGTGGTTTCATGGTGGAGCACCTCTGGCAATAGCTCCTGATGAATAATAGCTTTCCCTGGCAACCTAGAGGACATATTTTTAGCAAGTTCTTCCAGTGTAGAACCACAGCAATTTTTCTGCCATTCAGTGAGCCATAATCATGCTTTTTTCTAACAAGGTCTGGGTCTCAGCCCTGCGGAGCTCATTCTTTGGATGCTCTATCTCAGCTTGTAGGAGTGGTGATTGCTTTCTATAGCTGCTATTCCTCTTAAAGTTCTCTTTACTACTTACTGCAAATCCCTTGTTACTGCATTCCCCCATTATAGTTAATTATTCTTTGTATTAAACTTTCCCTGCACAAATTAATGTGTGATTTCTTTCTCCTGATTGGACCTTGGCTGACATATTCACTAAAGAGCATCTTTCATGCAAAGAAAAATGATCACAAATAGATATAGAATGCAAGAAGAAATGATGACTAAAAAGCAATAAATATGTAAATCTAAAAAATACACACTGATTTTCTTTTTACATTTTTAAATACTTTTTTCACAAACCTAATGTTTTAGGATCATTTTTCTTTTTTATATCTTCCTATGTCTTGGACTATATTCCTATTCCAAGAAATTCCGCCTTTGGTCCTCTCCTCCTAGCAGAGCCAAAATGATGGCATGATGAAGCATAAACTTTGGAGTCAGATAAACCAAGGTATAAATCATAGCTCTGCTACTTGCCAGCTATGTAACTTGAGAGAAATTCCTTAACCTTTCAAAGTCTGTTTCCTAACAAACCCAGTTGCCATGAGACTTAACTGAGATAACTGATATGAAAGTGCCTGGAATATGGTAGGTTCTCTATTTCTTTTGAAGAAATCATTTTGAAGAGACACTTTCCCCCAGAGATCTCTGAATTCCTCTTCTAGTCATAAAACTTTCTTTCCTCCAGATGAGCACCATGCTCTTGAGAGGATTCTTCAGTGTTCTCTTCCTAATGGGTTTATTTAATTAGCTGATGTCTGCACATAACTCTGAAGAAAAATGCTGATCTAGCTCTCTCCATCAGCTGACTCTCTTCCCTACGTAATGGACTTCTAAATTTTTAAATCTGAGCCCTAGGTATCTACTGGCTCTAATGCTGTAAGGAGATCCAGGAGAAACCAACTGTTCTGAGCCAAGGATAAAGTGGCAAGGCAAGTTAATGCTTGCACATGCTCTAAGGATATTTGCTGTGCTGTGAGTTTTAAGTCAGCCCATCTTTGCTAGCACTGATTAAGCATTTTGTAATATACAGGGCTGGTGGGTTGGAGAGTTTGGTATCAATACTCTTCTCCAAGCCTACAACATAATCTGGATATGAGCCAACCCTGCTAACCTACCCACCATGTGTTTCAGTCTAGCTAGTTTGAATGAACACAGCTAGATCCTGTATTCAGGATTCAGAACCTCAGTTATGCAGCCACTCAGATATTACTTTGTTAGTGACACAAACTGAACATTCTGTTTGCAAAGCCTAGCATGAGGACCTGAATGAGACAAGTGAAAAATTTGTCTCTGCCTCCTGGGTGTTCATTCAAGAAAGAGCAAGTAAACTCAAAGTTTCATAACCTTAGAACGAAGATAAAGGCCTCAGAAGTTGTCAAGTGCCATCTCCTTCCTAATCCAGGACTTTCAGCCCCTGCTAAAACATTTCCAAACATGGAGAGTTCACATTCTCCAGGGAATGGAGAGTAGCTAACATTAGAAAGTTCTTCTGCTCTTGCAGTTGAAAATTTTCTTCCATGCAGAGGATACAATGCCAATCCCCAAAGCAAGTGGAGAGGCCAGTATCTGAACTACAGATGTGTGAGGTAATTGGAGTGTCCCATGACTGGCATTCATAGGAAAGTATTCAGTGAATGCTTCATGGCACAGGCAACCATTATTCACTCGAGCTGGGACCTTCCACTGATGTCTTCTGAATCCAAAATCTCTCCCCAGAGAGGAGGACTTTCTTTTGTGGGGAGATATAGTAAACATACTTTCTTCTATTTCTCCTGCTATGTGTAACTAAAAACCTTGACATTATTTTAAAAAAAAAGAAAGGAAGAAAAGTCTGGCAGATAGAGAGAAGTAGGCAGATCAGCAGAGACTTTGGAACCAAGGAATTACACGGTGATGAGTTCCCTGGGTTTTACTTTTGTTTCACATATCCTAGACATGGAGCTAAAGAAGTGAGCAACCAGAAAATGCCAAGAGGTGCAGACCAAAAAAAAAAAAAGAAAGCCTCAACAAAAAAGCCTATTCTTTCTAGATAAAGGATCAGAAAAGGAACATCCTAGTAACACAGAAATTTTAGACAATAACCTCTCCACCCCAACCAAACACCACATGAGACAATCTGTGGCCCGATCCCCACCCATGCCAGCAAATGTTGAGTGGGGAGCCTAGACTTCATTCATGTGAGATTGTTAACAAGGCACCCATATTAGTCAGGGTTCTCCAAAGAAACAGAACAAATAGACTTAAGACATGTAGATATTTTTTGGCTCATACAATTAAGGAGGCTGAGAAGTCACACAATCTGTCATCTGTAAGCTGGGGAACCAGGAAAGCTGGTGGTATGATTCAATCCAAGTCCAAAGGCCTAAGAATCAGGAGCTCTGCTGTCCAAGGGCAGGAGAAGATGGATGTCCCAACTCAAGGAGAAAGAGAGAAAATAGTGCTTCCCCTGCCTTTTTGTCCTATTTAGGCCTTCGATGGACTGGATGATACCTGCTCACATTGGTGAAGGCAGATCTTCTTTGTTCAGTCTACCAATTTAAATACTAATTTTTTCTGGAAATGCCCTTACAGACACACCCAGAAATGGTGCTTTACCAGCTATCTGGGCATCCCTTAGCCAAGCTGAGTTGACACTAAAATTAATCATTACAGCACCCTAACATCCAGGCATGATGATGTCAAAAGTCAAGGAAAGAGCTGGGACTTATGTCCCTGCTGGACAGTAATGAGGCCAACTACCTCTCCCTCCTGCAGTGTCAGTGGAGACCACACTGGGATTCTGGACCTTCACCCCCACCCAGCAGTAATAAGGCATCTTTCCACTACTCACTGGAGTGGTGTCAGAGGAGACCTAGTGGAGAATAAAGACTTTCACCATACCCCAGCAGCAACAGGGTAACCCCATAGGGTGTCAACAGAGGCTAAGTAGGAAACCTATACTTCTACTTCCACCTAGCAGTAATGAGGCAACAGTGCCTTCCCCAGAGGGGATTGAATTTAAACAGAAGATTTGGGTAATATTTAGAGCCTTATAATTGTTTAAAGTCCAAGTTTCTATTGAAAATATCTTGTCATATGAAGAACCAGAAAATCTCAAACTTAATGAAAAAAATACAATCTAAAGATGCCAACCCCAAGATGGAAGAAATGTTAGAATTATCTGACAAAGATCTTAGAGCAGCTGTGAATTTTTTTAGTGCTTTAATGAGAAATTACTAACATGCTTGATGAAAAAATTGGAAAGCCCTTAGCAAAGAAATAAAATATTCAGGAAGGATGTAGAAGATATAATGAAGAACCAAATGAAAATCTGAGAACTAAAAAATACAATACCTAAAATAAAAATCTCAGTGGATGGGCTCAACAGCAGAATGGACAGAGGGAAGCAATTAGTGAAGTAGAGGACAGAACAATAGAAATTATCCAATCTGAACAATAGAGAGAAAATAGACTGAAAAAATTACGAACAAACTTTAAGAGCCTGTGAAACTATGACAAAACATCTAACATTCATGTCATTGGAGTCTCAGAAGGAGACTACAAGAGTAGAGGTATGAAAAAGTATTCAAAGAAATAATGGCTGGCTGGGCATAGTGGGTCACGCCTGTAATCCCAGCACTTTGGGAGGCCAAGGTGGGCAGATCACAAGGTCAGGAGATTGAGACCATCCTGACTAACATGGTGAAACCCCGTCTCTATTAAAAATACAAAAAAAATTAGCCGGGTGTTGTGGCAGGCACCTGTAGTCCC
The DNA here is from genome assembly GCF_000001405.40 of Homo sapiens. Classification (NCBI taxonomy): domain Eukaryota; kingdom Metazoa; phylum Chordata; class Mammalia; order Primates; family Hominidae; genus Homo; species Homo sapiens. The sequence goes on along the minus strand of NC_000011.10, from coordinate 11,053,654 downwards.
AGCTACTTGGGAGGCTGAGGCAGGAGAACGGTATGAACCCAGGAGGCGGAGCTTGCAGTGAGCTGAGATCGCACCACTGCACTCCAGCCTGGGTAACAGAGCAAGACTCCGTCTCAAAAAAAAAAAAAAAGAAAGAATGGCTGAAAACTTCCCAGATTTGGCAAAAGATATAAACTTACAGACTCAAGAAGCTGAGTGAACCCCAAACAGGATAAACCCAAAAAAATTTACAATGAGATACACTATAATTAAAATTCTAAAAACTAAAGACAAAAAATTGTTTGAAAACAACAGGAGAGAAATAACATCTTACATATATGAGAAAAGCAATTTAAACGACAACAGATTTGTCATCCAAAACTATGGAGGATGAAAGAAAGTGGCATAACATTATTTTAAGTGCTGATTTTAGAAAACAATTATCATCCCAGAATTTTTTATATTTAAAAATATTCTACAGGGATGAAAAGGAAATCAAGACATTTTCAGGTAGAGGAAAACTAACAGAGTCTGTCACCAGCAGATCCTTCCTCAATAACTAAAGGGTTTTTTTTCTTTTTTATAGAGACTGGGTCTTGCCATGTTGCCTGAGCTCGTCTTGAAATCTGGGCTCAAGTGATCCTCCTGCCTCAGCCTCCCAAAGTACTGGGATTATAGGCCTGAGCCACCATTCCTAGCCAAGAATCTTCCCTAAACAGAGAGGAAATAATAAAAAGAGGAATTTGGGAACAACAGAATGAAAAAAGGGACATGATAAGCAAAAATATAGATAAGAACAATAGAGTATCTTTCTCCTCTTGAGTTTTCTAAAATATGCCTGAGAGTTGAAGCAAAAATTATAACACTGTCTAATGTGGTTCCAAATATATGTAGATGAAATATTTAAGACAATTTTATTGTAAATGGGAAGAAGTAAAGAAACATGAAGGGAGGTGAGGTTTCTACACATTACTCAAAGTGATAAATAATGGCACCAGTAGACTGTGAGATTTACATATATATAACGTAGTACCTACATTTGGCAACCACCAAAAAAGTGACCAAAGAGATATACTAAACAACACTGTAGATATATCAAAATGAAATTCTAAAAAACATTCAAGTAGCCTACAAGAAGGCAGGGAAAGGAAAACAGAAAAATGAAAGATGGCAAAAACAAACAGAAAACAAAAAACCAAATAGTAGACTTAATTCCAACATATCAATAATTCCATTAAAAGTGAATGCAGTCAAACTACATCAAACAAAAAACACAGATTGTCAGAGTGGATTTAAAAAAATGTATCTCACATGTGTTGTCTATAAAAGATTCACTTCAAGTCTGATTATATAGGTGGGGGGCAGGAAATGTATAGAAAAAGATACATGAACATTAAACAAAGGAAAGCAAAAGTGACTATATTAGTATTAGAGCAAAAAGCACAATTATCAGAGACATTATGAATGATAAAAGGATCAACCTACAGAGAAGATGTAGCAATCCTAAGTGGGTACACACCAAAAAACAGAGCAGCAAAGTATGTGAGGGCAAAAGCTAACAACAATGAAAGGAGAGGCCCAGCGGGTGGCTCACGCCTGTAATCCCAGCACTTTGGGAGGCCAAGGCGGGCAGATCACCTGAGGTCAGGAGTTAGAGACCAGCCTGGACAACATGGTGAAACCCCATCTCTACTAATAATACAAAAATTAGCTGGGCATGGTGGCGAGTGCCTGTAATCGCAGCTACTCCGGAGGCTGAGGCAGGAGAATCACTTGATCCCAGGAGGCAGAGATTGAAGTGAGCCAAGATTGTGCCATTGCACTCCAGCCTGGGTGACAAGAGTGAAACTCCATCTCAAAAAAAAAAAAAAAAAAAAAGATGAAACAGACAAATGCAAGATTATAGTTAGAGATTTCAACACCCCATTCTCAACAAGTTATACGACAAGTAATCAGAAAAAGTGATTAAGAACTTAAGAACACTATTAACCACAGAAATCTAATCAGCATTTACAGAATACTCATCCAACAATAGCCACATACACAGCTTTTTCAAGTATCCATGGAACATATACCAAGATTGATCTTATCCTTGGCCAGAAAATAAACATAAACAATTTCTAAAAATTTAAATCATACAGAGTGTGATCTCTGATCACATTGAAATAAAACTTAAAATCATTAACAGAAAGGTAAGAGGAAGATCTCCAATCACTTAGAAAATAAACAATACATTTCTAAATAATCAACAGATCAAAGAGAAAGTCTCAAAAAAATTAAAAATACACTAAAAAACTAAATAAAATAAAAATAAAACTATCAAAATTTGTGGGACACAACTAAACCAGCACCAAGAGAGAAATTTCTATAAGTAAATGCTACCCTAAAGAAGTGGAAAGTTCTCAGATCAATCACCTAAACTCCCATCTCAAAAACCTAGAAAAAGAAAAGCAAAATAAACCCAAAGCAAGCAAAAGGAAGAAAATAATAAAGATAAAATCAGAAATCAGTGATATGATATTAAAACAGTAAAACAATAGATAAAATCAATGAAACAAAGATCTGGTTCTTTGAAAAGATTATAAAATTCACAAACCTCTAGCAAGGGACAAAGATAATAAAGAAATAAGACATAAATTATCAACATTGGGAATTAAACAGGGGAAATTACCACAGGCCCAGCAGACATCAATGGATGATTAAAAAAAAATACTAAGAACTTCACTTGCATAAACTTGAAACATTAGACAAATTGAGTCAATTCCTTGAAAAACACAATTCACCCAATATAAACAGACTGTTTAAATAACACTGTAACTATTAAGGAAATTTAATTCATAATCTTAAAACTCATGATTGAAAATAATTTTTAAAAAGTCATAATTTTTAAAAATCTTTGGAGCCAGATACTTATATTTAATGAAAAATTAACACCAATTCTACACAAACTCTTCCAGGAAACAGAAGAGGAGGAAATACTTCCTAGTTCATTTTAGAAGCTAATATTACCCTCATACCAAGACCAGACAAAAACAGCACAAAAAAGAAAACTACAGACTACTGTCCCCCATAAATAAAGACATAAAAAGCCTTTAATGAAATAGTAGCAAATAGTATTCATGGTATTTTTAAAAAGTATACACAATGACCAAGTGTGGTTTATTTCAGGAATGCAAGGTGGGTTCAATATTAAAAATTAATCAGCATAATCCACCAGATTAACAGGTAAAAATAGAAAAAAATCACATGATTGTATCAATCACGCAAAATAGCATGAGACAAAATTATTTGACACCCATTCAAAATTTAAAGAAAAAAAAAAAACCCTCTCAGCAGACAGGAATAGAAACAGAAGGGAAACTTTCTCACCTTGATGAAGTATACCTCCAAAAACCCTACAGCTAACATTATACTTAATGGTAGAAAACTAAATGCTTTTCCCTTAAGATCACGAAGAAGGCAAGGATGTCTACTCTCACCATTCTTATCAACATAAAAACATGAAAGGTTGTACTGGAAGTTCTTGCTAGTGCAATAAAGCAAGAAAAGGAAAGAGAAGGGAAGGAAAAGGATAAAATTATCCTTATTTGAAGATGATATGATTGTCTATGTTAGAAATCCCAAGGAATCTGCAAAATAACCCCTAGAACTAATAAGCATATTCAGCAAGGTCACAGGCTACAAGGTTAATAAAAACTTACCATATTTTTATATACTAGTAATGAACACATGGATACAGATACTCAAATATAATACCATTTATAATAACCCACAAATATAAAATATTTACAGATAAATCTAACAAAACAAATGCAGGACTTATAAGCTGAAAACTACTGATGAAAGAAACCAAAGAAGAATTAAATAAATGAATATATTTCATATTCATGGATTGGAAGACTCAAAAAAGTAAAGAGGTCAATTCTCTTCAAATTGATACACAGGCTTAATGCAATTCTTACCAAAATCCCAACAAGATTTTTGTAGATAAAAGCATAATTATTTAAAAATTCAGATGGAAAGATAAAAGAAGTAGAATAGCTAAAACAATTTTGAAAAAGAATAATGTGAAATGAATCAGTCTATCAAATTTCAATATTTATGGCCTTGCTACTCTAATCAGATATCTGGTATTAGCAGAAGGATAGACACAGTGATCAATGGAAGGGATAGGTAACCCAGAAATAGACCCCACAAAATGCCCAAATGATTTTTGACAAAGGTGGATAAGCAATTCAATGGAGGAAAGATTGCCTTCTCAAAAAATGGTGCTGGAGTAATTGGACATCCAAAGACCAAAAAAAAAAAAAAAAAAAGAACGTTGACTGAAGTCTCATGTGTTACACAAAAATTAACTCAAAGGGGAGGAAGCAAGCAAGTCTGATGTGACTGCTTAGAGCAGCAGATCTCCCATCCCAATCCTTTTCCAGTGCCCACCAGAAGGTCACTAGGTCCTGGGTAGCATAAGACAGTGCACCTCCTGGTTACCTGGCTTTGTCCCAAAAGCCAGATGCAAGGTGAGGCCTCGGTTCCTTGGGTCAGCTTTTGAGGATGTGCAGAGTAGCAGAACACCTCTGGATTATCCATTTCTCTGCTGTCCAACTGAGGCAAGATGCAGAACAAAGCCCCTCCTCCAAGGACTAAATGTTGTAGAGGTGATCTGATCCTACACAGGTATCGTCTAATTCTATTTTTCAATCCCATTAAGTCCTCCAGCAATCCCTTAGTACCAGATTCTCTGAGGCACCTAATATTTTCCCCAGCTGTGCATGCTCCTGGCATATTTCATCAAAAGTGAGCCTGATGTGGGCCTCAACCTGGAGGTCAAAGGAGTCCACCATTACAGGTCATGGCTCCTAGAAATTGTTCCCAAGAGAAAGTCTACTGACCTTTGGTGACCTTGGATCCAAGTCAGAACACCCCCAGATTGTTGTGGGCAGTTTGGGGTGCTGTAACTTGAGTTGAAGATCAGCAGGCAGCTGTGTGTCCAGGAAGTCCCAGAACCCAGAAAAAGGTGAAAGAACCGCAGCTTCCTAACCTGGAGATAAGACTTGGTGCACAGTTTTTCTCTTCAGAAATCTGAGGGCTGCCATGGAGAAAGGGAATTGTGTTCTGTATGGCTCCCTGAGTGACAGATGGGACAGCCTAAAAGAAGACACAGATAATTTTTTTTCCCTAGAACTTCACAGTCATGAAATGGGCTGCCTGGAACAAGAGCAAGATCTGGAAGTCAGTGGAGATGTTACAGCTGATGGCTTTTGGAAGGAATGTTGTGGGGCTGGAATCTTAGAGAATTTACAGACTTTCACAACAGGGGTCAAACTAGAATAGAAAATTCTATGGATCCTTCCAGCACTAAATCTATGACTCCAAGAGGCCGGACCAGGGATGAGGCCTATTAGGAAGCCAGAATCCATGCTGCAGGTAAGGGTCTTCACCCACTGACCCTAACAAACCTGAGGGTCCACCCTAGAGAAATCCTAGAATCAGATCCTTACTTCCCCAGACCCAGATACCATTTTAAGAACTGCTGAAAGGGGAGGAAACCTCATCTGAGGAGAGCCCAGGCTGCTCTGCTACCAGGACACAGGCAGCTGGGTAGCTCTGAAGGGTCTTGAGTGAAAGGCCTCTATCAATCAGCCAGGTGCCATTAGAGCAAAGCCCTCTGGAGCTCCACGCAGCATCTCAACAGACCAGCTAAAACCAGTGGCTACTAAAGCCAGCTCAGATGACCCAAGCCCAGCCTGAACCACACTGGCCTGAGCAGAGACCACCTTGTACACACCCTTGCAAAAGACATATGCTGACTTGCTGCCCAGCCTCCTAACCCTGCCATCCAGCTGGTCATTGCCTTAAACCACAAGTTGGCAAAATTTTTCTTTAAAGACCCTGAAAGTAAGTATTTTGGACTTCGTGGGCCATATAGTCTCTGCTATAACTGCACAAAAGCACAGAGACATCATGTAAATGAATGCACGTGACTGTGTTCCAATAAAACTTTAGGTACAAAAACAGGGGTGGGCCAGATGGGACCAGCAGGCCATAGTTTGTCAACCCCTGATCCAAACTCATGACCACATTAGCCTGACAGGCTGGATTCTCCTGGACTCTGAGTTACCTCCATCACAGAGCCCTTCTCCTCTGTGCCTGGCCAATTTTCCTGCCTCTTTGGGGACTTCTGGCTCATTTGGGGCTGACAAAGACCAGAGAGCCCACCCCTGGATATCTCCAACCTCCTGATTCCTGCCATGCTACTCCTTGCCTCTTGCTGTATTCTCCAAGACACCCAGTGTCTTGCAGTTGTCCAAAGCTTCCCTCCACTCCTCTACCCATGCTGTTGCCCTGCCTGGACTGCCCTTCCCAACCCTCTTCACCAGCTGCCTCTCCCACCTTTAAGAAGCAGCTCAGCCATCTGACCTTCCAGGAGGCCTTCCTTGTACCACCTTCCCTCACTCTGCATCCCAGGCTGAGCCTAAGGCCCCCTCTTCTCCATTCTCATAATATTCTCTGCTTTCCCTGTTGTTTGAACATTGTCCATTGGTTGGCCTGCCTCTCTAATTAGGTTACGGATTCCTGGAGAACAAGAACAGTGCCTCACTCATCTATGTGTCCCTAGAACCCATCACAGGACTCAGCATAGATTCTCGGAAACAATTCGCCCAGTGGTGAATGTGTATCTCCTCATCTGCCCACATACCACCCTGGATCTTTGTGCAATCATTTCTCCACAACTGACTTCTGTTTCCACCCCTACCCCATCTGCATTTGTAATGCTTTCATTTAGCAGTCTCCTTAGAGGTCGGAGTCATGTGCATGCTTCTTCCTCCTTCTTCTCTGGACTTCAGGAGAGCTCCATCCCTCTGCCACCTCAGCTTCCCCACAGAGGTAAGCATTTCTTTAACAGATATAAATCAAAAATAAAATTTAAAGGCCCCCAACCATCTGAATGGGCTTCCTTCTCAGCCAGGGCTCTTAAATTTTAACCTGAAAGGCTGGTTCAGGCCATGAACGAAAGTGGGGGTCTGACATGCCTCATCATGCCTCTCTGGCACTAACGTCAACACAGACTTTAAGTCTGATAAGAAACATTGTACAACCTATTCTCGCTGAAGGCTTCTAGCTAAAAGCTTCATCTGCATGGTAAAATTTTGGTCTCCACAACCTCTTATCCCAACCCACACATTCCTTTCTATTGATCCCAGGCCTTTAGACAAATTCAACCAATTGTCAACTAGAAAATGTTTGAATTTACTTATAGCCTGGAAGCCTCCACTTTGAGTTGTCCCACCCTTCTGAACCAAACAAACGTATTTCTTAAATGTATTTGATTGATGTCTCATGCCTCCCTAAAATGTATTAAAAAAAAAAAAACAAGCTGCACCCCAACCACCTTGGGCACATGTTCCCAGGATCTCCTGAGGGCTGTGTCACAGGCAATGTGACATACTTGGCCTGGAATAAATCTATTGAAATATTTCACAGAGTTTGACTCTTTTCATCGACACAGAGATAATGAAGGGCTTGAAGTATTTCATCCCTGGGAATAAAGAAGAACTTTTCAAACCTGGGAGCATCATTACCACTAGAAGACACTCTGCTGGCTGCTAATCAAAAGAGCCCATGGATGCCAAGAGGCTGGCAGTGTAAGAAGAAGGAAAACTCAAACCTAGATCCCAGCTACAGAAAGCATAGTATTTGGGTGGGAAGTAGAAATGGTGAATTATAGCCAGGGAGAAAGCCAAAGATCCTGTTTTCTCCAGCCCCTCCTGGCTCTCAGCTCTCAAGCAAAACAGCTACACAGTCAGCTCTGGCCAGTCCTTGAGATTTCCCTGAGCAGGATGGGAAGAAGGCTGGGAGTCTCAGCCCCATTAGCAGGTGGGACCCAAGAGAACTCGGGACCACTGTGTTCTCACAGACTCGTTGGCTCCCCTGAGCTCTATCATGTTAATCTAGGTCATATGACTGGGCTTCTGCCTCTGTTTCCTGCCTAGCATGTCAATTATCTGCCGGAACTGGCTGTGCCCTGAGCCTCGGTCTCCGAGGCTGCAGCATGGCTCCTGGCCTAGCTCTTGCCATCATTTTCTCTGGGTTCCAGGATATGCCTCCTGTGCTCTGCTGTTACCACCCACTTGACACAGATGCAATGCCAACACACAAGAGGGGCTCATTAAAGGGCCATTCTGATCCTCTCCGGGCTCCCTGCTTTCCTGAGATGCCTGCTGCCCCTCCCCATAGGCCCCTGCACCAGATGATGCCAGCCTGCACCAGGCTTATTTCATTGGGGTACCTGGCAGCCACCACAGGAACTGGTCCAGTAACCCTGCCAAGCTCCAGTCTGATCAGTCCTGGCACCTCTCCTGCCCACAGGCCTGGTCCTGCTGTACCTCCACAGTCCTCCTACCAAGTTATCACTCTAGCTGTGCTAGAGAAGAAGAGGCAGGTAGGATCCTCCTCTTAAAGCATTTTAGGGACTATAACTGGCCCCTCAGGAAAGAGAGTTAAATCTTTGAGCTCTGAGGCTGTACCCCGGCAGCCCCTCCCACCTAGTTCCAGGGCCTAAGGCTCTCCTGGCCAAGCCAGTGAAGAGGCTTGTCCATCATGGCTCTACCAAGGGCTGAGGGGAGGTAGCAGGTGAGGTCTGCAGGCAGAGATTCCTGAAAGAGCCCAGGAGCACCAGCTGAGATGACCTGGGGAGTCCTCCCTTGGAACAGGGTTCTGCCAGGGACTGGTTACACAGAGTGAGCTGCATCCACCTCCCCCAGGCTGGAGCAGAGTGGGAAGGTGTTGGGGACAGGAGAGTGGGCAGGAAGTTAGCAAGACCCAGGGAGGGCTTGTGTACGAAGCTGCCCTTCCTGCCTCCCGCTGACCCAGCCCCTCCTCTCAGCCCAGGGCAGCTAGGTTAGAAGCAATAATTCCCCAGGAAGGGGAAGGATGAAACAACACCCAGGAATCCAGTATCACAGCCAGCATTATCTGAGAGAAGGCTGGAGAGGAGCACAGTACAGGGAAGGAGGCATGCTTCTGAGAGGCCAAGGTGGCATCACCAAGATGAAAATGGCCGCCTCTTACGGAGCAGTTTCCCAAGGCCTGGCACTGGGCTAGGAGGTTTCCAGACCTTACTTCACCCTGACCGCAACTCTTCTTGGCAGGCATACCATCCTCATTTTACAGTTGAGGGAAGGGAGGTTCTGAGAACGACCTCTCTAAGGCAGCACAAAAAGTGATGGGGTCAGAATTCAGCATTGCTCTGCCTGCCTCTGAGAGCAGCAAGACATGACCTCCCTAGAAAACATGTCCAAGAGGAAGGCAGGGAGTGGAGCCAGCCCAGGGAGGCAGGGCTGGCAGCATGGAGATGAGCAGATGGATCTGAGCAGTGTGTACCAGGCAGGCCTCCCCACGGAGGCCACTGCCTTGGGTGTGGCATGGGAGGGCAGGAGACAGAGAAACCCCAGGTCCCCAAGATAACTGGGGCAGAGGGACCAGTAGGTGGCCAGCCTCTAAGCAGGGGTATCCCGTGAGCGCTGCCACCCAAAAGCAGTGCCTGAGACCAGCTGTTTGGGATGTCAAGTGTCCGGCTTTGATCTCCATCCTCCTTCTTTCCTCTCCTGTTATCTTTCTCTTCTAGAATGTTCTCCCTCCTCCTGGTGCCCTGAGTTCCTGGAACATAATCCAGACTCTGAATCCTCCTTTTGGCAGCATTTCATCAATTAATCTTTCATCCACACTGATCCCCTGAAAAATGACTTCCTCATTATCCATCTTGCAGTTTCCACTTGGCAGCCTGAATGGTAAAGCATCTGTCAAGTTCAGATTCTCTATGGTGCAGTGGGAAGAGCCAGGGCTTTGGGATCAAACCGACCCGAGAAGAGGCCCAGCTCTACCACTCTCCAGCTGTGTGCCCTTGGGTGAGTCACTTGACTTCTCTGAGCCTCAGTTTCCCCATTTGTAAACAGGTTGAAAGCACACGCTTCATGGGGTTATTGAGAAGACCAAATGACACAATTCATCTGAGATTTTTTGCAAACTGCTATACAGGTGTAAAGCCTGTTTTGATTATTACTGTTTTTCACTGGTTCCCAGGTGGACTGAAGCTGATCTCCAGCTTGTAGGCCTCAGAGAGGCAAAGCTAAGATCACAGGCTTAAGAGGTATCCTCAAATGCTCCTCGTCACCCCACTGGCCAAAGAAGTCACAGCATGCCCTGCAAGGCAAAAGCCCAGATATGACTGAGGCTCAAAGTGAAAGCCAAAATATAGGGGGCTCATCTCAGCTGCAGAAATATAGAAGTATGAAAAAAATGTGCAACCTTGCTCATGATAGAAAAATGAAGATTAAAACTATATCGAGACTTGATTTCTCATCAGCCAATCAGCTAAAATCCAAGTTAGACAACAAATTCTATTGGTGAAACTCAGGGGGAACAGGCATTCTTTACATTGCTGATGGGAATGCAAAAGGTACAGCTCCTATGGAGGAGAATTTGGCAATATCTAGAAAAACTACGTACTTATTCATCTTTTAAGCTAGAATCCCACATCTAGGAGTCAAAGGAACACTTGTAAAACACAAAAGGATAAAAAAGTAAAGGAACATTTATTCATTGCAGCAGTATTTATAAAAGCAAAAACTGGAAATCACCCAAACACCCTCATCCAAAGGGGACTGGTTCATTATATGATGGTGGGTCCGTGTGAAGGGGCATGAGGCACCTGTGGAAAGCAACAAAGATCTCTAAGTAATACTGTGGAGTGTTTGCTACAACAGGGTAAGTGAGGAAAGCAAGCTGGAATACAGTGTATACAGTATTATTTTACCATTTATCTAAGCAAGAGGGGATATGTATACCTATTTGCCTATAGTTTTCAAAAAAACCCACAATGAAAGGAGAGTTGGACTCTTTATGCCCGTCTTCCATTCATAGGCCACCCCTTGGCTCCATCCAGCCACTACTATAGCTGTAGGTGTACTATAGCTGTGCACACTTGCAGCCTGACACAGCCCCTTCCTTGCCCAAGCTGCACTGTATATATCTCCTGCAGGTTTCTCTGAGATGTCTCAGCCACTGCTGACAACCTCTTTGGCTTATGAGCACACTTGGAAGTCCAAGGGCGTTAACACCCCCAGGGCAATCCTTGATCAACAGGGAACAAGAACACACAGGGGCAGAGGATCAATACTCTCATCTTCCTGTCCTGGACAGGCGATCCTCAGGCACATTCTGCATGGTTCCTCAGAAGGTCCTCTGTGGGCCTGAGCCCCAGTTGCCCATTGTCATCAGCTCAACAACACCTTCTTAGCTTGGCATTCCTTCCTTTTGTTTCCCTCTTCCACAGTCTCTCATGACTGTCTCCTGGGGTCACGTCCCCAAATTAATTACCCGCACGCATCCATTGTCTCAGACTCTGCTTTGTAGAAAAACCCAAACCATGGCAAGGGGTAAACCATTAAAAAAACGTTTTTTAATGATTACTGATAGGGGCAGGAGAGACTAAGGTGGCAAAAACAGGAATAGAAATTATATTTTATAAATACAGTTTACATTTTAGACTTGGGTTTTGAAGCATTTAAATATTTTACGTAATTATAAAACACAATTACATTTCAAAAGGTAATTCCTAAAATCGAAAGTAAAATGAAACAAATCTAAATGTTTACAATGTTGGAGGCATAATCACACAGAAAAGAACTATTCCAAGTGCCTTTAAAAGGTGTTTTAAAAATGAAAAATAATCTTAAACTCTCTTCAGTAGTCACATTGTTAGTGGTAGGGTCGCTATTGCTATTCTGAGATTGTTGTGTGTATAGTTATGAGATAAAACAATAAGCTATTATACTAATGTCATTGACAGCCTGGATTTTTAACATGAGTAAAAGAAGGTACAGGTATAAGGTTGATGATATTTTTAAAAACCTGCAGTTACGCATTTGAGTTACAGCTATCAATTTTTATAAACCTCAAAGTATATGTTATCTTTAAAAATAAACACATATTTTCCAGTGCCATCTCTTTATAGAGCCAAGAAACAATGATTAAAATGATTAGAAAGAGTGTTAACAAAAACCCTAGTGCCCAAATCGGAGTTCTTTAAAACCATTTCCCACTTAGAAAAAAAAAAAACAAAACAAAAGCGAGAATTCTTGGAGAAATGGCTCATTCCAGATTACGGGAAGGAATGTACAAGATGAGCCTGGAACATTTTGTCATACCAGAAAGCAAAGAAGCTTCAAAAGACTCTTAGGCTTGGGGTAAAGGGTCTGGAGACCCTTGAATAAATTCTTCATGGTCAGCCAGTGATGGGGTGGACAATACGAGCACCAACAGGGATAAGCACCCCCATGGACCGAACCGTATCAAGTGTTTACACTTTCCAAATTGGTAAATAAATAAAAAAAAAAGAATCCAGCATTTTTTCCTGCCTTTCCTATATGACTGTACTTCAGGATAATTAAATAGCTCATAAAGGGAAACTTCTCTCCATAGATGTAATAATTTAATAAACAAAGAAGAAATGGTAGAAGTAAACTATCATCATTTTGCAATCCAGCCAAAATGAATTGACAGATCCAGCCAATGATTTTCAATAGTTGTAACATCACAGAGTATGAGGCACTTAGATGTTATGTACTTCTTGATGGTCTAAACTCAAACCTGGATCTGACCAAACTTATGGATCTACCTACCAAGCTAGGGTAAATACAGAAGACAGAGGAAGGTGTTAATAACACCACAGGAAGACAAGCAGCAAAAGTCAGCCTGTAGGAAACTACAAGGCATACGACTCTCTTTCTTCAACAAATAAACTTTAAAGAAAAACTGAAGCAAGACTTGAGAGACATCAAACAATTGTAGCATACGGACCTTATTTGGATCCAATTAGGCTTGGCATGAACGTCAAAGACAGGACTTGGCTTTGACCATGCTCCACAATGTACAACTGAGGTCGTGACTTTTCTGTGCTGGGAATCAATAGAGGCCTATTGGGGAAACCCTTGGCCAGTATTCGTGTTCCCTGGCCCTTCAATCCACTATCCCGTACCCCTGCCACGCCCTCCAGCCCTCTCACTGCTCATGGCATCAGCCCTGAACTGTGTGTCCTGCTCCACGGCCTTTATCCCATCCTGTTCTTCACTTCTGCTGTTTACAGGCCTCATTGTTCATTCTCCTGTTTCTGACTTCATCCATCTCTCCAGAAGCGACACGCAAGACTACCATCTCACTGAGTCCTGGGCTCCCCCGCCACATCCTCCAATCCAGCTCCTCCCTCCAACCATGCTGCCTCATTTGCTGCTTTGAGTTAATGACATGCCAGTGGCCCCCCAATCTCCAAACTCCATAGGTCACTCACTACACAGCTCACTGGGCCCATCAGTGCCACCCGGACAGTCCATAAACTCTTCTGACTGCACCCATTCTCTCTACACTTTCAGGGAGTTGCAGAACGTCAGAGTGAGAACTGTCCTGCCTCTGCTGATGGATATTAGTCCTAGGCTCCAAGAGAGCCTCCATCCAAGGAGTCTAACAGATAAAGCCTCCACCGTGCCCATCAGCATGGACTAACTGAGGCCTGGCCCAACAGAAGTCAGGAATGATAGGGACAATGGGCTTCTATTCATACATTTACAGAAGCAGCCAGACATGTTCTAATAATTCCCCTGAGTTATCTTTCACCCCAGGTTAGCTGTCTTGGTGGGGGTTAGGACAGAGACATTGGCCTCTAACCCTTTGCAGAACTTAGGACAGAGGCTTTGGGGATGGGATGGGGACCCCATCTAGGGACATTAAGCTCGGGTGAGTCATCCAGCCCCAGAATGAGAAGTCCATTTTCAGACTTAAAAGAGCCTCTTCAGCGCTAACCAAAGAGACAAGCAGCCCCTGGTTGAAAATAAACAATTGTTAGGGCTAGATGCCTTGTACTTGTGTGTTCTGTTTCTCATTTTTAAAAAATGCAAAGTGACTCAATAATTTATATTAGAAACTATGATAACACAGGCCAAAAGGAAAGGGAATAAAAAGTAAGCATTCTTCTAGGAGAAAAACATAAACAAAGCAACATAAAAAGCAAGTTGGCTTTTGAAGCCAGCCATGACTGTGAGGAAGTTTGCCCTTCCTCCTGCCATGGTACTCCTTTGGGAAGCTTCTGTCTTCTGGACGGAAAGGGAAAAGGTCTTTGGGTAGCCACTATGGGGAAGGTGTTGTGCTGGGTGTATAATCCCGACAGTGCTGAGCAATAAGCATTTCTGTTTCCATCTCACTGATTTAGTACTGAAGCTTGAGGAGGTCATGTGGCTTGACCATTGTCACCTGGTAAAATGAGAAGGAGCCAGCACATGAACCCACATCTGTCTGGCTCCAAATCTCCTGCTTCTTATTTAACTCTTTGCTGCCTCTGGTACAAATCAGAATACCTAATTCTCCCTTCCCACAAGAGCCCTTCACAGTTTCAAAAACAACCGCCAGCTCCCCTCCTCTTCCCTGCTTCCAGACCAATGTTTCGCAGCCCAAATAGTCCCAGTCCTGCATCAGTCAGCATGACATGGCTTCATATCTTTGCATCTTTCTTCTCTGAATATGTTCCAATTTGCCCAAATCCCCTTAAACATGTGAGGCCCAGAAGTGGACATGGATTTTCAGATCTGGACTGATGGGCTGACCAAAGCAAAGCCTGCAGGGATTATCTTCCCCTTTGATCTGGAATCGAAGCTGACGGTAGCACAATTTAGGATAGATTCATTAGCTTTGCTGACAGCCACAACACATAGCTGGCTCATAATGAGTGTTCACTCAGCTAAAGCTCCCCAGAGCTTTGCACCCTGGCCTCTGCTAAGCCAGCTTTCCTCGTCCTACACTTGAGCAATTTGTTGTTTGGAGCCTTCATTCAGGATTTTCTCATTATTGATTTCAGTTCCACTCAACAAACACCTGCTGAGCTAGGCACAAGCGCAGGTTGCTGGGGAGCTGGGAGGCGCAGGCACCATTGAGCTCTGCACTGCTATTTTCTACCCCTAGCCCTGCTCAGAGTTCCTCTGGGCTCCCCTGCATCCCCGCTCTGAGGGCCTGGCACACACTGCACTCTTCTCCCAACAGTTCCTTTTGCCTTCCTCAAGAGCAGAGCCACACCTTGAAAATTGCCAGGTCCCTGGAGTAGTTTTTGAGTGACCAGAGCTGTGCCAAGCAGGGTATTTTTGTTAGTGAGTGAGCAGCTGCCCAGAACATTTCAGGAGATGATTTACTCCTTCTCTCAGAGCTGCTTATACCAGAGCTCTCTGTTCCTATCACAGCCTGTACCTCCCATGAAAACCCTGTCACAGTTTCTGATCTGAGAGGAGCCTGTTTGCCTGAAGGAAGAAAAATTCTCTGTTTCTTTCTGCCAGGTTTTCTCGCTTGTCCAGGATGTGTCCCCCTGGCCTGGAAATGGGGGTGGAAGTGTAGGGGCTATTAGCTGACCCCAGCCTGGATCCTGCCCAGCAGTTTGTCTGCAGCTGGAGGGGCCATGTCCTTGGCCCCTACCCTCTGACAAGCTGATAGTGCCTGGGCTTAGTTATGAAGCATTCAACCCCATGAGGCCGGGAGACCGTAGGATAATTCTGGCCCTTTCCAATTCCTTGACCCAAAGCTTGCATTTTAGCTAAAATGTCTTGCAACTTGGTTTGGTGCAAATGGTGGCTGCATGGTATTGTGACAAGAGCTCTAAGCTGGGAGCCAGAGACCTGGGTCTGGGTTCAAACTCTACCACTCACCAGCTATGTGACCTGGGTCTGGGCCTCAGTTTCCTCATCTGCCACAAGAGGGCTGACATATAGACTCTCCAAAGGCTCTTAACGTTGCAGTATTATCTAGTAGTGTGGGTTGTGAGCATGGCTAAGGAGCCAGAGTGCCTGGGTTCACCCCAGCTGTGGCATTTACCAGCTGAGTGACCTGAGGCAAGTTACTTAGGTTATTTAAACCTTACTTCCCTCATCTGTCCATGGGGATAATACTAGTACTTACCTCCTAGGATTCTTATGAGGATTAAAGAAGCACAAAAGTGCTTACAGTGGTGCCAGGCACATAGTAAATGTGCAATAGCTGTGGTAGTGTTCTTGTTTTTATCACTAAGTACCAAGCTGAGTCTAGCCTTAGCTATCAGGGATGGGGCTTCCTGTAGAAGCAGCTGTACTGGCAGCATTGTGTCTTCCTTCATCCTGACAGAGTCTGTGAAGTCAGTTACTACAACAGGAAAACCAGTGACCTCAGAACCAAAGTTCACTTGAAGCCCCCTCCAGCCCCAGCCTCAGCCCAGCCCAGCCCTGGACCTAGCCCAGGCCTGAGGCTTCCCAACCAGGCCCAGCCCCAAACTCCCTCCCTCCCAAGCTCAGGCAGACCCCTGGGCCTGACGGGTGGGTTAGCACACTTGGGCCCCCAAGTCCCGAATCACCAGGCGATTAAACTTGCCTTTTATTGTGGTCCTGAGGATTATAAACAAGCAGGCCTGACATACGGGTCATTCCTGAGACTCCTGCTTCATTGGCTTTAAGGCCCCCTTGGCGGTAAAGAATTTCAAAGCTGCTAACACCATAGTATATTAAAGTGGAATAAATTCCTCTGAATGGTCCTCAGGTGAGAACCAGTGCTGAGCAAATACCTCCTGGTTTCCTCTTGTAGAACCCAAGACTGACCCCTGGTGGTCTGTAAGACCTGCTGAAGCCCAGACTTCACCATGGTCATCCTTGAGAACCTTCTGTGTCTGAATCTGGTGTTCTCTCTTTCTCTCTCTCTCTCTCTCTCTCTTTCTCTCTCTCTCATCTATTAGAACTCTCTCTTTCTTTGTTCTATCAAAGAAAAGACAGAAGTCATTTCCTGAGTCCCTTGGGGGTGGGAATGGCATTGGAGGGAAAGCTTCAAAGCCAGTGCTCAAAGTAGAGTGGCAGAATATACCGTCCTGCCCTCACCCTCTGCACAGACATCAGAGTCCCACTTCTGGCACATAGCCAGGCAACCATCACTGGGCTCATGCTGCACACCCTGCTTTAAGGCCAGGACCAAAGAGCTTGGTCCCAGGCTGTGTCTACACAACCTATGCCTTCAGGGCCAGTGTCTAGACAACCTGCATCTCAATAATCCAATCTGCATACCATGCTTTTGTAACTCCTGTATGTGAAGTTCATATCTCTACAATCCAATTTCTGTACACTGTATGTCTCTTTAACATTTGTCTCTACAATGTATCTGTACACTCCATGTCTGTACAACTCCCCTGTACATAATCCTGTCCTGGGAAGCACATATCCACACAACACACTCATGCTGTCACATGGGTTTCTGCACACAACATGTCAGGGCAGAGAATGGATGACCAACCAGGAGGAGTTTTGCTTGTGGCTCATTTTGAAAAGAACGCCTTCCTCCTCAATTCATACTCCAGGATGGTGACCGCAAAAGCCATCTGGATTGTTCCTCCAGAAATGGCTCATTTATCTCAGGACTTCATAAAGAAAAGAAAAAGTTAAATGAGAAGAGCTAAAAACCTTACTGAGAAATGGCATGAAAAAGAGATTCTCTGTTATGTTTTTGAGGTAATCAAATTCACTATATTTTACTTGTAAAATAAACTTTGAAAAAAAACCTATCTCCAGCTATGCTTCTCTTTTAAAGTAGTTCACACTGTCCGTTTCTACTAATTGAGTTAATTAGCACAGTATCAGTGATGTCATCATCACAAAGGTTAAGGTTAAGGTTAAGAAGGTTAAGGTTAAGGTTAGGTAAGGTGAAGATCAAATTTCTGCAGAAAATATAGTTCACAACTTTAAACAAGATAAAAAAAGACTGTTTTCTCCAAAAAAAATGAAATATTCTTCATTACAACAAATATATTGCAATAAATGTTTCCTATAACAATTTTAGAGTCTTGAGCTTAAAACTATTATTTAAAAATTAAACTTTAAAAATGTTTAATATTAAGGGAAGGCTCTTTGTCCATTAATAAACAGACTTAGAAACTCAATTTTATGATGACAAGATATAGAATAAGCATAGATTTCACTTAAATGTTAAGGCACAAACTATCTAAATAGTTGCTAAGATTTTAGCCATCTAATCTTGTTTCTCAGTGGAATGCTGCTGGCATTTGGGGTTAAGAATATTCTCACCATGTGTCAGGTTGTCCCAGGCACTGCGGGATATTTAGCATTCTTGGTCCTGTCCACTGAGTACCAAAGACATCCCCCAGTCAGTGTGACAACCATAACCACTCCCAGACATTTTCAAACACACCCCCATGGGGTGGTACTGACCCCAATTAAGAAGTGCTGGTCTCACATGGACACAGGAAGGGGAACATCACACTCTGGGGACTGTTGTGGGGTGGGGGGAGGGGGGAGGGATAGCATTAGGAGTTATACCTAATGCTAAATGACGAGTTAATGGGTGCAGCACACCAGCATGGCACATGTATACATATGTAACTAACCTGCACATTGTGCACATGTACCCTAAAACTTAAAGTATAATAATAAAAAATTAAAAAAAAAAAAAAAAGAAGTGCTGGTCTCAACAAAACTTAATTGCTTATCCAGGACTCTACATTCTCAAAGCAGGGGTGGACAGCTCTTTAAGTTTTCCTCGAGGTTTTTGTTAAAAACCCGTAGGCTTTGGCTTTAACTTATTTTTTATTGAAACTTTTATTGAGATGATTATAAAGTCACATGCAGTTATAAGAAATAATACAGAGGGAGTCTTTGTACATTATGTCCAGCTTCCCCATGGTAACAAAATGTTTGTTTTGTTTTGCAAGACTATAGTACAATATCACTGATTGACACTGACACAATCCACACATCTTATCCTGATTTCCTACTTTACCTGTACGGATTTGTGTGTGTTTGTGGGGTGGGGGGTGTTTCACACATTGTTATCACCTGTGTTACGCTCATGCCTCCACCACACAGTGAAGACATTTCAACACCACCAGGATCCCTCATCTGACCTTTCATAATCACACCTATCTTCCTCCCACGCCAACCGCCTTCCCCTAGGTCCTAACCCTGGGCAACCACCAGTCTGTCTCCCAATTCTAAAATGCTCTCATTTCAAGAATGTTATATAAATGAAATCATGCAGTATGCAACCTCTTGGTATTAGCTTTTTCCATGCAGCAAAATTCCCTATAGATTGATCCAAATTGTTGCATATATGAGTACAGGTAGTTTGTTACTTTTACGGTTGAGTAGTATTCCATGATATGTACGTACCACAGATAGTTTAACCATTCAACTGTTGCAGGACATCTGGACTGATTCCAGTTTTTAGCTATTACAAATAAACCTGCTATAAATATCTGTGCACTGCTTACTGTAAATGTAAGCATTTCTCGGGGAGAAATGCCTGAACCTGTAATTGTTAGGTAGCATGGCAGTTGCATTTTTTTAAAAGAAACTGTTAAACTGTTTTCCAGAGCGGTTGTGCCATTATTTTGATATTATACATTCTGCCCATTTTCTTTTTTTTTTTTTTTTTCCCCCGAGACGGAGTCTCGCTCTGTCGCCCAGGCTGGAGTGCGGTGGCGCGATCTCCACTCACTGCAAGCTCCGCCCCCCAGGTTCGTGCCATTCTCCTGCCTCAGCCTCCCGAGTAGCTGGGACTACAGGCACCCGCCACCACGCCCGGCTAATTTTTTTGTATTTTTAGTAGAGACAGGGTTTCACCGTGTTAGCCAGGATGGTCTCGATCTCCTGACCTCGTGATCTGCCCGCCTCGGCCTCCGAAAGTGCTGGGATTACAGGCGTCAGCCACTGCGCTCGGTCCTTTTATGGTTGAGTAGTATTCCATGATATGTATGTACCACAGATAGTTTAACCATTCAACTGCTGCAGAACATCTGGACTGATTCCAGTTTTTAGCTATTACAAATAAAGCTGCTATAAATATCTGTGCACTGGTTTCTCTGTAAATGTTAAGTATTTCTCCGGAAGAAATGCCTGAACCTGTAACTGCTAGGTGGTATGGCAGTTGCATTTTTTTAAACAAAACTGTTAAACTGTTTTCCAGAGTGGTTGTGCCATTATTTTGATATTATACATTCTACCCATTTTCTAATCGGATAGTTTAGCTTTTTTGCTGTTGAGTTTTGAGAGTTCTTTATATACTCTAGATATTAGTCTTTTGTCAAATACGTGGTTTGCAAATAACTTTTCCCAGTCCACAGATGTTTTTTCATCCTCTTCACATGAGATTTCACAGAGCAAAAGTTAATAATTTTGATGAGATCTAATCTATCAAATTGTGCTTTTGTTGTCAAGTCTGAGCACTTTTGCCTAGCTCTAGATCCCAAAGATTTTCTTCTTTGTTTTTTCTAAAAGTTTTATAGTTTTATGTTTTATATCTAAATCTGTGATCCATTTTGAGTTAATTTTTGCATAAGACATGAGACTTAGATTGAGTTGGGTATTTTTTTATTGCCTTTGTGTCCAATTGCTCCAATACCATTTGTTGGAAAGTCTACTTAAATTTAATTTTAATCTAGGCTAAATTAAAGACATTTGAGGTTTATAATCATTTCCCACACAGGCACAGGAGTAAGCAACAGAGTTCATTAACAGTTAACACAAGCATACATATTTATAGCTAGTTGCTAACTAGTTAAAGTAGTGGTATTAAACAAAAGTTTTAGAAAAATATCTGCAACATATATCACAATTGAAGTTCTAATGTCTATAATACACAAGGAAATCTTAAAAAGTGAGGGCCGGTTGGGCACGGTGGCTCACGCCTGTAATCCCAGCACTTTGGGAAGCCAAGACGGGCGGATTATGAGGTCAGGAGATCGAGACCATCCTGGCTAACACAGTGAAACCCCGTCTCTACTAAAAATACAAAAAAATTAGCCGGGCCTGGTGGTGGGCGCCTGTGGTCCCAGCTACTCAGGAGGCTGAGGCAGGAGAATGGCGTGAACCCAAGAGACAGAGCTTGCAGTGAGCCAAGATCGCGCCACTGCACTCCAACCTGGGAGACAGAGGGAGAGTCCGCCTCAAAAAAAAAAAAAAGTGAGGGCCAAAAACAGAGGCAAAAACACCTGATAGAAAAATGAATAAAGCCAAGTATGGTAGAACATGCGTGTAGTCCCAGCTGCTTATGAGGAGTACCTGAGACGGGAGGGATTGCTTGAGCTTAGGAGCTTGAGACCAGCCTAGATGACATAGATAGACTCCATCTCTAAAAAAGAAAAAGGAAAAGAAATAAAAAAGAATGAGCAAAAGTCACGAACAAACAATTTACCTAAAAAAGATATAAAATGCCCCTAAACACTTATGAGAAGTTGTTCAATTCATTATAAGAAAAATGCAAATTAAAACTACAGTGAAATGACATTTATCACCTATGAATAATAAGCAAAAATTTTAGAACTTGGCAACACTCTATGTTGGCAAGGCTGAGGAGAAACAGACACTCTTACACATTGCTGGTAGGAATGCAAAATGATACAGCCTTATGGGAAGGAATTTGGCAGTATTTAACAACACTATATATGCATTTACCTTTTGTTCCAGAAATCCCACTTCTAGGAATTTACTCTAAAAATAAGCCTGCAGAAATACAAAATTATATATGTACAAGTTTATTCACTGCAGTATTATCTGTCATTGCAAAATATTGGTAATAACCTAAATGCTCATAGATAGATTTATTGAATAAACTAAATTATATCCACACAATGCAGTGCTATGCAGTGGTAAAAGAGAATGAAGATGAAGCAATGTGGAGTGATTTCCAGGAAATATCTTGTAAGTGAAGAAGCAAAGTGCAAAAGAGTATACGTAATATTCTACCTTTTGTGTAGGAAGAGGAAATAAGAAAATTACATGTATTTGCTTACTTAGTTGTGAAAGGAAATTGAGAAAAGATAAGCCAGAAACTAATGAGAATGGTTCCCTACAGGGTAGATGGGCTGGTCTCAAACTCCTGACCTCAGGTGATCCACCCACCTCGGCCTCCAAAAGTGCTGGATTTACAGATATAATCAGCCTCCCACTAGCTGGGACTACAGGCACACCACACCCAGCTAATTTTGGTATTTTTTGTAGAAATGGGATATGCCACATTGCCTAGGCTGGTCTTGAACTCCGAAGCTCAAGCAATCTGGCCACCTTGGCCTCCCAAAGTGTTGGGATTACAGGCATGAGCCACCATGCCGGCCCAGGTCTTCTAAACATTGTTTCTTACAATAATTTGAGGGTTTCTTGAAGAAATGGCTGATTGCAAGTTTGAGCCAAGAAGGACCTGGGATATCTTAAAAGTAAAAAAGTGCTTAAAAAAAAAATGAAGAAGAAGCAGCACATCAAAAAACATAAAGGCCAGTTTGAAGGGGCTTCTCCTGGCCAAATCTGGGTCAATGTGAACATCAAAATACATAGCAATAATAATGACTTAAAACTCATTGAAGGCCAGGCGCAGTGGCTTACACCTGTAATCCCAGAAATTTGGGAGGCCAAGGCGGGCAGATCACCTGAGGTCAGGAGCTTGAGACCAGCCTGGCCAACGTGGTGAAATCCCGTCTCTACTAAAAATACAAAACTTAGCCTGGCGTGGTAGTGCGTGCCTGTAATCCCAGCTACTTGGGAGGCTAAGGCAGGAGAATCACTTGAACCTGGGAGGTGGAGGTTGTAGTGAGCCAAGATCATGCCATTGCACTCCAGCCTGGACAAGAGTGAAACTCCATCTCAAAAAAAAAAAAAAAAAAAAAACTCATTGAATAAAATAAGAATCTATGAGTGTATGCTGATATAATTAAATAAGTGAATAAACAAGTGGGAGATAAGAGAAAGATCTTTCTTTTAGAATTATGCCAACAAATTAATGTAGAAAAAATGATGGAGTTAGATAAATCGCCATTTTGCAATCATCACAGTTATTATAGATTCAAGAGTTAAACAAAGTTTATGGGAGGCTCCTGTTTTGGACGAGCCTCCTGCATCAGGACCAAGTAGACCAGACCAAACCAGAATGGAAATTTTGTGCTGAGTGCCATGCCATCAAACTGAACTTTGAAATAGGCAAGTTTTCCAAAAAACAAGAGATTCTAGTCTACCTGAGTCGGCATAAGGAAGTCCCCTCTGTTTTAACCCCATAACGAGAGCAACTTTGAAACAACCAATCCACTTTTTATTCTCTGTTTCTGCTTTCTTCAGTGCTTTTCAGCCTATAAAGTCAATCTCCTCTGCTCAGCTCATTAGAACAGTCATTCTTAATGAGATGTTGCCTGATTCTGGAATGGCAAATGGAAGTCAATTCAATCTTTAAACTAAATTTGTTGTAATTTTTTCTTTTGACACAAGTAAGAATTACCAGTGGGTGCTAAAACTAGTGGGTGATGATTCAATAAGGAACAGGATATTTGCCTAGTTTTAAAGTATCTTTCAAAAATTACTTATTAATTACACAGGGGAAAATTATAACTTACAGTAAAGAAACCTGGAGGACAACAATGTAACCAAGGGATCAATGCCACCATCACCCATGAGACAAAGCAACCACATGTGCCTTCAAATACCATGTTCTGAGAAGGACACAACATACATCTGTGAGTTTCAAGCTCAAATGCAAGATCTGAATCTCATCATAAGGAAATGTTAGACAAACCCAAACTGAGGGACAATTTACAAAATTACTGACCTGTGCTATTCAAAAATGTCAAGGTCAAAAGCTCAGGAAATATTCCAAATTAAAGCAGACTGGAGAGATATGAGAAATAAATGCAATGCTGGATCAAATCTTGGACCGGGGGGAAAATTGCTATAAAGGCAATTGGCAAAATTTGGATTTGGGCTGAAGATTAGATGACAGCATTTTGTCAGTGTTAAATTTCCCAATTTTCATCATTGTACCATGGTTATATAACAAAATGTCCTGTTCTAATAAAATACACACTGATATATTTGGAGGTAAAGGAATATAATGCCTACTTACTCTCAAATGGTTCAGGAAAAAAAACATTAATACTTAGAACAAATGATAATGCAAATAGGCCAAAATGCAAACTTGGTGAATCTGAGGGAAGGGTAAATGGGAATTCTTTGTACTATTGCAATTTTCTGTACATGTAAAATTGTATCAAAATTAAAATTTACCCCCCAAAATCTTTTTCCACCAGTAAAATTTTTTCTTAAGTGAAATTCCACCTGGAAGCCCAATGTGTCCAACAAATAAAATTGGAGTCATTTGAGTGAAATGGGGATGGTAGCTCCAGAGGTCTGCCCACAGATTCCCCTCCCACTGTCCACAGCTACATCTGAAGGGCAAGGCCATAGCAACTTAGCTGTTCACAACCAGTCCCTCTCCATCAGAGCATTGGATGTGCCTAGGGTGGCATCTCTGTCCTCACCCCTCTTCAGAGCCTCTTCCCTGATCACCTCTGCCCTCCACTTTCCTCTGAGTCACGCTCACTGTGCTAATCAGGCCTCTTCCTAATATTTATGCAAATATGTTAATTGCAGAGAATTCTCACACTGTCTGCTATTGCCTAGGGTCCATGACACTCAGAAACGTTCTTCGCCAATCACACAGGGCTTCCCAGTTGCTAGTCCCATTTCTGCTTCAGGCTGCAGCTGCCCACACCTGTATTACAGATGGACTTCAGAAGAAGGAGCTCTTCTTGAAGAAGTCAATGCACTATGCTGATCCCTGCTATCTCCTCTTGGCCCTGTAAAATACCTCTGGCAGCTGCAGTGGAACTCTTTGGCATTAAGCAAGGAAAAGATACTGTATTCATTCCTACTGCAACAAACTACCATTATTATGGTGACTTAAAACAACACAAATTTATTCTCTCACAGTTCTGGTAGTACATAGCCCAAAAACCAATTTCACTGGGCTAAAGTTGGGGTGTTGACAGTGCTAATTCCTTCCAGAGGCTTTGAAAGGAGAATCTGTTTCCTTGTTTCTTTCAGCGGCTGGTGCCTGTCTGTCTTCCTTGGCTTGTGGCCTCCTCCTCCATCTTCAAAGTTCATCAATTCAATCTCTGCTTCCACCATCATATCACCTTCTCCTCTTCTGTGGAATCTCCCTCTGCCTCTCTCCTATCAGGACACTCATGATTACCTTTAGGGTCCACTCAAAGAACCCAGAATAATCTCCCCGTTGCAAGCTGCTTAATCACAGCTGCAAAATACCCTTTGCCATATTATAAAGTAACATTCACAGGTTCTGGGGATTCAGAAGTAGATATTTTTAGGGGCTACTATTCAGCCTACCACAGAGACCTAAATTGATTGCTGCCCAACAGGTTTTCCCTGTTACTCAAATTCCCCAGCCTTTATGATGATTTGCTGTCTTTCATTTAATTATTCCCCCAGGTGCACTGATTTGAGTTCAGAGTAGCTCGTTTGTAACATACACTGCCTTCGTTTTGCTGCTCTGCCCTATTGTGCCCCCTGCCGGCAGGTGACACTACAGAGCTTGTACCCGCACAGCCCTCACCTCATACATGCCCATTGTCAAATGAATTGATGGATAGCCCTAGCCCTGGATGGAATCCCCTGAAAGCAACAGAAAGGGGGTTGAGCAAGAAGATCCTCCACTGTTTTCCAAGCCTCTAGCTGGGGCAGATTGAGGTCTCCCTGGGAGATCTCATCAGCAACAACCACACTCATAAATCAAAAAGGAACTGAGCCACAGTGCTCCTGGAGAATGAAAGGGAAAAAAGAACATTGGTTCATGTTTGGGCTGATTCTAAACTATATGGGAATGAAAGCTTTGGGGGTGATGAATTTCCCTTTAATGCTGTCACATCTGTAGTCCTGGAGGTTTAACCTCTGATTTTTGGCTGTAAAACCAACATTATTTCTGCAAAGTTGACACCAGATGCTGCCAGAGAGATATAGCTAAAGTGATAAAAATCTATTTAACAGATTTAGTGAAGCAAATACAAACTAATTAACAATTTTAGAATTGGGATTAAACACTAATTCTTTTAAACCATAAAAACTGAGATGAACAAAAGGAAAAAAAAATCTTCTCCCTCTGAATAACTCAAAGGAGCCATCTGTTTGTCATTGAGAAAATGGCCCAATTGATAAATTTTGAACAAATTCCTACTTTTTTTCTGGATTTGAATGCATTATGGACAGCCAGCCCAGAAAGAAGGCACATTACTCCCTGGCTAATGTGTCAATCTGGGCTTCCCTGAAGCTTCAGAAAACAAGCTATTTGTGTACTGACTCAGAAATAAGGAGGCAAAGACTAAAATGATATCTTTATGAATCATGCTTGAGGCATATGTTTTTGACCATTAGTAAGAAACGATGGCCTGAGGTTCCTTCTAGCTTTCTCATGCAGTAGCCATTGGTGAGACACAAATTCTTCATTAGCATCTCTCAACAAGGGCTGAGGAGCCTCTCTGCTGCCATTCTAAGACTTCCCAGAATGGCCAAATTAGGCCAAGTCTGAACCATAAAATTGTGGAAACTGGACTTGCTGACCTCCCGTCTCCCCACCTGGATGTTCTCAGCCTCAATATGCAGTTTAATTCTAGAACGCAGGCTATACAATTAATCCCATCCTAATCAGGGTCGGGCAATGAGGAGAAATTCTGTTTACTCTGGTCGCAAATTCAGTTGATTTGACATCAAATCTGATTGTTGGACCCCTTCTGAGTGTCCCCTGGGAAGAACTCAGATCTATTGTGAGCTACTTGAGGATGGAGATCTTTGCATCCCTTGGGCCTAACCCAGAGGCCTGCATATATAAATGCTCAATTAATAATAATAAATTACCACTTGTTGAGTGCCAATTATGTGCCAGACACTGTGCTATCCCGTTTAGTCCTCTCAATAACGCTATGAAATAGGTGTTATTATGATCCATGTTTATGAATAAGAAAACTACATCTTAGATTAAGTAATTTGTCTAAGTTCATACAGCTCCTATGTGGCAAGATTAAGTTAAAACTCAGGCCTGTCTAATTCCAGAACTGATCTATAACCACTTACACATATTCTGCCATATGCATGTACACAATAAATCATTCCTTCACATTTCACTGTATTCTAAAAAAATGTTTGTGATTACTTTTCACAAATACAGCTAGTAGAACTCAATTGGGAGTATTGAGTTTCAGGAAAAATAAGAGTGGAAAGTCAAATTGTTAAGTGCATCGTCAGTCCAAATGAGGTCAGTGGCAGCACTTGGGGAACAATCTGAGGTACTCCTTGAGGTTTGGTCCTTGGACTCTTGAAGCAGGCAAGGCTGTGGACAACTGGTTTGAATGGGACAACTGCCAGAGAAAGTCCCATCAAGCTATGATGACCACAGAAAAGTTGACCAAAGACCATGGAGGGTGACCTGCAAGTGGACCAAGCCTGTCAATAGGATTTTGGGAACAGATCCCACAGATCTGGTACCATGCTGCCTCATTTTCTCCCAAGTGGGTCAGTGTTTGGAGTCTAGAAACAACATGTTTTAACAACTCAAAATTCTTCATTGGGTTGGGGCGTTATCAAAGCCAGTTACAGCCCATATCCTTTTTATCTGCCCCTCCTGTAAAAGGCAACCAAGCTCATGGATTCCTTGTAGTTGTCTGAACGTTTCCTTGGTCAGTGTTCCTTCTTTACTCCAAAAGACCCTTTACAACTAGAAATATAGGCCATTCTCTTGGGACCTCCTAATGGCTATTATCTAAAATTCTCCTGATGATACAGATACACACTCAAATATTAGAATAGCATAAACATTTTTCAGACTAGAGTTTCCAGTCTGTGCTTCTGGACAATGAGCAGCCAGATTAGACCCCTAATTCCTAAGCCTACCACTGGGCAGGACGGCAAGTGGTCACTATCAGAGAGGCATGGCAGCACCATACCAGATACAGAATAATAGTTGAAGAGCAGAACGCGAATGAGCAATTAAGTTGCCTCAGTTTGCCAGTAAATCTGAGAACAGACCAACTTTGCTGGGATATAGATTACAGCAGGTAGAAACTGATTTTGTCACCCTCTGGCAATTTAAGCCCCTGATCTTTCCCTCAATTCCTGCCCCATATCAGGGAGCTAGTCATGCCATTGGGCTTTTCATGCCAGTATTTCTCAAACTAAGCCCACTGGACATTTTCTCTGAGTTCATGAGATTCTGATATTGTTTTTTTAATTTGTTTTCATATTGATGAAAATATAAAAATAATCAATATTCATATCTTGTGGGTCAACTGAATGACCAACTCAAACCACAGAATTTCTATGTCCACATGTAGATTTGTGTTTATGACAGCATAAGGGTCAAATAGAACTGCTTTAATTCTCTCAGACTAGTGAAAAATGAGTGTGATGGACTTCAACACAAACAATGTGATCATTGACAAGTGAGGAACAAATGACCTCACAGCATCCTGTAGAAACAAAAGTGTCATGATATTTAGGATAGAGGAAGATGGAAGACACACTGAGTCATCATGCGGCATGCAGCACATTCAGCAGAGTCGTGGCCAACTCACACAAACCTGTGCCATAGCCCCAGGACCATATCCACATGGCAAGAAATGATTTTGTTTTAGCAAACCAACATCATTGATCCTATTAAAGATTAATCTTAATTCTATTGATTTTGTGGATTTGTTTGTATTTTATAAATTCATAAAAGCTTGTCTAAGCTTTTATGTTAAATGTTAATGTTTACACAGTATTGCTTATACTTAAATTTATACATGGGTTATGTTTTTAAGATTATACTTAGTTTAGCATCTGTGTATATTTAAATTAATTATGATAATAAAATTATTTGTCAGCATTGTTTTCTTCTAAAAAGAGACTATGCATCATTCAAGCTGGAAGCACTATTTATTATTCTCTGAATATTACATCATCAATTTCTCTAATACAGTGGCACTTGCCCCCCATTGGTCAATGGGTGTGTCTAATGTATTCTAATGGTTAGACTAACTTCTTTACTTTGTTCTGGCCTCCTTGTTCAAAATCCATGCTCCTGAAGAATGCTGAAATGATCAGTAGTGTTAAACAGGAGTAGAACATAAAGTCCTAGAAGGTTCTCAAGGCAAGTCCTCAAGGGCTAGCATTTTGTCAGAAGGGAAAAGCAGAAACCCAGCATCAGATCTAGGTAAGACTTAGTTGTACCCAGGCAGCAGGACAGTCCAATGCTCAACCCTGGGTTATCTTGATCTCCTCCCACCATAACCATTAAAAACAGGCCTGGAGGACCAAGCCTGCAGCTGAAAATCCACCGGCCCCAGTTGTGAAGTGGCAAAGGCTGAGAGGCAGGACCCAGACTGGTGAATTCACAGATCCATTGCTGGCCACAGAGAAAACAAATTATTTTAGATATAATTAAGTGTAGACAACAAAACACCAAGGCCATCCCAATAAAACATCACATTACTTCTGACTTGAGCTATACAAAAGAAGAGAAGCAAGATCCCGTTAGAAGAAATTGTTGACATATTAGAGCTTTGCCCTTAAGCCCCATCCATGGCCCTTTAAATGTGACCAGCATGTATATGGACAGCGCTGGGATCTGAGGAGGGGATGCCACCTGGGACAGAATGACAGTCAAGGTTAGTAATGCTCGCTCTGGGCCACTGCCTAGAACAGTTCCTGCCTGTCCTGAAGCAAATACCCACAAAATCCAAGAGAGCTATATGAACGAAGGAGGTAGACAAGCTTTTATATGCAGACACACTTGGTTTATATTAAATACATACACATACTTTTTAATCCCACAAAGAACTGTGCTTTCTGCCATTTTTCTTGAAACATACAACCCCTTTTGGGCTACCTTTCATGGGTTTTCATTGTTACTAAAGACATGGATACACACAAATACTTTTATATCATAAGGGAAACAATAGTGCAAGGGTGCTGCAAAGGATAAGGGACACACAGTTTAAAGTTAAGAGATGGTGTGCTGAACTCAGCAGCACTCGGTCTGAAAATTGCAGGCCCTGCCCAGGCCTGCTGAAGCCACTGTATATGCCTTGCTAAGGCAAACATCAGTTCTTCTCAGCATTAATTCCAGGTGCCTACAAAGGGAGCAGAGGATGAAATGATGTTCAAAGGACATTCATCCTTTGGATTTGGGCCAACCATTCTCCAGTGTAACCAGTTTGCTGCTGGGCATCTTTTTCTGTAATACATTTATTAATTAACAACCTATATCAGATCATAGAAGTAGATTCCCAACGCAGAATACCATTACGTGTCTGGGTACACATAATGATGCCATTCCCACATCTTGGCCAACAGCCCACACTGACACGGCCCTGCTGATGTGGGTATAACACATTCTATTAAATGAAAAACCTAACATAATGGCAGCTATTAATACCTTCTAATATTAATAGGCAGCATTAATCTTATGCAATAGAATCTGTCCACTTACCAAGCACTTCGTTTCACAGCTTTTCCCAATTTCTTTAAGTGTCCTCCCACCACCCTGATCACTATCTGCTGGACACTCTCTGATTTGTCATAACTACCAAGGTGAGGGCTGGAGGGGCCACCAATGCACTAACAGCACATAAAAAGTAACCTCAATTGGGACTCTAAAGCTCTCTTATTCTCTCAGCTACATCCACCCCAAGAGGAGAATGAACACAGGAGACATCCTCTTTAGTATAACACACTCTTACTATCCTTCAGATCTCAGCTTTGGTGTCACTTCCATCGGGAAGACTTATCTGCCTGTCTCCTCTACTTCAGTAACAACAACAACAACTGGATTAAATGTGCTCCAACAAGGTTCCCCAGGACTGTTGGTTTTTCCGTATTTGCCATCACCTCCTGTGGTCTTCTTGTTAGCAGGGGGCATATCTCCAACCAAAGCATAGAAAGCATTCAATAAATATTGAGTAAGTGGACAAATGACTGAACAGATTTTTAGATGGATTAATGCATAGGTAGATGGCAGCATGGGTGGATGGGTGGGTGGCTGGGTGGATGGATGGATGGATGGATAGATGGGTGGGTGGGTGGATGGATGGATAGATGGGTGGGTGGGTGGGTGGGTGGATTGTTGGATGGATGGATGGATAGATGGATGGATGGATGGATGGATGGATGAATGTTCTTTGACTTTGTTAGAGGTTCTGTCTAAGGAAAGGAGTGTTCTCTGGTATGATGGTTTAAGGGTGATCTTGCCACAAGATGGCGCTCATAATTTTCTTAATTTATGGGTTTTATAGAAAATTTCCATTTCAAATTTTAAATTGTCTTAGAATCATTATATATGTTTCACAGCTAATGTAACTTATTTACTATACTGTCCATGTTTCATGTTCCAACACATTTCACTCAATAACCAACATGCTCTTTCCTCCTGGAACATCAAAACGACCCTGCAGCATTTTGCTGTGATGTTGGGTGGGTTGCTTTGGGGCTCTGTGCAGAGTGCAGAGAACAACGTTAGTCCCTTGATAGTACAGGGAATCAAAGCATTGTTCTTCTACCACACCATCTCCAACAACAGAGTCAGCAGAAAAGTGAAACCTCGACTTGAAATATCCATTAACCTTTGAAAACATGAATCTTGCCTTGACAAAATAATAATCTCTTACATTTACACAGAGTTTTATGCCACACAAAGCAATTTTGCATCACCAAAAAACAGTTTTTGAGTACTTGAGAACATGCCAGTCACTTTGGATTTATTAACTACATTTAACCTTCATGCCAACCCTATGAATTATGTCTTAATATCTCCCATCTTACAGATAATAAAATGAAGGTTCAGAGAGGGGATGTGACCCACCAGAATTACCTAGGTGGTAAGTGGCAGAGGTATAGTTCGGTCTCAAATTTTATTTTTAACTCTACATTAATTTGCTTCCCGTTATTTGCTGTGACATAAGCTATTTCAGTGTTAAGGAGACCGTGTTAGACAATAAGGAGGAAAGGAAACTTCCACGTATAACTTCCTGTGATTATGTGCATATATTTATGTGCACATGCATACACACACACACACATACATAAACTCACCAGCTCTATAAAGGGAGTAATAATTACCATTTCCAAGTAACCACAACATGCTAGGCACAATGCCAAAAGGTTCTTTCACACATCATTTCATTTTATCCCTACCTACTTCTGTAAGAAAGATCATTATCCCCATTTTACAGATATGAAAATTGTAGCACAGAGAGATTAAATGGCTTATGTTATGTCACAGAGGAGCTAAGTACCAGGGCTGAAATTCAAGTTCAACTCTACCTGACTTCAAAGCTTCAGTATTCCCAGAGGCCACATGAGTATGGGTAAGGGGTAACTTGGGAATTCTGGGAAGGATTCCTGGAGTTGCCTCTCTACTCTTTCTGCTCTTATCAAACTGCATATAATCACCAAACCTTCCTCTGAGCCCTCATATGTTCTGTTCTTCTGCTGGAAATGCCCTTCCCTGCGGAGTTTGCCTGGAAAGCGCCTGCCACCTTTGAGCCCCAGCTCAAGTACCACTTCTCCTATGGTGCCTCCTCTGATAGCCCCCCACCAAATGTACACACACATCCTCATGCCACATCCATTGTCCTTCCTCTAAATCTCACCCTCTTCCCCTATACACACACATACACTCATCTTGTCAGTTTTTATAGAATCCTAAATATCCTACTGCATGGAGTCAACCGTGAATGGCCTGAGATTTTTATCTATCTGTAAGCTAACAAGCTGGCCTGCCACAGACTCACAGATGCTGGCAGAAGATGCAGATGACGTCCTCACTCCCTATCTCTGGCACCTTTAACGATGGCCTGCTCATAGGAGGAGCTCTGTCCATGATTGCTGAGTAACTGAGAGAGTAAGTTCAAGGCAAGTCCAAATGGTTGATGATACGTAGGTACAGATAGGCTGTTGGCAGATCTGTGTGGAGCGAAGGAAAGAGCTGTGAAAAGAAAGGCATGAGTAGTGGCAGCAGGTGGAGTCTGGGAGGAGTCAGGTTCCCCTCCATGGACTAGCTAGAAAGGCCGTGTCTATTTGTAAGTATTTAAGTCTCAAGCTGGAAAATTCGAGAATTAAGCCTAGCACAGTGGCACACGCTTGTAATGCTAATTACTTGAGAGACTGAGGTAGGAGGATCCCTTGAGCCCAGGAGCTTCAGACAAGGCTAGGCAACATAGTAAGACAGATGAAAGAAAAGAAAAAGAAAAAGAAAGAAGGAAGGGGAAGGGAGAAGGGGGTAGGGGGAAGGGGAAAGGGGAAGCGAAAGGAAAGGGAAAAGGAAAGAAAAAGAAAATTCAGGAATCAATCTCTCTCTCGCTCTCGCTGTCTCTCTCGCTCTCTCTCGCCCAGACTGCAGTGTTGTGGTGCTATCACAGTGCGCTGGCGCCTCAAACTCCTGGGCTCAAGCAGTCCTTCCACCTCAGCCTCCCAAGTAGCTGAGACTACAAGTGTGTGCCACGACACCTGGCTAGTTTTTATATTATTTGTAGAGACCGTTTCGCTATGTTGCCCAGGCTGGTCTCAGACTCCAAGGTTTCAAGCCATCCTCCCACCTTGGCCTCCCAAAGCACTGGGATTACAGGTATGAGCCACTGTACCTGCCTCTCTTTTTTCTTTTATTTTATTAACACTTCCACATGGCACTTACTTTGTGCCAAGCACTGGCTTGAAGAACTTTACATTTATTGACATATATGTTACACCTGTGTTCATCTTCACAGCCTCTGTGACTGCTGCAGGGAATTCAGTTGAATGTGGCAAGAACGACACCCCCTGACTTCAGGGTAATCACCTCGACTAGTCTGAGGCAGGCTGCAGGAAGTCCACGTGGAGAGAGAGGGCTGTCTGTTGTTCCAGCCACCAGTTGCTTGAGTGTTCCCAGGCCTGGCCCAGACTTAGAGGAAGGCTGCAAGATGACCCCAGCCCCCATTAAAACCAAGAGAGAGCCTACCTGAACCATCTACTCCTAGGTTTGAGAGAAAAGTAACTGTTTTGAAGCCACTGCTCTGGTGTGACTTGCTATGCTGCACTAGATGACTGACACAGGCTTGGGTTTCCTTTGAGATGAGTGCTGTTCTCAGCCCCAGAGTCCAAGTCCCTAACCACTACACTAAGGTGCCTCTAGTTAGGCCCATAAAATGAAACCAACTAGATAATCCCATCAACACGCCAGATCTCCAAGTTGCAACCGCCTCTACTAATGATTCCTGCGTGTTTCAAAAATTTCTGCTAATCCTTTGTTGTTTCGGTCATTCTGATTGGCTCCAGTCAACAGTACCTCTAGGGTTGCAGCACTTTCAGCTCTTCCAAAGTATGCACACAAACAAGCTTAAGTGAAGCCTAGAAAGACCTCTAATGCCCACAGCAAAACAAAATTGGAAACAGACAAGGGCCCGCTCTTCAGCTGTATACCTTGACCGGTAGTAAGAAGTCTAAACAACAAAAATGCTGTTGGTTAATGTGGAGTACAGCTACACCACAGAACTTTATTTAAAACACATTTTGGGCCAGGTGCGGTGGCTCACACCTGTAATCCCAGCACTTTGGGAGGCTGAGGTGGCTGGATCACTTGAGGTCAGGAGTTCAAGACCAGCCTGGACAACATGCCAACATGGTGAAACCCTGTCTCCACTCAAAATACAAAAATTAGCTGGGTGTGGTGGTGCACATCTGTAGTACCAGCTACTTGGGAGGCTGAGGCAGGAGAATGGCTTGAACCTGGGAGGCGGAAGTTGCAGTGAGCCGAGATCGTGCCACCGCACTCCAGCCTGGGCAATAGAGCGAGACTCGATCTCAAAAAAATAAAATTAAAATAAAAACAAAAAATAAAATACACTTTGGGGGGAAAGAAGTATACCTGACAAGAAGATTCTCTAGATCAGGGGTGAGCAAACTATGGCCTAGAGGCCAAATCCAACTGACCACTTGGGTTTGTAAATAAAGCCTTGTTAGAGCACAGCCATATCCATTCACTTATATGTTGCCAGTGGCAGCAGCAGAGTTGAGTCGTTGTGAGAGGCTGTGTAGCCCACAAAGCCAAAAAGATTTATTCTTTACAGAAAAAACTTTGTCAAATCCTGCTTTAGGTAAGAGACATTTTGCTCCTTTTTAATGTTTTAAATGTCTCTCAAATCATCCACCCCTTTCCCTCATTCTTGTTTTTAAATGTTTAATTATGAGATATTTCAAACATACAGACAATATGACTAAATAGTAAATAACTTGCTTATGTACCCATCACTGACATTAAACAGATGTTAACATTTGCCATATTTGTTTCCGCTCATCTTTAAAAAAAATAAAAAATATACAGCTAAAGTATCCCTATCTCTTTTTCTTCCCTGCTTCTCCACAGGTTGTCATTTCTTAAAGTTGGAGTGTTTCCTTCCTATTCACGTTTTTTGCACATCACTACAAACCTATACAATTTGCTACAGGCTTGTACCGTTTTTCCATAAATACTGTCATATCACATGTGTCTTTTGGCCACATTTTTCCACTCAGTATTATGTTTTTGAGATGTATAGTTATTGACACATGTATATCTAGTTCATTCACTTTCATTGCACATGACATTCCATTTTATGAATAAACCACAGCTTACATTAACAGTTATGTAACAACATGATGAGAGACAATTCGGTTGTTTCCACTTTTCTCTGTTATTCACAGTGTTACATTCAAAATCTTTGTATACATCTCCTTGTGCACAAATATATGAGTTTCTCTAGGGCATGTTCCTTTGAGGAATAGCTGGTCAACAGGTGGGAATATGATAAATTATCTTCCATTCACCCTTCCAGAGTCCACTTTCCATTCATTCCCATCCTGCTCTGGGCCCCCAGAGCTGCATAGTGTGGACTAACCAGCCGGCTCCCTTGCCTTCTGTCCCTTGTGTTGAGCCAATGCAGAAGACCAATGGGAAGTTTGGGAGGTGGAAGAAAGTGCGATCAGGGTACTTATTTCCCCAGTTTCCTCCCCATGGGATCAGCGCAGGCTGATGAGGCCCCTCTACTGAGGGTCACAGCCCTCTCTGTCTCCAGGTTCCAGTAACTGCTCCGGCAGCTTTGCCCTTCAGGCCTAAGGGTGGTCAGGTCCCACTGACACTAATTCCTGGGTACTGCCCCATCCCTTGTGCTTTTCCTGTAACTTGTCCATATCTTTCTAAATAGTCCCATTATTAAACTGCCCTCAAATTATCAAATTTGAGGGTGCCAACTGTTTCTGCCAGGGCCCTAGCTGACACAACGTGCATCCTCAGCTTTATAGTCTTTGTAAACTGCTCCCCAAAAGACCTGTATCAACCTGTACCCCCACACATTTGTGTATGAGTTCCTATTTCTTCACATTTTCTCCAAAACTTGGTGTGATCTGATTTATAACTTTTTCCAATGAGGCTGAGCAGGAGCATCTTTTAATATATTTGTTGGTCATTTGTAAATTGTCTGCTCATATTGTTTGCCTGATTTTCAGGCTTTTTCTTTTTCTTGATAATGTAAATGAGTCCTTTAGGTATACTGAACACTCATTCTTGTTTGACTGGAAAGAAATCTCCTAATCTGGGTCTGGTCATTTCCCTTGATTTATGGTGGTGGCTTTCAATTTGAAGGTAGTCAACATTGTCAATCTTTTGCTGATTTTGCTTTTTATAACTTAAAGTCTTTCCTAACTTATTGCCATAAACATAATCTCTTATACTTTCTTCCAAAAGTTGCATAGTTTTGCTTTTCATCTTTAGCCTACTGGAGTATATTTTATTCCAGGTATTAGGTGAAAGGTAGGAATATAATTTTATTTTTTCCATACAGATAGCCATTAGATTATTGATTAGCCCTCCCCATCTTCACTAATTCATAAGGCCCGTTTGCCATATTTTAAGACGCCATATATACGCGAGGTTGTTTCTGGGCTCTGTTATTTTGTTCCATTCGTCTACTTGTCTATCCCTCTCCCAGTCACACTGCCTTTATGAAAAGTCTGGAAGTATCCCACCACCTTTCCCCAAATCTGCTGCTTCTTCAAAATTATCTTAAGTGTACTTTCTCATGTGCATTTTAGGTTGTAGATGTGTGGTGTTATTTCTGAGGTCTATGTTCTGCTGCATCATCTCAGTCCCAAAACTCCTCAAACTTACAAGCAACTTCAGCAAAGTCTCAGGATACAAAATCAATATGCAAAATCACAAGCATTCCTTTACACCAACATTAGGCAAGCAGAGAGCCAAATCGTGAATGAACTCCCATTTATAATCTCGACAAAGAGAATAAAATACCTCTAGCATGCCACCATTATGGTTTTGCACAGATTCATCTAAGTCACATAGGCAAAGTGTGACCACAGTTTGACCTAAATCTTTGCAGAGCGCCCTGCCATCCTCCCAAGAACATACATAGCATGGCAGACAAATACTCCCTATTTTGCAAGAGGTTGTCATGAGTCAGTTTCTTATATGCCTGCCTAGTTCTGATGAAGCATGAGCTTTCAACCATAATCATCCCCCACCCTGCTAGAGTACAGCCACACATTATAAAACTGCTTATCTATAGTCTAGAATTGCTTCCCCCATAACAGAGCAACCTACTGCTCATATCATCTGTCATCTGGACCCTTTCACTTTGGTGTCATCCTGGGGACAAAGTACATAGGGAGCTGACACCATACTGATCGTGCTTTTGCTATCTATGTAAGTAGTAAACTGTAGGCTTGTTTTGTCTTTATCAACCAAATCTATGGCTGGGTGATAAACCCTTGTAACTACTGCAGTAGTCAATGATGCCTGGAAGCTGCTTGACTCATTGGAATGATGTTGCTAATAGTCTTCTTCATGATTTTTAAAGTTAAAATCTCATTTTCCTTCTAATATATATTTGAGACATAGCTCTTGTTTTTCTAATTAAATCTTATTAGAAGTGCATCTATCTGATTAGCTTTTTCAAAGAACTAGCTTTAGTTTTACAGATATTCTCTTTGTTTGTTTGTTTGTTTACGATATATTTTCAGGTCTTTATTATGTTCTTTTTTTTAGATTTATTTAGTTCTTTTTCAAATTTCTTGCAGTGGACACTTAACTCATTACTTTTCAGTCTTCCTCTCTCTAATATTTGGTAAATTTTAAGGGTATACATTTCCCCTAAGTACGTTTCACTTGTATCTCACATGTCTAGTGAGTTGTAGAGTTTTGTTTTCGTGTTTATTTCGTTTTGTTTTGGTCATTCAGTTCTAAAAACATTTCTCGTCTCAATAATTATTTTTTCTTTGAGTCATAAATTATTTGGAATTTTTAAAGTTTACGAATGCATGAAGGATTGGCTGGTTACCTTTTCATTAATGATGCCTAACTTTATTAAATTGGAGACAGACAATATAGCTGTTTGATAATGAGTCTTCACTTTGTGGCTTAGTGTGTGGTCAAATTTTAGAACTGTTCCAGGTATTCTTGAAAAGAATTTGCATTCTTAAATGATTATGTTTAAAGCTCTGTATATTTCCATTGAATTAAGCTCATTAATTTTGTTCTTCAAATCTCCTATATCCTTATTAAATTTTGCCTATTTGGTCTACTAATACTGAGAAAAATGTTAGCCTCCCATTATGATTATAGGCTTGTCAATTCTGTCTTATGATTCTACCAGTGTTGCTCTGTGTATTTTAAGGCTGCATAAAAATTCATAATTATTTTAGCTTCCTGCTTTATTGTTTTATCATTATTTAATAACCCTCTTTTTACTTAACAAAAATAAAACCTGTATTATCTTACTAACATATCTATACTAGTTTTCTTATGATCGGTATTTTCATTTATATATTTTCTTTTTTTAATTTTCCATTTTTATTTTTTATTTTCTTTATTTTCATCATTCTCAGTTCCTATGTTTTTGAAATAACTCCCCTAAATAGCATTTTGTTTTGTAGCCAGTTTGAGAGCTTCTGGGTTTTTTGTTTGTTTGTTTGTTTTTGAGATAAAGTCTCACTCTGTCGCCCAGGCTGGAGTGCAGTGGCGCAGTCTCGGCCCACTGCAACCTCCGCTTCCTGGGTTCAAGCAATTCTCCCTGCCTCAGCCTCCTGAGTAGCTGGGATTACAGGTGTGCACCACCACACCTGGCTAATTTTTGTATTTTGAGTAGAGACAGGGTTTCACCATGTTGGCCAGGCTGTTCTCAAACTCCTGACATCAGGTGATCCACCCGCCTTGGCCTCCCAAAGTGCTGGGATTACAGGCATGAGCCACCGCGCCCGGCCAAGATCTTCTGTTTTTTAAGTGGTGAGTTTGTTTCATTTGTAATTATTTCATTTATTGATATATTTGTATTTGTTTCTACCTTCTTATTTTATGCCTTCTACTTACTCTAGTTTTTCTTTTTGTTTTCTTTTTTCCTGCCTGCCATTGGATTGAGTTTTATTTATTCCCTCTCTTTCTACCCTCTATTGATTTGTAAGGCCTACCATCTATCAGTTCTTATAGTGGTTACTCTTAATTTTTGAACATGCATACTTATTTTAACAATATCTAAGTTTTATATATATATTGTTTTACTGCTCTTACTAATAACAATATATTTTAACTTTACATTTGTTTATCATTTATGTTATCACTGACCAGTATTATTTGTATACCATAGGAATTGGTTGTTATTTTTCTCATTTTATACAGTAAGGAGGGATGTATCCTTTGTATATACCCAAAACTGTAATGATTTATTTGCTCATTGTCATTTTTCTACATCCCACTTCTTCCTATTAGGTTTGTTTTCATTTTTTTCTGAAATGTGCTCTTGACTAGTTCTTTAAGGAAGGGTCAGTTAGTGGTAATTTATACAGTCCTCACCTAAAAACGCTTTTACTTAACCTTCACTCTTGAGTGATAATGGAACAGAATTCTCAGTTGACAGTTATTTTCCCTCAGCTCTTGAAAATAGTCTTTCATTGTCTTCTAGAATCTATTGTTGCAGTTAAGAAGACTGTCGTCAATCTAGTGTCCTTTTATTAGCAATTTGTCTTTTTTCTCTCGTTGCTGTTATGATTTTCTTTTTGTTCTCAGAGCTCTGCAGCCCCTCTAATATAAGGCTTTTTTGCAGTAAGTCTCAGGATTCATGGCATTTCTGAATCTGCAGTTCCTTGCCTTTTGTCAGTTCTGGAAGAGTATCAGCTAATATCTCTTTAACTCTTTAAATACCATCTCTACCCCATTCTCTGTATTCTGTGCATTTGGAATTTGGAACTTCATACACAGAAACACGCATGCACACACACATGCATGTGCACGCACACAGGCAGGAACATTTATATGAAATTCTTATGCTTACTCTCTGGTATACACACACAGACACACACACATATACACACATATTTTTCCATACTTTTGTCTCTCTGTCCTTCTTTTTGGGAATTTCCTCAGATCTTGCTTCCATTTCACTAATTTGGTCTTCAACTGTGTTTGCTGTTTAACAAATCCAATGACTTTTTAAATTTCCAATGATTATAGTTTTATCTAAAAATTATATTTGTTGGCCGGGAGAGGTGGCTCACGCCTGTAATCCCAGCACTTTGGGAGGCCGAGGTGGGTGGATCACAAGGTCAAGAGATGGAGACCATCCTGGCCAACGTGGTGAAACCCTGTCTCTGCTAAAATTAGCTGGGCGTGGTGGTGCATGTCTGTAGTACCAGCTGCTCGGGAGGCTGAGGCAGGAGAATCACTTGAACCCGGGACACGGAGGTTGCGGTGAGCTGAGATCACTGCACTGCATGCCAGATTTACTAATAGAATTGAGTCCTAGCTATTCCTGCAACACTATTCTATGCTCTATTCTATTAGATT
Source organism: Homo sapiens (assembly GCF_000001405.40). NCBI lineage: Eukaryota > Metazoa > Chordata > Mammalia > Primates > Hominidae > Homo > Homo sapiens. Next base: position 11,012,959 of record NC_000011.10, on the reverse strand, counting down.
TGCTAATAGAATAGAGTGAGACTCCATCTCAAAAACAAAACAAAAAAATATATATTTGTTGTTTTCAATTTGCTCATTCTTTTATCTTGATAATGTTAAAAATCCTTATTATATATTCTTTTTCATATTGATTTTTGGTGTCTTAAACTCTTAGATATCTAATTATCCCTTTTATTATATCCCCTGACTTTTATTCTGGATGGATCATTTCTTCATTTATTTTGTAATTTTTATGGTGAGATAACATATTGTTTCATGCCAGGGTCTCAATTCTAATAGTCTGCCTTAAGCAAGGTCAAGACTGTCCTCTCATCCTACTGTGGATGATATAACCAAAATTAGCAAGACCAGTAACACACACACACACACACACACACACACACACACACACCAGCTACAAACTCAGCTCTGTATTTACTGCTTTGGTTTTCAGTTCCTTCTTCACTTTGGGCCTCTAGGGGATCTCTTTTTCTTGAAAACTCAGCTATTCATTCTGAGTGGTTATTATAATACCTTACCCAGCATTTCTAGGTGTTTTTATGTGGAAAGTTTTATGCATTCCTAATCTGCCATCTTGCTGGAACCAGAGATCAAACTGAACTTACTGGCATGTTGCATGTAATATTTTTTAACTATTGTGAAGTCAAAATTGGGTCATTAATGAGCAGATAACTGGTGGGGATACATCAGTGTATAAGTCATGAAGTTACACGTGTGAACTTCAGCATGGTTTCACAGAAATACCTTAGCGCTTCAAGATCCATAGATATTGCTTTGAATTTTAGCTCTGCAAAATGTAATACCTATGTGATCTTAGGTAACTTAGGATCTCTAAATATATTTTCACCTGCAAAATAGAAATGTTCATGTTTCACGGTCACTAGTGATGCCAAACCTAAAAACATGTATTAAGATCTATTTGGAATAAAAATATTTTAAAATCGTATGACACACTTGCATGCCTTCTTCCAAAGAATAAAAATTACTTTACCTTGTCTTAGACACTCGGAGTTGTTGCTTCCAGCCTGAGCGACCAAGCTGAGAAGGGAAGAGAGGAACATGCGTCAGGACTACTGTGGTCTGTTGGTCTTTTCCCCATACACAGGATGCCACCAATACAAAAGGACTAGATGACAAGTGACACGAGTCTGCTGTGCTACATGCCAGGGCAGCCTCACAGTTAACATCTGCTCTCAAGATGCTCATACTTAGAAAAAAGTCAACCATGGAAATATAAGAACAAGTACAAAGAAGGTTCCGCCAAGACCTTTCTATACACCCTCTCAAGAATTTTCACAACAGCCCTGAGAAAATTATATTATGCCCATTTTACATATTAGGAAACTGAGTTTCACTAAAGGTTATATGATCACAATAATTGAGGAAGCCAAAAATGAGACCTTCTTAACCGCTCCACCACCCCTCCTCCGTCAGCCAATTAGGCTCTCCCTCCTCTGCACTCCCAAAACACTTCGTGCTTGCCCGATATAGCACTTACCACACTGAACTCAAGTTTTCGGTTCAGAGTCTATCCCCGCCCTTAGAGCTTCTTGAGGACACTAATTGTCTAGTATTCATCTTTGAATCCCAAGCCTCTGGACAAGGTGACTCTAACAAAGATTTGCTGAATGAAACTCAGACTTCCTATCTCCAAATCCAGTATTCTTTCCTCAGTCCCACACTATTTCCTGGTCGTTATCACAGAAAGCACCAGAGCCCACCTGGAATAGCCCCCTGCCCATTTGCATCTGAATCCATGACTCTCTCCCAAGGTCAGGAAATAAACAAGGCTTTTTCCCTGGGTAGCAGAAACTAAAGCCAGATCCATTGCTGTGTCCCTCTCCAGGCTGGGCACAGAGTCTGGCATGGGGCTGGGCACCTCTTAGGGAATCAGAAAGCCTGGGTGATTGAAATTGATTAGCCTTTTGATTTGAGGAGCCTCAGACACAGAACAGTGCTGACTCGGGGAATCACAGCTCCCGCAATGACTCATACATCAGGATCTCTTTAATGGGAAATTATGGAAATGTGCTGCCTGCGGAGCTGTCTTAATTAAGAACGACCTGATCTTGATTGCAGCGTCTGAGTGAACTCCCCTCCCCTCTCCTTTTCTCCTTGACACCAAGAAGCGGAATCTGGCTGCCTTTGACAAGGCTTTCCTTCTCCCAGTCACGCTGCTGACAGGCTGTGGTTGGTGACAGTTGAGCTAGTTGGGGGTGGCAGCCCTTCAGCCAGCAGGAGGCTCCCTAATGGACAACATCAATCAGTGAGTAGCAGAGATTCCGGAGCCTCTGTCCTGTCCCAGGTCTCAGGAAAGGCTGGGGCTAAGTCTAGGAACAGGCAAAACGTAACCAGGTTGGATGTTTTTCCGGCACCCATTCTCCCCACCTCTGTCCCAAAGCTAGTTTATCCTGGAGACTATATTCCAACTAGAAAATAAAGATAGGCTCCCTTTACCACCTACCACCTCTGAGCTCCAGCCCCCAACCTAAGGGCAAGCTGGGCCTGAGCCCCCAAGGGAAGAAAGGGTACAGCCATTCTCTCTCCATGCTCATGGACATCCTATTAACCCATTAATGCCAGAGGTTGCAATTTTTTTGAAGTACAGACATGTGTGAAAAATCAGGCTGTGGCAATGACCTTGAGCAGTAGGATATAAATAACTCCCAGATGCTTAGCGTTCCAATAATGGAACACTAGGCATAAATGGGTTTAATATACTCAGGGTCCAAAAAGATGACTGGGCTCCAGGAAGGTTTGGCTTCTCAAGCCAAGATTCTAAACCCTAGCCCAGAGCCAGATATAACCTGAAAATTTCCTGTCAGCCCAGATTCCCTCATTCAGACCATCCCTGGATTCCCCATCACCATACTCTATCCACGTGCCACACCCTCATTCAGCAAACATTTGCTCATGTGTGTGAGGTCCTGACACTCTGTGGCTCCATGTCCTTCTCCCCTCCCTCTCCAAACACACACACACACACACACACTTACAATTTTGAAATCGGGTATTTATTGAACTGATAAAAGAGTTTTCAAAGAAGTTTTATCACCATGTGTGACTCATCTTTTAGTTGGTAGCTTTAGGTTTCTCTTGTCCCCAGCTTCTCAAGAGAGTAATTAATAAAGCACAAACAAACATTTAAATCATTTGGGAACTCACTATTTAAATGCTCCAAGAGTGAGCTTCATGTAATGATACAGCCATTCCTGAAATCATCTGTGGGCAAAATCTCCTTAAACTGGAAGACCCTGGGATAGAAGTCCCACTTGAATGAATAGGGCTGTTAAACCTCACCTGACAGGACAAGATGGGGGATAGTGTGTACCTACTCTCCATATATCAGCTGCCCTAACTTGTTCACAAGGGCTATCAGAAACCTTAATCCTAGAAAACACCCCTTTTACCTGTGGCTTGGCTCTGCTTCTCCTATCTAACCCTTTCCAGTGGCTTCGTGTTACCCAGATGAGTAATTATCAGAGTGTGGTTCCCGAACCAGCAGCATCAGCATCACTGGGAACATAAAAGAAATGCAAAATCTCATGCCTCACCCAAGACCTACAAACCAGAAACCCTAAGGGTAGGGAGGACCTGTGGCAATCTGTGTTTTAAGCAGCCTTCCGGGAGACTCTAATGAGAAAAGCTTGAGAACCACTGCCCTACATAGAGATGCAGCCTTTGCAAGACCTGCAAGGCCCTCCACAAAGACGCTGCTAGCCCACAGGAGCCTTTGTGTAAATTACAGAGTCTCCTCTGGGAGGATGTGACCACAAGCACACACTTGTCACACAGAGCCAGAGCTGTATTTTAGCCCCACTCGCCCCCTTGGCTGGGCAACCTCATAAAGTAAACAGCCCACACGGTGAGACATAGCAGCCCTGCCCATAGGAACAGACTCTCTGACCCAAGGCTTCACCACTGGCCTCCTCATCCCCTATGTTCCGGCCACTCCAGACATTTTGCAGCTCCCTGCACACATCATGGTACTTCCTGCCTCTTGCATGCCTTTGAACAAGCTGGTCTCTCTACCTAGAATTCTCTCTCCCTTCCCCGTGTTTCTACCTAGAAAACTCCTGCAACCTTTAAGACTCAGCTTGGTTGTCTCCTCTTCCAAGAAATAATTGCTGACTGCAGGAGAGTCTGATTCCACTCCTCTCAGCTCCCTTACTGCGCTGCGTTCGCCTCTCACATTGCCCTTACCTTGCTGCATTTTAATTGTTTGTTTCCTTGTCTCTGTCCTCCTCAAGGGCAGGATCTGTGTCTGATTCACCTTTTATCACAATATCAGCACAGTGCCTGGCATGTTCATACCGGGACAAAATCTACTGAATGTCAGTTCTGTACCAGGCTCTCTGTACCAGAGATAAAGTGAAGATCACACCAGACAGATTGACCTCATGGAGGTGATTCACAGTTAAGAGAATGGTGGAAAGGGAAGGAAGGAAGAAAGGAAGAAGCAAGACCTTTGCAGAAGTGGTGGGACATAATTGCTTTTCTGGTGATTTGGAATGATTTAGAAGCTGCCTCAAAAATATGATAACTTCCTCCAGCTCTGGGAGGATGAATTCATTTTCTGTAAGGCCCTCTCCAGATACAGTCACAAAGCCAAAAAAGTCAAGACCAGTCCAAAGCAGAAAAAAAGTTCTCTAATCAGGAGGCCTGTCCTCCTGTGGAGCCTGGCTCAGTACCAGCTACTGAAGGGCCACCTTGCCATCCAGAGTGTTCAGTGCCTTCCCGTAGGGGCTACCACCAGGATAGTGAACAGGGACAAGACCAGATTTGAAGTCTTGATGCCTCACCTCCTGCAACTAAGGCTCAAATCACTTTGTCAAGACTCAAATCAGGTTGGCATAACCCTCCTCAACTGGCAGCTAATCTAATAATGAGGCTTGAATTGCAAGTTTCTGTTCACTGTAGTAATGTAATAATGGGGATTCTAGTTGAAGCCATTTGACTTCTGGACTAATTTCTACATCCAGTGAGCAATGGCAATTAATAAAATAGGCATTCAGTTTATACACAGGAAAGATGACTTTTCTCAGAAATAAAAGAGCAGGTTTGGAGGTGGGAGGAAAAGTGATAGGGAAGAGGCTGTTGCAATCACCCAAGAGAGAGATGATGAAGCCTGCACAAGAGGAGAGGCAGTGGATGCAGAGGTCATTCTAGAAGGACATAGATGTTTGGGATATAGAACTGGATGTAGGAGAAAGAGAACAAGAGGAAGCAGGAGGGAGGTGAAGGGGTCTGGTCTGGATTCTGAAGGTGCTGCAGGAATAGCTAGGACAGATTTGCTAATAGAATCGATTTTTGAGCACACTCCCCAGCCTAAGCCCAGGGCTACATGCATACACACAGACAGAGGCCTCCTCACCCATAGACTCACATACAAACACAGAGAAGGCATAAAATTGCACATACAAACTCATCACAGGACGAATGGGAACTCATTGACAGATGTGCATAAACATATTCACTCACTTAAAACCAGAGTTTTGAAATAATTATTCAGAAAATGAACACAAAAATAGTTTAGTGCCAATTATAAAAAATAATTATATACTTTATTTTATTGGGCTTTGCTTTCATGTACTTGGCATATATTGTGTTTTTACAAATCAAAGGTCTGTGGCAAGTCTATTGGTGCCATTTCTCCAACAGCATGTGTTCACTTCATGTCTCTGTGCCACATTTGGGTAATTCTTGTAATATTTCAAATATTTTCATTATGATTATGTCTGTTATGGTGATCTGTGATCAGTGATCTTCAATGTTATTGTAATTGTTTGGGGACACTATGAACCATGCCCATATAAGATGACGAACTTAATTGGTAAATGTCATGTCGGTTCTGACTACTCCACTAACCAACTGTTTTCTTGTCTCTCTCCCTCTCCTTGGTCCTTCCTATTCCCTAAAACACAACAATATTGATATTAGGCCAATTAGTAATCCTACAATGGACTCTATGTGTTCAAGTGAAAAGAAGAGTTGCATGTCTCTCACTTTAAATCAAAAGCTAGAAATGATTAAGCTTAGTGAGGAAGGCATGTTGAAATCTGGGATAGGCTGAAAGCTGGGCCTCTTCTGCCAAACAAGTAGCCAAGTTGTAAATACAAAGGATATATTGTTAAAGAAAATTGAAAGCGCTACTCCAGTGAACACACAAATGATGAGAAAGCCTTATTGCTGATATAGAAAAGTTTGAGTGGTCTGGATAGAACATCAAACCAGCCACAACATACCCTTAAGCCAAAGCCAAATCCAGAGCAAAGCCCTAACTCTCTTCAATTCTATGAAGGCTGAGAGAAGTGAGGAAGCTACAGAAGAAAAGTTTGAAGCTAGCAGAGCTAGCTTCACATGGCTCTTGAGGTTTAAGGAAAGAGGCCATCTCCATAACATAAAAGTGCAAAGTGAAGCAGCAAGTGCTGATGGCAAAGATGAAGCAAGCTATCCAGAAGATCTAGCTAAACAACAGATTTTCAATGTAGATTCAACAGATGGGAAAAGATGCCATCTAGGACTTTCATGGCTAGAGAAAGTCAATGCCTGGCTTCAAAGCTTCAAAGGACAGGCCAACTCTCTTATTAGGGACTAATGCAGCTGTTAACTTTAAGTTGAAGACAAAGTTCATTCACCATTCTGAAAATCCTAATGCCCTTGGGAATTATGCTAAATCCTCATAGACGTAAAAAGTAGAACTCTGTTTATTAGAGGCTGGGAAGAACAGGGAAGAAGGGAGGATATAGAGAGACTGGTTAATGGATATGAAATTACAGCTAGATAGAAGGAGTTCTAGTGTCTATAGCACTGCAGCGTAAATATGGTTAACAATAAGTTATCAAAAGCTAGAAGAGAGGATTTTGAACAACACAAAGAAATGATAAATGTTTGAGGTAGTGGATAAGCTAATTACACTGATTTGGTCATTACACATTGTATGCATTTATCAAAATTTCACTCTGTATCCTGTAAATATGTACAAGTATCGTGTCAATAAAAAAAAAGAAAAAAGAAATCATTCATGAAAAACAAAGTTACGCTGAATCTACTCTGCCTGTGCTCTATAAATGGAAAAACAGAGCCTGATGACAGCACATCTATTTATGGCATGATTTACTGAATATTTTAAGCCCACTGTTGAGACCTGCTACATAGAAGAAAAGATCCCTTTGAAAATATTCCTGCTCATTGACAACACACCTGACTACCCAAGAACTCTGAGGGAGATGTACAAAAAGAAAAAGATGAATGTTGTTTTCATGCCTGCTAACACATTCATTCTGCAGCCCATGGATCAAGGAGTATTTTTTTTTTTTTTTTGAGACAGAGTTTTGCTCTTGTTGCCCAGGCTGGAGTGCAATGGCATGATTTCGGCTCACTGCAACCTCCACGTCTGCCACCATGCCCAGCTAATTTTTTTGTATTTTTAGTAGAGATGGGGTTTCACCAGGTTGGCCAGGCTGATCTCAAACTCCTGACCTCAGGTGATTTACCTGCCTCAGGCTCCCAAAGTGCTGAGATTACAGGCGTGAGCCACCACGCCCGGACTCAAGGAGCAATTTTGACTTTCAAGTCTTATAATTTAAGAAACACATTTCATAAGGCTATAGCTGCCATACATAATGATTTCTCTCATGGAGCTGGGCAAAGTCAATGGAAAACCTTCTGGAAAGGATTCACCATTCTAGATGCCATTAAGAACATTTATGATTCATGGGAGGAAGCCAAAATATCAACATTACAAAGAGTTTGGAAGGAGCTGACTCCAACCTTCAGGGATGACTCTGTGGCATTCAAGACTTCAGTGGAGGAAGGAACTGCACAGGCAGTAGAAAGAGCAAAAGAACTAGAATTGGAAGTGGAGCCTGTAGATGTGACCAAATTGCTGCAATCTCATAATAAAACTTAAAACTTGAATGGATAACTAGTTGCTCCCTGTGGATGAGCAAAGAAAGAGGTCTTTCGAGATGGAAGTTACTCCTGGTGAACATTGTTGAAATGACAAAAAAGGATTTAGAATATTACATAAGCTTAGTTGATAAAGCAGCAGCAGGGTTTGGGAGAATTGACTCCAATTTTGAAACAAGTTCTACTGTGGGTAAAATGCTATCAAACAGCATCACATGCTACAGAGAAATCTTTCAGTGTTGTCTGAGTTCAAGAAACTGCCACAGTTACCCCAGCTTTCAGCAACCACCACCCTGATTAGTCAACAGATATCAACACCAAGTCAAGACACCCCCACCACCAGCAAAAAGACTAAAACTAACTGGGAGGCTCAGGTGATAGCATGTTTTAGCAAAAAATGTTTTTCATTTGTTTGTATTTTGGGGGAGGTTTTTCGTAGTTTTTTTGGGGGAGGAGGTGTTTTTGTTGTTGTTGTTTGACACAGCCTTTCTCTGTCACTCAGGCTGGAGTGCAGTGGCATGATCATGGCTCGCTACAGCCTGGAATTCCTGGGCTCAGGGAATCCTCCTGCCTCAGCCTCCTGAGTAACTGGAACTACAGGCACATACCACCATACCTGGCTAAAAAGGTATTTTTAAATTAAGGTACATACACTGCTTTTTAGACCTAATGCTGTTGCATACTTAATAGACTACAGTATAGTGTAAACATAATTTTTATATGCACGAGGAAACCAAAAAACATTGTGTGACTCATTTTATCAAAATATCCACTTTATTGCAGTGGTCTGGAACTGAACCTGCAATAGCTCTGGAGTGTGCCAGTGTCTGGATTTTTTACTCATAAATAATGAATTGTTTTATTAAAATGTTCTAAGATTATAAACCCTCTCCATCTATAAAACATCTTGTATTTGCATGGCACAGTTTACTTTTCAAAGAAAATTCATAAATGTTATCCCCTTAAAACCTCCAAAGGCATTTTGTGCTGTGTACTGACTATTAGCACTCAGAACGATGCCAGCTCTTTTTAGCTCTTCTAGTGTCACCAGGAGCTGGAAACCAAAGACTACATTTTCCCAGATTCCTCTGCCAGCAGGGTTCTGATTTTTATTCCACCAGTAAGAAGCATTCTCATGAGATTTGGAAGGTGGAAGAGGAACCAGCCATTATTAGTACTCAGACATTGGAGGGCAGAAGATTTTACAAGTGGTTTCCATAGGTCCTCCTAGGAATCACCCACATCAGTACTTCAGGCAGCTGAAATCATTGGTGGAGAGTTTTTTTAGCAACTTTTTGATTTTCTGAGGCCATCAGCAGTTTTTCCTGATCTTCACTCTTCCAGCTCTTTCAAATATGTTCTAAACATCAAGTTTTCTGTATTACTTTCTTCCTGCATGTAATGCCTTAAGCAGTTTTCCTGACTGATACAAATGTGTACATTATACACAGGTAAACATTAGTAACTATTTTTCCACTATCAGGTTAAACAGCATCTTCACAAACAATAAACTAACAGTACCATTTTACTTTTCTATAGGCGAAATAACAGAGATAACAGAAATGTGTTATCTCAGTTCTGGGGGCTGGAAGTCCCAGATCACAGTGTTGTCAGGGCTGGTTGAGTGCTGTGAGGGGAAATCTGTTCCAGACCTCTCTCCTAGCTTCTGGTGGTTTGCTGACAATTTTTGGCATTCCTTGGACCCTGCCACACCATCCAATCTCTGCTTTCATATTCCATGATGCATGCGTGTGTCTGTGTGTGTGTGTGTCTGTGTCTGTGTTCAAATTTCCCCTTTTTTATAAGAATACCCGACATATTGGATTGGGTGCACCTTAATAATCTTTTTATAATTTGATTGCTTCTGTAAAGACCCTATTTCTGAATGAAGTCACATTCTGAGGTACTGAGAGGTAGACTGCAACATATTTTGGGGAAAATGATACAACCCACAACACTATTCAATTCCAGGTGGAAACTCCCAGCAGCAAAGATGTATAGCTTAGGAATTCAGGGAAGATGTAGGCTAGAGATACAGAATTGGGAGTATTAGCAAAAAGTGGCATCGAAGTCACTGGGAAATTCAATCAGAGAGAATAAATAGAAGAAGAGAAGAGGTCTGTAAGCAGAATCTGGAGAATACTGACATGTAAGTGAGGGGTAGGTAAATGCGAGGCTGAAAAAGAGGGAGAAGAAAGGCAAAGACAAGGAAGTATCCCAGAGCCAAAGGAGGGGCAAGGTGAGGTATGAAGAGAGAGAAGTAGAAGATGGGGCAGGTTGGACTCGGCGGCACAGAGCTTCAGACAAGTGCTGTTCATAGAAACTAGCAACTGAGACTCCACATGCTAGGCAGCTCAGCCCTGTGCACTGGGCAGCTCAACCCTGTGCACTGGGCAGCTCAACCCCATGTACTGGGAAGCTCTACCCCATGCACTGGGCAGCTCTACCCCATGCACCGGGAAGCTCTACCCCATGCACTGGGCAGCTCTATCCCATGCACTAGGAAGCTCTACCCCATACACCGGGAGGCTCTACCCTATGCACCAGCCAGCTCTACCCCATGCACTGGGCAGCTCTACCCCATGCACCGGGAAGCTCTACCCCATGCACTGGGCAGCTCTATCCCATGCACTAGGAAGCTCTACCCCATACACCAGGAGGCTCTACCCTATGCACCAGCCAGCTCTACCCCACGCACCAGGAAGCTCTACCACATGTACTGGGAAGCTCTACCCCATGCACTGGGAAGCTCTACTCCATGCACCGGGAAACTCTACCCCAAGCACCGGGAAGCTCTACTCCATGCACCGGGAAGCTCTACCTCATGCACTGGGAAGCTCTACTCCATGCACTGGGAAACTCTACCCCAAGCACTGGGAAACTCTACCCCAAGCACTGGGAAGCTCTACCCCATGCACCGGGAAGCTCTACCACACGTACTGGGAAGCTCTACCCCATGCACTGGGAAGCTCTACCCCATGCACTGGGAAGCTCTACACCATGCACCAGGAAACTCTACCCCAAGCACCGGGAAGCTCTACTCCATGCACCGGGAAGCTCTACCTCATGCACCGGAAAGCTCTACTCCATGCACTGGGAAACTCTACCCCAAGCACTGGGAAGCTCTACCCCATGCACCGGGAAGCTCTACCCCCATGCACTAGGAAGCTCTACTCCATGCACTGGGAAGCTCTACCCCAAGCACTGGGAAGCTCTACCCCAAGCACTGGGAAGCTCTCCTCCATGCACCGGGAAGCTCTACCTCATGCACTGGGAAGCTCTACCCCATGCACTGGGCAGCTCAACCCCATGCACCGGGCAGCTCTACCCCATGCACTGGGCAGTTCAATCCCATGTACTGGGCAGCAGCTTGACTCCCACTGGTACTGCTGCCACCAGGCCATCTACTCATGGCACTGTCTTCCTCACCCATCACTCCCAGATCCCACTAGCCCTCTTCAGTGGGCCCTGCTAGAGTGAGAGAGGCAGCAGTTTCCTCACTGAAGTCATCAGGAATCTTTCAGAAGTGTTTAGAAGTGACAAAATTTAAACTCAAAAGACGTCTAACAAAAAATGAGAATATATTGCTGGAGTGGCTCAGAGAACTGAAGGGGACGATGAAGAAGCAGAGCAGCTTCAGGAACCCCGGGACAGGCTGGTTCCCAGGAAGCAACCCCGCAGACGAACATTCCTGTGGAGGACGTTAGCTCATTAAGGAGAGCCTGCAGAAAGGAAGGAAGCAGGGTTAGGCGAAGGGAGGACTTGAGGTGTGAAATTGCATCACTCAGCAGAGTCCCCACCTACCCCAGGGGAGTTCTGAAGCTGGGGTGATGGTGCCAAGTTTTCATCTCCCCATGTTGGTTGGCTGCCCTGAGTTGAGGCAGGAATGCCAGGTCTGTATACCCCACACCATAAAGGAGGGTGTGACCTTAGACAAGGCAGCTCTCCTCAGCTGAGTTACCATAGGAGACGGGCAGCTCAGGGCTTCCTGCCAGCAGCTCCCAGCAGCTTGAAGTAAATAGCCCTTCATCCCGTTACAGACTGAAAGTTTCTGTCCTCCACCACCCCACCCCAAGTCATACGTTGAAGCCCTAACCCCTACCGTGACTCGATTTGAAGATGGGGTCTGTGAAGTAGTAAAGATTAAATAAAGTCATGAGATTGGCGCCCTAATCCAAGAAAGCTGGTGTCCTTATATGGGGCAGAAAAGACATCAGAGCCCTCTCTCTCCACCATGTGGGCACACAGAGAGAAGGTAGTTGTCTGCAAGCCAGGAAGAGAGCCCTCACCAGAAATCAACCATGCTGGCACCCGGATCTTAGGCTTTCCAGTCTCCAGAATTGTGAGAAAATACATTTCTGTTGTTTAAGACACCAGCCTGTGATATTTTGTTATTATGGCAGCCCTAGCTGACTCCTACAATTTCAAAGGACAGTGTCTGCAGCATATTCCAGGGGCCAGCACAGGAGCTGAACCAGGGACACCATTACTCAGGATTGACTCTCTCTCTCTCTCTCTCTCTCTCTCTCTCTCTCTCTCTCACTCTCACTCCACCTCTGCTCTTTTCCCTAAATCGTAAGAGACAACATGACCATCTATAGCCCCTCCCCTGAAGCCATGATCCAAGCAAGAGGAGCACTCTCCCTCGGGCTTTAATCTGAAAGATCCCAGGAAGGACTCTAATTTGCCTAGTTTATACCATGTGCACCCTCCTGGGCCAAGCCCGAGGTCAGCAGCATGGAGCACTATGATTGACTTTGCCTTTGATCAAATAGGCTAGATTTGCTATCAACAGGCAAAGGAGCAAGGGGGAGATGCTGAGCAGAAACAGGAAATAGATATGACACCCATTATTTTACCAATCATTTGCTCAGTCAAATGTCAGTAACTTGACCAGGAGCAGTGGCTCCCACCTCTAATTCCAGCACTTTGGGAGACCAAGGTGGGCAGATCGCTTGAGCCCAGGAGTTCAAGACCAGCCTGGTCAACATAGTGAAACCCAGTCTCTATAAAAAAAAAAAAGTACAAAAATTAGCTGGGCCTGGTGGTATGTACCTCTAGCCCCAGCTACTTGGGCGGCTGAGGTGGCAGGAGCCCTTGAACCTGGGAGTTTGACGCTATAGTGAGCCATGATCACACCACTGCACTCCAGCCTAGGTGAAAGAGTAAGAACCTATCTCAAAAAAAAAAAACTTAGTAGCTCACCAACCATGTGACATCAAGCAAATCAGTGCCTCTTTGAGCTTTCTCCTCCTCTGTCAAGTGGTGATGACCGTGGTCGTAGTGAGAATAAATGAGATAATGCATATAATAAGCCTGCCTGGCACAGGGTTGGCACATAGTAAATGTCCAATAGAAGATAACATCTATTACTTTTATTATCTGAATACTGCTATAAGAAAATATAATTTTGCATCTCAAACTTCTGAGCCAATTTTCAAAGCATGGATGATAAGAAAAATCCAATTATATTTGCCCGAGGTCCAAAAACTCATAAAGTTACCTGGAATATGCATTTTTCAAATAAGGAAACTGAAGCCCAGAGAAGTTAATAACTATCCCAAGATCCGAAAATAGAAGAGATAGGGCTGGAGTCAACAACCCTGAACTCTAATAGCATCCCCAGATACCCGCAAACCAGCTGCCACTCCACCCTGCCATTGTCTCCACAGGCACCCTCAACCAGACTCCAACCCATCCTAGCCCAGAGATGCAGCCTCATCTTTTTGTTCCCAGACACCCAAGCTATATGATCAAGCCCAGGGATGCTCAGTAAGCATTGCTGTGATGGAATTGAAACCCTATAGGATATCTAGAAAGTAAGTGGGGTATCTGGAAGTAATAAACTTCTGACTGCTTGTTCATTTGGAACCCAGTGGGGGTAGTACAGATTCTTCTCATCTCTCTTCCTTAAGAATCAATTAAAAAGTAGTGATACATTTAGCAGAGATTAAATAAATGAAATAGCCTTTTATGGGACTGATACTTTGGTTACATTCGTAAAAGTCACTTGGGGTTAATTTGATATATCATTTGGTAATTGACGTACAGATTTCAAAAACTGAGTCTTTGTGTCCTGAGAAGAAAAAGAAGTGTTTGGCCAGGGCATGTGGGAGCAACAAGTAGAAAGTAGCATTTTCAGTTGAGCGTTGAAGGATGACTAAGTAGGGTTGGGCATGCCAGGCGGGAAAAAACAGTGTGAGCAAAGATACAGAAGCAAGAAACGAGGAATGTGTTTGGGACTGGCAGGATCAGATGGGAGTTCAGAGGTGTTTTGGTGAGCATCAGAGGCTGGCCTGGAGTCAGGGTGAGGCTGGCTGCAACAGCCCCTGCACTGCCCCTGGGCTAAGCAGAGGTGTGAAGTTGCAGAGGAGGATGTGCAGACAAAGGCATTCAGACTTCAAAGCGATAGAATTTGGGGACAAATTTGTCTTTTCTGATCCCAACTTAGGAGTGCGGTAGGAAGACAGACCTGAGTTCAAATCCCACTTCTGCCATTTCTGTGATATGAGGTTTTATGCAAGTGGTTCACCCCTGGTGAACAACTATTTTTTCAGGTGCTAGAGACAATAATAATGCTCCCCTTAAAGTATGTAAACCCAATGCCTGTAGGTACCAGGAAAGTAAGGTAAATAACATTGCCTGGCTATAATATAACAAGTACTAGAGACTGCATTCAATTCTAATCCTAAAAGTAGTCAGACTCAAACATTTAAAAATATTGGGCAGACTAAACGAAATGCACTTGGGCAGCATATAGCCAGCACGTGAATTGTTGATTATCTCGTAAGGTTGTCGCAGGAATTAAGTGAGATAATGAACATAAAGTACTTTGCACAGTAGAGGAGCCAGACAAAAAGAGTTCATATACTATGATTCATTTATATGAAGTTCAAGAACAGGCAAACTAGTCTATGGGGAGAGAAATGAGAAAAGTGTTTACCTGGGAGGAGGAAGGGAGGTTGGCAGTGAGGAGGTGTACAGGAACCTTATGGGGTATTGCAAATGTCCTATGTCTGGCTCTAGCTTTGGTTACATGTTTTTAAACATACATAAAAATTAATTGAGATACACACTTAAGTTTTGTGAGCTTTATTGCAACAAGTTACACTTCAATCAAAAGGGAAATTTTAAAACAAGTCCTTCACAGAGTAATAAGAGCTTAGTGAATAGTTGTTGTAGTTATTTTATCATTACTATTTTTACTACCACTTTCATTATTATTAAGCCACAAAGTCAGTAAAACAACAAACGAGCAACAAGTAATCATCAAAGACCCGCTAGATGCTGGGTGCTGAGTGTTTATTTCAGATTACATCTCCCAAAAATGACTATATATAGATACTTAGCCCTCCATATCTATAGGTTCCACATATCTTTTCTTGTCATTATTTCCTAAACAATATGGAATAACAACTATTTATATAGCATTTATATTATATTAGGTATTACAGGTAATCAGAGACTATTTAAAGTACATGGGAGGATGTCTGTGTTATATGGAAAGTCTATAAATTCTACATCATTTTATATCAGGGACTTGAGCATCTTTGGATTTTGGTGTCTAAGGAAGGAACCAATTCCCCATGGATACCAAGGAATGAGGCTGTGTGTGTGTGTGTGTGTGTGTGTGTGTGTGTGTGTGTGCATGCGCTATGACATATTTCATTTCCCCCACCAAGAGATGGAGTCTATGTTCCCTCCCGTTGTATCCGGGCTGGGCTTGTGACTACTCTCACCAATAGAGTGTGGCAGATGTGATGCTATGTGACTTCTGAGACAGGTCATGAAAAGCATATGACTTCTATCTGGCTCTCTCTTGAAACACATGCCTTGGGAGCCCTTCTTCCCATGCTGCAGAAATTACATGGAGAGGCTACATAAAGATGCCTGAGAAGCCCTGGCTATTCTAGCCCTTAGCTGTTCAAGGCTTCTTAGCCCGGGAACTGGATACATGAGTCAAGAAACATTTTCAATGGTGCTAGACACCATCTGACTGCAGCTTCATGAGAGACCCTGAGCCAGAACCACTCAGCCAAGCTGGTCCTGTATTCCTGACCCATAAAAATCATGAGAGATAATAAATGATTATTATTGCTTCTAGCCAGTAAGTTTTGAGGTGATTTGTTAGCAGCAACAGATAACTGATATAGATGTTGGTACCCGGAAGGAAGGTGATGATGCAACAACAAAAACTAAAAATGGAGCAGTGTCTTTGAGGACAGAAGTTGGAAGGACTTTGAAGAGACAATGGCATCTGATGGCTTCAGGGAGGTGGGTTGGAGCCATAATCTTGAAAGACAAAATCCCAAATGCCATAATTCTGAACATTAAAATCCTGAAAGATTAAAATCCCAAAAATATAATTCCAGAAAAAATAATTTTAAAAAGTATTTAAAAGACATTGATTTACATTTTAAAAGGGGTTTTATTTGGGAAACATATTTAAAAATGACAGAGCACTTCATAGGCCACTTTGTATGATAAAATAGGCAACAATAACCTACATATTTTTGTAAGCATAAGTGCTCATGTATTCTAGGGACAGTCACAAGGGTATAGCAGTTATGAGCAGATTAACCATATTCATAAAGAAATAGGTCAAAAAGTGAAATGTACAAACACCTGTCACTATAGTTGGTAGTTGTGTGCACCCAGCTTTATAACTGCAGTCGTCTGAAATACTGTGATGGACAACTTACGTCTTTTGATAAGATCCTTCAAAAACAATTATGGGTCACCACTGCATATGCAGTTGCCCAAAGAGCCGAGATTTCAAGAGATTTTATTTTTAACAATGCAGATGTACAAAAAAGACATATCATCATTTATTGAGGAATTTTCCGTGTTTCTACATTGAGAATCAGGGCAGCCAGCTGTGTTAGTCTCCAACTGAGGCCAAAAGCCTCGGGACCTGGGTAAAACCTGGTGTTAAGTCCTGGAGTCCAAAGGCTGGTGAGCCTGGAGTTCTGATATCCAAGGCAGCAGAAGTAAAACCTCTCCCAGCTCTCAGAGAGAGACAAATTCACCTTCTGCATTTGTTCTTTCTGGGCCCCCAGATGATTAAATGGTGCTCACCAGTATTGAGGGCAGATCTTCCCCAGCTAGTCCACCCAGACTCACACACTAATCTCTGGAAACACCATCACAGACACACCCAAAATAATGCTTCACCAAGTTTGTAGGTATTCCTTATTCCAGTCAAGATGACACCTCAAATTAAGTCCACAACTCCACCCCTTGCCAGCTTGGCACGCACACATACCTCCTTTTATCTCCTTAAATAAAGACAATAACAAGGTAATAGTTCCACCTAACATGACGCAACCATCCTGTGTACAATCAAAAACACAGTAATTCCTCCCCCAAAATTTGGCTTTCAGGATTTCAACACTCTAGATTTTAATCTTTCAGGATTGTGATTTATAAGATTTTAGACTTTGGGGATTTTGATCTTTATGGATTTTGATCTTTTAGTATTTCAACATTCAGATATACAGCACTTGGAATTGTGTCTTTTGGGATTACAACCAGCACTGCAAGAAGGCTATCCATGAGTGCTTAATGGAAAGTAAGAAAGATGATATTAGAAAATAGAGCAAAGGGAATCTTTATAATATGGTCTATCAGTCTGCTTGAACTGCCACAACAAAATGCCATCAACTGCGTAGCTTAAACAACAAAATTTATTTTATTTTTCACAGTTCTGGAGGCTGGGAAGTCCAAGATCAAGGTTCTGGCTGATTTGATTCCTTGTGAGGGCTCTCTTCCTGGCTTGCAGATGGCTGTCTTACTGTTGTGTCTTCACCTGGAAGAGCAAGAGCTCAGATGTCTCTTTCTCTTCTTTTTTTTTTTTTTTTTTTTTTTTTTGAGACATGGTCTTGCTCTGTTGCCCAGGCTGGAGTGCAGTGGCACAATCTTGTCCCACTGCAACCTCCACCTCCCAAGCTCAAGTGATTCTCCCACCTCAGCTCCCAAGTAGCTGGGACTACAGGCACACACCACCACACCCAGCTAATTTTTTGTATTTGTAGAGACAGGGTTTTACCATGTTGCCCAAGCTGGTCTTGAACTCCTGAGCTCAAGTGATCTGCCTGCCTCAGCTCCCTAAAGTGCTGGGATTACAGGTGTGAGCCATGGTACCCAGCCCTCTTCCTCTTCTTTAAGGGCCCTGGCCTGATGGAATTAGTGC
The DNA here is from genome assembly GCF_000001405.40 of Homo sapiens. Classification (NCBI taxonomy): domain Eukaryota; kingdom Metazoa; phylum Chordata; class Mammalia; order Primates; family Hominidae; genus Homo; species Homo sapiens. The sequence continues at coordinate 10,994,856 of NC_000011.10, read as the reverse complement.
CCAACCCTTAGTGACCTCATTTAACCTTTATCACCTCCTCACTGACTCTGTCTCCAAATACAGTCACATTAGGGTTAGGCCTTCACCACATGAATATGTGAGAGGACATAAATGTTCAATCCATAGTATACAGTGAGGGAAAACTCAGCAATACTATCTTCTACAGTAAAATGGAAAGTAGAAAATGTACCTAATGAATTGGATGATCTAGCAAAGGAGATTTCCAGGCAGAGTGTTGAAGGTGCCACCTGGCTTCTGGTTGCTTATAATAAAATGTGAAAAGTGAGAAGATGTGTTAAAGAAAGAACCATTGAACATAAAGGGGCCAGGACTTGCTGAGTTTAAAAATAAAAATGTCTTATTGCTAAATTCTCCAGATAGGAAATGATACTGAAATTTTAAAATGTCCTCCAGGCAAAGATCAAATTCAGTGTCCTGGCAGGAAAAATGATCTAAAGATGAAACTGACAGAGTGAATGCAAAGCCCTTTATTAAGACCTCAGAAATATGTAAGGTGGTGCTTCAAACAGGGAAAAAAAGAGGCCCCTCACCCATAAACAATAGGGCTTCTGGTAATCTTAATTGTGGTATCCCATAGCAGCCTTACAGGAAACTCAAGATGCAAAGTAGCCTATCACACTGATACTTGTGGTTGTGACTTTTAACTAATGGAGTGAATGCCAACAGGATTTATAGAGTCTTATTCATAGATTATAAGGTTATTACATTGTGTGAAATATTGTCTGCATGGATTAAAAGGGACAGTGACCATATACAATGAAAATGGGTCTTTGCAGGAGGTGGAGGTTGCAGTGAGCCGAGATCGCGCCATTATACTCCAGCCTGGACGACAAGAGCAAAACTCCATCTCAGAAAAAAAAAAAAGAAAGAAAAGAAAATAGGTCTTTGGACCTTTAAACCACTATAAGAAAGTAGGCTGAGAAAACTACTTAGCTGCAAACACTGGCTGTTTTTTATGGAAAAGAGAAGATGACTCAGTTTCTGCCTCTGAGCCCAGAGATTGGAGCCAAGAGCCATAGAGAACCATTCTCAGACAGTAGGACTGAGTTCTAACCAAGAAATTGCCCATATTCCCAGCAGAATTTCAGAATTGCTGAGGCCCCAGTGTACCTCCCATTTTCCTTTCTTCTTCCTTTTTACAGGATGATCTATAATGCTTATCCTATGCCTGCCCTACGATTATATATTAGGTAGAGGGAAGATAATATGTTTCTTTTTTCATGGGTCTATAGATCAAGAGGAACTGTGCAGGAGGTACTATATTTGAGAAATTTACCCAAGGAGCCTCATTTGAACCTGGACCCAATTAAATGACAAGACCTTGGAGTTCAAACTGATACTATAATATGATGAGACTTTTGTGGGCCTTGGGAAGGGACAAGTGTATGTTCAATGGGAAAGCTATGAATCATCAGGAGTCAGAGGTAGACGGAAGTAGCCAGCCTCCTATGATCTGTGCCTCCTGGTATCCTTGCCCTCACGTAATCCCCTCCCACACTGAATCACAGCTAGCCCTGAGTGACCAACACGATACAGAAGAAATGAGGCTGGGTCATAAAAGGCCTTGCAGCTTCTGCCTTGGACCCTCAGACCTCTTGCTCCAAAGGAAGCCAGCTGCCATGATGTGAAACATCCATGGTGCCCTATGGAGAGTAACTGAGGCCCCCTCCAATGACCAGCACTAACTCACCTGCCAGTGAGTGATCCACCTTGAGAGTAGATCCTCCTCTCTCAGCCCCAGTCAAGGCTTCAGATGACTGCAGCCCTGGCTGACATTGGAGGCAAGCTAATGAGAGACCCTGAGCCAGAACCACCCAGCCACGCTGCTCCAGAATTTCTGTCCCAAACAAACTATGAGAAGGAAAAAATAATTATTGTTATTTAAAGCCATTAAGTTTTGGGGTGATTTGTTACACAGCAGTAGATAACTAAAACAACTCTATAGAACATGCAAAGAACTTGCAATAGAGTGAAAAGGAAATGTATAGACACTGGAGCACACACAGTTTAGGGCAGCATGAGATTCACTTAGCCAGCTTGTTAAAGGACAATTTCTTTCTCCTGCTGGGGTGTTGGCAGAAATGAGGAGCCTGGGGGTGGTGAGATTTTGGGAAACAGTTTCAAGAGGTGAGTTGTCACCTTAGAGAGAAGTTTCTCCTTTCAGCATTAAATTCTATCAGGTCCTGGCTTTGTTGTTGCAAAAGAGATCTTTCCATTTACAGAGATTTTTTGCATTAGCTCTGTTACTGTGGGACAGAGGCAGGTCAGGGATTATCTTGCCTATAAAATAGGGGATAAAACTGAAGGTCCCACTGGGAAATTGGCTTGCCTGAGCCCTGGGCACTTTCTGCTTCCTTAACAGCCCTCAGCAGCACAGAGCTGCCTTTGACTGCCAAAAGAATCAGAATTCAAAATGCCAAGACTGGCCAGGCATGGTGGTTCATGCCTGTAATCCCAGCACTTTGGGAGGCTGAGGCAGGCGGATCACGAAGTCAGGAGTTCGAGACCAGCCTGGCTAACATGGTGAAACCCCGTCTCTACTGAAGACACACACAAAAAAAAAATTAGCTGGGCATGGTGGCACGTGCCTGTGATCCCAGCTACTCAGGAGGCTGAGGCAGGAGAATTGCTTGAACCCGGGAGGCGGAGGTTGCAGTGAGCTGAGATCATGCCACTGCACTCCAGCCTGGGTGACAGGGCGAGACTCCACCCAAAAAAAAAAAAGCCAAGCCAAGGCTGGGCCATAAACACACATTAAGAAACAACAGGGAGGGAAAATGCAGGCCAATTGCTCTGAGACCCTCAATAAGTAATAACAGACTTTGGCTGCCTTAAAATAATCTTTCATACCTATTAAAAATCTGTCCCTCGGGGTGCTAAAGCTGAGCTAATATCACAGCCAAGATTATGCACCTCTCTTTGCCGTGCGATCTCAGGCCTTTCTGGGTCTCTGAGCCTGATCAATATTATGTGGGGTTAGACTGTCTGGTCTCTAAGGCTTCATGTGGTTCTGACATCATAGGATTCATGAGGAATTTGTAGGCCCTCCAACATGGAAGTTGGGATAATAATACCAGGCAGTTTCCATCTTGAGTCTCCAATCTACAAGATCAATGCCAAACGGGAAATTGCAGGCAGTAATTTATTCTGAATTCTCTCACCATGGGACTTGTTTATATACGTTGCTACATGGACTCTAATAAAACATTAAACAGACAAAGGTTTCTGCCAGCTTCCCCAGCCCCCTGACATATGCTCCTTTTCCTGCCAGCGCCCCCTAGACAGAGGACCTCCTGGGGACTAGAGCTGTGATCCAGAAAAACTGCAGAGAGCCAGGCAGGAGGTCGGTTGCAAAAATAACCAAGCCCATAAAGTAAAATGACATAAGAATAAAACATTATATAAAAAATAAAATGATCAAGCTAGATCAATATCAGAGGACCCTCTGATCAATACCCACCTTTGGTCTGTATGTCTAAAGGAGGAGAGACACAAATTGGAGTGTCTGCCTGCCCAGCCCTGCCCAATTGACTTTGCCCTACTGTATTAGTCTGGGTTCTCCAGAGAAGCAGTACCAATAGAATAGGTAGATAGATACAGATATATAGATAAATAATAAAGAGATTTACTATCAGGAATTAGCTCACACAAGTGTGGAGGCTGGGAGGTCCAAGATCTGTAGCCAGCAAGATAAAGACCTAGAAGAGCCAATGGTGTAGTTCCAGTCTGAGTGCAAAGGCCTGAGAACTAGAAGAGCCAATGGTATAAATCCGTCTGAGTCCAAGTCCAAAGGCAGAAGACTGATGTCCCAGCTCAAAGACAGTCAGAGGGAGAGAAAGAATTCTTTCTTACTCAGCCTTTTTTCCTCTTTAGGCCTTCAATAGATTGCATGAGGCTCACCCACACTGGGGAGGGCAATCTGCTTTACTCAGTCTTCCAAATCAAATGTTAACCTCATCCAGAAACATCTCACAGACACACCCAGAAATAATGTTTAACCAAATATCTGAGCACCATGCGGCCCAGTCAAGTTGACTCATAATATTAGCCCTCCCATCCACTCAGGCCCTGGAGGAATAGGAATTTGCCAGAATTGCACCCTGGCAAAACAGTAAGATGAAGTGAGGTCTGGAAACTGACCACTGTCGATCCTGGTGCCTGGCCTATTGGGCTTGGCTCTGGGAGCCCAAGTGAGAACTGAGCTGACATTGTGTTTTATAGTAGCCATTGTCATTTCATATAAGAGAACAGCATACCTTCAATCTTTCTCCATTACATCAATCTGTGCAGTAGCACATAGGATTAGAAATAGCTAGAAACACACGAATGAAAACTCCATTAACTTGAAGACTAAATTTTGATCCCCTAAAGCAGGAATGCCTGAGAGTTTGGGGAGAGTGAAGTGTTCACTCTGAACAAGGAAATGACCAGCGTGGGGCTGTACAGGTTGTGGGCCAACATGGGAAGCAGAAATGATTCAGCAGAATATGCAGAATCAGGACAAAGCAGATGGCAGGGAACTGAATGGTGATTAAGTTGCTTCTGTCTTGAGGTCAGTGCTACCCCAGGAAGGCAGGGTTGTCAGTCAGCACACCGCCCGTTCTGAAATGGTGCCTCATATTGTTTATGGCTGATGTTAAATACAATTACAACTAGATTAACTGTTGAGTAAGTGAAATATGATAAGCTTACTTCTTTGCTAATCTTTTTGGTGTATATACAAATTCTTGAATAAAAGGTGACTTTTGATACTTAAGAAAGACTAACTAAATTGCAAGGGCATAGTCAGTGTGTACAGTGGCCACCATAATACTCAGCAGGTACAGACTCAGGAAGCAGGTCCCCTTTTCCTCCTGCCCCAAGATGAAAGAGAGAGAACCTCTTTTTGCTAATGTGTGGGAGCCTGTCTTTACACTTTAAACTCCCTTATCACTTGGTGAGAGGCAGACCAAAGACAAGGTCTCCCATGTCTTGTCTCCTCGTCCATTGCTCTCCCTGCTTGGCTGTGAAGAAGCAAAGCTCAGAGCCTGGGCTCAGAAACAAACACCAACTTGCTATCAGGTAAAAGTGGGACATCAAATACCAGCAGCCCCATCTCCTGTCTTGGCTTACATTTCTCTTAATTCGTCATACTCTGAAGCACCTCACACACATGCATGCATACACACACACAAACCTCCCACTGCTGGACATCAGCACCCAGTGCGGACATGATGGAGTGAAGATGGGAGAACAGAGCTACTTGATTGGCCCAGGTACCAGAAAACTCAGAGGCAGAAGCTGCAGGGGTATGAAGCCTGTGCCTTGGACTGGTTGCAGGATGGTGGAGTAGACACTTCACTCTCTTTCAGTGATGCAGGCTACTCACCCCTACACCAGCTCCCCGCCGGCCCACAGTGGCTGTTTTAGCCCATAACTAGCCTTTCTTATCACGAACTTGCTCCCTTTCTGAACTCAGTATCTGCCACCCCCGTCCCCTGCAATTCTCCAACCCTGGAGACTTTGCCTGTGCAAGGACTCACTGGCATCACAGCCTCACCTCTCCCCTGTGAACCATGACTTAGCTCATCCTGAAGACCACAGGGCACCTAGTACCCCTTTCCCGCTCCATCCCTGAAGATACCAACCCAACCAAATCCCAGTGGCTGTGTATGCCCAGATGCCCCGGGCAAGGCAAATACAGACAACAGGACACTCCCTCTGTTCCAATGAGCCAGGTGATTTCAGTGTGTTTCCTGGGTGTAAGGATCAGGACATGCAGAGGGCTTTGGGAAGAGCGAACAGGGTCAGGTCTAGTCTGGATCATCAGGAAGACCATCCCAGAGGCAGTAATAATAAAGCTGAGACCTGAAGACCAAGAGGAATGGGAGGACAGTGAAGAGAAGAAGGGGGAACAGGAGAAAGGGAACCAGCAGTTTACTGGGCTGGTAGGCAGGTAAAGAGGGAATGAGGAGGCCTAGGTACAGCTGTGAGGGGCATACAGCAGACACAGGTGAAGCTATCTCTGCCCTCTGTCAAATCATAGCATGAACAAAGAACACTGGTTGCAGTTCAAAGACATGGTATCCAGTCCCAGCTCTGGCACTCCCTGGGCAAGTCACACCCCCAATCTGAATCTCGGTCTCCCAACTGCCTGTTGTCACCCACACTGTAACGGAAAGTGTGCCATTACTGCTAATTGACATTTATCTCTCTCCATCACTTGGAAACCCATTTCAGCCCCAATTGTTCTCTGTGCCTCTAAAAAATAAAATAAAAAAAATTTTTTAATTACTAGGCTCCTAACTGAACAATAACTATCGTGGCATTACAAGGCCAACCAGGCCCCTTACCCTAGCCCATTATCTCTCTCCTCTTTTCAACTTAGGGAAAACAAAAGAATCAGTTCAACAAAGTCATTTATTCTCCACTTTATAGGCTGCAGAGCAAATGGTTTTCAAGGTTTTCTAACAGACAGTGTGGGTGACAACAGGAGTTGGGAGACAGATTTAGAGTGGGGGTGATAACCTACCTGTTGTCACCCACACTGTCATCCCAACTGTGAAGAAGCACATTGGAATGTTTGACCTCTGAAGACTGGTCCTGCCTCATTAATTCATTCAGCCAACATTTATCAAGAGCCTTTTACGTCCCAGCCCTTTTCCAAAAGGTGGGAATCTATCAGTGAACAAAACAGACAACAACTCTTACCCTAACAGAGCTTACATTCTAGAGGAGGGAAGACACACAATAAAAATAATAAATATGTAACAAATAAACAAATAATTTAACTTTTTCAGAAAGATCTAGGTGCTATAGAAAAAAGAAAAAAGTAGAACAGGGATTAGTTTGCATTTTAAAAAGGGTGATTAGGGCAGGCTACATTGAGGTGGTGTGTTTGAGTGGTGAAGACTTGAAAGAGGTGAGATTTCAAGCCATCGAATTCTCTGGGAAAGGGAAAATGAGGGCAAAGGAAATACAGCAAAGCCTCAGAGCAGAGGATCCCCACCATGTTAGAAAAACAGCAAGAAAGTCAGGTGTCTAGCAGGGTGTGAAAGGGAATAATGACATGAAATGAGGCCAGAGGGATGAAGGGGGATGGCTGCACTGATTGCAAAGGGCCCAGTAGGCTATTTAAACTTGCTCCACGGCCCCCAGACTCCCAGCCACTGGCAACCTCTTTGATTTAGCTGGGCTTCTGGAAGAAACTTCAGGGAAGTGACACCAGCCCAACTTCTTCCTCTAGTTGGGGGCTATAGTGCTGTCTCAGGAATGGCTACCATGTGTCTTGGCATTGAACTTGGCAGCCTAGACACAGGCTTGCACTGTGGTCCTCACAAAGGCCATACACCCAGGGATCTCCTGCCCCACCCCATCCCTCTACAGCAGCAGTCCCCAACCTTTTTGGAACCAGGGACTGTTTTCGTGGAAGACAATTTTTCCACAGATGGGAGGGGGGTGGGGGAAGGTTTTGGGATGAAACTATTCTACCTCAGATCATCAGACATTAGATTCTCATAAGGAGCATGCAACCTAGATCCCTCGCATGTACAGTTCACAACAGGTTCGCGCTCCTGAGAATCTCATGCCGCAGCTGATCTAACAAGAGGCAGAGCTCAGGTGGTAATGCTCACTCACCCACTGCTCACCTCCTGCTGTGTAGCTGGTTCCTAACAGGCCACCACTGACTCTTCCTAGTCTGCAGCCAGGGGTTGGGGACCCCTGCTCTACAGGGTTCACTCTGTCCTTGTGCTCAGCCTTTCTCCTCATTGCTGGGCACAAAGGAGTCAGGAAGGAAGGCCCTGGGTTCCAGGTTGTAGAGGATTTTTTTTCGAGCCGATGCCATTACTGCTAACTGCTAACAGATGTTTATCTCTCTCCATCACTTAGAAACCCATTTCAGCCCCAATTGCTCTTTCTGCCTCTGAAAAGTAAAAAAAAAAAGAAACAGAACAAAAAACAAAAAAACAAACAAAACAAAACAACAACAACAACAACAAAATCATCAGTCTTCTAACTAAACAATAATTATCTTGGCATTGCAAGGCCACCCAGGCCCCTTACCCCAGCCCATTACTACTCTCCTCTTTTCAACTTAGGAAAAAAAATCTGAATCAGTGCAACAAAGTCATTTATTCTCCACTTTATAGTCTGCACAGCAAATAGTTTGTCAACATCTTTTAAAAACCACTTTCCTCCCTCACATTGTGCTCAGAAAGCTGCTTTGTCTTTCCCTCAGCTACTGATTTTTGCATCTTGTTAGGGTTGTTCTGTGCTCCTAAGGAATTAATAACAAATTAGCCAAAGTCCATGAGCTGCAGCTCAGCTTGCTGGGCTTACCCGGACAGCCAGCCTGGGCACTGCTTCCCTTCTACTTCTTTCCTGGAGGATGAGAATATCCCCAAGGATGGAGACTTGGCATTCTTGGTCTTACTCTATATTGCCAAGGAGAAGTGGAACTGCCCTGGGCTTGATCTTGGAGTCCTGAGGATTAAATGTAGACCTTTGGGGAGAATGGGGGAAGCCACAGGGAATAGTTGAAAGGATGTGGTTTTGGAGACAGACTTCAGTTTGAATCCAAACCTAACTACTTGCTGACTTTGTGGCTTTGGGCAAGTGCCCTAGTGTTTGGGGGTATGGGGGCCCCAAAGGTGTCACAGCTGTGAGCACCAGGCTGCAAGTCATGCTGGGTCTCAGCAATGGGACGGGGCTGAGGAGGGGTGATGGAGGAAGCTCAGAAAGTGCAGGTCTGGAGTCGGGCCTGTAGTCTGCCTGGAGAACAGATTCTTGAATGGGAAAATCCAGAATTCAGATCTCAATGTCCAGATGGGGTCACTGAATATTCAGGTTCAGTCCAGGCTGGCATCAGTGTCCAAATTCCACATGGGCCCTTGGGTTCAAGAAGGATGCTAACTGGGACACTGTACCATATGTGAAACAAGAAACAGAGCATGGTGTTCAGGAGCATGAACCAGGAAACAGACTCCCTGGCTCCAAATCTTTACTTTGCCACTTATTAGCTGGCAAAGTGTTTAACCTTTTGCGACTCAATTTCCTCATCTGTAAAATGAGGCTAGTCATTGTACCCATGATACTCAAGGATTTATTGTTAAAATTCATGAGTTAATATATGTAAAGGGCTTAGAAAATTGTTTGGCAGCTAGGATGTGCTACATAGGGAGAGCTTTTAAAAATAAAATTAAAGCAAGTTCTCCTAATCCTGAATTATTATTATTATTATTAATTATTATTATTTTAGATATGAGGGTCTCATTGTGTTGCCCAGGCTGGAGTCGCTCAAGTGATCCTCCCACTTCAGCCTCCTGAGTAGCTGGGACTACATGCACACGCCACCATGCCCACCTCCTTTCACAGAAAACTTAATTGCCTTTTCCTTTCCTATTCACTTGTATGAGTAAAAATCATATATGGCTTTACAAACCCAGGCATCATCTTTAATGCTTCTGTCTCTGCACCCCACCAATCCAATCAACCACTCAGTCTTCCTGCCCTTTCTGCCACTGCCCAGCCGTGCCTCCGTTGTGCCTCTCCTGGACGAGGCTTCAGCTCACCTCATAACTGCCCTCTGGTCTCCCTAGCTCTAGACTCACCTTATCTAATCCATTCATCACACTTCCAGCAAAGCAGTCATTATAAATCACAATCTGATCACATTGTCCATTTTAAGCCATTCCATTGGGCTTCTCCTATTATCTACAGGAGTCATTAAAACTCCTTGGCACACAAGGTCCTACAGGTTCCCCTACAAATTCCTGCAGCTTTATTTACTATCTCCTGCCCCCACCCTTGACACTCCAGGAATACTAACTTTCCTGTTGTCACCCATACCACACACACAGGTGCACACACACACAGACCACTCCTTCACACACACACACACACACACACACACCATGCTTCACTTGTTCATTTGCCTAAAATATCCTCCCAGCTTCTCCCACCTCCCTCCACCCACCCCTCATCTCGACACTATCACTACCCCCACGCATTGCTTGCCAGCTCCTGGACCCAGTAAGCAGCTAAGACCCCGGTGTCGCTTCCTCCTGGAATCCTTCCCTGAAGCCACCCGTTGGATTAGACATTTGTGTCCATTAGGATAATCTTAGATAAAAAGTTCCTAAATTTCAGTGGTTTGATGCAATAGAGGTTTGTCATTCTGTGATAGTCTAAAGTAGGCATCCCTTGTTGGCAAGCAGCTTTCCCTCATGCGGGAATTAGAGATGCGTCTTTTGGCTCCATAACCCGTAGGGTCTCAGGGTCGTCTACATCCAGCTAATGAAAGGGGTAAGAGGGACTGGAAGAGGCACACCCACTTCTTAAGATCTCTGGCCAGAGTGGTAACCTCACTCCCACCCATATCCCATTGGTGGGAATGAGTCACAAGGTCATGCCTGGCTGCAAGGAGGGCTGGGAAGTATAGTCCAGGAGCCTTCCAGCTCCACCCTGTTGACAGGGGAGCATGCCATTTGGTAGGCTGTTGGTTCTTGCAGCCACAGGGCCTCTTCTTGTCTCTATGTCCACCTCAGAGTTTTCACAATATGTGGCTATAATCTGTTTTCATGCCCATCTCTCCCACCAGATTGTGAGCTCCTTGAGGGCAAAGGCCTTGCTCTTTTTATCTCTGTACCCGGTGTCTGGCACTGGTGCTTGGGACTATTGGATGAATGGATGACCTGAGTAAGAACGAGCTCAGCACCTGTGTGGGTCTGATCCTGCAGGCAGACAGTCCTCTCTGCGAGCAACTGAGCCAGACTGGGGAAAGCAGGGACACCAGGACAGGTCATGAAGGCCGATCTACCCAGAAAAACACAGAAGACCGGGAGAATGACTTGGCTCCTGTGAGAGGTTTGCATCTCCATCTCCATGGGATTCGCAGGCCAAGAAGGGCTCAAACCCTGAGAGCTCTGAAACACATATTCTTCATAGCTAACACTTACATGTAAGCCCATGCCATGTGTCAAGCACTATCCACCAATCCTCACAACAACCCCATTTTGCAGATAAGGAAATCAAGACTTGGAAAGGTTAAATGAACATGATACTGCCTCTATCCAAGGGCTTTTTTTCTTCTTCGGAGCCCCAACAAGCCCTAGGACAAGGATGGCTTCAGCCTATCTTCTAGAATTTCTGTCAATGAGGATTCAGTTTTGGAGGACAGCAGATGTTTGACTTCCTGGAGGACAAAGCAGAAAAGCCGACACTTTGAACTTTCTTACCCCTGTTTGAACATCAGTGCTCAGGTAACAGGCCAGTGGCTGGAGAGCAAGCTTCCAAGATTACTCTTCACTGTGAATTCTCCAGCATTTTCCAAGCAAAGAAAAGCTGGACCTTCCACTGATGTTTACATCTGACAATGTCTTTTGGTCAAATTAAAAAACAGTAGAGGCTGAAGCCAAATAACAAACTACAAGGCCAGCTCATCTCAACATGACACTCATGCAGAATTAACAGTGATAGTGTTATGACAGGAGCCTGATACTCTCTCTGCATTCAACGTTAGGGCCAAATACCCAGAAGCCAGTGGTGCAGAAACACAGCTTCATCCGGCCATGCTTCATGTCCCCTATGCCAGCATTTCCATAATCTTAACTGGATAACAACCACAGACCCTCCTGGGAAATCACGGCCTCGGAAGTGTTTTCACACTGATGACAAGAGAAACAGCTGTAATTTGTCATTATAGAAATATCCAATTATCAGGCCACTGAGTGATGTCTGCAGCCTCCTGTCCTCACTGCCATCAGTCTGGGCTCCGAGCAACACACCTGTTAGGGCCAGGGCCTGGCAGATGACACCCACAGAAGAGCCTGGCTTTCTTCTCCCATCACCTCCTGGAGAATCCAGCAGCCCCTGTCTCTGGCAGAAGTGCCTCCAAGGTCTCCTCCTGATACCACCTTTTAATGCAGGAAGAGCAGATTATGAGTGACTCAGCTCCTGGCTGAACCACACCCTCTTACAGGGCCATTGTCTATACCCTGGCAGAAGTTGCTTTTTCTCCTCACTTTTTCTGCAACAGGATAGAGCGGTCTGTGATAAGTTTAAGTGATCAGATGTGAAATCAGGCAGTCCTGGGTTCAATTCATGTTCCCAGGACATCCCTGCTACATGACCTGTGAGGTACACTTGTGAAAGAATCCTCCCTTGGTGGAATACACTAGGAAAAAAGCAAATAGAAGAAAAACAACTAAATCTGAGCTACTCTTGGTACACTGCCTGTGGGTTAGCCCTGCTCCACAAGGAACAGAAAAAAAAAAAAAAAGAGGGAGGGAAGGAAGGAAGGAAGGGAGGAAGGGAACAGAGAGAGGGGAAAGAAAGAAAAGAAAAGAGAGAGAGAAAGGGAAAAGAGAATAGGAAAAAAGAAAAGAAAAGAAAGACAACTAAATCTGGTGCAATAGTAATAGCAAACACTTATAGGCACTTCATGCTATGTATGTATTAACTCATTTTATCCTCACAACAACCCTGCAAAGTGGGTACGATTATATTTATTTTATAGATGAGGAAACTAAGGCAAAGAAATATCAAGGAACTTAACCCAGGACACCTGGTTGTGACAGATGTGGGATTTATACAGGCACTCTGGTTCAAGGATTGTCCTACTAACATGTTACACTCCTTTTAACAAGTATTATTGTCGTCTATGCACCAGGCATTGTATTAAGTTCTTTCTACACCTTACCTCATTTAATCCTGACAATACATTATCTCCAGTGTACAGATAAATAAACTGAGGCACAGAAAGTTTAAGTAACCTGCCCAAGTTCTCAGAGCTACTAAGTCACAGCCAGGACTCAGATCCAGGTGTTCTGGCACAGTCTGCATACTGAGCCACTGTCTGTATATACTATGCTATAGTTCCTTGACTAGTTTATATGCACTCTTGCATTTAATTAATCTTCCCAATAACCCCTGAGAAAGGTACTATTATTACCCCCATTTTCTCAACTGGGAAACTGAGAATTACAGAATCTAAACAAATTACAGTCAGTAATCAAGGACCCAGGATTCAAATGCAGGCATTATCTGGAACTCCCTATTTAAAATCCCTATGCTATAGCAACTTCCTATCCCAATCCAATGCCTGCTTATTCACAGAACACGTGAATTTGAATTTAATTGAACTGAAACATGAATGGTCTTCTCAGGACCTGGTTCACACACCACTTCCTCCCAGATGGCCTCTCTTAATCTGTTGACAGAAATCATCTCTTTTTCCTCTGTTTAATCTCTGAGCTGGCTTTGGTACCCAAAATGGCTCTTGATCACTTCCATAGACAGTCCCACTGCAATTGGGTAAAACTCCCTGTGCCAAGTTGTTGAAGGTGCTATGGCCTGCCCCAGACCTCACTGTGATGACACGAGAGAGCAGGCAGTGGTGGGAAGAGGGAAAGCAGTCACAGGAGAGCAAGAGCTAGCTACCCAGGGTCAGAAACCTCATAAGAAACAAGAACAACAAGGACAGGGAACATAGAGAAGAGACCACAACAACAAAATTTGGAGAAATGGTAAGCAATTGGTTAAATGGTCACTGACTTGGTAGAGCTGTAGACGGTCAATCTTAACCCGACAGTGGAGAAAGCTGAGAATTAACACAATATAATAGGCATGGAGATGAGCGGCACTGATGCCTCTGGATCCGAGGATGGAGAAGGTAAAACAAGTTAGATTGGTCAAGAATTATTTAAGAAGCAATTAGAGCTTCTTTCCGTGCCTCTATGCCCGCAGGTGACTACCCTGCCCCATTCTCAAGAATACAGGAGGTTTATTCTCTGTAGAGCACAAAATAAAGGGTGTCTGGACTGAAGAACAACAGAACCAGTTGAAGGCCAAGATACCACATTAAATTAAGTGAACATACACATATGAAGTGTTGAGACTCTCATCTTGCTACCTGCACCGGGCTCCTAGAACATCAGCAACCAGGCCTTTGCCTTCCAGGCAGCAGAGTGGTAGGGTCTATGAAAGGTATCTGGCTGGTTCAAGAGAAAAGATTTTTTGAAAATTGACATTGGGGTTTTCCCTAGCAAATGGCATAGCTGGATAACCCTACAGAAAAGTTTCCGGTGTATAAACATCCTCTACAGATTTTTAGTCCCCGGCTCCTAAGCATGAGTAGATATCTAAGAATTACCAAGCAGCTTAGGAAAGTCTCCAGCATGAAGGACAGAAACCAAAAGAAATGGGACAGGGGGCGGGAGTGGGGAGGAAACAGGCCATACAAGAAGGAAAACATTAAAAAATTACTTTAGCCGGGCGCGGTGGCTCACGGCCTGCAATCCCAGCACTTTGGGAGGCCAAGACGGGCGGATCACGAGGTCCGAGACCATCCTGGCTAACACAGTGAAACCCCGTCTCTACTAAAAATACAAAAAAAATAGCCGGGCGTGGTGGCGGGCGCCTGCAGTCCCAGCTACTCCGGGGGCAGAGGCAGGAGAATGGCGTGAACCCGGGAGGCGGAGCTTGCAGTGAGCCGAGATTGCGCCACTGCACTGCAGTCTGGGTGACAGAGCTAGACTCCGTCTAAAAAAAAATAAAATAAAATAACTTTAATATGCTCACAGAACTAAAAGAATACATTATATCTATGAAACAAGAATAGGATGCTATAAAAGGGGAGTGGGACCTTCAAAGAACAAGGAGAAGCTCTAGGAAATTAAAAATATAAGAGTGAAAATGAGAAACTCAACAGAAGGACTGAGGAGCTAAGGAAACTACCCAGACTGATGGAAAAGGAAGAATATAAGGTAAGATAATTAAAGAGCCAATTCAGTAGCTCCAATATCTCCACAATAGGAATTCCAGAAACAGAAGACCCTCTAATACCAATTAAAGTCTTCCCAGATGTATAGGCAATGAGTTTCCAGACTGAAAGGGAGTGCCCTGCAAAATAATTAAAAATACCCAAACCAAAGCACATCATTGTGAACTTTCAAAACACAAAGACCCTACACATTTCCAGAGGGAAAAAAAAATAGGTCGTATATAACAAATATGTAGTCTAAAAAATCTTAGCCAAACTATCAATCAAGAGTGAAAGTCCAAACATAAATTTTCAGATAGGCAAGGTCTCAAAAAATGTATCTCCCACTTCCCCTTTCTCAAGAAGCTACTGAGGATGTGCTCCACCCAAATTCGAGGTTAAACCAAAAAAGAGGAAGAATAGAATACAAGAAATAAGAGTACCACAGGGGAGAGAGGCAAAGGGAATCCCTAAATTGATGATGAAAGAATGTCTCAGGATAATAGCTTCGTACCAACTAGGGAAACCAACCAGCAGTTCAGAAAGCTATGGAAAAAACTACTTTAAGAAGATGAATTGAAAGGATATCTGATGTGAATGAAAGGAAATTTAGACAATCTTTGGAGAGTTTGGGGCCAAATTGATGATAAGTACATGAAATAGCCAACATACACATGAACAAAAGGCAATTAAGTCCAGAGAAACCAAAAAGTTATTTACTATAATGGCTCAGACCTGAACAGCATACATGGCCATAATATTTTAAACATTGAATATTGATCTAACCAAAACTACAATTATGTTATTGAGAGGATGGGAAAATGGGAAGGGTGCATGTGTTTGGTGGGACAAGAGGAAAAAAACAGAGCTAAATCCTCAATTTCCATAGTGAGAGGTCAATACATGATGCCTGAAACAAACGAAAAATCAGGAAGCATCAATACAGATATATTGTTGAAGGTAAGGTGGTAAGGATCAAAATATAACTAGAAAAGGTGAAAGTGGTTGCTTCCGTGGAAGGGGAAATAGGTGAGGTGGCTAGGGGCTGTTTTTGTATTAAGTAAACCTGGTAGGACTGATTTAGTCTTTAAACTATGTGCATGTATAATTCTGACAAAAAATTTAAACTTTTTTTTTTTACTTTTATTTTAGGTTCTGAGGTACATAAGCAGGTTTGTTATACAACTTCATGTCATGGTGGTTTGTTGCACACATTATTTCATCACCCAGTTACTAAGCCTAGTACCCAATAGATGCCTATTTTTCTGATCCTCTTCCTCCTCCCTGCCTCTACCCTCAAGTATACCCAGGTGTCTGTTGTTCCCTTCTGTGTGTCCATGAGTTCTCATCATTTAGCTCCCACTTGTAAGTGAGAACATGTGGTATTTGGTTTTCTGTGTTAGTTTGCTAAGGAAAATGGCCTCCAGTTCCATCCATGTTCTTGCAAAAGACGTGATCTTGTTCTTTCTTATGGCCACATAGTGTTCCATGGTGTATATGTACCACATTTTCTTTATCCAATCTGTCATTGATGGTCATTTAGATTGAGTCCATGTCTTTGCTATTGTGAACAGTGCTGCAGTGAACATATGAATGTATGTGTCTTTGTGGTAGAATGATTTATATTCCTTTGGGTATATACCCTATAATGCAATTGCTGGATCAAATGGTAGTTCTGTTTTTTAGCTCTTTGAGGAACTGAGATGCTGCTTTTTACAATAGTTGAACTAACTTATACACCCACAAGCAGTGTATAAATGTTCCCTTTTCTCCGCAACCTCATCAGCATCTGTTATTTTTTGACTTTTTAATAATAGCCATTCTAACTGGTGTGAGATGGTATTTCATTATAATTTTTATTTGCATTTATCTAATTATCAGTGATACTTAGCTTTTTTTTCATATGCTTGTTGGCCACATGTGTATCTTCTTTTGAAAAGTGTCTGTTCATGTCCTTTGCCTACATTTTAATGAGGTGGTTTGTTGTTTTCTCATAAATTTGTTTAAGTTCCTTATAGATGCTGGATATTAGGCCTTTGCCAGATGCATAGGTTGCAAATATTTTCTTCCATTTTGTAGGTTGTCTATTTACTCTTTTGATAGTTTATTTTGCCATGAAGAAGCTCTTAAGTTTACTTAGATCCCAGTTTTGAAGTTTTGCTTTTGTTGAGATTGCTTTTGGAGTCTTCGTCATGAAATCTTTGCCCATTCCTGGGTCCACAATGGTATTGCCTAGGTTGTCTTCCAGGATTTTTATAGTTTGGGGCTTTACATTTAAGTATTTAATCCATCTTGAGTCGATTTTTATATATAGTGTAAGAAAGGGGTCCAGTTTCAACCTTCTGCATATGGCTAGCCAGTTATCCCAGCACCAGTTACTGAATAGGGAGTCCTTTCCCCAGTACCTGTTTTTGTCATCTTTATTGAAGATCAGATGATCGTAGGTGTGCAGCCTTATTTCTGGGCTCTGTAATCTGTTCCGTTGGTCTATGTGTCTGTTTTTGTACCTGCACCATGTTGTTTTGATTACTATAGCCCTGTAGTATAGTTTCAAGTTAGATCATGTAATGCCTCCAGCTTTGTTGTTTGTTTGGTTGGTTGGTTTTTGGTTTTGGCTTAGGATTGCCTTGGCTATTTGGGCTCACTTTTTGTTCCACATGAATTTTAAAATATCTTTTTCTAGTTCTGTGAAGAATGTCATTGGTGGTTTGATAGGAATAGCATTAAATCTGTAAATTGCTTTGGGCAGTATGGCCATTTTAATGATATTGATTCTTCCTATCCATGAACATGGAAAGCTTTTCCATTTGTTTTTGTCACCTCTGATTTCTTTGAGCAGTGTTTCACAATTCTCCCTGTAGAGATCTTTCACCTCCCTGGTTAGCTGTATTGTTAGGTAAAAAATTTAAACTTTAAAAAGAAGTTTTCTCCTCATTAACATAGTAGTGAGGAAGAAGAAAGAAGGAAGAAGAAAAGGAAGGTAGGAAGGAAGGAAGGAGGGAGGAAGGGAGGGAGGGAGAGAAGGAGGGAAGGAAAAGAGAAGGAAGAGGAGAAGGAGGAGAAAGAGGAGGAGAAGGAGAAAGAGGAGGAGGAGGAGGAGGAGGAAAATAATAATTTTCTCTGGCTTTGAAATGTAAACTGAAGAGAACATGATGGTGTTCTCTGACAGAACCCAGACCTTTCATGCTTTGACATGAGGATTATGGCTATGAAATAAATACCTATAATCATACTGCTGTACCTTTGTACCACCTTGGAGTTTATTCATTTATTCAACAAATATTGATCAACAGCCCACTACATGAAGGCAATTTCATAGCTATTATCTCTAGCCATCTGGCTTTTAGAAATCAGAGGCAGGTAATGTGGGTCAGTGGCTCCTTCTCTTGTCAAGTTTACACAGTGTCCACTGACTCCTCTGGGAGAAGAGGGTAGGTTCTAGTTCTGTGATGCCTGTGGGTAGAAGAAACAGAGGCAGGTCTTCCCCCTCTGGGCTGCAGTGGATGTTCCTGTACTATGTCTAAAATCAGACATCTCACAACCCAAGGAGAAGTTTCCTTCCAGACTAATTCTCTCCCACAAGATAAACCCCTACTTCCCCTACTAATGGGGTACATGAGAGAATGGAGAAATGAGAAAAAATATGTCTATTCTCCCTCTTGTGGGATATTTGTGGCCTAGAGAAGTATGTAGTTTAAATTCTACCCACTCACCACCCAATGTGTGAGGAAGAATACACATAGCACACAGAGTCTAACATATGGAGTGTGCTCTTTCTGAGACTGTCCTGCTTGCTATAAGTCACCAGAAGTTTGGGGGAGCTATCCTGTCTCCTCTGCAAGGAGTCTGCATCACCCTTCTACTTAGGAAGCAATTCTGACTTCCTTGGTGATATCGTCTTCCATGTGAGAGGTATCTGAGCTATATTCCAAGGGAACAACTGAGACTGCCCTAGGATCAAGGTGCATGATGTCAAGGCCGATGACATCCATCTACTCAATGGGGTCAGCTATTCTACCATGAAAAGGAGAGGGGAAGGAAGGCAGAGAGGAAAAGAGCCAGGGCCCAAGTGGACACCATTAGGAGCTGTCTCTCAAAGTCTATTTAATATCACACTTGGCTATCAATCTCTTCACTATAGACTCCCTAAATCACAGCCAAGACAGAGGGGGACTAGTCAGTACTAAGGTTGTTTGTCGCACTTCCCTGTCATAAAAGCTACATTTCAGACCCAAAAGATAAGCTAATATTCTGCTTCGATGTCAGTAGTAAAAAGCAAATAACGTTGGGCATGAGAACCAAGAAATAAGAAGCGAGCTTTAATGCTTCCATAGAGAAGCAAATATTTGCACTTATTAATATCCTGAAACCCATGTTGCCATGAATAGTTCCTTCCCCTTTTATCCCATGCCTTTTGTCTAACACAGTGATATATTGCCACCCTTTCAAAATCTTGACACAGATGACATTGAAGCAAATTATGTACCTCGGCCAGATTTCTCAGTTGAAATGGAGATAGCTGATGTGTACATTTTTCCATCTAATTAACATTCCACAGTTTGAATAGCTGTTATCATGCCCTGGGTCCCATATGAATGGATGAATAGATAAAAAGATCCATAAACAGCTTGGCTTGCCCAGAATGAGATTTTTCTCCAGACAAAGAGAAAATGGAATGAATCATTGTTATCTGGATGGTGGCAGTCATCAGAGACTCGTGCAAGCACATGCTCCCCTGTGTTCAGAACACAAATGTGTTGCCTAGCACCAGCAGCCATCTCAAAAGGACTTTTGTCCACTCCACATCTCTGCATTTAGCCATATAATTTTTTCCACCCAGGTCTTTGTTATGCTGTGTGATGATTTCAAAAATATGTCCCATATTTTTATACGCCTCCACTCGAGAGGTGCAGATTAATTCTTCTCCCCTTGTACTTAGTGACTCACTCTTAACAAATAGAATATGGCAGAAGTGATGGTGTGTAACTTCAGACTCTAGGTCAAAAAATGCATTGCGCTGTCTTGCGCTCTCACGCTCTCTCTCTCTCTCTCTCAATCTCTCAATTTCTCTCTCCAATCAGTCACTCTGGGTAAAATCAGTTGCCATTTCATGAAGCCATGCATACAGTCCTATAGAGAGGAACCGAGGCATCCTGCCTGCCAATAGCCATGGGAGTGAGCCATTTTGAAAGTAGATCCTTCAGCTCCAGTCACACTTTCAGATGAGACCATGGCCAACATCATGACTGCAACCTCATGAGAGACATTGAGCCAGAACCACCCAGCTAAGCTGCTCCTGCATTCCTGATTCTCAGAAACTGTGTGATATAATAAATGTTTGTAGTTTTAAGCAGCTAAATTTTGGGGTGATCTACTGTGCAGCAATAGATAACTAATACACACTGTGACTTCTTTTGACTCTGATCACTGTATTTATGGAAATAATTTATTTTTTCTCCCAGGTAGTCAAAGGCCAAGACGAACACTACCTCCACGGCAAGGCTCCAGAGACACTGAAAAGTGAGTGTGAGGGTCTCAGGAGGCTGGTAAGGCCTTCAACAAGCTCACCAACCCTGGCCAGGGCATGCAGTGTGAAAAGTCCTTTGGTGCTTTTAAAGCAAGCTGGACATGGAAACCTCCATAAGTGGAATAACTACAAATTAGCAGGGTGGTTAAAGGTCTCTGTTTTAAAGCTAGACAGAAATGGGTTTGATTCCAGAAATCACTGTTGATTATCTGATTAACAGTGGACAAGTTAAATAACGAATCCTTCAGTTCTTCCTCTGTAAAATGGTAGATAATACTCCTACCTTAATAGGATTACATTAAATCTAAATGAGATTTTAAAATGTAAATCTAAATCTAATCTTACATTAAATCTAAATTAAATCTTGGTACAGGGCCTGACACTTTACTCAATAAATGTTGCTGTTAATAGGGGTAGACAGGTTGCAATCACAATTTGAGAATCCCTTCCTAGCCCTGTGTAGTTCCTTCATTCCATCTCATTGTAAATTCTGGTGAGTCCTCATACTGGCAAGGCATGGCCTCCTGTGGCACGTGTGGGGGTATTTTTCCTGCTTTAGTGCCTGTTCTCTGGTTTCTGTCAGCTCTGGTCCTGCCTCCTGGCTCCTGCCCTCACTCCCAGCCCACTCATAGTCTCTGATCATGCTCTTCCCTTGCTGGCATCTACCTACATTCACCCTTGATCTCGCCCTGGCTGGCCCCAGCTGCTATGTGGGATCTGAAGAGGAGCCCACCACCCTACCATGACATGTTCCTATGCATCTTCAAAGGTTTCCTATCTGGTTTTGACTTTGGAAGAAAAGAGAACCTAGTCACCTCCTTTCATGCAGAGAACTGCCTATTCTGGGGAAAACCAGCTGAGGTAATTTATACACCCTGCTTAATTACTTCACAATCAGACTCCCAGCTAAGTTGCCCTAGCAACACCTAGCAACTGACCACTGTCACCAGCTGCTTCTGTAAGAGAGTTCCTCTAACTGTTTTATAAACAGTTTTTATTTGGTGGCTTTGATGCAGAAAAGAGTAAGTTAAATAGGACTCTGAACAATATGTAACTGGTTTCATGCCATCCTTCTGCTTGGCTTTGCCTCCGTTTTCCTGTGTAGGCCTAGTGGCATTTCTCCAGGGCTGGGGCAGTAATGGACACTGTTTCAGAACACATCTTTGTAGGCAGATAGACAATCTGGCTGTGTGACACTGAGAATATTATTTAACCTTGACATGCCTCAGTTTCTTTTTCTATAAAATGGGGGCGATAATATCCCCTTTACAGGGTTAACATGAGGAAGAATTAATATATTGCACAGTGCCTGGCACAAAGGCCATATTCTGGCACAAATATGCTGCCAGAAAAAAAAAAGACCTGGCACAAAGGCTGCTATAATTATGAATAATCTAAAAACAGAAAACAACAGCCATCTTTCCAAATGGCACTACAGCAGAGCCAGCCAGACTGGTCATTCATGTGATCGTGAAATGTGGCGAGTCTGCCTCTGGGATTATACAAATTACACCCCTCACCCTCCTTCCTGGTGCCCTGAGCTGCCCCCACTCTTGTGTTCTATTCCCATTCTCACTACAATGTAAGAAGCTCCATGAGGACAAGAATTTTTGTCTATTTTCTTCACTACTGTATCCCAACACCTAGAACAGAGCTTGACACATAACAGGTATTCAATAAGCACTTGTTGGATGAATGGCTGTTTGCAGCATATTGTCTTATGCATAAGGTTCCCTTGGGAATTTCAAGTGCTGGGATATGGGAATCCCTGGATCCCTAGCCTTATACATCTACTAACACACCACCCAGCTGCCATGTTGTGTCTTTGCGTAAAGCCAAGACTAACCAAAACCCCAAATGTAATATCTCAGACCATCCTATGTGGCCATTTCATTGACAATTTATGATTACAAGGCGTAAACTAAAATGAAATCTAGACCTGCTGTGAACTAGAAGGCAGAAGTGGAAGGAGGCATTCTCAAGACTGCCATTCTCAGTTTGTTTCTCTCTCAGACCCAGTAAATCTGTCCTAACCAGGAAGTCTAACAGGAGAGGGAGAAGAAATGTCCAAACCAAGAGGAGAGAACTTGTTTGAGAGGTGAAGAGGATGCAATTTCACATCAGGGGTGTGAAATCTAGGGCCAGAAGCAGAGCCTGCCAGCACCCGGAGTCAAGAAACCAGAATTTTAAGGAAGGCTAGAGAATCAAAGTTGTATGTTTAGAGCAAACAGGGAAGAAAGCCAGACAACAGTGCAGATAACAATGTATTCATTGCTAAAGTGATCCAGAAAGTGTGAGGCTACCTCCTACATGTTACAAAGCCCAGGCTCTGCCTCCCAAACCTAGGCCTTCTGTTATAAATCAGAAGAGTTCTATGAATGTAGAGGGAGCTAATGCCCACAACAGGGCCAACCTCTTGTGATATAGCTCATGACCTTCCAAACTTTCACTGTGGAAGCAGAGTCGAAAGGACCCCAGGGTGCTACATTAATCCCTAGGGCTGTCAGGGTCTCTGTACCACCTGAGGCTTACCTCCCCAACTTGTGCTAAGAATCACTACATAGCGGGAGAGCTCGCTCTGTTGTTCCCAGTGCCTGCTTCCCTCCAATGTGGTCTGGAAACCGGTCTCTCCCTGCTGAGGCAAAATGAAGACCCGGCCACTAGAGTTATAGCAGAGGTGGATGAGGCTGAGCCGAGTATGAAAGGCTCAGCAGCTAATGCTATCCTGGCTTTTCAGGCCCATCCTAATTTATGAAATTGTGGAACTGAGATTCAGAAGGAGACATGACTTCCATATCACACATCAAATCCATGGGCAAGGTGGGACTGGAACCCAGGACCCTTCACTCTTGGTCCTAGGCTTTCTTTCTACTGCTTCTGGACCCCACCCCCACTAATTATTCCAGCACCAAACAATGAACCCTTTGCTCTGAGTAACCAGGAATGTATTTGATACCCTTATCCTCTCATCTCCAGTCCCCCCAGGAAAACCAGTACAGTGGGTAAATCTTGAGATCAAACATCCAAAGGGCAGATCTAGTACCCAGCACCACCTCTCACTACCTGTATGATGTAGGTAACTCACTTAACCTCTCTGACCTGTAGTAGGGGTACCTGTAAAGTAGGAACAACACTAATGGCCATACCTCATGAAATTGCTTGAAGGACTCAATAGAAAATGTGTGAAAACACTCTGTATATTCAAAAGTGATATACATGCAATTGTTATTTTCTTCCCCATGGTTTTCTGTATTTTCCAAATGTTCTACTATATTGATTTTAAAAGAGAGAAAGAACAAAGTACACTTAATTTTTCAAAAGGAAAAACATTTAAGGAAACAGTCCTTTTACCTATCAAATTGGCAGAGCTTTTATTTCCTACTCTGACATTAAAGAGCGCAGTGAGATGAGCATTCTCATGCACAGCTAGCGGAAGGAAAAATTGGAACTAACTTTCTGGAAAATTACTTGGCAACAGGCATCAAGTTATTTTTAAATGTTTATGCTTCTTAACCCAGTAATTCTCAGAATGTATGTAAAGAAAATTCTTATTGATGCAGTTCAACATAATTAATAAGGCACTTGTAGAAGAATTTTTTCTTAAATATACCTAAAAACTAGAAGCAACATAAACGTCCCCAAGTGAGAAATTGAATAACTTATAGCACATCCTACAATGAAATATCATAAAACCTCTAAAAGTTAACTGTTCAAAGAATATTTAATGGAGTAAATATTCACAGTATAATGTAATAGAATATTAGACAGTATTTTTTAAAATATAGAGAAATGCACAGAGAAAGAAAAATTCATAAAAATATTAAATTAATAGTGTTGCCTTTGGATGATGAGATTATGGGGTTTTCTCTCTTCTTTATAATTTTTTTGCATTTTAAAATTAATAACAATGAGCTTGTGTTCTTTTACAACCTGAATATGCTATTAAAAATAACTAGGTAAATACTTAAAGGTGTATGCCTTTTGCATTCCATTTTGTTGCCTATAGTAGCATTATTTTTTCTTTATTGAAGTATAATTGACAGATAAAAATTGGATATATTAATGATATACAACCTGATGTTTTGATTTACATATACGTTATGAAATGATTACCACAATCAAGCTAATTAACATAGTCATCACCTCACATAGTTATCATTTTGTATGTGTGGTAAGAACATTTAAGATCTATTCACTTAGCAATTTCTGAGTACACAATACATCATTACCTATAGACACCATGCCGTCTAATAGATTTCCAGAACCTATTCACCCTGTATAACTAAGACTCTGTGGCCGGGCGCAGTGGCTCACACCTGTAACCCCAGCACTTTGGGAGGCCGAGGTGGGCAGATCACAAGGTCAAGAGATAGAGACCATCCTGGCCAACATGGTGAAACCCCATCTCTACTAAAAATACAAAAATTAGCCGGGCATGGTGGTGGGCACCTGTAGTCCCAGCTATTCGGGAGGCTGAGGCAGGAGACTCGCTTGAACCCGGGAGGCAGAGGTTGCAGTGAGCCAAGATAGTGCCATACACTCCAGCCTGGCTACAGAGCGAGACTCTGTCTCAAAAAAAAAAAAAAAAAAAAAAAAAAGACTTTGTAACCTTTGGCCAATTTGTCCCCATTCCCTCACCACTCCCCACCCCCATTCCCTGGCAACCACCATTCTACTCTGCTTTTACAAGTTCAACTTTTTCAGATTCCACACATAAGTGAGATCATGTAGTATTTGTCTTTCTGTGCCTGGCTTATTTCCCCTAACATTATGTTCTCCAGATTCATCCATGTTGTTGCAAATGAAAGAATTTCCTTCTTTTTTAAGGCTGAATAATATTCCATTGTGTGTGTGCATGTGTGTTTGTGTGTGTATACAGTCATGCGCTGCACAGTGACATTTCAGTCAATGATGGACTGCATGTATTACGCTGGTGTCATAAGATTATAATGAAGCTAAAAAATCCCTATTGTCTTGTTACATTGTAGCCCTCATAATGGTGTAGTGCAGTGCATTACTCATTACTCACATGTTTGTGGTGATGCTAGTATAAAGAAACCTACTGTACAGCTAGCAGTATAAAAGCATAGCACATACAGTTTTGTACAGTAATACTTGATAATGATAATAAACAACTATATTACTGGTTATGTATTTACTATACTATTCTTTCTTTTTTTTTTTTTTTTTTTTTTTTTGAGATGGAGTTTCGCTTCTGTCGCCCAGGCTAGAGTGCAATGGTGCAATCTCTGCTCACTGCAACCTCCACCTCCTGGGTTCAAGCGATTCTCCAGCCTCAGCCTCCCGAGTAGCTGGAATTACAGGAGTGCCACTACCACACCCGACTAACTTTTGTATTTTTAGTAGAGATGGGGTTTCACCATGTTGGCCAGGCTGCTCTCGAACTCCTGACCTCAGGTGATCCTCCTGCCTCAGCCTCCCAAAGTTCTGGGATTATAGCCATGAGCCACCGCACCCGGCCTATACTATACTTCTTATCATTATTTTAGAGTGTACTCCTTCTACTTATTACAAAAAAAAAAGTTAATTTTAAAACAGCCTCAGGCAGGTTTTTCAGGAGGTGTTCCAGAAGAAGGCGTTATCACAGAAGATGACACCTCTATGCGTGTTATTGTCCCTAAAGACTCTCCAGTGAGAGAAGATGTGAAGTTGGAAGACAGTAATATTGATGACCCTGACCCTGTGCAGGCTAATGTGTGTGTTTATGTCTTCATTTTTAACAAAAACTTTAAAAGTAAAAAGAGAAAATAAAAAATTTAGAAATAGAAAAAAGCTTATAGAAGAAAATAAAGAAAATATTTTCGTACAGCTGTACAATGTGTTTGTGGTTTAAGCTAAGTTTTACAAGAGGCAATAAGTTTAAAAATATTGAAAAGTATATAAAGTTAAAACATTACAATAAGCTAAGGTTAATTTATTATTGAGGAAAGAAAAAGTCTTTTTATAAATTTGGTGTAGGCCAAGTGTCCAGTGTTCATAAAGTCTACAGTAGTGTACAGAAATGTTCTAGGCCCTCACATTCACTCACCACTCACTCACAGACTCACCCAGAGCAACTTCCAGTCCTGCAAGCTCAGTTATGGTAACTGCCCTATAAAGGTATACCATTTTTATCTTTCATACCATATTTTTATTGTACTTTTTCTATGTTTAGATACACAAATATGTACCATTGTGTTACAATTGTCTGCAGTATCCAGTATAGTCACATGCTACAGGTTTGTAGCCTAGAAGCAATAGGCTATACGGTATAGCCTGGATGTGTAGTTAGCTATACCTTCTAGGTTTATGTAAATATACTCTATGATGTCCACACAAGAAGATCACTTAACAACACATTTCCCAGAATATGTCTCCATCATTAAGTGACACATGACTGTATAACATTTTCTTTATTTATTCATCTGTTGAGGGACACTTAGTTTGATTCTGTATTTTGGCTATTGTGAATAATCCTGCAATGAATATGGGAATGTGGCTATCCCTTTTACATACTGACTTCGTTTCCTTTGGATACATATCCAGAAGTGAGATTGCTGGATCATATGATAGTTGTGTTTATAATTTTTTTGAGGAAACTCCATACTGTTTTCATAATGGCTTTACCAATTTACCTTCCCACCAACAGTGTACAAAAGTTCCCTTTTCTCGGCTGGGTGTGGTGGCTCATGCCTGTAATCCCAGCAGTTTGGGAGGCCGAGGTGTGTGGATTGTCTGAGGTCAGGAGTTCAAGACCAGTCTGGCCAACATGGTGAAAACTTGTCTCTACTAAAAATACAAAAAAAAAAATAGCCAGGCGTAGGGGCGTGCACCTGTAATCCCAGCTACTCAGGAGGCTGAGGCAGGGGAATTGCTTGAACAAGGGAGGTGGAGGTTGCAGTGAGCTGAGATTGTGCCACTGCACTATGGCCTGGGCAACAAAGCAAGACTCCATCTTAAAAAAAAAAAATTTCCCTTTCCTCCATGTTCCCACCAACACTTGTTATCTTTTGTCTTTTTAGTTATATTCTTCTAACAGGTGCAAGGTGATATCTCATTGTGGTTTTACGTATCTCTAATGATTAGTGATGCTGAGTATTTTGATATGTTGGCCATTTGCATGTCTTCTTTTAATAAATGTCTATTCAGTTCCTTTGCATATTTTTCTGCTGCCTTATTGCCCTGGCCAGAACTTCCAATACTATGTTGAATAGGAGTGGTGAGAGAGGGCATCCTTGTCTTGTGCCAGTTTTCAAAGGGAATGCTTCCAGTTTTTGCCCATTCAGTATGATATTGGCTGTGGGTTTGTCATAAATAGCTCTTATTATTTTGAGATACGTTCCATCAATACCTAGTTTTTTGAGGGTTTTTAGCATGAAGGGCTGTTGAATTTTGTCGAAGGCCTTTTCTGCATCTATTGAGATAATCATGTGGTTTTTGTCATTGGTTCTGTTTCTGTGATGGATTACGTTGATTGATTTGCATATGTTGAACCAGCCTTGCATCCCAGGGATGAAGCCAACTTGATCGTGGTGGATAAGATTTTTGATGTGCTGCTGGATTCAGTTTGCCAGTATTTTATTGAGGATTTTCCCATCGATGTTCATCAGGGATATTGGTCTAAAATTCTCTTTTTTTATTGTGTCTCTGCCAGTCTTTGGTATCAGGACGATGCTGGCCTCATAAAATGAGTAAGGGAGGATTCCCTCTTTTTCTATTTTTTGGAATACTTTCAGAAGGAATGGTACCAGCTCCTCTTTGTACCTCTGGTAGAATTCGGCTGTGAATCCGTCTGGTCCTGGACTTTTTTTGGTTGATAGCCTATTATTACCTCAATTTCAGAGCCTGTTATTGGTCTATTCAGAGATTCAACTTCCTCCTGGTTTAGTCTTGAGAGGGTGTATGTGTCCAGGAATTTATCCATTTCTTCTAGATTTTCTAGTTTATTTGCATAGAGGTGTTTATAGTATTCTCTGATGGTAGTTTGTATTTCTGTGGGATCAGTGGTGATATCCCCTTTATCATTTTTTACAGCATCTATTTGACTCTTCTTTTCTTCTTTATTAGTCTTGTTAGTGGTCTATCAATTTTGTTGACCTTTTCAAAAAACCAGCTCCTGGATTCATTGATTTTTTTGAAGGGTTTTTTATGTCTCTATCACCTTCAATTCTGCTCTCATCTTAGTTACTTCTTGTCTTCTGCTAGCTTTTGAATTTGTTTGCTCTTTCTTCTCTAGTTCTTTCAATTGTGATGTTAGGGTGTCAATTTTAGATCTTTCCTGCTTTCTGTTGTGAGCATTTAGTGCTATAAATTTCCCTCTACACACTGCTTTAAATGTGTCCCAGAGATTCTGATACGTTGTGTCTTTGTTCTCATTGGTTTCAAAGAACATTTTAATTTCTGCCTTCTTTTCATTATTTACCCAGTAGTCATTCAGGAGCAGGTTGTTCAGTTTCCATGTAGTTGTATGGTTTTGAGTGAGTTTCTTAATCCTGAGTTCTAATTTGATTGCACTGTGGTCTGACAGACAGTTTGTTGTGATTTCTGTTCTTTTACATTTGCTGAGGAGTGCTTTACTTCCAATTATGTGGTCGATTTTAGAGTAAGTGCGATGTTGTGCTGAGAAGAATGTATATTCTGTTGATTTGGGGTGGAGAGTTCTGTAGATGCCGATTAAGTCTGCTTGGTGCAGAGCTGAGTTCAAGTCCTGAATATCTTTGTGAACCTTCTATCTCGTTGATCTGTCTAATATTGACAGTGGGATGTTAAAATCTCCCATTATTATTTTACGGGAGTCTAAGTCTCTTTGTAGGTCTCTAAGGACTTGCTTTATGAATCTGGGTGCTCCTGTATTGGGTGCATATATATTCAGGATAGTTAGCTCTTCTTGTTGAATTGATCCCTTTACCATTATGTAATGGCCTTCTTTGTCTCTTTTGATCTTTGTTGGTTTAAAGTCTGTTTTATCAGAGACTAGGATTGCAACCCCTGTTTTTTTGTTTTTTTGTGTTTTTTTTGTTTTTTTGTTTTTTGTTTTTTGCTTTCCATTTGCTTGGTAGATCTTCCTCCATCCGTTCATTTTGAGCCTATGTGTGTCTCTGCACGTGGGATGGGTCTCCTGAATACAGCACACTGATAGGTCTTGACTATCCAATTTGCCAGTCTGTGTCTTTTAACTGGGGCATTTAGTCCATTTACATTTAAGGTTAATATTGTTGTGTGTGAATTTGATCCTGTCATTATGATGTTAGCTGGTTATTTTGCCCATTTCTTCATAGCATCAATGGTCTTTACAATTTGGCATGTTTTTGCAGTGGCTGGTACCAGTTGTTCCTTTCCATGTTTAGTGCTTCCTTCAGAAGCTCTTGTAAGGCAGGCCTGGTGGTGACAAAATCTCTCAGCATTTGCTTGTCTGTAAAGGATTTTATTTCTCCTTCACTTATGAAGCTTAGTTTGGCTGGATATAAAATTCTGGGTTGAAAATTCTTTTCTTAAAAGAACGTTGAATATTGGCCCTCTCTCTTCTGGCTTGTAAGGTTTCTCCTGAGAAATATGCTGTTAGTCTGATGGGCTTCCCTTTGTGGGTAACCAGACCTTTCTCTCTAGCTGCCTTTAATGTTTTTTTCCTTCATTTCAACCTTGGTGAATCTGACAATTATGTGTCTTGGGGTTGCTCTTCTCGAGGAGTATCTTTGTGGTATTCTCTGTATTTCTTGAATTTGAATGTTGGCCTGCCTTGCTAGGTTGGGGAAGTTCTCCTGGGTAATATCCTGAAGAGTGTTTTCCAACTTGGTTCCATTCTCCCCATCACTTTCAGGTACACCAATCAATCATAGATTTGGTCTTTTCACATAGTCCCGTATTTCTTGGAGGCTTTGTTCATTTCTTTTTACTCTTTTTTCTCTAAACTTGTCCTCTCGCTTTATTTCATTAATTTGATCTTCAATCACTGATTTCCTTTCTTCCACTTGATCGAATCTGCTATTGAAGCTTGTGCATGCATCATGAAGTTCTCGTGCCATGGTTTTCAGCTCCATCAGGCCATTTAAGGTCTTCTCTACACTGTTTATTCTAGTTAGCCATTTGTCTAACCTTTTTTCAAGGTTTTTAGCTTCCTCGCAATAGGTTAGAACATGCTCCTTTGGCTCGGAGAAGTTTGTTATTACCGACCTTCTGAAGCCTACTTCTGTCAGCTCATCAAAGTCATTCTCCATCCAGCTTTGTTCCGTTGCTGGCAAGGAGCTGCAATCCTTTGGAGGAGAAAAGGCGCTCTGGTTTTTAGAATTTTCAGCTTTTCTGCTCTGGTTTCTCCCCATCTTTGTGGTTTTATCTACTTTTGGTCTTTGATGTCAGTGATCTACAGATGGGGTTTTGGTGTGGATGTCCTTTTTGTTGATGTTGATGCTATTCCTTTCTGTTTGATAGTTTTCTTTCTAGCAGTCAGGTCCCTTAGCTGCAGGTCTGTTGGGCTTTGCTGGAGGTCCACTCCAGACCCTGTTTGCCGGTATCACCAGTGGAGGCTGCAGAACAGCAAATATTGCAGAAGAGCAAATCTTGCTGCCTAATCCTTCCTCTGGAAGCTTCGTCCTAGTGGGGCGCCTACCTGTATGAGGTGTCTGTTGGCCCCTACTGGGAGGTGTCTCCCAGTTAGGCTACACGGGGGTCAGGGACCCACTTGAGGAGGCAGTCTGTCCATTCTCAGAGCTACAACGCCATGCTGGGAAAACCACTGCTCTCTTTAGAGCTGTCAGACAGGGATGTTTCTTCTTTGCATATTTTTAAATTGAGTTGTTTCCTTGCTATTGAGCTGTCTGAATCCCTTATATATTATGAATAGTAGCACTTTTTCAGATGTATGGTTTGCAAATATATACTCCCATCCCATAGGAGCATATATTTGCAAACCATACATCTCAAAGAGTTAATAGGAAAAGAAAGGAAGGACGTGGGCTATATCACAAAGGAAACAGTCATGTGCAGAAGCTTTTTAGTTTGATGCAATCCTGTTTGTCTATTTTTGCTTTTATTGTCTGTACTTTCCAGGTCATATAAAAAAAATCGTTGCTCAGAAGAATATCATAAAGCATTTTCCTTACATTTTCTTCTAGTTTTGTTTTGTTTTGTTTTACAGTTTCTGGTCTAACAATTAAGTCTGTAATCCACGTTGAGTTGTTTTTTGTACACGGTATGAAATAAGGGCCCAACAAGGGTATATGGTATGAAAGAGGGTCCCCATTCTTCTCCATTGGAACATTCAGTTTTCCCAGCACCATTTATTGAAGAGCCTGTCCTTTCCCCCTTTTGTGTTTTTGGCACCTTTTGTCAAAGATCAATTGACTGTAAGTAAATGTATGGATTGATTTCTGGGCTCTATTCTGTTCCATTGACTTATATGTCTGAGATTTTTTTTTCTTTTTTCTTTTTTTGAAACAGGGTCTCATTCTGTTACCCAGCCTAGAGTGCCGTGGTGAAATCATAGCTCATTGCAGCCTCAACCTCCCCAGGCTCAGATGATCCTCCCATCTCAGCCTCCCAGGTATCTGGGACTACAGGGGTATACCATCACATCTGGCTAATTTTTGGGTTTGTTTTGTCTTGTAGAGACAGAGTTTCACCACATTGCCCAGGCTGGTCTCAAACTCCTGGGCTCCAGCAATCCACCCACCTCAGCCTTCTAAAGTGCTGAGATTACAGGCATAAGCCACCATGCTCAGCCTATGTTTGTTTATATGCCAATACTATGCCATTTTGATTACTATAGCTTTATAGTCAATTTTGAAGTCAGGTAGTGTAATGCCTCTACTTTGTTCTTTTTTGCTCAAGATTTCTTTAGCTATGGGTCATTTGTCATTCCAAACAAGTTTGGGGACTTTTTTTCTATTTCTGTGAAAAATGTCATTAGATTTTTTTAAATTTTTTTTTTGAGATGGAGTTTCGCTCTTATTGCCCAGGCTGGAGTGCAATGGCGTAATCTCAGCTCACTGCAACCTCCTCCTCCCCGGTTCAAGCGATTCTCCTGCCTCAGCCTCCCAAGTAGCTAGGAGGACAGGTGCCCGCCACCATGCCCAGCTAATTTCTTGTATTTTTAGCAGAGACAGCGTTTTGCCATGTTGGTCAGGCTGGTCTCGAACTCCTAGCCTCAGGTGATCTGCCCACCTTGGCCTCCCAAAGTGCTGGCATTACAGGTATGAGCCACTGTGCCTGGCCAACATTAGATTTTTGACAGGGATTGCATTGAATCTAGAGATAACTTTGGATAGTATGGACATTTTAACAGTATTAATTATTCCAATCTATAAATATGGGATATCTTTCCATTTATTTGTGTCTTCAAATTATCTTTTTTCTCATGCTTAATTGCTCTGGCTAGCACTTTCAGAACTATGTTGAATAGAAATGGTGAGAGTGAGCATCCTTTTCTTATTTCTGATCTTAGAGGAAAAGCTTTTAGCTTTTTACTGTTAAACGTGATGATAACTGTGGGCTTGTCATATATGGCATTTATTATATTAAGGTATATTCTTCTTACACCTAATTTGTTGAGAATTTTTATCATAAATAGATGCTGAATTTGTCAGATGCTTTTTCTGCCTCTATTGAGATGACCATATGATTTTTCATTCTGTTAATATGGTATATCACATTTATTAATTTGCATATGTTGATTTATTCTTGCATCTGAGGGAAAACTCCCATTCAATCATTGTATATCACCCTTTGACTATGAGGTTGAGTTCAATTTGCTAGTATTTTGTTGAGAACTTTTGTATTTATGTTCACAAGGTATTTTCTTGTGTCATCGTTGTCTGGCTTTAGCATTGGGTAATGCTTACCTCATGGAATAAGTCTGGAAGTTCCTTCTTCAACTTTTTGGAAAAATTTGAGAAGTATTGGCAATGACTCTTCTTTACACGTTTGGCAGAATTCACCAGTGAAGCCATCTGGTCCCGGGCTTTTCCTTATTAGAAGATTTTTGATTAGTAATTCAATCTCCTTGCTCATTACTGGTCTATTCAGATTTTCCATCTCTTCATGGTTCAGCCATGATAGGTTGTAAAATATATGTCCAGGAATTTATCTGTTTCTTCTAGGTTATCCAATTTGTTGCCATATAATTGTTCATAGTTTCTTATGATTTTTTGTATTTCTGTGGTATTGTAATGTCTCCTCTTTCATTCATAATTTTATTTATTTGAGTCTTCTGTCTTTTTTTCTTAGTCTGGCTAATGGTTTGCCAATTTTATCTTTTAAAAAAACAACTCTCAGTTTCATTGATCTTTTCTATTGTTTTTCTAATCTCTACTTCATTTATTTCTGTTCTAATCTTTAATATTTCCTTCCTCTGGTTACTTTGAGCTGTTCATTCTTTTTCTAGTTCCTTGGGGTATAAAGTTAGGTTATTTGAGATTTCTTTTTTCTTAATGTAGGTATTTATCACTGTAAACTTCCTTCTTCAAACTGATTTTGCTGCATCTCATAAGTTTTAATATACTTTGTTTTCATTTTTTGTTTGTCTCAAAATATTTCTCATTTCTTCTTTCACCCATTGGTTTTTCAGGAGTATGTTGCTTAATTTACACATATTTGCAAGTTTTCCAATTTTCTACTATTATTGATTTCTAGGTTCTTACTAGTGTGGTCAGAAATATTCATATAATTTCAGTCTTCTTAAATGTGTTAAGACTCATTTTGTAGCCCAATATATAATCTATTCCAAAGAATATTTTGTATGCACTTAAGAAGAATGTGTATTCTGCTGCTTTGGGATGGAATGTTCTATACATGTCGTTAGGTCCATTTGGTCTATAGTGTTGTTCAAGTCCACGTTTCCTTATTGATTAACTGTCTGGATTATCCATCCATTGTTAAAACTGGAGTATTTAAGTCCCCTACTATTATTGCATTACCACCTATTTCTCTCTTCATTTCTGGTAATATTTGCTTTATATACTTAGGTACTCCAATGATGGGTGCATATATGTTTACAATTATTATATTCTGTTGATGAATTGGCCCCTTCTCATTGTATGATCACCTTCTTTATCTCTTGTGACAATTTCTGACTTAAAGTCTGCCTTGTCTGATGTAAGTATAGTGACTCCTGCCCTCTTTTGGTTACTATTTGCATGCTATATCTTTTCTATCCCTTCACTTTCAGCATATGTGTGTCCTTAAATCTTAAGTGAATCCATTTTAAGTAGCACAGAGTTGGATTTTTTTAATCCATTCAATCACTCCATATCTTTTGATTGGAGAATTTAGGCCATTTATATTTAAGTAATTATTGATAAGTAAGGACTTATTGACATTTTGTTAATTGTTTTCTGTTTTATAATTTTTTCTCTCTTATTATCTTTTGTGATTTGATTTTTTAGGGTAGTAGTATGCTTTGATTCCTTTATCTTTTGTGTCACTACTTCAGGCTTTTTCTTTACGATTATTACGAAGCTTGTATAAAACATCTTATAGCAGTCTATTTTAACAACTTAATTTTGATTGCATATAAAAATTCTACACTTTTCCCCCATACACATATTATATGTTATTGATGTCATAAATAACATCCTTTATATTGAGTATTCACTAATTATTGCAGCTATAGTTACTTTTAATGCTTTTTTTGTTTAACTTTTATCCTAGAGTTCAAAGTGATTTATGCGTCACCATTAAAGTATTAGAGTATTCTAAATTTGACTCTCTACTTACCTTTACCAATGAGTTTTATACCTTCATATATTTTTTAATTGCCAGTTAGCATTCTTTCATTTCAACTTGAAGAATTTTCCTTAGTATTTCTTGTAAGGCTATCTAGTGGTGATGAACTCCCTCAGTTTTGTTTGTCTGGGAAAGTCTTTATCCCTACTTCATTTCTGAAGGATAGCTTTGCTAGGTATAGTTTTCTTGCAGACCTATTTATGCTCAACTCAACCTATTTGGAGTTATTTGGGCTTCAAAAATCTGGATGTTAATTTCCCTCTCCAGATTTGAGAGGTTCTCTATCATTATTTCTTTAATAAGTTTTCTGCTCCTTTCTCTTTCTCTGCTCCTTCCTGGATTTCCATAACGTATCTATTGGTTTGTTCAGTGGTGTCCCATAAGTTCTGTAGGCCTTCCTCATTATTTTTCATTCTTTTTACTTTTTATTTTTCTGACTGGATAATTTCAAATGATCTTTGAGTTTACTAATTCTTTCTTTTGCCTGATTGAGTTTGTTATTGAAGATCTCTATTGAATTTTTTAGTTCAGATATGGTATTCTGCATAACCAGAATTTCAGTTTGGTTTTTACTAATGGTCTATTTTTCTTTGTTGAACTTGTAATTTTATTCATGTATCGTTTAACTGATTTTGTTTAATTATCTATTTTCTCTGGTAGTTCACTGAGCTTCTTTAAAATGATTGTTTGAAACAATTTGTCTGGTGATTTATATATCTCCATTTTTTGAGGTCAGCCACTGGAGCTTTATTTTGCTCCTTCAGTGATATTATAGTCCCTTGATTCTTTATGTTTCTTGAAACTTTGCATTGTTGTCTTCACATTTGAAGATGCAGTCACTGCCTCCAGTCTTTGTTGACTGGCTTTAGGAGTGAAAGACCTACACCAGTGAGCCTGGCTAGAGACTTTTGGTGTCTTTCAGGCCTGTTCTATTGATGTATCTACTCCACTCATCTTGATCCTTCTTAGGGGAGAAGTCTTAAGATTGTGTGACTTCTCTTGATCTCACAAAGCCAGGCTTGTTGCTAAGAGTCTTCTGTTTATTTTCCCTAGGACTGTGCCCTGAGGTGTTCAAGATTGTGTGCTTTTTCCCAAACTATCAGAGAAAAGCCAGCTGCCAATATCTGCACCTGCCATAGAGATCCATCTGTTGTCTGTGGGAGCTTGTGGGTGTTACACACAGGAACATGTAGGGCACTGTCCACAGGGTGGAGGGGCAGGGTGTTGGGATCATGTGTCTACTTGTTGGGAGTTCCACAGGTGAGTTGTCC
This sequence comes from Homo sapiens, assembly GCF_000001405.40. Taxonomy (NCBI): domain Eukaryota; kingdom Metazoa; phylum Chordata; class Mammalia; order Primates; family Hominidae; genus Homo; species Homo sapiens. The sequence continues at coordinate 10,958,582 of NC_000011.10, read as the reverse complement.
TATGGGGCTCATGGCAGGCCTCTTGGTACCATTTGTGAGCCTGCTGATAATCACATGCCAGTGCTGTACACTCCCACCTTTTCTCCCTCCTCCTAGCTGCTCTCAGACAACTCAGCCATGCCAATCCCCTTGGCATTCTGTTCTTATTTATTGAGATGAGATAGAAATGAGCCTCCTGGGCAGTGTCCCAAAAGACTGTAGAAGTTGAGTGCTCACTTACCCTGTGGGAGAAGTTATGGGCCTCTCTCAGCACAGGGGGCCTCTTTCAGCCCTGAGCTTTTGGGAGAGGGGGTGATGTGGGTAAAGTGAAACTACTTTTTTAACCTCTTCAATATACCAGCTCTTGAATTTTTTGTTCCACCAGAGTGTTGCAACCTCTCAGCTGGACTCTGAGGCTCCCACAAAAGTATTCTTGTCTATGAGTGGTTGCCAAAATTGGTGTTTCTATAGGGGTATGAGGGATAGAACTTTCTATTTTGCCATCTTCCTGACATCATCCTAAATTTTTGTATATTTAATTGGTTTTAGTGCTTACTACTGCCTCTTTCCAATCCCAAATTCCCCATCTTAGGCTCTTGTTTTGACTTATTTTCATATCATGTGGATAAATGTTTTGAGTCATTTTTATAGAAAGGACACTTGAGTGGTAACTTTTCTTAGCCTTTGGAGATCAGAAAATGAAACTGTTGCTGCCCTACATGATGACAAAATGGCAGGGGGAAACGTCTTTATCACATTCTTTTTCTCTTAAATTTCCATAGACCTTCTATTGCTGACTTCTAGAATTTATTGGCTCAGAGAAGAAATCTAATGTTAGTCAGATTTTAATTCCTCTAAAAGGATCCTTCATTTTTTGGCTTGATTGTAGGACTCCTAAACCTTTGAAATTAAATTATGCTACAACTATTATTGATTTTGGAACCCAAAAGTCACGAGTTGGAGCAACAACAAAAGCCTAGCTCACAGCAGTAAGCTTTGCAAAAGGTTTCAGAGACCAAAAGCCTTTCTCCATCAGACAATCATTCACATTTCATTCTGAGTTTAGACCTACCTGTTTTCACCAAAACGATCTCTATCCTATCCTTCCATATATTCTCCTCCCTTCCTCATCTCCAGCTAACAGCAAAATCAAGGTTCAAAAATTAAGTGTCTTTCACACTTCCTCCACTATCACACATTTGTACAATCATACACCAGTATGCATAGTTTGGTAATTTGGGCGTTATTTTGCACACACACACAAATACGGTTTCACTGTATACATTTCTCTACATTATGCTTTTCTTACTGAACTAAAAATCTCTCTAGGTCAATTAGTGTATTGGTCCATGCTCATGCTGCAATAAAGAACTACCTGATACTGGGTAATTTATAAAGAAAAGAGGTTTAATTGGTGCACAGTTCCACTGGCTTAACAGGAAGCATGACTGGGAGGCCTTAGGAAACTTACAATCGTGGTGGAAGGCAAAGGGGAAGCAGGCATGTCTTCACAATGGTGGAGCAGGAGAGAGAGAGGGAAGGGGGAAGTGCCACACACTTTTAAACCATCAGATGTCATGAGAATTCACTCACTATCATGAGAACAGCAAGGAAGAAATTTGTCCCCATGATCCAATCACCTCCCACCAGGCCCCTCCTCCAATTTGACATGAGATTTGGGTGAGGACACAAACAAACCATATCATTCCACCTTCCACCCCTTGCCAAATCTCATGTCCATGTCCTTCTCACATTACAAAATACAATTTTCCTTTCTCAACAGTCCTCCAGTCTTAATTCATTTCAGCATTAACTCAAAAGTGCACAGTCCAAAGTTTCATCTGAGACAAGGTAAGTCCCTTCTGCCTATGAGCCTGTAAATTCAAAAACAAGTTCATTCCTTCCAAGATACAATGGGAGTATGGGCATTGGGAAAATGCTCGCATTCCAAATGGGAAAAAATGGTCAAAACAAAGAGGCTACAGGCCCCATGCAAGTCTTAAACCCAGCAGGGTAGTCATTAAATCTTAAAGTTCCAAAATTATCTCCTTTGACTCCATGTCTCACATCCAGGCCACAGTGATGCAAGGGGTAGGTTCCCAAGGTGTTGGGAAGCTTGGCCCCTGTGGCTTTGTAGGGTGCACCCCTGTAGCTGCTTTAATGGGCTGGTCTTAAGTGCCTGTGGCTTTTCCAGGTGCACAATGCAAGCTGTCAGTGGATCTACCACTCTGGGGCCTGATGGACAGTAACCCTCTTCTGACAGCTTCATTAGGCAGTGCCCTAGTGGGGAATCTGGATGTGGGCTCCAACCCCACATTTCCCCTCTGCACTGCCCTAGTAGAGATTCTCCATGAGAGCTCTGGCCCTGCAGCAGACTTCTGCCTGGACTTCCAGGCATTTCAATACAGCCTCTGAAATCTAGGCAGAGGTTCTCAAACCTCAACTCTTGCCTTCTGTGTACTGGCAGGCCCAACACCATGTAGAAGGTTTGGGGCTTGCACTGTGCACCTGGAAAAGCAATGGCCTGAGCTGTACCTTAGCCATAGCTGAAGCAAGAATGGCTGGGATGCCGAGTGCCATGTCCAGAGGCTGCACAGAACAGTGGAGCCCTGGGCCCACCCCAGGAAACCATTTTTCCCTCCTAGATCTCCAGGCCTGTGATAGGAGGGGCTGCCACAAAGGTGTCTGAAATGCCCTGGAGATATTTTCCCCATTGTCTTGGCTATTAACATTCAGTTCCTCCTTACTTATGCAAATTTCTGCAGCTGGCTTGGGCCTGAATTTCTCCCCAGAAAGTGGGTTTTTCTTTTCTACCACATGGCAGAGCTACAGATTTTCCAGACTTTTATAGTCTGCTTCCCTTTTAAATATAAGTTCCAGTTTCTTTTTTACATAGTATTTAGATATCCTCTCGGAAATTGCCTATTTATATCCTTTGCCTATTTTCCAACTGAGATGTCTTTATCAGTTTGTAGAGTTATTTAAATGTTTTAAACATAAAATCCTTCACCTATTTTTTTTAGACAGGATCTTGCACTGATGCCCAGGCTGGAGTGTAGTAGTGTGACCATAGTTTACTGTGGCCTCAAACTCCTGGGCTCAAGGGATCCTCCTGCCTCATTCTTCTGAGTAGCTAGGACTACAGGCACACACCACCATGCCTAGTTAATCTCTTTCTTTATGCAAATGAGCATAGGCTTTTAGGAGCAGCCAGGACACATCTTCAAGGTTTTGCTACTTAGAAATTTCTTCTGCCAGATAGCCTGAATCATCTCTCTCAAGTTCAAAGTTCCACAGATCTCAGAGGAGGGGCAAAGTGCTGCCAGTACACAGGCAAATGCTACCAGTCTCTTTGCTAAAGCATAGCAAGAGTAACCTTTACTCCAGTTCCCAATAAGTTCTTCATCTCCATCTCAGACTACCTCAGCCTGGACTTCATTACCCATATCCCTATCAGCATTTTGGTCAAAACCATTCAACAAGTCTCTAGGAAGATCCAAACTTTCCCTCATCTTCCTATCTTCTTCTGAGACCCCCAAACTGTTCCAGCTCCTGCCTATTATACAGTTCCTAAGTTGCTTCCACATTTTCAGGTATCTTTATAGCAATGCCCCACTCTTCTAGTACCAATTTTCGGTATTAGTCCATTCTCACACTGCTATAAAGACCTACCTGAGACTGGATAATTTATAAAGAAAAGAGGTTTAATTGACCCACAGTTCCACAAGCTTAACAGGAAGCATGACTGGAAGGCCTCAGGAAACTTACAATCGTGATGGAAGGTGAAGAGGAAGCATGCATATCTTCACAATGGTGGAGCAGAAGAAAGAGAGAGGGAAGGGGAAGTGCCACACACTTTTTAACCATCAGATCTCGTGAGAACTCACTATTATGAGAACAGCAAGGGGGAATTCGCCCCCATGATCCAATCACCTCACATCAGGCCCCTCCTCCAATTCAACATGAGATTTGGGTGGGGAGACAAATCCAATCCATATCAATTAATATAGATATAACTCATTTTTTTCTAATGGTTGCATAATTATTCAAATTATGAACATATAATTTATTCAGCAATGTATGTATTGATGGATATTAGGTTATCTTCCATTATTTTTATTTGTATGTTTGTTTTGTTACTATTGTGTTTGTTGCCACAACAAAAATGCTGCAACAAACACATTTGTAAGTGTATCCTTATTTCTTAGTCCCTTAATTTCCACGGGATAGATTCCCAGACATGAAATTGTTGCATCATATGCATGTTTTTTTCTCTCCATAAATTCTGTAACAGTTCAATTTCTTTTAGTAATGTGAGAGAGTGCCCTTTCCCTAGCAAAAACCCCTACTACAGATTTTATCTGCTTAATTTTTCTCAACATAACGTGTGAGACGTATTATCTCACTTTCCCTTTGATTTGCATTTCCTTAACACTTTTTTACATAGTATTTAGACATCCTCTCGGAAATTGCCTATTTATATCCTTTGCCTATTTTCCAACTGAGATGTCTTTATCAGTTTGTAGAGGTATTTAAATGTCTTAAACATAAAATCCTTCACCTATTTTTTTAGACAGGATCTTGCACTGATGCCCAGGCTGGAGTGTAGTAGTGTGACCATAGCTTACTGTGGCCTCAAACTCCTAGGCTCAAGGGATCCTCCTGCCTCACTCTCCTGAGTAGCTATGACTACAGGCACACACCACTATGCCCAGTTAATTTTTTATTTTTTTGTAGAGACAGGATCTTGCTATGTGCCCAGGCTGGTCTCAAACTCCCAGGTTCAAGCAATCCTCCCATCTCAGCCTCCCAAAGTGCTGGGATTACAGATGTGAGCCACTACACCCGGCCCTTTACCTGTTTTATAAGCTGCAACTTTTTCCCAGTCCATCATTTGTCTTTTGGCTTTGTTTATAAATATTTTTCCATGTAATATAAAGTTTATGCAAGCAAATATGACTATGTTTTCCTTTATGGCATCTTCATTTATTGTCTTGATTTAAAAGATCTTCCCCACCACCAGGTTATGTTCATGGTCTCCTACATTTTGCTCTTATGTTATTGTTTTGTCTGTTTTTTTACATTTAAATTTTTAATCCACCTGGAATTTATTTTAGTATATGGAAGGAGTTAAAAAATGTCTTTGTATTCTTCCAGATGGGTAAAGTTGAAGAGTATGACTTAATACATAAACCATTTTTGTTCTACCAGGATTGACTTAATAAGGATATTACAATGTGTAGTTACACAGGGCCCCAAACCAGAAGGACCCTACATGCTTGGATTATTGCCCTGCTATCATCATCTTGAAATTCTCCTTAATTTTGTCTTTCAAATTGTGTTTTGTAAGTGAATTCCAATGGAACACTGAGGAGGGGGCCTGGAGCCTCAGTGTAGTCCCACTTCCCACTACCTCTCTGCCTTTCTAGGATAGGTTCTTGTCTTCTATTCCCCAGCCATCTGGCACCCTGGCCCTGCCCAGCTTCCCCTTTCCCATCCTCACTTCTTTTCAGACTTTTAAAATATGCAAGGTCACCAAAAAATTAGCTACATGCACGCTTTCTGAAAAACAAACTGAAGGATATACTCTACCAAAATAAAAGAATAAAACTAGAGAGAAAAATATTGAATTCTAGAGGCAAAGATCCAAATGGGAGAGAGGAAAAAGGACTTCAATAAAGATAGCTGGTCCTGGAGAACAGCCCATTCAAACTGGAGCAGGAAGACAGAGGGTTGTGGGTGGGATGCGTCCAGAAAGAAATGGAGCTGCTAGATTTCCTGGTGTACTGGCTGAACCTTGCTGAGAGGAGTTTTACAGCTCTGTGAAAGTTTAGAACTGGGGATGAGTTCAGGTTAAAAAAATAAAAATAAAAATCCAGGAGTGGTTGGCAAGATGGCCAAATAGGAACAGCTCCAGTCTGCAGCTCCCAGCTAGATCAACACAGAAGGCAGGTGATTTCTGCATTTCCAACTGAGGTACCCAGCTCATCTCACTGGGACTGGTTAGACAGTGGGTGCAGCCCATGGAGGGTCAGCCGAAGCAGGGTGGGGTGTTGCCTCACCCAGGATGCGCAAGGGGTCAGGGAACTCCCTCCCCTAGCCAAGGGAAGCCGTGAGGGACTGTGCCATGAGGAAAGGTACATTCCGGCACAGGTACTACGCTTTTCCCATGGTCTTCACAAACTGCAGACCAGAAGACTCCCTCGGGTGCCTACATCACCAGGGCCCTGGGTTTCAAGCACAAAATTGGGTGGCCGTTTGGGCAGACACCAAGCTAGCTGCAGTTTTTTTCATACCCCAGTGGCACCTGGAACACCAGCAAGACAGAATCATTCATTCCCCTGAAAACGGGGCTGAAGCCAGGGAGCCAAGTGGTCTAGCTCAGCAGATCCCACCCCCACAGAGCCCAACAAGCTAAGATCCACTGGCTTGAAATTCTCGCTGCCAGCACAGCAGTCTGATGTTGAACTGGGATGCTAGAGCTTGGTGGGGGAAGGGGCGTCCGCCATTACTGAGGCTTGATTAGATGGTTTTCCCCTCACAGTGTAAACAAAGCCCCAGGAAGTTCGAATTCGGCAGAGCCCACCACAGCTCGGCTAAGCTGCTATAGCCAGACTGCCTCTCTAGATTCCTCCTCTCTGGGCAGGGCATCTCTGAAAGAAAGGCAGCAGCCCCAGTCAGGGGCTTATAGATAAAACTCCCATCTCCCTGGGACAGAGCACCTGGGGGAAGGGGCAGCTGTGGGTGCAGTTTCAGCAGACTTAAACGCTCCTGTCTGCCAGCTCTGAAGAGAGCAGGGGATCTCCCAGCATGGCGCTTGAGCTCTGCTAAGGGATGGACTGCCTCCTCAAGTGGGTCCCTGACTCCTGTGCCTCCTGACTGGGAGACACCTCCCAGCAAGGGTTGACGGATACCTCATACAGACAGAAGAGTTCTGGCTGGCATATGATGGGAGCCCCTCTGGGACGAAGCTTCCAGAGGAAGGAACAGGCAGTAATTTTTACTATTCTGCAGCCTCCACTGGTGATACCCAGGCAAACAGGGTCTGGAGTGGACCTCCAGCAAACTCCAGCAGAACTACAGCAGAAGGGCCTGACTGTTAGAAGGAAAACCAACAAACAGAAAGGAATAGCATCAACATCAACAAAAAGGATGCCCACACAAAAACCCCATCCAAAGGTCACCAGCATCAAAGACCAAAGGTAGATGAATCCACAAAGATGAGGAAAAACCAGCACAAAAAGGCTCAAAATTCCAAAAACCAGAATGCCTCTTCTCCTCCAAAGATCACAACTCCTCACCAGCAAGGGAACAAAACTGGATGGAGAATGAGTTTGACGAACTAACAGAAGTAGCCTTCAGAAGGTGGGTAATAGCAAACTCCTCTGAGCTAAAGGAGCATGTTCTAATCCAATGCAAGGAAGCTAAGAACCTTGAAAAAAGGGTAGAGGAATTGCTAACTAGAATAACCAGTTTAGAAAAGAACACAAATGACCTGATGGAACTGAAAAACACAGCACAAGAACTTCGTGAAGCATACACAAGTATCAGTAGCCAAATAGATCCAGCAGAAGAAAGGATATCAGAGATTGAAGATTAACTTAATGAAATAAAGCATGAAGACAAGATTAGAGAAAAAAGAATGAAAAGGAATAAACAAAGCCTCCAAGAAATATGCAACTATGTGAAAAGACAAAACCTACATTTGACTGGTTCTCCTGAAAGTGATGGGGAGAATGGAATCAAGTTGGAAAACACACTTCAGGATATTATCCAGGAGAACTTCCCCAAAGCAAGACAGGCCCACATTCAAATTCAGGAAATACAGAGAACACCCACAGATACTCCTCGAGAAGAACAACCCCAAGACACATAATCATCAGAATGACCAAGGTTGAAATGAAGGAAAAAATGTTAAGGGCAGCCAGAGAGAAAGGTCAGGTTACCCACAAAGGGAAGCCCATCAGACTAACAAGTGGATCTCTCTGCAGGGACCCTACAAGCCAGAAGAGAGTGGGGGCCAATATTCAACATTCTTAAAGAAGTTTCAACCCAGAATTTCATATCCAGCCAAACTAAGCTTCATAAGCAAAGGAGAAATAAAATCCTTTACAGACAAGCAAATGCTGAGAGATTTTGTCACCACGAGGCCAGCCTTACGAGAGCTCCTGAAGGAAGCACTAAACATGGAAAGGAACAACCAGTACCAGCTACTGCAAAAACATACCAAATTATAAAGATCATCATCACTATAAAGAAACTGCATCAACTGAGGGGAAAAATAACCAGCTAGCATCATAATGACAGGATCAAATTCACACATAACAATATTAACCTTAAATGTAAATGGGCTAAATGCCCCAAATAAAAGACACAGACTGACAAATTGGATAAAGAGTCAAGACTCATCAGTGTGCTGTATTCAGGAAACCCATCTCACGTGGAGAGACACACATAGGCTCAAAATAAAGGGATGGAGGAAGATCTACCAAACAAATGGAAAGCAAAAAAAAAGCAAGGGTTGCAATCCTAGTCTCTGACAAAACAGACTTTAAACCAACAAAGATCAAAAGAGATAAAGAAGGTCATTACATAATGGTAAAGGGATCAATGCAACAAGAAGAGCTAATTATCCTAAGTATATATGCACCCAATACAGGAGCACCCAGATTTATAAAGTTCTTAGAGACCTACAAAGAGACTTAGACTCCCACACAATAATAATGGGAGACTTTAACACCCCAATGTCAATATTAGACAGATCAACGAGACAGAAAATTAACAAGGATATTCAGGACTTGAACTCAGCTCTGGACCAAGCAGACCTAATAGACATCTGCAGAACTCTCCACCCCAAATCAACAGAATATACATTCTTCTCAGAACCACATTGCACTTATTCTAAAATTGACCACATAAATGGAAGTAAAACACTCCTCTGCAAATGCAAAAGAACAGAAGTCACAACAAACTGTCTCTCAGACCACAGTGCAATCATATTAGAACTCAGGATTAAGAAACTCACTCAAAACCACACAACTACATGGAAACTGAACAACCTGCTCCTGAATGACTACTGGGTAAATAACAAAACTAAGGCAGAAATAAATAACTTCTTTGAAACCAATGAGAACAAAGATACAACATACCAGAATCTCTGGGACACAGCTAACACAGCATGTAGAGGGAAATTTATAGCACTAAATGCCCACAGGAGAGCAGGAAAGATCTAAAATTGACACCCTAACATCACAATTAAAACAACTAGAGAAGCAACAGTAAACAAATTCAAAATCTAGCAGAAGACAAGAAATAACTAAGATCAGAGCAGAAATGAAGGCGATAGAGACACAAAAAAAATCCTTCAAAAAATCAATGAATCCAGGAGCTGGTTTTTTGAAAAGATTAACAAAATGGACATACCGTTAGCCAGACTAATAAGTAAAGAGAGAAGAATCAACTAGACACAATAAAAAATGATAAAAGGGATATCATCACTGATCCCACAGAAATACAAACTACCATCAGAGAATACTATAAACACCTCTATGCAAATAAACTAGAAAATCTAGAAGAAATGGATAAATTCCTGGACACATACACCCTCCCAAGACTAAACCAGGAAGAAGTCGAATCTCTGAACAGACCAATAACAAGTTCTGAAATTGAGGAAGTAATGAATAGCCTACCAACCAAAAAAAGTCCAGGACCAGATGGATTCACAGCCGAATTCTACCAGAGATACAAAGAGGAGCTGGTACCATTCCTTCTGAAACTATTCCAAACAATAGAAAAAGACAGACTCCTCCGTTACTCATATAATGAGGCCAGCATCATCCTGCTAAACCTGGCAGAGACACAAGAAAAAAAGAAAATCTCAGGCCCATATCCATATCCTTGATGAACATCAATGCAAAAATCCTCAATCAAATACCGGCAAACCAAATCCAGCAGCACATCAAAAAGCTAATCCACCAGGATCAAGTCGGCTTCATCCCTGGGATGCAAGGCTGGTTCAACATACACAAATCAATCAACATAATTCACCACATAAATAGAACCAATGACAAAAACCACATGATTACCTCAAAAGATGCAGAAAAGGACTTCAGCAAAATTCAACAGCCATTCATGCTAAAAACTCACAATAAACTAGGTATTGATGGAATGTATCTCAAAATAATAAGAGCTATTTATGACAAACCCACGGCCAATATCATACTGAATGGGCAAAAATTGGAAGCATTCCCTTTGAAAACTGGCACAAGACAAGGATGCCCTCTCTCACCACTCCTATTCAATATAGTATTGGAAGTTCTGGCTAGGGCAATCAGACAAGAGAAAGAAATAAAGGATATTCAAATAGGAAGAGAGGAAGTCAAATTGTCTCTGTTTGCAGGTGACATGATTGTATATTTAGAAAACACCATTGTCTCAGCCCAGAATCTCCTTAAGCTGATAAGCAACCTCAGCAAAATCTCAGGATACAAAATCAATGTGCAAAAATCACAGGCATTCCCATACACCAATAATAGACAAAGAGAGGGCCAAATCGTGAGTGAACTCCCATTCACATTTGCTACAAAGAGAATAACATACCTAGGAATACAGCTTACAAGGGATATGAAGGACCTCTTCAAGGAGAACTACAAACCACTGCACAAGGAAATAAGAGAGGACACAAACAAATGGAAAAACATTCCATGCTCATGGGTAGGAAGAATCAATATCGTGAAAATGGCCATACTGCCCAAAGTAATTTACAGATTCAATGTTATCCCCATCAAGCTACCATTGACTTTCTGCATAGAATTGGAAAAAACTACTTTAAATTTCATATGGAACCAAAAAAGAGCCCGTATAGGCAAGACAATCCTAAACAAATAGAACAAAGCTGGAAGCATCAGGCTACCTCACTTCAAACTATATTACAAGTTATTGTAATCAAAACAGCATGGTACTGGTACCAAAACAGATATATAGGCCAATGGAACAGAACAGAGGCCTCAGAAATAATGCCACACATCTAAAACCATCTGATCTTTGACAAACCTGACAAAAACAAGCAATGGGGAAAGGATTCCCTATTTAATAAATGGTGTTGGGATAAAATGGCTAGCCATATGCAGAAAACTGAAACTGGACCCCTTCCTTACACCTTATACAAAAATTAACTCAAGATGGATTAAAGACTTAAATGTAAGACCTTAACCCATAAAAACCCTGGAAAAAAACCTAGGCAACACCATTCAGGACATAGGCATGGGCAAAGACTTCATGTCTAAAACACCGAAAGCAATGGCAACAAAAGCCAAAATTGACAAATGGGATCTAATTAACTAAAGAGCTTCTGCACAGCAAAAGAAACTATCATCAGAGTGAACAGGCAACCTACAGAATGGAGAAAATTTTTGCAATCTATCCATCTGCCAAAGGGCTAATATCCAGAAACTACAAGGAACTTAAACAAATTTACAAGAAAAAAAACAAACGACCCCATCAACAAGTGGGCAAAGGATATGAACAGACACTTCTCAAAAGAAGACATTATGCAGGCAACAGACATATGAAAAAATGCTCATCATCACTGGTCATCAGAGAAATGCAAATCAAAACCACAATGAGATACCATCTCATGCCAGTTAGAATGGCGATCATTAAAATGTCAGGAAACAACAGATGCTGGAGAGGATGTGGAGAAATAGGAATGCTTTTACACTGTTGGTGGGAGTATAAACTAGTTCAATCAGGATCTAGAACTAGAAATACCATTTGACCCAGCAATCCCATTACTGGGTATATACCCAAAGGATTATAAATCATTCTACTGTAAAGACACATGCACATATATGTTTACTGCAGCACTATTCACGATAGCTGCAGTAAAGACTTGGAACCAACCCAAATGCCCATCAATGATAGACTGGATAAAGAAAATGTGGCACATATATACCATGGAATACTATGCAGCCATACAAAAGGATGAGTTCATGTGCTTTGCAGGGTCATGGATGAGGCTGGAAACCATCATTTTCAGCAAACTAACACAGGAACAGAAAACCAAACACTGCATGTTGTCACTTATAAGTGGGAGCTGAACAGTGAGAACACGTGGACACAGGGAGGGGAACATCACACACTGGGGCCTCTTGGGGGTGGTGGGTTAGGGGAGGGAGAGTGTTAGGAGAAATACCTAATATAGGTGACAGGTTGATGGGTGCAGCAAACCACCATGGCACGTGTATACAAAAAAAAAAAATCCCTAGCAACTGAGAAAATAAGATAATCATTAACTCCAAGAAAAATAAAATGTCATAAACAAAAGGAAATATAATCATAGGTTATTTCCTGGCTAGCTGTAATATACCTAAGTGGTCATAAGAAGGTAAATACTGAATTTTGATCTAACTAAAACTTATAACTATATTAGGGGAGTGACAAAGGAAGGAAGTTTGAGGGAAGGGTAGAAAAGAGGTAAGAGAACTAAAAGATATCCTTATCTGCCATAATAGGAAGTTAATAGGGAAGGTCTAAAACAGAAAGTTTAGGAAATAGCAGTATAAGCATGTTACTTAGAAATATGGAGATCAATACCAATAGAAATAGCCAATGAATGCAAAGTATCTCTGGGGAGCAGAAAATCAGGAATGAGAAAGTGGTGCATAAAACTGTTGCTTCTTATTGTAATACTTATAGTACTCTTTAATTTTTTAAACTATATGTTTTTGGCACTTTTATAAAATAATTAAATGTTTTAAAAGTAACAGGCAATAGAAATTCAGGCTGTCACTAACTTCACATGGGTGAGGCTGGCTCTAGTCATTTAAAGCAGGTCCATAATGCCCAAGCCAGTCTCCATCGAGTTTGAATGCTGACACTTTGGAGTTGGTTTAAGCTGATCAGCTTTGTTTCAACTCTGTGAAACTATCAAAGAGCTGGATGATGCACAGATGGTTATTCTCTAATTTCAGGATTTTTAAACTTAGTAACAATGTTTTTGTATACTTTTTTAAAGTTTCTGATTCCCTCCTTAGTCTTTGAGTTTTCATTTCTGTTATCATCTTTTCCATCTCTTTCAACTCCAAATATTTCCTTTAAATATTTGGAGTTTTAAAGGAACTCCAAATATTTAAGAGGGCTTTTTAAATTTGATCTCTGTTCCAAAGGTGGAATTTTTCTCTAAGCTCTCAGCACTTTGTCAGTTTCCCAGAACAGGCCCAAGACTTTTTGGCACTGGGAATCAAAGCAAGCAAATGTTTATGGATTTTCCTGAAAGCAGAATAAAGAAAACCAGGATAATAGAGAGCAATAACCGACAGCAATGAAAATCCAGCACAAAGGAATTTCTGCATTGTACCTAGGTAGTTACATTTATTTTTTTAGATGCCGATTATGAATTATCATTTGTATATATTTAGTAACTATTCAGATTATTTTAATACAGGATTTTGATGGGGAAAGTGTGACTAGACTAGCAGCTTTCAATAACCTGAAAAGCTTTTTAAAATCCTGATGCCTAGGTCCCACTCCCAGAGATTCTGATGTAATTGGTTGGCATGCAGTGTGGGGACAGGAATTTTTTTAAACTCCTCATGTTAGTCTAACATGCGGCAATAATTGGCTATCACTGGACTGGATCATGTCCCAGGTGTTCTCTCTCAGTTAAAGCAGCTGAGAAAAGTCTAATTCCATAACCATAATCTGGGCACTAAATTCACCTGATGACAAGTGCCCATATGGCATATGAATTCCTGGAGGAAATAACCAGTGGCTCTTGCAAAAACCTTTAAGTGGTAGCAATTGTCACACAGCCACCCCTTAATGTCCATCGAACACTAGGTTCCCAAGATGATGTGTCAAGGGCAGCATGGATGGCTGGTAACTCTCCCTCATTATGGCTTCCCTCTGCCTGGGCAATGGTCATTTCTTGTTAAGCAGCTTATTTGAACGACAACATTGCCCATTTTAGAGCCACTCTAATTGCCCAGGCAACCAGCTTCCCTGCACTTTTTAATCAAAGAATTGGATAGTCCAATCATGGTTAATTCTAAGTCCTTTTCTTCTGGTCCCTAGCATATTGGATGAACAAAGGTTTTATGGAGCTCATTTCCTCTGTGGGACCGGAGGATGCCATGTGAGCATATGTGAAACTACTCTTCAACAACTTCAATGGTGTCTGCCCCCCTTGGATAAGCATGTGTTTGGAGAGGATGAATCGAGCCCCACAGCTGAGACCTGAGATTAGTGATTGTAGTCAGCAGTTGGTGCCTAATTAGTGAAGCAGGTAAGGGGGACTGTTGAAAGGGGTGCCTGCTGAACCAAAAGCCACCATTGAGACTGAGCTGCAGAAAGCATTTCTAAACAGCAGACAGCAGGAAGTAGGCTGATCTGGAGCTCAAGTAGAAGAGGGAGCCAGGCTGACATAGGGCTATGTTGGCCTGAGTCCCAGAACAGAATCACCACTGGACCTCTTAGGAATGCAGGGCTGAGCTCAGGGAGTAGGAGAAGGGGCTAGAGAGGGAAGAACGCCATCATCATCTTCCTACAGATGATCAGTGCTCTAGTCTAATTGCTAGAGAAGTAGAGTGAGGGTGGTGGAAGAAGACCCACGGAACATCACTGGGGCCATCATATCAGGGCCAGAGGCCTCCAGGAGCAAGGAGAGAGCCCCTGTGAAATACCAAGTCCTAAACCAAAGCCACCTACCCCAGCCGCAGTCTGCAGTTCCAGATACTGTGCATACCTGGACAGTATGTCTTCAGCTGCTCTCTACCCAGCTTGAGTGTAGCACTGTGCATGTGCTCAGCTCAGACCTGAGCAACAGGGAGCACACTCAGACTACCCACTGAGTCTGGGCCTGGCAGAAGCAAGGAACCATCAGTGGATAATGACTGCAATCAGAACTTAAGTGGAAACAGAAAGACATGCCTATTCAGCCCTTTGAAAGCTGGACTCATTTCTAGTTTTCCTTGTTATATTGAAGAACCAACATTTTTGAGCTAATATATGAGTAGAAACATGGATGCAAACTTCATTCTAATTATTAATGAGAAATGCAGATTATCCTCCTTCCTATGTTTAAAATAATCCTGATCTACGTGTATTGGAAAGTCAGACCCCTTCCTACTAAACCAGTCCCTTTATGCACTAAACCCCTTGAGCAAGGCCAAAAGCTCTGGAAAAATGCTGACCTTTCTTCTAGGCTCTAAGTGTTGAGAAATCTCTACAAATCCACAATAGAAATTAAACAGAATCACAGAGCTATGAGCTGTTAGACCTTAGTTCATCAAACATTTACTGAGCACCTACTTTACACCAGCACTGAGGGTACACAAATAAATCAGATCTAGTGTCTGCTTCTGTAGGCTCTCAGAGAGGGCAATATGCATGAACAGATGATTTTAATACAATACAATGTACACAAACCACAGAGGTATGAATACATAATGGAGAGATTGGCCTGCATTAGAAAGGGAGAGAGAAATGGGCAAAGGCCTCAAGGAAGAAGTGGCTCTGGAGCCTAAGAATGAAGAAAGAATACAATAAAGGTTGAAATATTCACTGTTATATATTAAAATGAGAATAAGATGATTCGTTTTAGAGCATAGTGGAAAAATAATAACAGTTGGGAAAGAACACTTCTCTCACCCCAGCTCAATAATTTTCTGAACAGAGAAAAAAAAAAATGGTGAAAGATTTGGAAGGAGAGGTAACAACATCAGACACCATACAAAAATGACTCGCTCTTTACCAGTGATGACAGGAAGGGTGACATCAGCACGAATGAGAGATTTTTAAAGACCAAACAGGACTAGCTCATGTCTGAGGAACTACAGCAAAATAAGAGCTGTCAAGGCTTGGGAGTGGGGCCATGTAAAATAGCATTAAGAGCAGGAAGAGGTAGGCTGCAGAGGAGTTAACATGAGTCTCCAGGACCCCACAAGGGAAGAGAGGTGCCTAGGGAAGAGAGCCTGAGACACAGTGAATCCACTGCTTATGTTGTGGGGCAGGGAAAGAAGGAACACGCTGGGAGCAAACAAGTTTTCTTACTAGTGTTGTGGGTATGAAACTAAGGCCGAAGCTCAAGCACACAAGAAATGGGACTTCACTGCACATTGTATGCACTGTCAAAATATCACATGTACTCCATAAATATGAACAATTATTATGTATCAATTAAAAAGTAGCTTTATTGAGATATTTATATACAATAAATTCATTTGTTAAAAAAAGTAGGAATTTGCTTTGTTATTACAATTTATTTTTAAGCTCCATTCCACTGAGGTTCCCTTCTTTTTCTCAGAGTTAAAGAGGGCCAAGGCATTGGAATAGGGGTGGCAATCTGCTTTTCTGTTATTATCTACCAACACTGATATAAGCTCAGATGTCCTGTCACCTCTCATTCCCAGCTATAAACCCTATTCAGATTCTACTTGCCCAGCCACTTTCATACTTCTCTCTGGTGACTAGGAATTAATTCTGCACCTCCCACATCATGCTGGGCCATAGGAAACTGTGGCACTGTCCAAGGCCCTATGATGTCACAACAGGCTGGCCAAGGGAAACATATGACCAAGACACACAACCCAGTCATTTCTTCTCCCTGGTCTGGCTACTTCTCTGGGGCTCCAGAATGAAACAAATACAGTGACCCTGGTGAAATGAACTGTGTTCAACTCAATACTGGACGTCAGTGATTATAGCTAGGAAGGTGCATCTGTTTTAGGATGCCTTCAGATATAAGAGTATTAGTTATCTTCTGTAACATAACTAATTACCCCCAAAACTGAATGGCTTAAAACAATAGACATTTATTTTCACACATTTTCTGCAAGTCAGGAATTTAGGAGTGGCTTAGCTTGGTGGTGCTGGCTCAGATTCCCTCGTGGGGTTGCAGCCAAGATGTCAGCTGGGGCCACAGTTATTAGAGAGCTTGTCTGGAGTTGGAGAACTTGCTTCCAAGATGGCACATTCACATACCTGGCAAGTTATTGCTGGCTGTTGGCAGAAGTCCTCAGTTCCTTACCACATGGACCTCTTCATAGGGCTGTTTGAGTGCCCTCATGACACAGCAGCTGACTTCCTCCAGAGTCAGTGATACAATAGAGAAAGCAAGGAGGAAGACACAATGCCTTTGTGTCCTAATCCCAGAAGTCACTCACTGTCACTTCTGCCATATTCTCTATGCTTTACAAAAAAATCACTAAGACAAGCCCACACTTAAGTGTAGGGGAAAATTAGGCTCCACTTTTTTAAAGGAGGAACATGAAAAAAATGTGTATTCATATTTTAAAACCACCACAATAAGAGGACAAAATAAATGTGTTTGAAACATGAGGATGTATGGACTCACCTAACTAGAATCCAGAAATAGAGCAAATTTCAGGATGTTGATTGACCTAATGGCTTGTTGAAGTCATCAAGGAACCAGGATCTTTCTGATTCTTTGCTCTTTTATCCAAAGGATCATCTTGAAGCTGACTCTCCTCATGGTCACAGGAAGGCTGCCAACAGCACTGAGGGTGATGTACTTCCTTGTTCATATCTAGCCAGAGAAAGGATGAACTCCTTTATCATACAACAGAACTCCCCTGTGGTCGGGGAGAATCATGTGCTAATTGGCTTAGACCTGGTCTATCTGTGCATTGGCACAGTGGCAAGGGGGTAGAACTATCTGACTGGCTTAGACTTGGACCTTGGGGTTGCTCATTCCCTCCCAAATCACAGAGTTTACACAAAGAGTGAGGGAGAATGTGGACATTGAGGAAGAATACAATGTTCACCACAAAAATAGCTAGGCGAACAAGCTGCTGATTCTAGGAGAACTAACACTAATAGCCACGGCTCAACCCCCTGAAGTTGTGGAGAAACTGGACATAACCACTCCCACTCATCTTCCCCCTCAATCCCACTCAAGGCCCAGACAGCCCACCAAGTGGAGATGCAGCTGGACCAACAAGCTTCTCGCTGGGGAGGCAAATAGTGTGTGAATATATCAGTCACCTTAGGTTCTATCACTTGAATCAGCTGAGATCCCAAGAGCTCACACTCAAGGGATTGGAACTTAGATTGGAAGGGAGACAGGGTAAAGGAATGGGAAAGTGGAAAGGGGAGGGGGATGTTGACTAGCACAGGCCTTTCTAAGCAACTCCCCAGCTTTCCCACAAGCCCCACACACAGCCTCCCTCTCTAATTGTATCATGGCCATGATGGGATGGCCCAATTCACATGGGCCCTATGCCTCAAAGCATCAGGTACATACAGAAAAGAGGCTTACTATGTTGGGCCCTGTATTAGTTTCCTAGGCTGCTGTAATAAAGTGCCACAAACTGAGTATAGCTTATTGTCCCGAGAATTTATTGTCCCACGGTTCTAGAGGCTAGGAGGATGAAATCAAGGTGTTGAGGGGGTGGTGTTTCCTCTGAGACCCTGGTAGAATACTTCCTGGCCTCTTCTTAGCTTCCGGTGGTGGTCAGCAATCCTTGGCATTACTTAGTTTGCACCCGCATCACTCCAATCTCTGCCTCTGTCATCATATGACATTCTCCCTATGCATCCCCGTCTTTGCATGGTGTTTTTCTTTTCTTATAAGGACACGAGTCATATTGGATTACGGCCACCTTAATGATTTAATCTTAACTTTATTATATCTGCAAAGACTCTATTGCCAAATAAAGTCACATTCTCCAATACCCGGGGTTGGAACTAAAATACATCTTTTGTGGCGATGCAATGTAACCCACAACAGACCCCTTTCATTAGTTCTTCCTCCAGTGCTTTTGGTAATAGCTGCTAAGCAACTGCAGTTCTTTCCTTTAAAGAATAGTCTGTATTTCCCAGTCTAATCATCCTTCATGGATTTGGAAGGTAAAGCCAGGGGGATGTCCTATCTGCTGGTCCTTCAAGAATATAATGCACTGGCTCACCAATGGATGCAAGATTGGTGATTTCTCTGTTAAATTAGCCTGTGTACGGAGTGCTCAGCCTGCTTAATGCCTTCCTGAACCAGGGAGATGTACTGAAGCAGCATTTAGGTTCTGGCCATACAAACCTAACCTCTCTCTCCTCTCAGGGCCTTAGTTTCCTCATCTGTAAACTCTAGAGAGGCTTCTAGTATCTAACAGTGACTGTAAAGTGGCCACACCTGGCCCAAATCAGATACACATCGAAATTCACGCAGCCATTAGGCGGGTGTCCCTTGACAAGACCTGCAGGAAGGCTCATTAGAGCTATTAAAGCATCCCCCTGGAGACAGTGTGTATTTTACTATGCAGATTCCAAATTTAGATAATAAAGAAGCTAATGCTCTTCTCTTCCCAGGAGCCAGTGCTTTGTGTTCATACAGAACGTCTGGACACCCACGAAGACATCCCTTGACACACACATAAGTAATCATGAAGGATGAGAGTGAGCAGGGCAAAATGTCAGAATTACAGGAGACCTGGGGTTGTTCACTCTGCAGTCACTCAGCAACCAGGTTCTCTTGGCTTCAGTTTGGCAACTGCACAAGTACTAAACAGCTTTCCCTACAGAAGGAAGAAAAAGAATCTCTGGCCCAGCAGGACTGAACCAACACAGCTACACAGGCCTGCGAGAGTCAGCAGGGCCATCCAAGGACTATATCCAAAGGCCATGGGGTCCTTTGGGCAGCCATATTGAATCCAGCAACAGCAATGGGCTCATTCAGTAAGGTCCTGCTGAGGGCTGGGGCCAAGAGCACAGGACCAAGCTCTCTAAGGAAGAAGCCCGGGAGTCCCAGGCAGGCTGATTCACACCAGAGCAGGGCTTCCAGCCAAGCCTGGAACCTCCACACACAGCAAAGAACCTGATGGGTAAATGTTAATTGAATGAAGGAGACAGATAGAACTCAGAGGTAGCGGTGGAGGAGATGGGGAGAAAGGGAGAAAAAGAAGCAGAAGAGGAAAAAGAAGGGGAAGGGGAAGGAGAAGCAGAAGGAGGAGGACAAGGATGAGGAAGAGGAAGGGGAAGGAGATGGGAAGGGGAAAGGAGAGGAGGAGCCCAGTGATAAGGGGCAAGCCCTATGGCAGGGGCCAAGATCCTTTGCCTTGGTGGGCTCTGGAGACGCAAGGCTCCCACCGGCATGTGAAATGTCAAGCCCCTGATTAGCAATTCCAGACGCACCCACCGGTGGGCCACGGTCTCCAGTGGTCTCCTTGCCCCTGGTTCAGGTGGGCTCAGAATCCAGGTAGGGCTGGAGGACAGCAACAGACCCTGCACTGTGCATGTGTCAACCTTTTCCTCAGGGTCCTCTAGAAAAGGCACTCCTGCCTCACCCTCCCTCCAACCAATCTTTCCCACAACCTCTTGGAACCAAATGAACACATCTGTTGGTAAAAGGCAATGTAGTAAGAGAACAAGATCTGGACCCAGGTGGTTGGGCTTGAGCCCTGGCCCTGCCATTCACCAGCTTTTCATCACTGGACAAATGACACAACCAACCTAAGTCACTATTTCTTCATTTGTAAAATGGAGAAAATGATAATATCTGCTTCCCAGGGTTGTTGTGAAGAATAAATGAGATTATGTAAGTAGTGTGAACTGGTGTGTGTGTGTGTGTGTGTGTGTGTGTGTGTAATGCTTATTGTGCTTATTGTGTGTCAGGCACTATGTTAGTCATTACACTTACATACGATGCATATATATATGTATGTATGTATCTCATTACTCTTATACAGAAATGAGTAGGGCTTCTGGGTGACGTGAGTATTGTCTACACGACAGAACCCAAAGTCAATCTTAACGCCTCTTAATTTGGCAGTTAAAATTCCATGCAGCCCCCAGTGGCAATGCTTCCACATCTTGAAACTGAAAACTCAGATTGCAAGTGGCCTCTTTTTCCAGGTCAAAGGAGGCAGCTTCTCTTAATAACCATCCTGGAAAAACACCACATCTGAGAAAAGGTGCCCTCACTGCCTCATTCACTTGTCCCCAACTAATGAGAGTTTCCTGCTTTTGCCCTGGGAGACTGATTATTGCCCTCCTCCTCACTGGGAGGTTGTGGGCAGGGAACATGCCAGTCAGGGAGGCCTCTGCTTGCACCCTCTCTACTCCCCAGTGAAACAGAAGGGGATGTCAAAGGAGCACTTCCCCTTGCAGAGCTTGGACTGCTCCAGGAACGTGCTGCTCAGAGGCCTGTCTTGGCCTCCTTATTGACTGAGGAAAGCAACATCTGTTGGCACAAAACAAAAGCTCTTAACTGTCTTGTTAAAGCCAGAGCTCCTCAACCAGCATCCACTGGGTAATTTTTCTGGGTTAATAGTTGGGCCACAGAGCTGAGAGACAGGGAGGGGTAATAGCCCTTGTTGCCTCTTAAAGCCATCTATACGTCTTGCGTTTGCCATGAACCCATTCCAGCTTTTCCCAGGTTTTGTTCCCCAGGCTTCCCATAGATGGCCTAGGTCAGAGTTTTTTTAATCTCTATTGCATCACAATCACCTGGGGAACTTTGGTAAAACATGAAGACTGAGCTCCACCTGGACTAACTGAACCAGAATCACTCGGGTATGGAACTCAGGGAACCTGTGCTTCTTAAAAACTCATGGAGTAATTCTGATGCACAGTGAGGGTGGTGAACCACAGTTCCAGACAGTTTTCCATAGGTTTGCTGGGCCTTTCTGTAAGCAAGTGGCTGCTGCTTAGAAAACTGTTCCCACCCCATACCCTATGCACAAGCACACACACACACACGCACACACACTGTCTCTCAAGTATCAGGGCTGTAGTGTGGTATAACTGAGTCATGGGCATGAGCCCCTTTCCCAACCTGCCCACCAGGTAAGCTCAGGTCACGAGAGCAATAACTACCACATGTGCAGGTCTTCACTGCTTACCAAGCTTTCTTCAGAGATATGAGTGCCTTTAATCTTCTCAGCTGCCTGGGGAATAGTGATTATATTACCATTCTACCAAGGAGAAACTTGAGGCCTGTGGTAGGCAGAATAATGACACCAAAGATATTCACATCCTAATTCTCAGAACTTGGTGGTTCTGAAAATTAATATAAACCCTTTGAAAAACATTTTGTGTAAAAGCCTTTGATCCAGTGACTCCACATCCAGGAGCCTATCCCAAGGAAAAACTTACAAACATAAAAATCCTTACGAGCAAAAGTATTTATCATAGAGTTATTTATATTTAAAAATTAAAATGATTTACATTTCCAAAATTATGGGAAGGCTTAGGTAAAATATGGTATAGTCACTCAACTATGTAGTCAGTAAAAATGTTCGCTGTGTATATTAATATAGACTATATTTAGTATAATTTAGCACATTTTATATAATTTAGAATATATTTAGACACAATATTTAATTGAAATACCAGGATCTCAAGTTGTATATACAGTATAACTATGTAAAAACTATTTTTTAAATGGAAGGAAATGTTTATTATGTTTCTCTTCTATTGTCTGAACTGTATTTTCAATTCTTTATGAGTATACTTTATAAATGAGTATTACAGTTCACCCCCTGCAAAGAAGTCCACATCCTGATCCCCAGACCTTATGAACATGTTACCTTATGTGGCAAAGGGACTTTGCAGATGGAATTAAGTTAAAATGGGGAGAGTATCCTGGACTATCCAAATGGGCCCAGTGTAATTACAAGGGCCCTTTTAAAAGAAAGACCGGAGGCTCAGAGTCAGAAAAGGAGAGGTGGTGATAGAAGCAGAAATCAGGGTAATGTGTCCAGGAGCCAAGGAATGCAAGCAATCTCTAAAAGTTGGAAATGGGCTGGGCACAGTGGCTTGTGCCTGTAATCCCAGCTGAGGCGGGAGGATTGCTTGAGGCCAGGAGTTTGAGGCCAGCCTGGGCAACACAGCAAGACCCTATCTCCACGAAAAATAAAAAACAAAATTAGCCAGATATAGTGGCGTGTGCCTATAGTCCTAGCTACATAGGAGGCTGAGGCAGGAGAAGTGCTTGAGCCCAGGAGTTCAAGGTTGCAGTGAGCTATATTGCACCACCGCACTCTGGCCCAGGCAACAGGGGGAGACCCTGTCTCAAAACAAAACAAAGTTGGAAAAGACAAAGAGCGGGTTCTCCCCTAGAGCCCCCAGAAGGAACACAGCGTTCGATTTTAGCCCCAACAAGACCCATTTCAGACTTTGACGTCTAGAACTGTAAGCTAATAAACTTCAGTTGTTTTAAGCCATGACATTTATGGTAGTTTGTTACAACAGCAATAGGAAACTAATATAAGACCCGAGGAGGTAAAGTCCAAAGTACCTGTAGGAGCTGAGACCAGTTCTCGTTTCCCTCCTACTGTAGACTCAGGTACCCCAAAGCCCAGAGCTGCCCCTTAAGAGGAGAAGAGACAGCTCCACTGTGTGCATGCACCCCTCTAGGGCTGTGGACTGGTTGAACCTATGGCAGTCCCAGCTGTTGAGCCTTCCCGCCTTCCCCTTTTCCTCTAGAGTCTCCTTCCTAGGGATTACAGTGTGGTGTACAGATAAGAGCAGAGGAACTGACTTGAATATAAGAGCATTTTCCTTTGGAACACTCCACTCCCCAGCCATCAAGGTTTTTATAGCAAACACCATCCATAGCAACAAGATCAAAAATTCTAAACAGGCAAAAGCTAACAATAAATATCTAAAACCATTATGTGTTGAATGACAGTGGTTAGAACAAACAAAAAATTAAACTAAAACCAGAAGGTGAGTTCTACCACTTTTTAAAGTGCCTGCAATCGCAAATACCCATCATCCAGGGGGAGAATTGGGGTTCTTTGGCTTTTGGTTTTTAAGGTGGAGAGAACATTGGCAGAACCTGTTAGGAAATGAATTCCTTTACATTGTTGGTTCTCCAGACCAGCAGTATCAGCACCATCTGAGAACATTATTAAAATGCACATTCTCAGGCTCCACCCAACACCTACTGAAAGAGGAGCTCTGGGGTGGAGCCCAGCCATCTGCTCTAACAAGCCCTCCAGGTGACACTCATGCGCACCAGTTTGAGAACCACCGTCCTACAGGAAATCCAAATGCTGCTAAAAAGTTTGCCTGTCTGCTATCAAACCGAAAACATAACAGTTTCCCAGTATGTAGGTGAACGGCTAGAGTTTGGGGCCAGACTGGCATAAAAAAAAAAAAAAAAAAAAAAAAAAAAAACCTCCGAGTTTGGGGCCGGATTGGCAAGAAAACCGAAGTAAAATACTGACGGGGAAGGGCCTCTTTACAACTTTTTTCTTATGGATGTGTGATATAAATAGTATGCTTGCTGTGCAAACACATCCCCAACCCCTCCTTCCAACCCCATTGCTGCCCCTTACCCTCGCCTACAAAAAAACTCCGTATCCTTCCGTTCCTCAGTCCGGACTCCAGCTTTTTTCCTGGTCTCTCTCAAGTCATCCAAACCTCCTCCCAACCGCCACAAAGCTGCCCACCTACTATGCAAATCTAAACCCTTCCCATTCCCTCCCTTCACACAGTCTTAAAAGTTCCCTCCACAACGAAATTTCGTGTCAGAACTGTCTACTGGAACCCTTGGAAGCAAATAAACCGCCTTCCTCTAGCCTGAGAAACGTTCATCTGTCTCCTCTCCACTCTTGGGACAGCACCAAGAAGCTGGTTCCCGTAGCTTAGGGTTCGCTCGGCTCGGACTAGCCCCGGCTGCTGGGCGAAGCGGAGACTGTTGGAAGACTGTAGTCTGGAAGGTTTAGACTGAGCTGGAGGGACACCATGTGGCCATACCCAGTATGACACCTCAGGCCCGGAGGCTTCTGTTGTTTCTGTGGTGGTGTTTTTGTAAAGACCGTGAAACATGATGTTTAGGGTATTTTTGAGAATTAAAAAAGAGCAAAAGTTCACTCACAATTATGCTAACAAGATTATTGTTATTTCTGTTTCTTTTATTAAACATTTTCTGACAATTACAACAACACCCCCACCCCAAGGAGCACACCTTTCTTTTCAATGGAAATCTGATCATCAGCATTTTCCATGTTCATTCAAGTTTTTTGCAATCATTCTCTTCAGCGATAGATAACAGTAGACCCTCGATACATGCTGGTGCAATGAAATGGAATGAAGGAGCATTCAATTGTAGAGGGATGCTCAAGGTATAGAGGAACAGGGAAGTGAACCATTAATTCCGCCTGGACAGTCAGGGAAGATTTCTGAGAGATGTCATTCGGCTGAGGTGATTGAAGGAGAATCAGGTTATAGGATTGAAGGAGGATCCATTAAAAAGGTGTTTATTCTAGCACAGCTGAACACAATAAAGCCTGAACCAGGACAGAGCCCTGGGATCGGGTGGAGGGAAGGGGTGCAACAGAAATCTCTGGGGAGCAAGTTAAAACACAGATTCCCATGCTTTGCCCAGAGACCCAGATCTTGTAGGTCTAAGGAGGGGCCCAAGAATCTGAATATTTAGCAAGACCTCCCCACAGGGTGCTGCTGTTGCAGGTAATCCTCATGCCCACCACTGTTATTAAGCCCACAATCATCCTCGCCCCCCTCCTTCTTACTGCCTCTGTGGCCTCTGCCTGGAAAGTTCTTCCCATTCTGCTCTCGCTTGGCAAATGCCTTCTCCTTCAAGACCCGGCAGTGCAAATGTTCATAGGTAAACCCTTTCCGAGTGCTTGCTTTGTGCTTTGCACCACATTATTACTTTATAAAGAAACACTATTTAATTCTTAAAAAAAAAGAAAAAAGAAAAAAAACTCTACAGAGTAGGTCTCCTAATAAACCCCATTTTACAGACGAGGAAACTGAGGCAAAGCGCACTTGACTAACTGGCCCATTACCCATACTGCTGAGATGTATGTTTTCTTTCTTTCTTTTTTTTTTTTTTTTTTTTTGAGAAGGGGTCTCACTGTCGCCCAGGCTGAAGTTCAGTGGTTCGATCATAGTTCACTGCAGTCTTGAACTTCTGGGTTCAAGTGATTCTCTCACCTCAGCCTCCCAAGTAGCTGGGACTACAGATGCATACCACCACAGCAAACTAATTTTTTTATTTTGTGTAGAAACAGGATTTCACTGTTTCCCAAGCCGGCCTCAAACTCCTGGCTTCAAGCAATGCTTATGCCGTAGCGTCCAAAATGCTAGGATTACAGGTGTGAGCCACCACGCCCAGCCTGGGATGTATGTTTTCTATGTCGCCCGACAAGAGTACTCACAGCAGGAGGCTGAAGCTATGGTTGTCTCTGTGGCCCTGGAGCCTAGGGCAGTGCCGACAATGTAGTTGCCTTGTAAATATATGTCAAATAAATTTAAAAAATAAATACTGCCTCCTTCCATCGTGACCCTCAGCCAGTGCCTAGGCAACAAATCTGCCCTCTCCCTCTGCTCTCTTCCTCCTCTCCTTGACCCCCACTGCTTCCTCCTCCTCCTCTCTCCTTCCTCCACAAGGCTGCCTCCTCCTCATCTCCTTCCCCCCACCACCTCCTCCCCCCCACCACCTCCTCCCCCCCACCACCTCCTCCTCCTCTCCTTTCCCTCCACTCTCTCTTCCCACACTTCTCCTCCCACTCTCCTTCCCCCACCACCACCTCCTCCTCTTTCTCCCAACCACCACCTCCTTCCCCTCCTCCCTGCCCCCGCGCCCCGCTCTCCTTCCAAGGGGCCTGGGACCCCTTTCCTCCTGTTCTGTCACCTGGAAGTACTCAGCAGCCCCTGAGGCCAGCCCTAGCCTGCTATTGACTAAGGGACAGGAGTACCAAGGAATGCACTGTTCCTGTTTGTTGAGCCTTTTTATTTGGCAAAGCATGGAGAGAGCTCTCTCAGCTTCCAGACTTGCCTCCTCAAAGCCTCCTCTTTGCTGAGGCTCCCGCCAAGCCTCTCCCTCACAGCTGCTCTCCGCCTTCCTCTCTCCCTCCGGGTCCATTTCTGGATCCCTCCTTCCTTTCTGCTCCCCGCCCTACGTTCTTCCCACCCCTCCCCTGTCCCCTTGGCCTCCCTCCCACTTTCTCTCCGGGTTTCCCTGCCTCTTTTCTTCTCTCCTTCCCCTTTCCTCCCGCTCCTCTGTCCTCCCCGCAGCACCTTTGCTTTGGCTCTTTAGCTTTGGCTGGTCTCTCCCCGCATCTCCACCAGCCCGGCCTATCCTCTCCCTAGTTACGCGCTGCTCCGTCCCGGCCTCCGCACACTCCCCAGGGAGGCCCTTGGCCGCCCGGCCGCCTCCTCCCCGCGTCAGGGCCTCCCGCCCTGGAGGCCCGCGCCGGGCCCCTTGCTCCTGCGAGTGCTCATTACGGCCGCTCACCTCACACCCCGGTCCGCCCCCTCCCTCCTAGGGCGGCCTCCGCGGCAGCCCCCGCAGCTCTGCCCACGCCGACCCCGCCCCCCAGCACCACCACCACGGGCTCCGGCAGTCGGAAAAAAAAAAGAAAATCACCGCGTCCCCGAGCGGAGACCGAGGCACTGCCCGCCCCAGCTGCTGCCCACGTCACAGTGCAGGCGGACCGGAGCCCCAGCGGCAGAGCAGCCTGCGCCCCGCGGGCCCCGCCGAAGAGTAGCGGCCCGGGGCGGGGGCTGGAGCGCGGGCGCCACGAGTCCCAGCACTGCCCGCCGCGCTGCCGGCGCCCCAGGCTGGAGGAGGATGCCGGACCCGCAGGGAATTCATTCCTGTCCCAGCCCTGGCCGCCCTTCTGACGGAGGAGCGGCGGGCAAAACCCGCTGCCCCCCGAGCAGAAGCTGAGGGGAGACGCTAGGCAGCCTCGGGGCGACGGCGGCCAGTGGGCGCCGAGCGAGGAGCACGAAGAACCGGCTGCGGCCGGGCGAGGCGGCGGGAAGCGTTCGGAGCCGCTGCCGAAGCTTCCAGCAGAGCCCTCGAAGTCGTTCCGTTCCTTTCTTCTGTAAACACCTAATTGCAAGCCCCCGTGGGCCAGGCATGGGGTACCAGAGATCAGTAAAGCGGAGTCTCTGCCCTCGGGACCCCGTGTGGCGAATACAGTGTGGTAAATGAAATCACAAATCGTGGGAAATTGTGAAAGGAATCACGTTCTGTACACACACGCGACAAACAGCTCAACACATTTCACATATATTTCAGTCCTCATCTGTTCAGAAGCTACTATTAAAAGCTACTATTATCCCACCTCACAGAGGAGGAAACCGAGGCTCAGTTGTGTAACTTCTTGCTCAGAGTCACACAGCTAATAGTAATACGGAAGCGGGGATTCTTAAACTGCCTGATTGACTCCAAAATGGACTTTACTGCTTTCTACTGATAAAAGGTACCATGGATGCTAAACTCTGTTAGGGGGTGAGACCCCAGTGGTTTCTGAGGGATGAATAGGAGTTCCTTCTGTAGCCAAAGAACTCTAGGTCAAGGGATGGTGTGTGCAATCTCCTTTGATTTGCTGTAATTTTTTTCTTTTAATGAACTTTTTTTAAATCTGAAATAATTTCTGATGAAGTAGTTTAGATAATGTTCAATTCAAAATTTTTCTGAGGATCCCAACATGAATGGGTTTTAAAAAAATATATCAAATATCGGCTGGGCGTAGTGGCTCACGCCTGTATACAAGCGCTTTGGGAGGCCGAGGCGGGTGGATCACTTGAGGCCAGGAGGTCAAGACCAGCCTGGTCAACATGGTGAAACCCAGTCTTTACTAAAAATACAAAAATTAGCCAGGCGTGGTGGCGCATGCCTGTAATCCTATCTACTCGGGAGGCTGAGGCAGGAGAATCGCCTGAACCCAAGAGGCAGAGATTGTGGTGAGCCGAGATGGCGCCACTGTACTCCAGCCTGGGCGACAGAGTGAGAAAAATATAGAGAGAGATCAAATATCAAATTAATACTTAACAGTAATACTAAAGTCAACTTTAAAAGGGGGGAAAAGAATCACCCACAATGCCACCATCCTACCCTGGCCTTTTTTTTTTTCCTTAAAGACAGGGTCTTGCCCTGTCACCCAGGCTGGAATACAGTGGCCCAGCCCAGTCAGAGCTCACTGCAGCCTCTACCTCCTGGGCTCAAGCATGTGCCACCACACCTAGCCTTTTTTTTTTTTTTTTTTTGGTTGGTTGGTTTGTGTGTTTTAAACAGGGTCTCCCTATATTGCCCAGGCTGGTCTCAAACTTCTGGGCTCAAGCAATCCTCTTGCCTTGGCCTTCCAAAGCGCTGGAATTACAGGTATGAGCCACTTTACCTGGCCTACCCTGGCTTTTTAAATCACCATATATTTCCTCCCAGTTCTTGTAAGTAAATGCACAGGCACTTAACCTGGGTGATGTGGAAAGCAGTCCCATTAGTGTGCTCCATCAGTGTGACCAAGTGAATATTAAGAGGGTTCGATGGGATTTACAAATGTTCTCTCAGTAGCTGTTTTTTCATCAGTAAAATTTCTCTATCTGAATCACTATTTCTATGTAGCAAAAACAATTTAATATCTCTATAAAGGTCATTGATTTCTTGCTTACAAAGTAAGCACGTCCTTGTAAGCAAAGTCCTTGCTTACAAAGAAGACACACCCAGTGTATGTGCACCTGCTTAATTTTCATGGAGGAGACTGCATTCTTAACTGGTGCCCAAGGCCCAGGTCTCCTTCCCAAATGAGTCTCTTGCTCCCCAAAGTCTCCACTCATGTCAAACAGCCATGCCTAGTGTTCTTGGAACATATCAACTACGCTCCCATCTTCAGGACTTTGCTCTTATCCTTCTCCTTCCTCCAGGGCCTTTTCTTTCTGCTTGCCTCATATTTTTTTCAGCCCGCATTCATTAGAATCCAAATAAAGTCCCAATTTGTCAGTAAAGTTTTTTAGCATCCCCAGGGATTTTTCCTGCCTCTGAGCCCCTCCAGTTCTTGCTATCAACACCACTCATTGCTTTATGTTGTTGCATCATTTACAGACATGCTCTGTCTTCTAGATTTGAAGATCTTAAAGGCAAGGACCATGTCTGATTTCTCCTCCTCTATCTTCTGCTCATAGCAGACACTTTGCAAGTGTGGTTGATTATAATGATGCTGGTCATAAGTGATACAAAACACTAGAATTTCTAGCCATAAGAAAAGAGCATAGATTCAGAAGTTAAACTGAGCCAGATTCAAATCCTACTGCCTCCATTTACTAATGATGTGACCTTGGGAACCTCTCAGAATTCCTCTGAACCTCAAGTTTCTCATCTATAAAATGGGAACAATGGGTGGGGCATGGTGGCTCTTGCCTGTAATCCCAGCACTTTGGGAGGCTGAGGTGAGCAGATCACATGAGGTCCCGAGTTCTAGACCAGCCTGGCCAACATGGTGAAACCCCGTTTCTACTAAAAATACAAAAAATTAGCAGGGTGTGGTGGTGGGCACCTGTAATCCCAGCTACTCGGGAAGCTGAGGCAGGAGAATGGCTTGAACCCGGGAGGTGGAGCCGAGAGCACACCACTGCATTTCAGCCTGGGTAAGAGTGAGACTCTGTCTCAAATAGATAAATAAATAATAATGGAAACAATGATAGGATTATTGGAAGGCTCTAATGAAGTAATGCTTATTACAGTGTAAAAAGTGCTTAGTATATCATACACACTGAATAGTTGGTACTATTTTTTACTACTATTAATAAAAATGAAAAAAAGATTGACTAGAGTTTGCTAATCATTTTAAAGAGCATTTGTTTAATAAAAGTCTGTCAAACATGATGAAATTATCTGTCAAAGAATTTCACATTAAAGATCAGTGACAAATAAGTAGTTCTGGGGACTTCGCACTTGAGTGAAATTCCATAGCTCTGAGATTTTGCTAGCCAGTGCCAATGTCTGTGACCCTTGCTCAAAGTTACCAAAGTATGCTAATTTTAACAGTCATTACTTTGTTTCCAGAATTTGAAATGACACTCAGAGCTAACTCAGTCTTCTAGAACGCTGGAGCTGGGAGTCACTCTAGGGACAGCCCTTGTTCTGTAAACAAGGGAGCAACAGCCCTGACAGAGCCAACTGGCAGGTAAGTGGCAGAGCTGGAATTTTGAACTTCAATATCCTAACCTCCAGTTCAGAGCTCAGAATCACCACACCTTGCTGAGTGCTTGGAGAAAGAGTAACTGGGGAACTCATGCCCCATAGACCAGGAACACTGGGATTTGATCTCCTCCAAGTGTATTTATTCCCATGAGCTCCACTGAGTGACCATACTTAAAGACTGCAGGAAGAAGGGTGCGACTTGTTTAATAGCTGTTGAATGTAAAACAGTTCTCTTGCTAAAACCTTTGGCCTCCTCCAGTGACTGCTCTCTAAATACTCCATTTTCTGAGAGTGAGAATAGTTAATGCTCAAAGATGCTAAACAACAGCTGCAGTCTGCATCTTCTCTCTAGAGTTGCTGCTCAGCATTGAATCCAGCCTCTAGGCTGGAACTCAAGTAACCTCGCTGCTTTGAAAGGTAGCTCTGGGGAATATTAAAAAGTCACCAAACCTCCTGGGACTCATATGCAGAGACACTTTGTATATGGAAGCAAACAGGATGAAAAAGGCTGCACAGAGCATGCCATGCTTCTGACACATTGTGGGCTCCAATGTATGGTCTCTGACTGCTATGGTTTCATCTGAGAGGAAAGCAAAGAAGAGAAATAAATGTTTGTTGAGTGAATGACTAATTGCCAAAGGTATAATTCAGTAATCAGTCACAGCACCATCAGTCATTTCTGAGCAACTAAATTTTCACAAACAGAATCATCACCCCTCTGGCATACAGGGCAGAGCTTGGCTCCTGTCTCAGCATTCTGGGGGCTTTCTCAGATGACAGATTGTAGGAATTCCTGGCATGTAGAACTCACAATGAAATTTGCCCAGAGAAGCATCTTGCATGAATCAAATTTAACTGTCACATGGTTCCCATGAAGGCACTTGGCAGGGAGAGTCCATCCCTGTGGACTAGAAATATACCTTGATTCATAAGGAAGCCCCATCAAATTCAAGGCCCAGACTAGAGCCAAATAAGGTCCGTTCCATCCCTCATCTTCTATAAACTCAGCCATAACTCTCATCCTGAGAATCTAGCATTGTGACCTCATAACAGCCTTGCCCTTACCTTGTCCCCACACATGTGACCTCTGAGCCGTTCACTCGTGATTCATGACTTACACCCCTTCCAGGACAATACTAAGCACTGACCACCACACCGGCTGACATTGCAGGCTCCAGAACCTATAATATCACCTCCTCTAGACACAGTGATGAGTGCAGTTCCTCCCAAGCTAACTCTCTAGCCTACAGCATTGCATCTATAATTGTATAGAATCAAGGCCAGGAGCGGTGGCTCATGCCTGTAATCCCAGCACTTTGGAAGGCTGAGGCAGGTGGATCATTTGAGGTCAGGGGTTCAAGACCCACCTGGCCAACATGGTGAAACCCTGTCTCTACAAAAAAATAGAAAAAAATGAGCCGGGCGTGGTGACGCACGCCTGTAATCCCAGCTACTTGGGAAGCTGAGACATGAGAATCACTCGAACCCAGGAGGCACAGGCTACAGTGAGCCTAGATGGCGCCACTGCACTCCAGCCTGGGTGACAGAGTGAGACCCTGTCTCAAAAAAAAATGTATAGAATCCCAGACAGACCCATTTGTTGAGCATTCACTGTGTGCCAGGTACGTAGCTAAACATTCTACAGGCATTATCTGATTTCATTCTCCCAATAGCCAAGTGAGGTAGATTTTATTATGCTCATTTTATATGTGAGGAAACAGAAGCTCAGAGATCAAATGACTGGCCCAAGGTCACACAACTAACAAGTGACAGAGCAAAATTAGTACCCAGATGTGGCTGACTCCAAATCTCCAGCTGGTAGCCTCTGCAGTCCACAGCAGCCTTTGTCATGCTGTCTTTCATTGCTAAGGGACAGCTCTGCACACTCATGAACACCAGGCCGCCAGTACTGGAGACAGCTGGAACTGGTCTAGCCAGCTCACTCATCCATCTGTTCATCCTTCTAGCAGATGTTGATACCTACTGTAGGCCAGGGCTGTGGCAGGTGCTGGGGATTTAGAATAAATAGCGCAGAAGTCCTGCCCTTAGCATGAGGATTTTGAAGGCAAGCAAGGACTTATTCTGGAGGCTGCTCCGTCTGTCGCCCGTGTAGGTTCCCTTTTACCAACAGATCATATTTGCAGGGAGCTCTGGGTTGCAGAGCTGGGCTCTTGGGGCCTGGATAATGCAAAGTCCAGAGCACAGGGCCAAGTCACACTGCTGTTGACACCATGCTCGGCATTTATCCCAAGGGAACTTCAAACAGTGGAGTAATCCAAAACTTCTCATTTTCACCTGCCTGGAATTGCTCTTTGGCTATACCTTTGAATGACTCAGTAATAGCAATATTTCTAGAGCCATCATAATTCATATAAAAGTGGTTTGTGTTTCTTCAGTTACCAGCTTAATCTGATATAGAAGGCCTGGAGGGCTATGGAGAAATTCCCAAACACCTCCTAACATTCCTTGAATTTTTTTCCTTCTCATGGGAAATGAATGAGGCAGACAATTGTGACTGACCCTTGTGCTGAAGTCACACCACATCTATGTGCACCCTTCCAGAAGCTCTACTTCTTCAACAGGTGGAACATGAAAGAGGTGCAAGATTTCTGTAATAAATTCTCCTTCTCCAGCAATTATATTCACTTACACTTTAAGTATTCTTATTAAGGATAGCGAAAGCCTGCCTGCTGAGACTGCCCACTCCAACAGGGAAACACTCCAATTTCTTCCCCAGAGAGGTAAAGGAGCTTGAGAGTGCTCACAGAACTTGGCCATGGCTGTGCACGGTGGCTCACGCCTGTAATCCCAACACTTTGGGAGGCCAAGGTGCATGGATCACCTGAAGTCAGAAGTTCAAGACCAGCCTGGCCAACATGATGAAACCCCATCTCTACTAAAAATACAAAATACAAATAGCCGGGCGTGGTGGTACGTGCCTGTACTCCCAGCTACTAGGGAGGCCGAGGCACAAGACTTGCTTGAATCCGGGAGGCAGAGGTTGCAGTGAGCCGAGATTGTGCCACTGCATTCCAGTTGGGCGACAGAGTAAGACCCTATCTCAAAAAAATAAAAATAAAAATAGAACTCGGCCAGAACAAGCTTGGCCAGAACAGGCAACTGACTTCTGTGTTTACCCACTAAGACCAAATAGGCCATCCCAGCTAATCCTAGATTATTCAGACTTCCAAAACAACCCCACCTTTGGTGATGAACTGAAAAACAGTTCATCCACCTTGGGTGACAGAGTGAGATTCCGACTCAAAAAAAAAAAAAAAGAATTAATTGTAGCTGTCCACAAACATGTCCATTATGATATTATTTTTATGTGACAGAAAAGAAGTAGGGGCACGTGTAAGTAAATTGTAGTATATCCACTGGAGAATACCACACAGTCATTAATAATCACATATAATAATATCTAAAAACATGGCAAATTATTCACAATGTATTGTTAGATTTTAAAAAGCTATATAGTATACATTATACTGTCCCAATTTTGCACATAAAAGATGTTTATTTGCATAAATACAAGGAAATCCTGCCATTTACAACAACATGGATGAATCTGGAAGACATTATGCTAAGTGAAATAAGCCAAATGCAGAAAGACAAATACTGCATGATCTCACTTACATGTGGAATCTAAATTAGTTGAACTCATACAAGCAGAGAGTAGAATGGTAGTTACCAAGGCTAGTGGGAGGGGGAAATGGGTAGATGATGATTAAAGTTACTAAGTTTCAGTTATGCAAGATAAATAAGCTCTGGAGATCTAATGTATAGCATGGTGACTATTGTTAGCAATGCTGTTTTGTATACTTGGAATTTGCTGAGATGGTAGATCTTAAAGTATTCTCATCACAAAAAAAAGATAACTACATTAACTAGTTTGATTGTGGTGGTTATTTCATTATACGTATATATAAAAACATGAGGGCTGGGCACAGTGGCTCACGCCTGTAATCCCAGCACTTTGGGAAGCCAAGGTGGGCGGATCACGAGGTCGGGAGATTGAGACCATCCTGGCCAACATGGTGAAACCCTGTCTCTACTAAAAATACAAAACTAGCTGAGTGTGGTGGTGCTTGTCTGTAATCCCAGCTACCTGGGAGGCTGAGGCAGGAGAATCGCTTAAACCAGGGAGTTGGAGGTTGCAGCGAGCCGAGATCGCGCCACCGCACTCCAAGCTGACAACGGAGCAAGACTCCATCTCAAAAAAAGAAAAAAAAAAACAAAACATGAAGCTGTAAACCTTAAATATATACAATTTCTACTTGTCAAACATACTCCAGCAAAGTTGGAAGAAGGAAAAAAAAAGAAGTCCACATACAAAGGAAGCCCTAATTCCAGGGATGGACATTAAGTCAAGCCTGACCGATCACAGCATCACAGT
The DNA here is from genome assembly GCF_000001405.40 of Homo sapiens. Classification (NCBI taxonomy): domain Eukaryota; kingdom Metazoa; phylum Chordata; class Mammalia; order Primates; family Hominidae; genus Homo; species Homo sapiens. Next base: position 10,923,297 of record NC_000011.10, on the reverse strand, counting down.
CCCTAACATAGGGATTGCTTAAGGAATAGCGTTTGCTCTAATCACAGCCAATGAAATGCAATAAAGTTTTTGTGGAACTGCTGAGAGAGAAACACATGATCTTTCCTACTGGACTTAAATCAAGAAAGACAAAAGGCTGGCACTGCCAGAAGCCTTCTCACTACCACTTAACAGCCTGAAGGTGACATCAATATCAATCTAGGGAGAACTAGTGCCAAGAAATAGAATGAGATTTGGATCTAGTGACATCATTTAATTCCCTGATCAAAACATACCTGAAGCTATACTATTCCTGTACTTTTTAGTTGCACAACCCAATAAATTGCCCCCACCTTTTTTTTTTTAACTTAAGCCAAGATGAGCTAAGTTTTCCATGGCTCACATACAAGAGAATCCTAAATGATATGCTCTCAAGTTCAACACCTATTTCCAAATATTGCAGGGATGGTCAAACACACCTTTTAGAAATTATAAACATCCTGCAGAAGCTGAAAAACTCTCCATGAGAGTAATTATCATAGTTATTATCCTATTCAGAAATCTATTTTTGACTCTTATTATCCCATTTGATTCGACAATTATACCCCTGAATAACAGCTCCTCCTTCAAAGGGGCTGTTATGAAGAATAAAGGAGGATAAAAATACATTAAAATGCTCAGAACAGTGCCTGACACACAGTAGGTTCTCAATAAATCTTAGTCTCCTTTTCCTAGAATATGATGCCCAAACACCAAATGCACACAGATGAGAAGCTTACACGTTATCAAGACCTACACAGTTGTCCAAGATAATGTTCTTTGGACCTATTTTGCACTGAAACATGGGCAGAGCATCAAATATTTGCAAGAAGACATCCCTAATGCAGTGATACTGTTATGCTTACAAATGATGGGCCAAAATATGTATCTTATGAGGAGGACATCACAGTGGACACTTTCGTAGAACAATTGCCACAACAGGAGAATTGACTCCAGGTAGATGGGAAGCAGGAAGTCCTACCAAGGACAAACTACAATGATGCATTTGATGTGTTGACTGAGAAAAACAGCCCCAGAGAATCTGAAGAACCCGCGCTGACACAGAACTAGAAGGAGATGTGTGTCCCAAAGCCGGGCCTTCTTTTTGAAGATGTTGCTGACGTTCCTAAGAGGACAAAGTATTACAAAGCGCATGCATTTGAAATCAGACAGACCTAAATTATAATCCCAGATAATTATAATCCCCTACTTACTGGCTAAGTGGCCTTGAACTACTTTTTTGTTTTGTTTTGTTTTGTTTTTTGAGACAGGGTCTCGCTCTGTCATGTAGTGGTGTGAGCATGGCTCACTGCAGTCTCAACCTTGTGGGCTCATGTGATCCTCCTACCTCAGCTTCCCAAGTAGCTGGGACTACAGGTGCATGCCAGCACACCTGACTAATTTTTTTGGATGTTGTGTAGGGACGGGGTCTCATTATGTTGCCCAGGCTGGTCTTAAACTCATGGGCTCAAGTGATCCTTTTGCTTGGCCTCCAAAATGCTGGGATTACAGGCATAAGCCACTGCACCCGCCTGACAAATGCACTGAGCTATTTCTTAAACTCACTAAGTCTCTGTTTTCTTATCTGTGACATTTGGATAATAATATGTACCTGGTAGTGTCTCCTTTCCTCTAAGGTGTGACAGTCGTTAGGGATGCTGACAGAGTCCTGTTCTCTTGCCAGGTGTATGTAGGTCTGTACTTCCCCACCCTCTTTGAAGTCAGATGTGTTCTTATGGTTTCCTTTGGGAAGTGAAATGTGTGCTGAAGTGACTTAGGTCTGTTGAGGTGGAAGCTTTATGAACCAGAGCATGATCTGTTAGGTCCTCTTCCACCTGACAAGGTGATTCCAGAAGCGAGTATCCAGATTGGACCTCTGTCAGCCTGAGCCGCCAGGTGTCTATGATGGACAAAACTCCCTGCTGAACTGCCCTGGATATGGATCATGAGCAAGAAATTGATTTTGAGTTGCTTCTTATTTGAGCATAACCAAACCTATCTTGCTTGATACATCAGGTTAGATCATTTCCTGTATGTGAAGTCATTTGGAGATATTCAGTATACACTTTAATTCACTCAAAGCTTTGAACTTCTCCATATATTACAATCAATGTTAAGATATTTCTAGAATTGTAAGAGTAAAGTTAGGAAGATTCAAACTAAAATGGACAGGATTAGAAAGGATTGATACTATCTGGTGCCAACCAAGATGTAGGATGACAAGCATTTTCATACCCTGCTGTAAGGAATGTAATTGCCTAATCCTTCTGAAGGACAATCCAGCCCTGTCTATCAAAATCTGACCTACTTTAGACATTTTTTCTTAGAAAATTATACACCCATGCAAAAACTGGTTATAAGAGTGAAATATTGGAAACAACCTAAATGTCTAATAATAGGAGGCTGGTTATATAAAGCATGGTAAATACGCATATGGAATACTAGGAGGAACATAAAGAACAATGAGGTCAATTTATATTTTTAATACAGGTATTATTATTTGTAAAAGGCAAAGTAAAGTAGTATATATGGTATGATTGTGTTTTCATAAATATATGTTTGCAATACTGAAAGATAAGCTACCAAAGTGCTACTAATGGTTATCTTTGTGTAATAAGCTACAGTTAATTTTCACTTTATTCATTTTTCCTTCTGAGCACCTGCTTCTTTTTCAAAAAAACCTACAAACATATATTATTACTTTTTTAATCAGAAGAAAGTAAGAAAGCTATTTCTATTCTGAAAATGGAGGGGAATGAGTGGGAGGAGAGAGGCAGAGGCAGAGGCACAGGCAGACAGAGAGAGCGACAGAGGGAAGGATTAACCTCAGTGCTAACCTCAGATTAGCAGGAGTGACCAAGCAGTTGTCTGTAAACCATGGCTGCAAGATTGTGAAACACCCAAGTTCTGTGGAGAAGAGTTATGTTTAAAATGATTGTAACAACACAATACCAAAAGCTAATCAGCTAACAGACCCTGAGAAAAGACATTTTTAAAAGGTTGCTCAGGGTGGAGTATAGAAAAAAAGGAGTCAAACAGCCAAACTGTGTTCCTGTGTCTAGAGTTTTTCTGTGAGATATGGCAGCCACTAGCCACATGTAGCTACTGAACACTTGAAATGAGGTTAATTCAAATTGAAATGTGCCATAAGCATAACATAAACAATGGACTTCAAAGACCTAATATGAAAAAAAAAACTATGTTATTAATAATTCTAACATAGATTATGTGTTGAAATAATAATATATTTCATATATTGGGTTAAAGAAAGTATATTTACATTACCTTTGCCTGCTCCTATTTACCTTTTAATCTGGCTACTAGAAGGCTTAAATTTCCATACATGGCCCACATTTTATTTCCATTGGACAATGCTGGCCTAGATTATTGTCCTGAGGGAAGATTGTCAGCTCTGGCTTAATTTACCTGAACCAATTTATCCAGAATTCATATTTGCTAAATGTACAATATTTTACACTGGAGAGAATGATTTCCAACACTTTTTTAAAGTTTGGTGCTTTTTTTTTTTTTCTAATTTGCCCACTTTTGAGCACTTTCCATGAATACCAATCTAAGGCTATTTCTGTCTATTTCTATCTAAGGCTATTTATGTCTCAATTTTAAGTTAAAATACTAATCAGAAGATGAGAACATTTGGAGAAAGATTCAGAAAAAGGGAAACTTATTCCCTGTGACTAGGAAAACAGCGTAGCGTCTCACATTTTTCTGTCATCGTTTTTATTTCTTTTCAACAAGGAGAAAAAGGCAGGTGGCTCATTGCAGAAAACTCAGAAGTGCAAATCGGCTCCTTCTCTGAGTATAATTTAAGCAGGTGGTCAGATCCTCTCCACGGATTTCATACCAACATAAATTCCAGATGGACCAAAGAGACACTTTTTAAGCCATAAGAAAAACTATATGAATATTAAATGTACTACATATTTAACCATTGGAACAGGAAGATTTTTGAAACAACAAGGAAGAAGAAGAAAAAAAGTGGATAGAGTAGACTATATACAAATTTAAAACTTCTAGATATAAAAAAGTATAGAAACAACAGATGAGAGAAAATAATTATAGCAAGTATCACAAACATTAAATAAGCTTTCAAAAATATATAGATCTTAGACAAATTGATTTTAAAAATACTTTGACCTTGATATGGTTTGGATGTTTGTCCCCTCCAAATCTCATGTTGAAATGTGATTCCCAATGTGATTTCCTGGTGGGAGGTGATTGGATCATGTGGGCAGATCCCTCATGAATGGTTAACACCCCTTGGTGATAAGTCACTTCTTGCTCAGTTAGTTCACGTGAGATTTGATTGCTTAAGAGTCTGGTACCACATCCTAGTCTCTCTCTGTGACTTCCTCTCTCACCATATGATTCATCTGCTCCCCATTCACCTTCTACCATGACTGTAAGCTTCCTGAGGCCCTCACCAGATGCAGATGCCAGCACCATACTTACTATACAGTTTGCAGAACTGTGAGCCAAATAAACCTCTTTTCTTTATAAATTACCCAGTCTTAGATATTTATAGCAACACAAGAATGGACTAACACAGAAAATTGGTACTGAGGAGTCAGGCATTGCTATAAAGATACCTGAAAATTTGGAAGTGCCTTTAGAACTGGGTAATAGGCAGAGGCTGGAAGAGTTTGGAGGGCTCAGAAGAAGATAGGAAGATGAGGAAAAGTGTGGAACTTCTTAGAGACTGGTTAAATGGTTGTGACTGAAATGCTAGTAGAAATACAGATACTGAAGGCCAGGCTGTCGAGGTCTCAGAAGGAAATGAGGAAGTTATTGGGAACTGGAGTAAAAGTCACCCATGTTACACTCTAGCAAAGAATTTGACTGCATTGTGTTCATGTCCTAGGGATCTGTGGAAATTTGAACTTAAGAGTGATGACCTAGGATATCTGGCAGAAAAAAATTCTAAGCAGCAAAGCATCCAGAAAGTAGTCTGCCTGCTTCTAACAGCCTGCAATAAGTTATAGGAGCAAAGAAATGACTTAAAGCTGAAACTTACATTTAAAAGGGAAACAAAGCATACAAGTTTGGAAAACTCGTAGCCAGCCATGTGGCAGAGAATAAAAAAGCATTATTGAGAGAGGAATATAAACAGGCTGTGGAGCAACCACTTGCTAGGGGGATTAGCGTGACTAAAAGGGTGCCAAGGGCTAATATCCAAGACAATGAGCAAAAGGCCTCAAAGTCACTTTAGAGATCTTAGAGACAGCTCCTCCCATCACAGGCTCAGAGGCCTAGGTGGAAAAAATGGTTTCAGAGGCCAGGCCCAAGGCCTCACTGTCCTGCTCAGCCTCAGAACACTGCTCCCCACATCCCAGCTGCTCCAGCTCCAGCCTCAGCTCAAAGGGGCCCAGGTATAGCTCAGGCTGCTGCTTCAGAGGGTGAAAGCTGTAAGCCTTGGCAACTTCCACACAGTGTTAAGCCTGTAGGCATGCAGAATGTAAGAGTGAAGGAGGCTTAGCAGCTTCCACTTCAATTTCAGAGCCTAGGTGCTAGGGCAGAAGTCTGCCCCAGGGTCAGAGCCCTGGCAGAGAGCCTCTGCTAGGGCAGCCCTGAGAGGAAATGTGGGGTTGGAGCCCCCACACAGAATACCCACTAAGGCACTGCCTAATGGAGCTTTGGGAAGGGGACTGTCATTATCCAGAACCAAGAATGGTAGAGCCAGCAGCAGCTTGCATCCTCAGCCTGGAAAAGCCACAGGCACTGGACTCTAGCCCATCAGAGCAGCCATGTGGACTGCATTCAGCAAAGCCACAGAGGCAGAGCTACCAAGACCCTGGGAGCCCATCCCTGCACTAGTGTTCTTTGGATGGGGAACATGGTGTCAAAGGAGATTATTTTGGAGCTTTAAGATTTAATGGCTGCTCTGCTGGATTTTGGACTTGCTTGGGGTCTGTTGCCTCTTTCTTATGGCCGATTCCTCCCTTTTAAAATAGGAATGTTTACCCAATGCCTGCACCACCATTGTGTCTGGGAAGTAAATAACTTGTTTTTGATCTTACAGGTTCATAGGTAGAAGAAACTCATCTCCAGATGAGTCTTTGGACTTGGGACTTGGGACTTTTGAGTTAAGACTTCAGAGGACTATTATGAAGGCATGATTATATTTTGAAATGTGAGAAGGACATGAGATTCAGGGAGCCAGGGGCAGAATGATATGGTTTGGATGTTTGTCCCCTCCAAATCTCATGTTGAAATGTGATTCCCAATGTGATTTCCTGGTGGGAGGTGATTGGGATCATGGGGGCAGATCCCTCATGAATGGTTAACACCCGTTGGTGATAAGTCAGTTCTTGCTCAGTTAGTTCACATGAGATTTGATTGCTTAAGAGTCTGGGACCACACCCTTGTCTCTCTCTGGCTTTCTCTCTCACCATATGATTCATCTGCTCCTCCTTCACCTTCTACCATGACTGTAAGCTTCCTGAGGCCCTCACCTCAGTGAGGCAGATGCCAGCCCCACACTTCCTGTACAGCCTGCAGAACTGTGAGCCAAATTAAACTCTTTTCTTTATAAACTACCTAGTCTCAGGTATTTCTTTTTTTGTTTTTGTTTTTGTCCTTTTGGTTTGTTTTTGTTGTTGTTTGAGATAGGGTCTCTCTCTGTCACCCAGGCTGGTATGCAGTGGTGCGATCATGGCTCACTGCAGCCTCGAACTCCTGGGCTAAAGTGATCCGCCCACCTCAGCCTCCCGAGTAGCTGGGACTACAAGTGCATGCCACTGTGTCCAACTAATTTGTTTTTTAGAGATGGGATCTCACTATGTTCCCTAAGCTAGGTTAGGTATTTCTTTATAGCAACACAACAGATTAACACAGACCTCCTAAAAGTAAAGACCTGAATTCATAATTTATCAAAGAATTATAGCTAGCAGGCTGGGCGCGATGGCTCACACCTGTAATCCCAGCACTTTGGGAGGCCGAGGCAGGTGGATCACTTGAGGTCAGGAGCTCTAGATAAGCCTGGCCAACATGGTGAAACCCCGTCTCTACTAAAAATACAAAAACTAGCCAGGTGTGGTGGCACATGCCTGTAATCCCAGCTACTCAGGAGGCTGAGACAGGAGAATCGCTTGAACCCAGGAGGCAGAAGTTGCAGTGAGCTGAGATCGAGCCACTGCATTCCAGCCCGGACAAGACAACACTCTGTCTCAAAAAAAAAAAAAAAAAGAATTATAGCTAGCTAGCAAAGAATCTCATGAAAACATGTTCAGTCTCCCTTGTAAACAATCAAATGCAAATTAAAGCAAAAGATATCTATGCCACCAAATATTAATGTCACCAGATATATATTCCACCAGATAGATAGTCCATTAGATATATATTCTGATTATCAAATATATTATTGCAATTGTTATTTTATTTGGTGCTGGTGAGAATATAGCAAAATGGGCACTAACTTATTTCTGTTGATTCTAAAAATTGGTATAAACTATTTGAAAAAATTTCCTGTGAAAAGCCTTTGATATAGTAATTCAGCATCTGGGAATCTATCTCAAGGAAAAACAAACACAAACACAAAAGTCCTTGTAAGCAAAAATATTTGGCCCAGGGTTATTTATAAGATCAAAAAATTAAAAATAACTTTTTAAAAATAAAGAGAGGCTTAAGTAAAATATGGTGTATACACTCAATGGAATATTGTGTAGTCAATAAAAAATGTTTGCTCAGACTATAGACTAACATGGAAAATACATTGATATAATATTTAGTGAAAAAACAGGATCTCTAATTGTATACATAATTATAACTATGTAAAAACTATTCTTTTTTAAAAGTTAGAAGGAAATGTTCATTTTGTCTATCTTTCAGTAGTGCAACGAGATACATTTTTCTTCTTTCTTTGTTTCTAAACTCTTTTTTAATGCTTTATAAATTAATATTACAGTAGGCTAAATAGTAGAAAGGAGTTTTATGGTAGACCATCCCAAAGATGTGCACATCCCAATCCCCTGAACCCGTATATATGTTACCTTACATGGTAAAAGGGACTTTGTAGATGTGATTAAGATTTCAAAATGGGGAGAGGAACTGGATTGTCCAGGTAGGCCTAATATAATCAAAAGGGTCCTTATAAGACATAGACAGAGGGGCAAGAGAGAAGACAGTTGATGTGGTGACAGAAGCAGGGGGTATAGTCAGAGAAACAGATTTGTAGAAACTATACGGCTGGCTTTAAAGATGCAGGAAAGGGCCTCTGAGTGAAGGCATGCAGGTGGCCTCCAGAAACAGGGAATGACAAGGAAATATTTTCTCCAAGAGCCTTCAGAAGGGACTTACCCCTTAAGACACCTTGATTTTAAGACTTCTGATCTCTAGAACAGTAAAATAATAAATTTGTGGGCCAGGTGCAGTGACTTATGCCTGTAATCCCAGCACTTTGGAAGGCTGATGCAGGAGGATCACTTGAGCCCAGAAGTTCAAGACCAACCTAAGCAACACAGTGAGACCCTGTATCTACAAAAAATAAAATTAGCTGAGCATGGTGGTATGCACCTGTAGTCCCAGCTACTTGGGAGGTTAAGATGGGAGGATCTCTTGAGCCCAGGAGGTCGAGGGTACAGTGAGCCATGATCATGCCACTGCACTTCAGCCTGGGCAACAGAGCCAGACCCTATCTCACTTAAAAAAAAAAAAAGAGCTATGTTGTCTTAAACCACTAAATTGTGATTGTTACATCAACAGCAGGAAAGAAATACAAATATATATAATTTTTATGATGGAAAAAACTTTATTTGGTTAAGACAGGCTTTATTTGGTTCAAAAGAGCATTAAAATATAATATGGGTTAATATTTGTGGTCCAGTATCACTTTGTCATTTAGGTGTCACAAGCTATAAAGTGCAATAGAGCTTAATATGTTTCTGATGAACGCCTTATTTTTTCACTTCCACTGTCAACACAGAAATGCCTCACTACAGAGCAACAAACATTAAATTTGGGTTAATTTGCTTAATGATGACATCTAGTGCACAAAAGTCTAAGATGCAAATAATAAGCAGCAGGAAGGAGAAGCTAAAAAGAAAAAAGGAGAAAGTTGATGAATCATAAATAAAACACCCCCTGAGTTGGGCAACTCTAGATTTATGCAAATTCAACATTACACAAATGTTTCCAAAAGGCACATACTGCAAATTTAGAAAAATAGAAAGTTATAAGATACGTAATGGGCAATAGAAATACAAAACTACTATTATTATCTCCTTACTTCAATCCAGTCTCTTGTTCCATTCTTGATTCTTGGTTTGATTTCTAGTTGACAGTCTTGCCCCTGCTGCTTTGGTCTGGGTGGTTCAAGTTGTCTGGAGTGTCTGGCTCTTGCCCTTCCAGCTTCCCCCCATCACACACACACACACAAACACACACACACACACACACACACACACACACACACACACACACACACATTTAGCTCTGCTCCACCCATTTTCTCCATCCAGCACTGTTTCTGGCTTTATGGCTGCCCTAGCTCTCAAGAGACAATCTCCAGTCTTGAGCTCTAGGAGATGATGGGGTGATGGCAGCATGAAGTAGGGGAGATGGGCAACCTTAGATAAGTAAGCAAAAATATCTTTGAAATAAGAATAGAAAAGAAAGCAGGAAGGAAAAAGGGAGGGAGGAAAGGGAGAAGGAGAGGAAGAAAAGAGGGAAGGGAAGGGAAGAGAAAAGGAAAAAGAGGTATAAGAACTGCAGAACATAAAACAGTCACCAGTCACCATAGACAGAAAAGACTCAGAAAGCTATGGAAACCATCCAGTCACACATGAAATGTTTTAACAAATACTCATTTTAGGTAAATGGCTCATTAGCTGACTTGGCTTATGGGTGAACTCGTTTTAGTGAGCTGGCCTATTTTCCAAGGATGCTGTAGCATGGGCACATGTGTACACCACTTGGCAGGTTCACTCCATCCTGAAAGTAGGGAAAAGGGCCTCCAGCCATCCTGGCTAGCTTGGAGGCAGTCTGCTCAGATCCCCTCATTATGTGGTTCTGTCTGCACTCATCAAGCAGCCTTCTCATAATAACTTGGCTTCCCATGCAGATTTTCCTACCAGCAGGGAACAAGCTGACCTGTGAGCAGGAGTATTCTGGTCCCACTGGCAGTTATTCTGCATGGAAATTAATAAATCAGCATTCTCTTGGGAATTTGATTTGCATGTCCATTCTCCAGAGTCTAAAAAAAAAAACTTACTGCACTAACAGAAAAAGTTATGTTAGTGTGTTAGTTAAGGCCTTTTGGGTCAATGAAACCCACTCCATCTAGCATTAAAAAAATGTAAAAATGTATTATAAGATGGTAGCTGTATGCCACAGAACTCAAGGGAAGAAAGGGCTGTTGGGACTGAAAACCAGAAACCAAAAAGCCATCAGGATTGAAACCTCTGCCTTCACTCTTGGTCTGTTCTAGGAGAAACTGTTTCTCTACCCCAAATGTATGGGTTTTCCACACCAAGCAATATTCCAGTTCTATATGGACACCAACTGGGTGCCCTAAAATTGAATTCAATTCTGACAGTAACTACCCAGAGTTATTGCAGACCCCACAGATTAGAGGCTCAGTCCCACAAGACTGCCCCTCATTTCAGACACCAATTGCAAGCAGTTGGTCCCCAGGTTATTTACACTTTGTTCAGACTTGGCCACAACCCCCTCCTCAGGTTTAATAACTTGCTATAATGGTTCACAGAACGCAGGGGAGAACTTTACTTATGCTTCCTGGCTTATTATGAAAGACACAAGTGAACAGCCAAGTGAAGAGGTACAGAGTAGGGGCCATCAGGGTCCAGAGTGAAGGAGCTTCTGCACCGCCGGGGTTGGGGTGTGCCTCCCTCCTGGCGCGTAGATGTGTTTACCAATCAGGAAGCTCTTCAACCCCATCACTGAGGGTCATTATGGAGGTTCCATTTCGTAGTCATGATTGATTAAATCATTGGCCACTGGTGATGAACTCAATCTCCAGCCCTTCTCCTCTTCCCACAGGTCAGCAGGTGGAGCTGGAAGTTCCAATCTTCTAATCATGTGGCTGGTTCCTCTGGTAACCAGTCTGCACCCTCCAAGAATCACCCCATTCACATAAACTCAAGTATGATTGCAAGAGGCGTATTATAAATGACAATAGAGGTTTCTCTCACACCTATCGTTCAGGAAATTCCAAGGATTTTAGAAGTTCCGCGCCAGGAACCGGGGACAAAAGCCAAATATTATAACAAAAGATACTCCTCTGACTCCCTACGCTCAAGAAGTTACAAGTGTTTTAGAAGCCCTGTGCCAGGAACCAGAGACAAAGACCAAATATATATTTTCTAATTATATTACAGCATTACCGTCTGCATCTCACACTCCTGCTGATGCTCTCCCCTCCCACTCTCAGGCTGCACGTACACTCCTTTCTGTTTCTGTCTTTACACCTCTCTCCCTCTCTCTCTTTCTCTCTCCAGATCAACTTTCTCTGCTTCTCAGGTATGCAGCTTCAGAAAGCTGCTTCTCACCCGCCTCAGTCCCTGCACCCAAGATGAACATCTATGAATTCAAACTCTACAGTCTCACAAAGAAAATCTGATTGGCCCAATTTGGGTCAAGTGTCCAGCCCTGATCAAATTATATGCAGCCGGTGGGGGAAGCTGGGCGTAGGAGGACAGAGTAGGCCCAGCTTCATGAAGTTGAAAACAATTTCCAGAAGAAGAAGGAAGACTGTAGATAGAGTAAGCATCCCCAAAACCATCACAGGTCCACAAACTCTGAGAGTCAGAGGTGTTTCTGAATTCAGAAATTTTTTGGACTTTAGAATATGGTCTTGTGCCTCATATAACATCACACACCAGTGGAGTCTAGGGCAGTTTCCCATAATCATATACACCAATCTTTTTGCAATGAAAACATGAATAGTTGTGCAAAATAGGAAATAAGCATTATGAATATTTTCACATGAGTTCAAATCAGGTTTTGCCTCAAAAGGAGTTATAAAAATACTTTTGGCTTTTATTGTTTCTGGATTTCAGGTTGCAGTTGAAGGATTTAGGCTGAGGACCAGACTGCAATGCTATCATGGTGCTTCTTCAAGAGGTTCCCCAGGTCTTTGCTCCTCTAAGTGTGGTCTCTGGATCAGCAGCATCAATGTCACCTGGGGGCTTGTTAGAACTACTGAATCTCAGGACCCATCCCAGATATGCTGAATCAGAATCTGCATTTTTAAAAATGCCCAGGCACTTCACGTGCTTATTAAACTTTGCAAAACACTGCTCTAAGTGGCAGTCAACATTCCTAAGTCCCCGGTCTTTGTATTTGTACAGATGAACTGCAACACACATGTGTACAATCATCCCTTCTTATGAGTTTTTTGAAAATAGCTCCAACCATCATTTTTACACCAACAAAGAAGAAACCACCTTAACTTCAGATCTGTGCCATACCGCTCACCACCCAGCTCAACAGATACAGTCCCTCTAGCTACCACAAACATCGTTTCACAAATTCTTCCCGTACTGGTTTTTAAGCTAGCACACCTGGATAGGAGCTTCTTTTTATGAAACTATGTCTATCAGAGGACATTTATATAATCCTTCATAAAAATGGATCCAACAGGCCGGGCACAGTGGCTCACGCCTGTAATCACAGCACTTTGGGAGGCCGAGGCAGGTGGATTGCCTGAGGTCAGGATTTTGAGAGCAGCCTGGCCGACGTGGTGAAACCCCATCTCTACCAAAAATACAAAAATTAGCTGGGCGTGGTGGTGTGCGCCTGTAATCCCAGCTACTCGGGAGGCTGAGGCAGGAGAATTGCTTGAACCCGGGAGGTGGAGGTTGCAGTGAGCTGAGATCGCACCATTGCACTCCAGCCTGGGTGACAAAAGCGAAACTCCACCTCAAAAAAAAAAAAAAAAAAAAGGATCAAATAGGATATAAAGTGGCTGGGACTATAACTAAGAAATTATTTAAGAAAGAGTGCAAGCAAGTGAAACACAGAGCAGTGGCCTGAGCATCAGCTCTTTTTGCCCTTTTCATAGAGAGTAGAATTTTTAAAAGGGCTAACAATATAAAGCCCCTACCCAGAATGTATTTACAATCCAGTGACAGTCTTTTGACTTAACACCTTTTACCTTGCACTCTGCTGTTTTGGAATTCATAAAGGCAATAAGAAAGGAGTAAGTAGATAGAGAGGGGTTTCTCAAATAACAGGTTTATTCATTGAATTTGCTTTCTTAAGTTCTTTGGGAATAGAAGAACACTTCAAAATCCCAAAGAAAATAAAGAAGTTATGAGCACAGAAGCACCTCTCAGACTATCATTGCTTACTGCCTGCTAGAAGCAGCAAGAAGAAAATAATTTAAAAAACAGCAGTGACACCGGCAGCTTTTAGGAAATCTCAGCCACCGTGGAGAAAACTTCAAGAATCTGCAAGAAGTAAGTGATTCTTCTTCATCAAACTAACATCCATAAGCAGAAGCTGACCAGGCAACAGCAGTCTGATGCATTTCATGGGATGCTCCTCTACCCAGAGTCCCCTGAGGCAGAGTGTGTTCTCACCCCACCACAGGGCCAGTCCACCCAGACTGCCCTCAAACCAGAGCTGCAGTGAGTTCCTCGTGCCAACACCCCATGACTCACATTTGCACCAGTCTTATCACCCAGAATGTCGGTTAGCTCTTCCTCTCACCTCTCCTCTGATCAGAAACCCCACCACCATCCCCCCCCAGTACCCCCAACCATTTCACTTGAGCCTTTCGGAACCTAACTCCCCCTGCCCCCTCAATCTGTGAAGAATGTTCCCTCTGTTTTCTCCTTGAACTAGAAATAGTAACTTCCCTGCTATGGGTAGAACTTATCCCCTGCTAAAACGTATGTTGAAGTCCTGACTCCAGTACCTTAGAATGTGACCTTATTTGGAAATAGGGCCGTTGCTGATGTAATTAATTAAGATGAGGTGATACTGGAGCAGCATGGGTCTGTAATCCAATAAGACTGGGGTCCTTATAAGAGGGCCACATGAGAAAACAGACCCAGGGAGAACGCCATGCAATAACACAGGCCGAGAGTAAGGTGATGCTTCCACAAGCCAAAGAACACTAAAGATTGCCAGCAAACCACCAGAAGCTAGGAAGAGGCAGAAGGATTTCGCTAAATTTCACAGGAAGCATGATCCTGCCAGCACCTTTGTTATCGGTAGAGGGTCTTGACTGCAAGTTGTCCAGGTTCTTGGCATTTTGAACAAAGAATCGGACAAAACTCACAGCAAAGCAAGAAAAGAATGAAGCAATGAAAGAATGAAAGCAAGGATTTATTGAAAGTTAAAGTATACTCCACAGCGTGGGAGCGGCACCAGCAGGCTCATGGGCCCGGATACAGAATCTTCTCTGATCCAAATACCCCCTAGAGGTTTCCCATTGGCCACTTGGTGCTCACCTCATGTAAATGAAGTGGTGGCCCACAATCAGAGACTGAAGTGAAGTTACAAAGCCGCACTTCTATGCAAACGAAGACTCGGCCTGCAATCATTTTGATTGGTTGTGGACAGCAACCAATCAGAGGCTGGAGTGAAGTTACAAAGTTACACTCCAAAGCAAACAAAGTTACACTCGTATGCAAATTGAGGTACTTTAGATTTCCCATCTGCCACACAGAAAAGGTGGGGGTTTGCAAAGGGAATAGCCTCTGGTCCTTTTGTTACTTAGGCATGGAAAGTTCTAGGAAGTCTGCATGAATTTAGTTCTAGGAAGTCTGCATGAAATGGCCTCAGGTTCCCTGCCTTCAGACCTTCTTCTCCTGCTTCACTCTGATTTCTGACTTCTAGCCCCAAGAACTGTGAGACAATAAATTCCAGTTGTTTTAAGTCACCCAGTTTGTGGTGCTTGGTTGTGGCAGCCCTGGGAAATTAACATAGCTCCTGAAGACACTGGCCCTCCGCCAACCCTTGTTTGAGGAGCTGCCTTATGATCTTACTCCCCACATTCCTCAGACTCAGTGGCCACCAGTCCTCCTCACTGCCCAATTAAGTGAAAACATATGCTGGACCCCCACTCCACTCTCCCATAATCCTTTGCTCCTTAAAGTTTACAGCATCTCCCCATTATCCTTCCACTTCGCTCGTATCTGTCATTACCTGGTCGCCTCAAGTGATCTCAACATGGCCAAACCCAAACTCCTCATTTCTCCCGTCCCCAGACTCTCCATCAGCCCATTCCTGACCCAAACCTCTTTTCCTGCATTTCCTATCTCAATTACTAGCACCACCATCTGCCCTGTCCTTCAAAAAACCTGAAAGTCAACCTTAGCTCCTTCCCATTCCTTGCTCTCAAATCCAACCAAACACCAGCAAGGCCAGTTTTACCGCTTAAAGTATTCTTCACCCCACTACTCTTCTCCATGCCCGTGTCTTCACTCCTAGTTCTGGCTAACTCACCCAGAATTATTTCAGCAACCTCTTAAGTGAACTGCCACATCTAGTCTTATCTTCCTTAAGCCCATCCTTCACTATGCATCCAAAGTAACTCTAAGTTATGTCATTCCCCTACTTTATAATAAATAAAATAAAGATGTTTTTAAAAACCTCAATGCTCCCAATTCCCTATAACAGAGATTTCTCAGTGTGTACAAGTTTCAGGCATATCTGTATCCCCCTAAAATTACCTGTTAAATGTTGAGTGTATGTTAATTTTGGTAGGAAGACGGACCATAGCTTCTATTAGTTTTTCAGAGAAATCTATGATCCTATAAGGATTAATCTTCTCGTAAATCCAAATCATTTCTAGTTTCCCGTGCCTTGTTTGTGCTTATAACATTTCCTCTGCTGAGATTTCTTTCGCAAATTCACTGTATTAAATGTCTTCCATGTACTAGACCATGTGGTGGGGTGGTAGGGATACCACAATGAACAGATCAACAGAGCTCTTCTCCCCACTTGGCATCTGGCCCATCCTTCAAGTCTTAATTCAAGTCTCAGCTCCTCCAGGAAGGCTGAGTGATACCCTTCAACTTTGAACCTTTGACACCTAGTAATTATTTCTACCATTTTATAATAAAAGTATCTGTTTATGTGTCTTCTTCCCTAGTATAAGCATCATGTAGGTTCAGGCTAACTGTGTATTCTCAGAGCCTAATACAGCTCCTGGTTCACAATAAGGGTTCAATAAACATTGGTTGAAAAAAAGAAAAAGTCCAAGATTGTTCCTCCCGCCCTCCCCATGAAATGGAAACAGCTGGTTTATTCCCTACTGAATTCATAAGACTACTGGGAACGTCGTAACAGGATAGAGGCTATTATAAGATTCTATTCAGAATTAAGAGGAAATTCATACTTAGATAATTTATCCTTCTACAAATCACTGAGATCTGAGTCAACAGAAAAATGTTAAGGATGATGGCCCTGCTAGTAACTGTGAGTAGCTGCAAAATGAGCTTTCTCCTTGTGACCTGGTGTTGGAAAAGGACCAAAGTCCCATGTTTCCATGGGGTGCATCTGGAATGCAATCTGGGATTCTTCAGAACGTGTCCCTCCAGTTCTGTGGAGCAAGACCTTTGGGGGCATGACCATTGTTTCCTCTTACTTCTCATGTGCTTCAGAAGCTTCATATCCTACAGCAGGTGGCAATGTTCTTTAGTGGTGTGGCGCATAAGGCTGAAAACATTTGTCAGGATGCTTTTCCTTTGTGCATTTCCTGGCATTCCATTTCTCCCCAGTGACAGCTGTGCATCACCTCAGAGAAGATTAGGGTTGGTGTAGCTGGATTACAGAGAAAGACTCAGTGCTCGGTTTTTGACTTTCAAAATGGGTTTGTGAAATAGTTCAGTAGTAATAGCTGTGGGGAAAAAAAAAAAGCAATTTTCCAAATAAGCTTTTTTGAGAGAAAAGAGGAGAAAGAGAACATACTGAAATTCAAAAGGCAAACCCTGAAGGGACTAAGGCAGGACATTTGTTCATTTAAAAAAATGAGCATCCTCCACTAAAATTATTAAGCAAATCTAGTCAAGCTTTTACAATCAATTTCCAGTTTCCAGAGCATACAAGGGCTACATATGTATTTTTGAAGTTAAATGATACCACAAAGAAATGGTCAGACAAATCAGAAGGTGAGACATTCTGCATTACAACTGCCCTGACTCCTGATGATATAATTTTTAAAAACACAAATGGGATTGTTTTAGAATAAAAGAGAGTAAAAATCATACTACTAAATGCAATGCATGAACTCTGATTAAATTCTGGTTCTAAAGTACCAATTTAAAAATTCATGTGGGGGACAATTGGGGAAATATGAATATACAATTTAAATTAGATGATGTTAGCCAATTACTATTAATTTTCTTAGGTGTGATAATAGTATTGTCATTATGTAAAAGAATGTTGTATTCCTAAGAGATGCATGTTGAATACTGAAGTGTTTATTAATGAAAAGTTTACAATTACTTTGAAGTGGTTCATATATATTCTATTAAAGTAAACATGACAAAATGTTAACAATTGTTTAATCAAGATTAAGTGAATATGAGTGCCATGGTTCTGTTCTTTCCATTTTTCTGTATTCTTGAAGATGTTTATAATACATAGTTTTTAAAATAGCTTGAAGCCAAGCTTGGTGGCATGTGCCTGTAGTCCCAGCTATTCAGGAGCCTGAGGCAGGGGGACCACTTAAGCCCAGGCTCAAGGCGATAGTGAATTATGATTGCACCACTGCACTTCAGGCTAGGTGACAGAGCAAGACCCCATCTCAAATTAAAATATTAAATAATAATAAAATAAAAATTAAAAATAGCTTCAAAAGAGAAGAGATGAAGATCAAAAGTAATCTCAAAGGTGAGTATTGGAGTTGCCATGAGTGACAGAGCAGGGGCATGAGGAGGGAAGTCAGTAGAGCCTCCAGGACTAGAGTGGCATGTGACGATGAGAGTCAGATTCAAGAGATTGCCCCACCTGGGCCCAGGTGAGCATGGTCAGTAGGCAGCGCCAGGGTACCACATGAGAGAACATCCAGTGCCCAGAATTCAACCAACACTTACTACCTGGGCTGATGAGTCCTTTGCTCATTGTCCCCGAGTGAGGACATCCCACCAACAGCTGCCTCTGGGTAGCCATATATGGTCCAGCAGGACCAATGCCCATCCATGCTTCAAAATTTTCTTAGCCCAAGAGATCCATGCTATGAGAAAAACCCAGATTTTGATGGCTTGAGACACTTGTAAGTCCCACCAAAGGAAGGATGGGGACCTACCTAGCATCCTACCCTCCACTGCCTGTACTTGGATAAAACCAAATGAAACCACTTTGAGAATTTTCCTAGAGTCAATAGTAGTTAAGACCCAGTCACATGACATATAGAAATAAACACCTTTCTGAAGAAAACTAGCATAGAAGTGGCTCAAGAAACTTGTCACTTCCAAGCAAACTCCTCTTTGGTTCCCAAAAGTCTGGGACAACAATAAAAGAAGCTCTGGAAGAAGCAGAAACCACTGAGAGTGCAGCCACTCTAAAGTAGACGTTGATTAGACAAACTTCCACACAGATAAGTCATATTTCATCAATTTCAAGGCTCCCTTGCCTCCTCTTTTCTCAATGTCTTTTTATTTTCTGAAAATGTGACCAAGTCCAAAAAAACAGACTGTAATAATGACGGTTTCATCTATTCTCAAAGTCCCTCATGAGTGTCATCATCTAGCCAAAAGTAAGAGGTCTATCGTTCCTACATATTGGCAATTAGTAGCTCTGCTTGGAGCAAACATTATAAATTAAATGAGATTAATGAATTGATCATTGTGAGAATAAACTGCATAATAATTTTGTTATTATCAAATCAAAACATACCTAACCCAAAGGTTGCTGCCCTTCACCAGCCAATAGGTACAATTAGGCTTGTGTTCACATTATCATCTGAATCTCATTGGCTTAGCACCCCATCCAGTCAGGCAAGAATTACAGTCTCTGGCCGGGTGCGGTGGCTCACGCTTGTAATCCCAGCACTTTGGGAGGCCGAGGGGGCGGATCACGATGTCAGGAGATCGAGACCACGGTGAAACCCCGTCTCTACTAAAAATACAAAAAATTAGCCGGACGTGGTGGCGGGCGCCTGTAGTTCCAGCTAGTCGGGGGGCTGAGGCAGGAGAATGGCGTGAACCCGGGAGGCGGAGCTTGCAGTGAGCCGAGATCGCGCCACTGCACTCCAGCCTGGGTGACAGATCAAGACTCCGTCTCAAAAAAAAAAAAAAAAAAAGAATTACAGTCTCTGACGAAGTTCCTCCCCAAGACCTTCCAGGAGTCCCTGAGTGGGACCTTACCTATGAACCCAAATCAGCTCAGGCCCCCCCATGCTGCTGGCCTCTATCCGTACAAACCAGAGCTGCTAACGAACCTTCTGCTAGCCTGAGATCTGGGGGTCCTGCTGCTATACACCATCACTGTGATGTAGAAGCCCACCACTGTCACTGCACTGCCTCTGCTGAGCTGGATGGAGACCCTCTTCGCAACACCAATGACTGAACCACTGATGTTCATGACGGAGTTACTCAGCTCCCCAGTCACTGCCAACGGGAAGAGAAGAATGTTTGACTTTTCATAAGCCATAGCAGGAGTCCTGCTATAATTTCCCTTCCCTCTTCCCCTTCCTTTCCTTTGGGCCCCAAACCATCACAGAGTTTACTTAAACAGGTGTTCGAATTTTTACACCCGGCCCTTGCTTCCAGGGTGCTCGGGGGTCTTGATGCCACTCCTCTTTGGTGCCCAGGCCCCACTACCAGGTCTGGACCACCATGCCAGCCTACTTTCTCCCTTTCAGTGACTTTTCCCTCAAGGAGCCAAATCACCTTCCTGAAACCTGGTTCTGTCAGACCCCCCGAACTATCAGCTTCTTCTTCTTTCTTTTTTTTTCTGAGACAGAGCAAGCTCTGTTGCCCAGGCTGGAGTACAGTGGCACAATCTCAGCTCACTGCAACCTCTGCCTCCCTGGTTCAAGCAATTCTTCTGCCTCAGCCTCCCGAGTAACTAGGATTACAGGTGTGCTCCACCACACCCAGCTAATTTTTGTGTTTTTAGTACAGACAGGGTTTCACCATGTTGGCCAGGCTGATCTCAAACTCCTGACCTCGTGATCCACCCGTCTCAACCTCCCAAGGTGTTGCAATTACAGGCGTGAGCCACTTCGCCTGGCTACTATCAGCTTCTTAAGCGTTCTTGCTCAGGACTTCTTTGGTCTTAAGTAAATCATCAGATATATGGCTAAGAAAATTTTGAAGCATGGATGGGCATTGGTCCTGCTGGACCAGCTAAATGCATGGGAGGAAGGGTGTTGCCCAAATCTGCATATCAGATAAAGTCTCACTCAGCTCCTGCCCGGCCGAGACCTCTACAGTCATACCACCCT
This sequence comes from Homo sapiens, assembly GCF_000001405.40. Classification (NCBI taxonomy): domain Eukaryota; kingdom Metazoa; phylum Chordata; class Mammalia; order Primates; family Hominidae; genus Homo; species Homo sapiens. The sequence continues at coordinate 10,902,902 of NC_000011.10, read as the reverse complement.
GAACACGCCCGATCTCGTCTGATTCCCCAGATACAGATACACAATACATTTTATTTTTTATTTAAGGAAGTTACTTTACAGCTATAAGCAGCATCTAAAACAAAGAAGTGTATGTATCCACTCAGCTTCCCCCTTTATAGTAGTTTCTGAGATACAATATCATTTTTTCTATCTACTGTTGGAAAGTTTCTGAAGACTTTCTCTGAAAAGAAGCAGGCATGAATGATCCTTGGAGACACTGTGCTAAGTGAAATGGGCCAGACACAAAGGGACAAACGTTGTATGGTTCCACTTATACGATGTACCTAAAGTGGTTAAATTCTTAGAGACAGAAAATAGAATGGTGGTTGCCAAGGGCTGGAGGAAGGAGGAAATGGGGAGTTGTTGTTTAATGGATAGAATTTCAGTTTTGCAAGATGAACATGTTCTGGAGATGGATAGCGGTGATAATTGCACAACAGCGTAAATGTACTTAATGCCACTAAAGTATACACTTAAAAATGGTTAAATATGATCCAGTGGTCACACTACTTGGCATGTAACCAAAGGAAGGGAAATCAGTATATTAAAGAGACATCTGCACCCCCATGTTTCTAGCAGCACCACTCACATTAGCCGAGATATGAAATCAATCTAGGTGTCCAATAACAGATGAACGGATTTTTGAATGGTGGCACATATACACAGTGGAATACTACTCAGCCATAAAAAGAATGAATTCCTGTCATTCGCAGCAACATGGATGGAAGTGGAGGACATTATGTTAAGTGAAATAAGCCAGGAAGAGAAAGTTCAATACCACATATTCTCACTCATATGTGGAAGCTAAAAAAAAAAGAAAAAAAGAAAGTTGATATTAGAAGTAAAAAGCAGGCCGGGCACAGTGGCTCACACCTGTAATCCCAGCACGTTGGGAGGCCAAGGTGGGTGGATCACGAGGTCAGGAGATAGAGACCATCCTGACCATCCTGGCTAACACGGTGAAACCCCGTCTCTACTAAAAATACAAGAACAATATTAGCCGGGTGTAGTGGCGGGCGCCTGTAGTCCCAGCTACTCAGGAGGCTGAGGCAGGAGAATGGCGTGAACCTGGGAGGCGGAGCTTGCAGTGAGCCGAGATCCTGCCACTGCACTCCAGCCTGGGTGACAGAGGGAGATTCTGCCTCAAAAAAAAAAAAAAAAAAAAAAAAGAAGAAGTAAAAAGTAGAACAGAGGATACTAGAAGCTGGGAAGGGTAGTGTGGAGAGGGGCAGGGGAAAATTTGTTAAAGATACAGAATGACAGCTAGATAGGAGGAATATGTTGTAGTGTTCTATAGCATTGTAGAAGGACTATAGTTCACAATAAGAGAGAGACTCAAATAGCTAGAAGGATATTGAATGTTCCCAACACAAAGAAATGATAAATGTTTGAGGTGGAAGTCTATGCCAGTTACCCTGATCTGATCACTATATATTATATGTATCAAAACATCACTATGTACCCCATAAATATGTACAATTATGTGTCAATTTTAAAAATACAATTTTTAAAAGTATTTTGAAATAAAAAAATTTGTAATGTTTTAATGCTAAGTTTTATATTCTTATATGTTACTACTATGAAATGAATAAATAAATAATAAAAGAACATACGGACGACCCTGAAAAAAAAAAAAAAGAAGTAGCAGAAGCAGACGCAGAGGTGTTATGAGTGGAGTTGGGGGTTAGGTCAGCCTCAGAAAGCCAGAGAGAAGGGATTTGCCTGGAATACTGAAGAAGCTCTAGCCACAGATGAGGCTAAGTTGAGTGTGAAGAAGGCTGAAGAAAAGAAAAGGATTTTTTTTGTTTTGTTTTTGGCATGGCACATAGTAATAATTATCCCTCACAAGAATGTAGCATGTTAGTTTTCAAAACACTTCCATGAGTGATCTAACTTGCTGTCATGACAAGCAACCCCAAGTGAAGGGCAGGGGCTCAGAAAACCAGGGCCACTGAATGGGGAAAGCTGTTCCTTCCCAGTGCAAGCTCATAGCCTCCACGGGGAACTGACAGTCCATGTTGTCAGTAAGGAAACCGCAGCTCAGACAGGTGGACTGACTTGCCCCAAATCCCAGAGCTACTAACTAGCAGAGACTTGATCCTAGGTCTCTCAACTTCCAACCCACTGCTCTTTCCACAACCAGGTATGAATTAAAACAGAATGAAACAGGAAAAGTTAAACATAATTCTCGACCGCGTCGAAGAATGAAAGGATCCCTATTGTATGTTAAAACTCAAAAGACAGAAGTATATAATTTGGGGATATATTTTAAACTTTACACAATCCTCCCACCCCTAGCTCTGAGTAGGAAAAAGGGTAAAAACAGAATCTGGGGTGAGAAGTCATCTGACTCATCCATGATGTGGTAAAGAATCTGTAAGCAAACACCCTGCATTTATTTCAAGTACTGTGTCTCATTCTGCCAGCCCTGGCAGCCGGCCCACTGCTTGTGCTTCAGGGGCCCTCCTTTGGAGACGTGCTCAGAGCCCTATTTTAGGAGGACAGAAGTGGCCTAAAACATGTGGCCATTAAGCTAGAATTTTAAAGGACACACACACACACACACACACACACACACACACACGGACACAGCAAGCTATCTGGTAAGCTGGTGGTTAAGAATCCGAATGTGTGCTCAAGGCCCCTCTGACACAGGCAGCCTTATCCACAGAACTTCATCCCTGTGTTTTGGCCTGTTCCAGGAAGAGCCAGCAAAGTTGCCTGCAAGAGAGAGCACGTGGCCTGAGGGGTGAACCAGGGACAGCCTCTGAAGAGCGAAGGATTTATCTGAGCAGCCAAATGTCCACTGACAGACAGGTCTGTGTGTGCTAGAGAAACTTGTTCCACAGCTCAGATGAAAAACGTATTGTGGAATTCACCCACAAGGGGAAGTGAGTTAATGACTGGGGCGTTTCATCTTCTGCCTAGATGCGTCATAAAATCAACTTGTAAAGCCTGGCTCAGAAAATACATTTACTCTCCCAGATGTGGTTCCATATAGGGCTATGAAACATTTCAAAGAGTGATCGCTCACAGAGGAGTGCGTTCTTAGGCTTTCTCTGTGCTGGGAGTGGGGCCGGTGGCCTGAGCCTGACAGCCCATCCAGGCTGTGGTCAAATTTGCTGACAAGCAGCCCAAATCTGCCCAGAGCATCTGCTCACATCTGGGATTGTGACTCATCTGCCTCTGTCTCCCCCAGCACTATTCACTCACTCCTGCAGGCCTGAGCATGTAAGCCCCACGGTGCCCAGGGCCCAGCGCCCAGACTTGTCCCTCCACCCAAGCACCCATCACGGCTTGTCCTTATCTCCAACACTGCCTGCCCCTCCCATTTAGACTTGGTCTGCTTTCCCAGCTCCAGGTTCAGGGCAAACCATGCTTAGACCTTCTTGGACTCAGCCTGAGCTATCATAAGAGGTTCCCAGGCTAAAACACATGCACAGTCTCCTGCACAGTGGTGTCTGTTCTGGCCCTTTAAATTTAGCAGATCCACACTCCCACCACGCCCAGCTGGCCCACCAGAGTGAGCCACAGGCAACACATGTTCTAAACCAACCCTGTTCACCCTGGACCTACTATTTTTGCACTCACCTCCCTGGTTCTCAGATTTCTGGCTCCGGTTCCCAGCTGCCATAGCCCCTTTGGTCCCTTCACTTTGGTGACCCTTTAGGCTTCCCTTTTTAGACCACAGCTGTCACATGTTTCTGACTCAACTTGCTTCTGCCATGCCAGCGTCACCCCTGGTCTCAGGTGAGTACCCCATGATTCAGGCCCAGACCCTGAAGACCCCCTCCCCTGAGATCACTCCCAGAAGAGGCGGAGGGTGAGGGATTTGTTCCTGGGGTCCCTGCCTGGCTTCTCACCTTCAGCCTTGCGTTGTCTTTCAATTCCAGCACCTGGACTTCCCTGGTCATGCACCCGGGCATTGGCCTCAACTTAGGTCCTGATCCTCGGAGTCCCTCACTCACCTGGGACAGCTCTGTCCCGAACTCAGTTTCTGATTTCATGCTGGTCTTGCCCCAGTTACACCAACCCACCCCCCTCCCTATCTCATTGAGGTCAGAGTGGAGGAGGCTCTCAGGCTTCTGAAGGGAGGGAGGCAACACTGCCTCAAATGGAGCCCTGATGGGGCTCAGAGCCTGTGGGGAGTCTCACAGCTACCTGGGAATCTTTCTGTCCCTGGAGACAGCACAAGTCAAGGCACTTGAGGACTCTCAGTTGTGTGTAGGGAGGAGGATGCTGCTCCAAATAGCGCAGACAAGCATTCAGTTCTAAAACCTCAGAGCTCAGAGCAGCTGAAGAGCAGAGGCAGCCCTCTGGTCCCACATGGCTCACATTCTCTTCCTTGTCCGCCTGACTCCATGTGTGACTTTAGCAACATGTCTGTCGAGGATGTTCTACCCCTAGCCCCTGCACCAGCAAACAAATAAGTCCTCCCAAGGCTCCCCATGCCTGATGTCTCCATTCCCTCCACTCCAGAAGGAGCAGAAACAAGGGCCTGCTCCCCTCCTCCTCCTCTCCAGCCCTCATCACTCCCTTCCCTGGGGGCCAAGGCACTCAAAAACCATCTTCCCCTAAAAGCTCAGGGACTCACTTGGTTTTCTTTCCCAGAAGCCCTAAAGATAGTAGCTTTGCTTAATGAGAATGCCCCATGGTGAAATGGTGAGGACCAAGACTCTGGTGCCTGGTCCACAGGGGAATTCCAGCTCTGCCTCTTGCTAGTGATGAGACCCTAGACATGTGATGGAACTTCTCTATAGTGTTTCCTCATCTCTGAGGTTGGAAAACTAATGGTCCCCACCCCACTGCATTGCTGTGAGCCATATACGCATTAATTAGTGTAAAAATGGTGCCTCCATGTAATAAGTGCCGTGATGCACAAGCTCTCATTTATTGATTTTTCACTGTATGTGAGGCCTTACTCTAAATACCTTACATCCAATAATTCGTTTTTCCTAAGCAAAGTGAAATAGAGACAGAAGGATCATTTTATAATTCTAATTTAAATTATCATTAATATTTATTGCATAAGTTCCATCAACAGGAGTTGAAATGCATTGTTGAAATTCATCACAATATTTGCTACTTTAAAGAATCAAACTGTTTTTACTTTTTTTTCTTGTGCTCTCTCTCCTGGCCTTGTAAGGTTTATGCATAATAAATATTCATATCTGGTCAAAAAATAAACTAAGTTGTAAAAGGTTAGAGAATTTCCCTATCTGAACACGCAAACCCAGTGTGTAAAGATGACAAAAATAAACCACCCAGGGGACAGAAACTCCCAGTAGTGCCCCTCCTATGGATACAGGCCTGTATCATAGTATGACATAGTACAGGCACAATTCTGTATGTATCTCTTTTTTTTAGAAACAGGTTCTCACTGTGTCACCCAAGCTGGAGTGCAGTGGCCCTCTCAAAGGTCATTGCTCACTGCAGCCTCAAACTCCTGTCAAGTGATCCTGTCACCCAGCCTCCTGAATAGCTAGGACTACAGGCATGCACCATCACGCTCAGCTAATTTTTAAATTTTTTTGTAGAGATGGGGTCTTGCTATGTTGCCCAGGCTAGGCTCAAATTCCTGGCCTCAGGCAATCCTCTCATCTTGGTCTTTCAAAGTCCTGGAATTACAGGAGTGAGCCACCATACCCTGCCCTGTATCTTTTGACTTAACATTAAATCATAAACAGTTTCCATGTTGCTGTATAGCCTTTGAAAGTATCACTTCAATGACTGTAGAATAACTCATTTAGTTGAATTACTATAATTGAACTGACATCATTATTGAATAATGGTAGGGTTTTTTTGCTATTACAAATGATTCTGTAGTAAACTCTTAGCAGAAATGACATTTTTTTTCTTTCAGGTGATTTCTTAGGCTAATTCTCAGAGATGGGGTTATTGGGCCAAAAAAGCAAACTATGGCTTTCCGAAGCTCTCATTGTTCCCATTATGTCATGCATCCCTGAGATGCAGTCAGCAGAGGATTCTATTTGAGGGACTAAACACTCCCGGGGAAAGCAGGAAGAAGGAGACGGGAACTAACATTTGCTATTGAGCGCCAGGCATCGTCCTACAGGCTTCGAAGTGAACCTTGGATGTGCTGCTGATCTGACCTGCCCAGATTTGTCATCATTGTTATTGTCTTGGCCTCTTATGAAGACGTTCACCCAGCAGGACTTCAGAAGCTTTGTTCACTCGATCTCATTTAATCCTCACAATAGTGCCCTAAGGAAGATATTAGTATCCCCATTTTACAAAGGAGGAAACGGGAACCTGGGGAGATTAAGCGAAGGCCTCACAGATCATGAATAGAAGAGGCTGGAAACCTAGTCTGGTTCAAGGGTGTGCTCTTTCTGCTCTGCCATGCTGTGCTTCAGCCCTTCCCCACTCTCAGCCCCATGTGCACGCAGATAGGGATTTTCACTCTTTGCCCTGTATGAAAGGAGGGAAGGTAAGACACATGAGCCTAGGGGGAAGGTCCATCTGCAGGACTACCCTGAAGGGGATGGGACATTCCTGGCCCTCAGCCTACAAACTCTTTCCTTTTATTTCCTGCTGGTGAAAAGCATAATTTAAAGATGACTTTGTTTTATACATACACATACATACAATCACACACACACACACACACACTCACTCACTCCAAGAAGAGGGCTCTCTGTAAATAAAAGACCTGTCACCTATCAAAGATGCTAACCAAGGACTTACCAAATGTCCTTTGATGCTAAGTATCTTTCAGAAAAGTTATTACTCAACCTGAGTCCACGGACTAGGCCTATCCTTATGTTAAAATAATTCTCTCATGGAATTATTTGATTTGGCCCAACATCTACCAGCTTTGCACATATTTCAATATTTCAATTAAACCACCAAACCTCAGTCTATATTAATTCCAGCCTTTTTTTTTTCTACTAAAGGGGACCTTCATTATTTCCCTGCATGTTTGAAATTATTGTCTCTCGGCCAGGCGAGGTGGCTCACGCCTGTAATCCCAGCACTTTGGGAGGCTGAGGTGGGCGGATCATGAGGTCAAGAGATCAAGACCATCCTGGCCAACATGGTGGAACCCTGTCTCTACTAAAAAAAATTACAAAAATTAGCTGGCTGTGGTGGCACACGCCTATAGTCCCAGCTACTCGGGAGCCTGAGGCAGGAGAATCGCTTGAACCTGGGAGGAGGAGGTTGCAGTGAGCCGAGATCGTGCCACTGCATTCCAGCCTGGGTGATAGAGCAAGACTCTATCTGAAAAAAAAAAAAAGAAAAAAGAAAAGAAATTGTATTCAAAACACACTGAATTCATAAAATTCCAGATGCTGCTCAATGATGCCTCTGGGCCAGTGACATCCTGGCTATCTTAGTTAAGACTACAAAGGAACAGGGTGGAACTGAGGCTACAGCTGGAGAGGGTTACGAAAGCACAGGGACTGGCACCAAGAAAACTCAGATTTACTGGAATGAGTATGTTAGAGCCACTGCTGCATGTGGCAGGAGATCATTTCAATGGCTCCATGAACTGAGTTTTGCAATGTGTAGAACTGTGTAGACTGTTTGTCAGGCCTCTTTCAGATGCAAGTGAGAGAAACCTGACTAGCTAATGCAGAGGTAGGATTTATTGGCCCCTAGTTGAAAATTCTAGGGGTAGTCCTCAAGTGTAACTGGGTTCAAGTGCTTAAATGATATCAACAGGAATTTGTCCCCATCTTTTGGCCCTCTTTTCAGGGTGGTGATGAGATGGCCACCAGGCCTATTTCACAGAAATTTCAGCAGAAAGAAGAACTTATTGCCCGATTGTTCCATTAAAAGTCCCAGAACTAACTCTCAATTGGCCTAAATTGGCTCATTTGCCAGATATCCTCAGCTTGACCTCCAAATCTACTCTCTCCTCTTCTTTGAGCTTGGTAGCTGGGAGGTTGGCCACTCTCTACTCTTCTTCCAGCTCGGTAGGTGAGAGATTGGATATATCAATGGCTCCTTTCCTCTGTGCCTTGCCTTGGGTATTGTCAATAGTGAGACCAGTGGGAGGCTGGAGGAAGAGATAAGAATGAAGTCAGGATGTTAATTTCCCCCAGCACCCCTTGCAAGGGTCCACATGAGCTGGCTATATCTCTCAGCCAATAGTCACAGGTCCTGCCTGCAGCTTCTCCATACATCTTCTCTCTTTGAGTTCCAGTAATGGCTTCCCAGTTTTGCCTCTGCAACCTAAAAGCAGTACTATGCCCTACTGTGAGCAGCCCCAGAAACTGCACTATCCTTTACGGTTTTCCCACACTCCACCTACACCTCCATGGAAGGGTTATTTGATAACCGATTTTGAAAGTGTCATCTGTTTCCAAGATCCTGACCGATACAGCTAACATGTCCATCCCTAAGACAAATCCATGTGTCTCACTGGGCAGGCCTACCCCTGGGACAAAGGTCTGAAATTAGCTCCATCAAAACCACAGGTACTGAGAGTGGAAGTATGGTAGTCCCCCAAAGGGACAGACAAAAACAACCTATGATCACCACATTTATCAAAGTAGACAAGAAAGAATTCTAATCAGCAGTATTAGGCTACCCAAGCATTCTTCAGAAGCAGTAACTACATATAAATAAGGATAAATTTCAGAGACTAAACACATGCTGAAACAGCATTCAGGGTGTCTTTCATCTATGTACACTCAAATCAACGCCTTTTAAAGACCTGGTCACTCATTTTCTGAGCTCTAGGTCTGTTGATAACTCTCTTCTGAAACAAATTGAAATTTCTATCATCAATTCACTTTGAAATGTCATAAAGCAGCTTAGGCCTTGGCTGGCTGAGCAATAAAGCAGGCCCTCTTGGCAGCTCAGATGAGCTGCCCCTGACAGCAAGACAGGGGACATGGCATTAAACATTGCCAAGAATGAACAATTTGGAAGCTGCCTAGTGGCAGGAATGACAAGGCTGAAATCATAACCACTTTGAAAAACATGACATCAGTTGAAAAATAAACATAAAATGGGGCAATAGCAACCTCATCACAGAGCTGTAAATGCTTAGAAGAACATCTGGCCTGATATCCCATGAAGCTGCTCTGTCTCAGCAGAAAATTCTTTTTATAAATGATTAACCCTGATTATAATGATTGACTGTCCCATGGATGAGTCACCTTGCAGGTAAAACTATGGACCACAACCCAAGTGAATCTCAGCATTTCTTTCCATTACCCAGAAGTAGTGAGGATCTTAGTTACCTTGTCCACCAACCCCATGTTTTGACAGAGCCTGCACTGTACCTTTTTAATGGACATGTTGACATTCAATAACATGCTAAGGATACCTGGCTTTCCTCATCAGTTTTCTCAGTAAAGCCTCTGATGCCGCTTTGGTTAAATTCAGGAATATGCTTTTGCCAGAAGGAGAAGCCTCCTGAGCCAGTCATGTGCCTCTCCTGGCTCCACTAATAACTCCTTTCTAATACAATTCCTTTGCAGTTCTCTTCACCTGTAAAGACACTTGGATTTCAGCTCTTTGTGGAAGAGGGATCTAAAGGATCCATATGCTTCAGTCCTCTGGAATCTAGGAAATAAGGAAGTTTGGGGCCCAGAGAAAAAAGAAATTCAAAGGCTGTAGCCAGTGGAATCCTTTAGCCACACCTGGGACCCATAAGGATAATGTAGAGACTGTGGTCATAAGACACAAACAGACTAGAGTGTGTGACCTTGAGCAAGTCACATCTTCATGAATTTGAGCACTATTAGTATTACAGTTATTATTGATTCCAAGACACTAATAATATGGTAAGCATTAAAAATGTTATAAAATATTATAAATAATAAAATAATAAATGAGTTTTCTGAGCCAGGCAGTTCTGATTGGCATGTCCAAGGACATTCCTCCTTTGGAGGACCCATCTAAGCAAAAGTTATCAATCTTAGAAGACAGAATAGTGTAGTGGAATCAGGCCAGACAGGTTTCATCTCACCAGCCACATCCACTTGATTGGCGGTAGCTCCTTGGGGCCCTGTATTCAAAAGGATTCTGAGGTCATATTTGGGTTCAAGAGGGAAGAATGCCCTGATCAATGGGTACAAGAGGAGGGTCTGGCACCTTGTATGACATCCCTGTTGTTGACTGAAAGCATTGAGCTTGACAGTCAATTCTTGGAGGCAGGAACATGTATTCACCCTTGCTTCAGTAACAAAAAACAACCGCACAATTTCAGTGGCTTAGAAGCACAGATGTGTATTTCTCACCACATGGAGGATAAGGCTATGGGCTAGGGCTAGACAGAGTCCTCTCCACCTTTCTTCTTATGCCAGGACCCAGGCAGAAAGGTCCAAAACATGCTCAGCTCGTGGCAGAGAACAGAAACATCAATGGCCAAGCCAAATCAGGCAATCATGTCTACAGCTTCTGCTCAGATATAGCATATGTCATATTGCTAACATTTCATTGGCCAAAGCAAGCCATATGGCCAAGCCCTGAGTCAATGGAAAGAGGAAATATAATTCACTTGCTAAGAAGGAGGAAGTGAATGACTGCAATTAATCTACCAGATGGTGTCTGAGAAAGATACTTTCCGTATTAAGATGCTCTATCTGTTTTTTCTTATTTTTTCTACAATACATATATATTATATATAATACAGCTGGAATTCTTCAGAAAATATGTGGGTTTCATAAACCAAAAATAAAATTCTAAGCTCCCCACCAAACTGAATGGACTACCCTCAAACCTGCCTGCTTCCTTGGTAGAATGCCCAACCAAGGGCATTCCAAAGTTATCCTGAAAAACTAGGTCAGGCCATGATGGGTAGGGAGAACAAGATATGTCTCATTATCCCCTCTTCCCTTTGGAATTCAGGCACAACTGACCAGCATTAACAGTCTATGGAACCCTGGTAAAGTTGGTGAATAGGTGTCTTCTAGGAAAGCAATTTCAACAGGAAGCCAAGCATTAATAAATTATAGAATAAATATTTATCAAGTACCTACAAGGCACTAGATACCATGTCAGGTGGTATAGGTATGCTATTGTACAACAAGAGAAAGATACCTGGTTTCTGAACTCATGGAGCTAGGTTGAATGATGGCAACAGACCACAATCAAATCTTAAATGGATGCTCAAGCTTCTTTCAATCCAAGACCACTTTCCTAGCATTCACATTCAAAATGAGTAGGTCCCATCTTCTTCTCCTTCTTCAAATTCATTGCCCCAATACTTGCCCCTATACCCAGCAGATAATCTACCCTCCTGACTCATTTTTTTGAAAAAGAGCAATTAACAGACCTCCCTCATCTTCTCAACAAAATACCAACCTTCTTTTCTCATTCAGTACATATTTGCTTTGCTTTCTTTCTTTCACAATAGAAAAAATATCCCTGTCCCATCTAAATTCCATCCCCTCTGGCATTCTCAGTCTTCACTCCTGCAATTGTCCCATTTCTCTCCACATTCTCTCTCTCTACTAGATTATTTGCATTGTTACACAAACATGTTGTAGTTGAGGAAGTGGAGGGGAACACAATTTCCCTCTCCAAGGAAAATTTGGAAATGAATGATGATGCATTTTGATGTCACAGTGACCATGGAGCCCTAGTGGTATTTGGTGGAGGCCAGGGGATTATGTTCTATCTTATTTTAAAAAGGAGAACTTCCTTAAACCTTGCAATCTCCTTCAACTATTATGAACTACTCAAACCCACCACAGGAAAACTTCTTGATAGAGTTATATATGAACACCGTCTCCACCCCATCATCTCACAATCTCTTCTCAGCCCACTCCAATCAAGTTTCTGCCCCCATCACTTACCAGAAACTGTTCCTTTTTTTTAATTTAACTTTTAAGTTCAGGGGTATATGTGCAGGTTTGTTACATAGGTAAACTTCCATCAAAGGGGTTTGTTGTACAAATTATTTCATCACCCAGGTATTAAGCCTAGTACCCAATAGTTATTCTTCCTGATCCTCTCCCTCCTCCCACTCTCCACCCTCAAGTAGGCCTAAAGTCTGTTGTTCCCTTCTATATGTTTATGAGTTCTCATCATTTAGCTCCCACTTATAAGTGAGAACATGCAGTATTTGGTTTTCTGTTCCCGTTAGTTTGCCAAGGATAACAGCCTCCAGCTTCATCCATATTCCTGCAAAGGACACGATCTCATTCTTTTTTATGGCTACATAGTATTCCACAGTGTATATGTACCACATTTTCTTTATCCAGTCTATCATTGGTGGGCATTTAGGTTGATTCTATGTCTTTGCTATTGTGAATAGTGCTGCAATGAACATAAACATGCATGTATTTTTATGTACACATGCATGTACTTATATTCCTTTGGATATATACCAGTAATGGGATTGCTGGGTCAAACGGTATTTCTGTTTTTAGGTCTTTGAGGAATTACCACACTGTCTTCCACAATGGTTGAACTAATTTACATTCCCACCAACAGCATATAGGTGTTCCTTTTTCTCTGCAACCTCTCCAGCATCTGTTATTTTTTGACTTTTTAATAATAGCCATTCTGACTGGTGTGAGATGGTATCTCATTGTTGTTTCAATTTGCATTTCTCTAATGATCAGTGATGTTGAGCTTTTTTCCATATGCTTGTTGGCCACATGTATGTCTTCTTTTGAAAAGTGTCTGTTCATGTCTTTTGCCCACTTTTTAATGAGGTTATTTTTTTCTTGTAAATTTAAGTTCCTTATAGATGCTGGATATTAGATCTTTGCCAGATGCATAGTTTGCAAAAATTTTCTCTCATTCTGTGGCTGTCTGTTTATACCAGAGACTGATCTTTTCAAATATTGACAAAGTGGTGGTCACTTCTTGGTCTCCATCCTACTTGACGTCTCATAACATTTGACCCAACTAACTAATCCTTCCTTCTTGAAAGGTTGTCTAAACTAAAATAGGTATCTCAGGCTTAAAAAACAAACAAACAAAAAGAACACTTGATTTATTTTCCTCCACCAAGGAACTAGCCAAACAAACAAACAAACAAACAGACCTGCTACTCCTCCTCTTGAACCCATCTTTGCAAAATTATGACTGAGACAGTGAAAGAGATCTAACCTAGCTGACTCCATCTTGTTACTAACCTTTAAGCTGTCCTTGTTCATTTCTGGGCATAGGCTGAACTAACTTTGGGAGAAACTTAGTTTATAGTTTAAAACAGAGATGATAACAGCCCTTTCCCAAAACAAACCTCCTTCTTCCCTGAGGACTAGACTGCCTTTGTAGGACTAACAAATTAGCCACAAGATTCGAAATTATGGTTTAGGAGTCATGCAGCTGGAGACTACAAGATTCTGACCCTCCCTAAACTGCTCCTAAGATCATTGCTTGAGATATTTTGCAGACCCTGCACATGATGGATCAGCTGGCACCACCCAGATCAATAAATTGGCTCATCTAATCTTGTAGTCCCTACCCAGGAACTGACTCAGTGCAAGAAGACAGCTTTGACTCCCTGTGATTTCTGACCTGAACAATCAGCACACTTGGCTCACTGGTTTCCCCCCACCCACCAAGTTGTCCTTAAAAATTCTGATCCTTAAAAACTCTGTCCTTAAAAACTCTGATCCTTGGGGAGACCGATTTGAGTAATAATAAAACTCCGGTCTCCTGCACAGTCAGCTCTGCATGAATTACTCTTTCTCGATTGAAATTCCCCTGTCTTGATAAATGGGCTCTGTCTAGGCAGCAGACAAGGTGAACCCACTGTCGGTTATGCTCTTCTTGTCTGAGGAAATACTACAAAGGTAAAACCAAAAAACTAAACAAAACAAACAAACAAAAAAAACCAAGAGTCATCCCTGAGTCCTCTGTTCCATTCCCTACAGAAACTCATCAGTAAGTTCTATCCACTCTATATACAAAATATATCTTAAAAGCCTACACTTCCCTAATCTTCATTTTTGCCCCCCTGGTCTAAGCCATCAACATCTCTTGCCTGCACTATAGAGAAAGCCTTACCCCTTTCCCTACCTGTCTATGACCCATTCTTAAAACAGTCCCCAGAGTGATCTTCTTAAATTGTAAATCTCATGCTTAAAATCCTCCACTAAATATTTATATCATTGGCAATAAAATCCACATTCTTACCTTATTTTACAAAGCCCTTGCCCACTTCTCTGACTCCCCTTGATACCACTGTTAGCCATACTAGTCTTCTTTCCATCCTTTAAATACCAATCTCATTCGTACCTTTTTGTGCAGCAAATGTTAAGGAATTTATTGCATAAAAGATAAGCTTAAAGTAGATGTTAGTGGGCAATTAGATGGATTGAATATCCACAATGTACCACTTTATATTAGAAAGCACATATGAACAGAAAGACAAAGAAAGTTATTATATATATTGGTAAAAGGATCAGTCCATCAAGATGGTATAACAATTATAAACACATATATATGTAATAACAGAGCCCTAAAATATGTAAAGCAAAACTGACAGAATTGAAGGCAGAAATGACAGTTCTACAGTAACAGTTAGAGACTTCAATACTCCCACTTTTGATAAAGGATAGAACAATTATTAAGAGATCAACAGGGAAACAAATGAAGGACTTGCCAACAAAACTATAAGCCAACTAGACCTAACAGACATATACAGAACACTCCACCCAACCACAACAGAGTACACATTCTCTCAAGTACACATGGAACATTCTCTAGTATAGACTATGTGCTAGGCCACAAAACAAGTCTCAATAAATTTTAAAAGATTAAAATCTGTTCCACCCTGAGTAGGTCTATGTAAACCTACCCCTAAAGGCCAAGAGGCCAAAGAAAGAGTCTAGCAAATCCAGTTTCTCAGAAAGAAACTGTTTGTTTGTTTGTTTTATAAACACAAGGTCTCGCTCTGTTGTCCAGTCAAGAGTGCCGTGGCATGAACATAGCTCATTTCAGTCTCTAACTCCTAGGCTCAAGCAATCCCCCCACCTCAGACTCCTGAGTAGCTGGGACTACAGGCACGTACCACCACACCCAGCTATTTTTTGTTATTTTTTGTAGAAACAGGGTCTTGCTATGTTGCCCAGGCTGGTCTCAAACTCCTGGCCTCAAGCAATCCTTCAGCCTTGGCTTCCAAAGTGCTGGGATTACAGGCATAAGCCACTGCTCCTAGCCAGAAAGAAACATTAAAAAGGGACTTACAAACAGAAGCTCTGACTCAGGCAGCCACAAAACAGTAGATCCCTGCACCATTAACCCCCAGACTCAGGGCTTATATACCACAGGGAAAGGGTATATGTGCTTCATATATCTATTTAAAAAATGCATCATCAAGGTTGTTTTGACCTAAGGGCAGGGTTTATGGTAAGTATGTGCTCTTCACAGTAGATAAACTAGAAATCTCAGAGGCATTCCCAGAACTGGAGTTAATCAGAAGTCAACATAGCAGATTAGCATCCAAAATGGAGTTGCTTCTGCCTCTACAAAATCATATAAAGAATCTTCCCCAACAATAATGCAATGAAA
Organism: Homo sapiens; assembly: GCF_000001405.40. Lineage (NCBI taxonomy): Eukaryota > Metazoa > Chordata > Mammalia > Primates > Hominidae > Homo > Homo sapiens. The sequence continues at coordinate 10,887,431 of NC_000011.10, read as the reverse complement.
CTAGAAATAAATGACATAAGGAAATCTGAAAATGCACAACTATATGGAAATTAAACAACACACTCTTTAACAATCAATGTGTCAAAGAAGTGATTGGCAAAATTTTGAAAATTCTGCCTCTTTGAGCAATCTAGTAATTATAGTACCTACGACCTTAATATCCTAAAAGCCACTATTGGATGATGTTCTAGGAAATGATCTGTGTCCCTATACAAGTCAGATTGTGCTGAATAACAAACCATTCTAAAACTCTGTCATGCAGCAATAAGCATTTATTCTCATGTTCACAAGTCTTCAGATAGAATAATAGGCTGCTTCAGGCTGCAGCTCTGTGAAGAAACTATGGATAGCCAGGCTGAAAGAGCCACAGCCCCCGGGGCATTTTCTTCTCATGGCAGAGGACAAAAGCTCATAGAGCAATGAGGGAAGGTACATAATTCCTCTTAAGGCCTAGGCTCAGATCTTATATGATATCACTTCTACCCACATTCCACTGGCCAAAGCAAGTCACACAACCAAGTCCAACATCAGTAGGAAAAGGAAGAATACAACCCTACTATAGGAGTTAGAGCGGAAGGAATGAATATTTGCTGAACAACAATCTACTACTTCACAGCCCTCTTAGAGAAAAGCTTTGAGAAATGGTGCTATGGTTACTGCTATGGATGCCAAACAATAATATCTTGTTATCAACCATGTTGGTTATAAGTGAGTAAGACTCGTCTTCTTACTGTATTTGTAACTACTAAGAACCATTTAGAAATGTCAGATTCTTCAAAGCTATTTTACCCGATTCAATCAACAAGTATTCAACTCACCAATTTTTTCTTAGCTGAACAGCATTATCAGCTCAAGAAAAACTTTTGCTTCAATGTAATTTAGTTTCTAGTACTGGATAAGAACTTTTTAAAATGTCTGTAGACTATATCAAAGCACCAGAAGTGGATCTGACACCATCAATAGGGACTGAATTAATATGCCTTTTCTGAAAATCTTCCTAAAAGAAAAATCTCTCTGACATCTGAATTTTAGACTTATTGTAGAAAATTTCAATCCTTCGAAAGAATCTTTGTGAATTTTATCACTACTAAAGTAAAAAGTATCCAATATAAATACAATACAGAGTCTAATCTTTCCTGGCCTTGAAGACCTCGATATGTTGCTAATAATTGCAATAAAAAAAAAAACTCATTGTGAATGATAACCTTATCTTGAATTCTGCATTAGTCAGTCAGTTAATGATACATAGCCTCCTTTGATGCTACAACCATCCTTCCAATAGCTCTCCCACAAAGATTTCCATTTATTTGTTTGATTTCAAACTTGGTGAAAAGAAATTTTTATCTTAATTTCATACCAGAAAACATGAAAGAAGTAATGAAAACATGCTGAAAAGGATAGATAGTTTTTAAACAGGACCTTAAAAACCAGACTCAATCCCTGCTGCCAAATTCAGTGAGGGATTGTTTAGAGTAAAAACAGAGCATTGCTCTGGGATTGAGCCAACTAGAAAGACTGATACACCATGACGTCTCTGGCTTGTATAACCTCCCTGCCCTTGATGTGAACTCTGGAAGGAAGCAGCACAACCAAAGTTGACAGTGAGGTGAAGAGTGCACCTCCAAGTCATAAAGTACCTAAAACCTCACTATTCAAGTCAACTAGTTGGGAGAAAGATCCATCCAAACTAGTGCAAAGTCCAAATTCCCATTATTTCCAAATAGAAGAAATACTTTTGGATTTAAAAAAATGACAAATGGAATCAAAGTTTTTCCACTTTTTCCAAAAATGCCATTGAAATAATAAAGATATAAAAAGAAAAAAAAATACCAACACTAAAAAAATCAGGAAGAATTCTATGACCCCCAAATAAATGTTGAATTTCTGGAAGATATGAAGCAGACAGGACAAATATAATTCTTGATGTATATTTTTAACATATGTCTAAATATAAATATTTGATTAATGGAGCAAACTGACAAAAAGACAGTTAGTGCCAAGGGTGAGCACTCAACACAGGCAGAAGAGAATAGGGAAGTAAGTAGATAGGTTTCCCCAAAAGACCTATATAAAAAAAAAAATCAGACTTAGCACAGCAACAACATAAAAAGTAGGCTGGGGGAAGCTCAAGAGAATTACACTAAAAGACTTACATTTTAGAATTGTGTCACTGTCTCATATGCTAGACCTACAGACCAGTACTTCTAAATGTGTGAGGCCTGTGAGATAAAAACTATTTTCAAAATAATACTAAGCTGTTATTTGCCTTTTTCACTGTATTGACATTTGTTTTGATAATTGTTGCAGGAAGCCAGGCACCCCGAATGGAGAGACCAGCTGAAGCCGCGGCAGAAGAACAAAAATTGTGAAGATTTAATGGACATTTATCAGTTCCCAAAATTAATATTTTTATAATTTCTTACGCCTGTCTTTACTGCAATCTCTGAACATAAATTGTGAAGATTTCATGGATATTTATCACTTCCCCAATCAATACTCTTATAATTTCTTATGTTTGTCTTTAATCTCTTAATCCCGTCATCTTTGTAAGCTGAGGATGTATGTCACCTCAGGACCCTGTGATGATTGCATTAACTGTACAGATTGTAAAACGTGTGTTTGAACAATATGAAACCAGTGCACCCTGAAAAAGGACAGAATAACAGTGATTTTCAGGGAACAAAAGAGATAATCATAAGGCCTGACTGCCTGCGGGGTTGGGCAGAACACAGCCATATTTTTCTTCTCGCAGAAAGCCTATAGATGGATGTGTGAGTAGGAGAAATATTGCTGAATTCTTTTCCCAGCAAGGAATATTAATAATTGATAGCCCTGGGGAAGGAATGCATTCCTGGGGGGAGGTCTATGAACGCCTGCTCTGGGATTGTCTGTCTTATGTGGTTGAGATAAGGACTGAAATACACCCTGGTCTCCCGCAGTGCCCTCAGGCTTGCTAGGATTGGGAAATTCCAGCCTGGTGAATTCTAGTCAGACCGGTTGTCTGCTCTCAAACTCTCTTTCCTGTTAAGATGTTTATCAAGACAATGCATGCACAGGAGGACATGGACCCTCATCAGTAATTCTAATTTTGCCCTTGCCTTGTGATCTTTTATTGCCCTTTGAAGCATGTGATCCTTGTGACCTACTCCCTGTTCGTACATCTACTCTCCTTCTAAAATCCTAATAAAAACTTGCTGGTTTTGCAGCTCAGGGTCGCCATCACGGTCCTACCAATATGTGATGGCACCCCCAGAGGCCCAGCTGTAAAACTTCTCTCTTTGTACTCCTTCTCTTTATTTCTCAGACCGGCCGACACTTAGGGAAAATAGAATCTACGTTGAAATACTGGGGGGCTGGTTCCCCCAGCAGATAATGCAAAAAAAAATTGTGGTGCAAAAGTAATTGCACCAACCTAATATAACAGAATAACTGAGACTACATGATTTATAAGGAACAGAAATTAATTATCTCACAATTCTGAAAGTTGATCAAGGCATTGGCAGGTGAAGGCCCAGTTTCTCTGCTTCCAAAATGGCACGTGAATGCTGTGTCCTTTGAAGGGGAGGAAGGCCAGGTCCCCACATGGCAGAAGAGCAGAAATGAGAGAAGGCCACTCTCATTCCTGTGAGCCCTTTTATAACATCATTAATCCATACACCTCCCAATACTGTTGCCATAGGGATTAAGTTTTCAACACATGAATTTTAGAGGAAACAATAACATTTAAACCAAAGCAGACACTTAACTGATACTAATAGTCATTATATTCTTTATCGCCAGGTACTCACAGGAGGGGGAAAAAAACTGTTTCACATAAGAATGCCCTGGTGAAGCAGTAAAAATTATTAATGTCATCAAAATCTCAACCTTTGGGTCTTTTAACATTCTGTGTGACCAAATGGGATGTATAAGGCACTTCTATTGAATACCAAAATCTAATGATTATCTCAAGAAAAAGCACTTGTACAATTAATTGTTTGAGCTGCAAGCTGAATTAGCTGCTTTTTTTACGGAACACCATTTTTTTCTTGAAAGAACAAGACATCAAACTACAGTAATTCAGACTTGGTTATCTGTCAGACATTTTCTCAAAAATGAATGAAGTGAGTCTGCAAGAAAAACAACTGGCAGTATTTGTATCCAATGATAACATTCTAGCTTTCAAGCAAAAATTGGAATTTTGGGAAACTTGTATATGCCACTATAAGCTTGACATCATCACAATACTATGACTTTTTTTAATGAAATCAGTGGTAATATTAATGAATGTGGTTTTTGATGCTGTACAAAGAAATGTGTCAACATTTGAAAGATATGCATAATTCAATGAACCAATATTTTCCAAATGGCCAGTGCATCATGGTACAAAATCATGCATGGGTAATAGAAATTTTCAAGGTACAAAATAGGGCACTAGATTTTAACATAATAGACTACATAACTTTCACTGCTGTGGTTTCAGATTCCACATTGGAACCATCCTTTAAGAAACTAGCTAGGACTTGTCCAGTTTTGGTGTAGTATCAAAGAAGATTATCCCCACTTATCTGAAAAAGTTATTATAATACTCCTCCTTTTTTCAAGTACATATCTGTGTAATGCTGGATTTTATTCATATACTTCAACCAAAGCCATATATTGCAATAGACCCATTGCAGAAGCAGATCTGAGAATCCAACTGTTTTCTGTTAAGCAGTCATTAGGGAAATTTGTAAAAATGTAAAACAGTGCTACTCTTTAATTTTCTTGTGTTGAAAAACAGTACTTTTTCATAAAATATGTTATTTATATTTACATGTAGTAGGTTTATTATTGTGTTTTAGGATGTATCAATTCTTAAAAATTTCTCTCATTTCAATTTCTAATACAGCAACTCACAAACAAAAGCCCTTTGAATCTTCAATTTTTAAGCGTGCAAAGTGGTCTTGAGATAAAAAATGTGGAGAATCGGTGCTGTATTTATTCCATGTTTGCCATGGCTAGGGGTAAAAAGGAGATGGGAGGGGTGGAAAAGTGAATATTGATAGTGTCCCAGCTGCAACCCTAGTGGGAGAGTTGCACATCATGGAAGTGACATCCCTTAACTTTATCTGCTACTTGGGTAAATCTCTTCATACCTTTTATGGGGCTAAATTTCTTAGGAAACATGAACATCCCTAAGATCCATCAGTAGATGCTAGAAAGTGATAATTTGAGAGCAGGTTTAGCAGAGAAAATGAAAGCATTCCCATACAACCCACTCAAATGCAGAGCTGCTGGCCCGGCCCCATACAAATTTGAGAAAAGTAGGGAGATCAAATGCATGACCTATAATAAAAAGAAAAGAAAATCGCCTGCTGCCAGTTTTATGGCTCCCTACCCTTAGGCAAACATACCATGAGTTTGTATACCCTGGCAGGTACTTTCTTCCCCTAGCGCCCTAGGATTTACAAGACCTGAGCTGTAAAGATGGTAAAGTACTAATATGTAGGATTTTAAGGCACAGGCAAAGCCTCAGGACAAGCATTTGGATTCTTACAGATGATGATGGTTAAGCATTTAATCACCAAGAGTTCTATGTATTAACCAAGGTTTGGTGCATTTATGGACAAGTTGGTATTGAATTTTTTAAATTTAGATATATATGAATCTGCTACAAGATACATTCTCCTTCAGACTATCACAAATTTTCTTTTCCTTTTAAAAGTGACTTCTTATTTTCAGTGAAGGAAACAAATTATTACTATGTCAGTGATAAGGCCCTTCAGTAAATCAATAATGTTTCAATAAAATTCTGAGAACATGCAAATCATTCTACTAAAATTATCAGTGAAATGGCTTGGCTCTCCAGAAAAATCCAATGTAGTTTCTTTGAAGAGTGATAAAATTACTTTCTCTATCTCAATTCTGGTGACTTAATTTGAAATTTTTAAAAGGGTGTCATTGGTAGAGTTACAGGTCCTAGGAGAATTGGAAAAATGGCAGTCCTAACTGATAACACATTATCTTAGTTTCTTGTATAACTGCCCTCATTTTTCATCTTCATTTTAGTAACTAAGAGTTAGGATTTGAGAACACTTGGGCCAGGTCTGCTATTATCTTCAGCAATCTTTGAAATTCCCACCTCTCCCTAGAGTAGCTAGACAAAATTTTTCAGCAGTCAATGGCAAAAATAAGAGAGATCTGAAATGCAAACACTTTTCACTTCCTCTAGCAATTCCTCTTGCTCCAGAAGAATAGGACTTCACGTGTGTTTATGAAAGAAAAGCGGGCAGAGAAATATTATTAAGGTGAATAAACGGTGGTATTATGTCCATTTCAATGCCAGTATCTTCCATGATCATTCCTGGGCTATAAAGAACACACACCACAGAGCTTGTCAAGGATCCTCGTATCTTCCTCACTAATGTTTTTCTTTTTGCTTTAGGGAAGGAAATCTCCTCTGAGACTTCTTGAAAGATGTAGGAGAGAGAAATGGGTACACTGGTCTCATATGAAAATCTATTCCAACATTCCTATCTCTTTAGCTTTTGGAGTCCTTTCAAATATTATGCAAGAGAAGTTATGGCACCAAACTTCATCGAATGTAGGCCATCAATGAGGCAAAAATTTAGTCATTCCAGAAAGCTATTAGAGCCATTTCTAGCTTTATCTAAAACATTAAATCTAGACTATCTGGTAAATGTTCTTATATCAATATGTTAATCCTGAGACAAAATTATATTCTGTTCCTTTTAGCCTAACACCCTTGTATACTATTCTCACACATATTTTCTTGGTTTTTTCTATATGAATTATCAAAATCCTGCTTTTTTTTTTTTTTTTTTTTTTTTTTTTAGGTATAGGCAATTTATCCCCAGGTCTGAATCTCCATTCTGTTTGAGTATGCTGAGATCTAACTCAAGTTTAGGTCTAGACTAAAAAATAATCAGCAATGGGGATGGGTCTTGAGGATAATAAGTATCCCTTGTAAGGCAGCTGCTTCAGATGAATTGATTATAGAGTTTTCAAGAAGGAAAGGTCAATCTTCTCTGTTGTTTTTGTTTTTGTTTTTTGAGACGGAGTTTCGCTCTTGTTGCCCAGGCTGGAGTGCAATGGCGCAATCTCGGCTCACCGCAACCCGCCTCGGCCTCCCAAAGTGCTGGGATTACAGGCGTGAGCCACCACACCCAGCCTTTTTTTTTTTTTTTTTTTTTCCCGAGACGGAGTTTCGCTCTTGTTGCCCAGCCTGGAGTACAATGGCGTGATCTCGGCTCACCGCAACCTCAGCCTCCCGGGTTCAAGCAATTCTCCTGCGTCAGCCTCCTGAGTAGCTGGGATTGCAGGCATGCACCACCACGTCTGGTTAATTTTGTATTTTTTTAGTAGAGACAAGGTTTCTCCGTGTTGGTCAGGCTGGTCTTGAACTCCCGACCTCAGGTGATCCGCCCTCCCCGGCCTCCCAAAGTGCTAGATGACAGGCGTGAGCCACCGCGCCTGGCAATCTTCTCTGTTATAAGAGGGACTGCTTCTGCTTATTCAGAGGGACCTGGGCATTTAGCTTCATCCAAGTCCAACGCAAGTCTTAGAATCCCGCTTGCTCCCAGTGCCCTGATTGTCACATAAATGACTTGATGAGTCTCTAAATTTAATTTCCATTTTAATTCTGCAACCCACCTAGTTATATTTTTAATAATGTTGATCTTATAGCTATAAGAAATCAGAAACTTTTTTCAAAGTTGCTATAGAAGTTCTCTGTCTCAATTTGACTTGAACTTAGACTTCAAAGTCTTCAATTTGTCACTTTCTGCCTGTAAGGTTTCCAGTGCATAGATGTCATCCCACTCACAGTCCTTGTTGTCATCTGTACTACCACAATGGTAAAATGCAGCAGCCACTTGATCCCTGAAGGCAACTACTTCAATAGGTATTTTTTCCCAAGAAACCATAGATGATACTTTAATTAATCATGATCCTACTTATGTTATAGATTACCAGAATCTTGTTTTCCATTGGCAAGGAACTAAGCATTTCATTCAAGGCCGGCGACATCTACAAATTAATCTCAGAATTTTTGGAGGAGTGGAGACAATGAATATACTATTTTCATAATTAAGTGGTTCTGAGCTGGCATATAATGAGCAGTCCTCTTTATGTCAGTCCAGTCAGAAAAACAAACAAAAAAAAAGCCATACTAGGTATTTCAATGGAGGAAATTTATTTATTACAGGGAAATTGGTTATACAGGCATTAGAGGGCTGAAAAGCAAAATACAAAGGCTGAAAAACCAAAAGTCATCTAGAAATAATAACTTCAGAAAGCAGCTACCACCTCTAGGGCTGGAGGAACAAAAGGAAAAATATGAAGTAACCAGAACTTAGAAGCCCAGAATTGCAACCACAATCTTTGTGGAAGGTAGAACCATCTGGCTGCTGTGGATAATCTCTGAGCGGGTACAGGGGGAATCACTGAGGCTGATTCCAGTAGTGCTGAAAGAAGCTGAAGTGGCACTGCCACTGCTGGGAGAAGTGTCTCTAGGTGAAGAAGCATTGCTGGTCCTGTAAGCAACATTAACAAGAACAGAAAAAACAGGAAGCATATTCTCTCCTTCTGCCTCCCAGTCTCTCTCTAGTGACCCCTATTGGCAGAACTGAACAGGAAGCAAGCTTAAAAAGAAGTCTGAGAAACAGTTTGAGGACAACTAGCCCCATCATTACAGGGAAGAAGAGTACAGAAGGTAGATTTAGAGGTGAGGGGCAATAAGTAAATGACTCGCACAGATGGTGTTCATGCTCAATGTTTCTCTTCTGAACAATTTTCAGATTTGGTGTTAAAGCACCTTCTGGCCAGGCGTGGTGGTTTATGCCTGTAATCCCATCACTTCGAGAGGCGGAGTCGGGTGGGGATTGCTTGAGGCCAGGAGTTCAAGACTACCCTAGGCAACATAGTGAGATGCTCGTCTCTATTAAAAAAAAAAAAAAGAAAAAAAAAGGGGACCCAAGGCCATATATCTGTTTCATTCCTAGAAACTCTCCACAGTGTCAGATGAAGACTGCAAATCCAGTGGTCCTACATTCACAGATAATTCCTAGCCTAGTAAAAACAGAGAGAAACAGAAATAAACAACAATATTAGTTTGAGTAGCTGGAGAGGATCACAGGAGTAATAATTCTTTGCCCTCCTCTCAACCCCAGAAATTAAAAGAATAATTGTAGTATTTTCATAAATAAGAAGTAGTTTGCTAGTCACTGACTTATATCATAAACGTTAGACACTATAATTCTCAATGTGCCTCAGTTACCACATCTGAAAAAAAATGATGATAATAATATCTACCTCACACCAATCTCTTCAGAAATCTTACAGGGAGACATTACTGTGGATTACATCAAGTTGGCAGGCTAAGTGTCTGTTAAAGATTAGCATAAACCTGATGTCAAAGCTGGAGGACAATAGACCATGAAAACAAAAGAAGAAATCTCTGGCAAGTCTCAATTACAAATATGAATTTTAAAATTATAAATATGTATTACCTAATTAAATCTAACATTATAATATTTTTAAAAATCAATTCATCATGACCCAGTAGGATTTATTCTAAGAACGTCAGGATGCCTCAACATTGGGAAATGTATAATGTAATTAATTACATAAACTCAGATTGAAGGAGAAAATCATGTGTTCATCTTGGTAAATGCTAAAAACAGCATTGTAAAGATTAAATACTTATTTCTAAATTTAAAAAGAGAAACTCCTTAACGAAGAATTATTAGAAGCCTACCTAAAATATCATGCTTTCATGATGAAACACTGGAAGTATTCTTACTAAAGTCAGGAACAAGACAAGGATACCTGCTGTGTCATCTCCAAGTTTAGACTATAAGTTGTAGACAATGAGATTTGATAAGAAAAGTAATTAAGAGGTACCAACATGAGAAAGGGAAATATTATTTACAGCTGAAATTTTAGAACTAATAAGATATTTAGTAAAGAATGGGCAAATACAAGATCAACACACAAATTTGTGGAAATATACAACCCTCCTAGATTCAATCAGGAAGAAATAGAAACCTGGAACAGACCAATAACAAGCAGTAACAATGAATCAGTAATTTTTAAAAATTGCAACAAAAATAAGTCCAGGACCAGATGGATTCACAATTGAATTCTATCAGACATTCAAAGAAGAATTGGTACCAATCCTACTGAAACTATTCCAAAAGTGGAGAAAAAGGGAATCCTCCCTAAGTCATTCTGTGAAGCCAGTATCATCCAAATACCAAAACCAGGAGACGACTTAACAAAAGAAAACTACAGACCAGTATCCCTGATAGACATAGATGCAAAAATCCTAAAAAACAAAAACAAAAAACTAGCTAACTAAATCCAATCACATATCAAAAGATAATACATCATGATCAAGTGGGTTTCATACCAGAGATGCAGGAATGATTTAATGTATACAAGTCAGTAAATGTGATATACTACAGAAACAGAATTAAAAACAAAAAAGCAGAAAAAGCATTTTAGAAAATCCAGTATCACTTTATGATAAAAACTCTCAACATAGAAGGGACATAACTCAAAGCAATAAAAGCCATAGACGACAAACTCACACTGAACATAATACTGAATGGGGAAAAGTTGAAAGCATTCCCCCGAGAACTGGAACAAGACAAAGATGCCATTTTCACTGCTTCTATTCAACATACTACTGGAAGGCCTGGCTAAAGAAATCAGACAAGAGAAAGAAATAAAGGGCATCCAAATAGAAATACAGGAAATCAAACTGTTGCTGTTCACTGACAGTATGATCATATAACTAGAAAACCCTAAAGACTCATCCAAAAATCTCCTAGATCTGATAAACGAATTCAGTACACTCTTTGGATACAAAATCAATGTACACAAATCAGTAGCACTGCTATACACCAACAACCAAGCTGAGAATCAAATCAAGAACTCAATCCCTGTTACAACAGCTGCAAAATACAATACAATACTCAGGAATATACTTAACCAAGGAGGTGAAAGATCTGTACAAGGAAAACTATAAAACATTGCTGAAGGAAGTCATAGATAACACAAACAAATGGAAACACATGCCATACTCATGAATGAGTAGAATCAATATTGTGAAAATGACCATACTGCCTAAGGCAATTTACAGATTCAATGCAATTCCCACCAAAATGCCATCATCATTCTTCACAAAACTAGAAAAAACAATTCTTAAATTCATATGGCACCAAAAAAGAGCCCATACAGGCAAAGCAATACTAAGCAAAAAGAACAAATCTGGAGGCATCACACTGCCTGACTTCAAATTATACTATGAGACTACAGTTACCAAAACAGCATGTTACTGGTATAAAAATAGGCATGTAGACCAATGGAACAGAACAGAGAATCCAAAAATAAGACCAAATGCTTACAGCCAACTGATCTTTGACAAAGCATACAAAAACACAAACTGGGGAAAGGATACTCTATTCAATAAATGGAGCTGGGGAAACTGGCAAGCCACCTATAGAGAATGAAACTGGATCCTCATCTCTCAGCTTACACAAAAATCAATTCAAGATGGATCAAAGACTTAAATCTAAGATCTGAATAAAAATTCTAGAGGATAACATCAGAAAAACCCTTCTAGACATTGGCTTAGGCAAGGAATTCATGACTAAGAACCCAAAAGCAAATGCAACAAAACAAGAATAAATAAATGGGACCTAATTAAACAAAGAGCTTCTGCATAGCAAAAGAAATAATCAACATAGTAAGCAGACAACTCACAGAGTGGGAGAAAATATTTGCAAACTATGCATCCAACAAAGGACTAATAACCAGAATCTATAAGGAACTCAAACAAAGAAAAAAAAATAAGCCTATTGAAAAATGGGCAAGGAACACGAATAGAAAATTCTCAAAAGAGGATATACAGGCTGGGCGTGGTAGCCTGTAATCCCAGCACTTTTGGAGGCTGAGGTAGGTGAGTCACTTTGAGCTCAGGAGTTCAAGACCAGCCTGGGCAACAAGGTGAAAACCTATCTGTACAAAAATTAGCCAGGTATGGTGGCTCATACGTGTAGTCCCAACTACTCAGGAGGCTGAGGCTAGAGGATCACTTGAGCCCAGAAAGCAGAGGTTGCACTGAGCTGAGATCACACCACTGCACTCCAGCTTGAGTAACAGAGCAAAACCCTGTCTCAAAAAAAAAAAAAAAGGAGGCAATAAACATATGAGAAAATGTTCAACATCACTAATTATCAGGAAAACACAAATTAAAACCACAATGAGATACCACTTTAATCCTGCAAGAATGGGCATAATTTAAAAGTTAAAAATCAATAGATGTTGGTGTGGGTATGGTCAAAAGGGAACACTTTTACACTGCTGGTGGTAATGTAAACTCGTACAACCATTAAGGAAAACAGTATGGAGATTCCTTAAAGAACTAAAAATAGAACTACCATTCAATCCAGCAATCCCACTACTGGGTATCTACCCAAAGGAAAACAAGTCATTATATGAAAAAGACACATGTACACACATTTATAGCAGCACAACTCGCAACTGCAAAAATGTGGAACCAACCTAAGTACCCATCAACCAACCAGTGGATAAAGAAATATGGTGTATATATACACCATGGAATACTACTCAACCATAAAAAAAAAATGAAATAATGTCTTTTGTAGCAACTCAGATGAAGCTGGAGGCCATTATTCTAAGGTAGGTAACTCAGGAATGGAAAACTAAATATCACATGTTCTCACTTATAAGTGGGGAGGAGCTAAGCTAGGAGGATACAAAGGCATAAGAATGAATTAACAGAATTTTGAGACTTGGGGTGGGGGAAGGGTGGGAGGGAGATAAAAGACTACATATTTGTTACAATGTACACTGCTCAGGTGGCAGATGCACCAAATCCCAGAAATCACCACTAAAGAACTTGTCCTGTACTCCAAAAACTATTTAAATGTTTTAAAATTAAAACTTTTAAAAAAAGATCAACACACAAAATTCAGTAACTAGGGACTTTCATCTGCCCATACTGGCAGAGTACCTTGGTTATACTAACCCTCATTTAGATAACAATAATAAAATCTGGAAAAAAAATTAAAATTACTTAAAGGCACTGGAGGCTGGGTGTGGTGGCTCACACCTGTAATCCCAGCACTTTGGGAGTCTGAGGGGGGCAGATCACCTGAGGTCAGGAGTTCAAGATCAACATGGTGAAACACTGTCTCTACTAAAAACACAAAAAATTAGCCGAGCATGGTGATGCATGCCTGTAATCCCAGCTACTCGGGAGACTGAGGCATGAGAATTGCTTGAACCCAGAAGGCAGGGTTACAGTGAGCCAAGATCATGCCACTATACTCCAAACTAGGCGACGGAGCGAGACTTCATCTCAAAAATTAATAATAAAATAAAATAAAGTGCCTGACAGATAAGTAAGTGCTTAATAAGGCAACAAGGGGAATTGCTTACGGCCAGGAGTTGGAGACCAGCCTGGGCAACATAGCAAGACCCTATCACTATGAAAAATAAAAACGTAGCCAGGCCTGGTAGTGTATGCCCATAGTCCTAGCTACTTGGGGGACTGAGGCAGATGGATCCCTTGAGCCCAAGACTTTGAGGCTGCAGCGAACTATGCACTCTAGCCTGGGTGATAAAGATAGACCCTGTCTCAAACCACACACACAAACACAAAACATGACACCTCCAAAGGAACACAATAATTCTCTGATAACAGATCTGAAAGAAAAGGAAATTTATGAAATGCTTGAAAAGAACAGAGAAACTCAGTGAGTTACAAAAGAACACAGGTAAAAAATAGAAATCAAAGAAACAATTTATGATCTGAATGAAAAATTCAACAATGCAATAGATATCATTTAATAAAAAACAAACAGGTGGCCGGGTGCGGTGGCTCACGCCAAAGTAATCCCAGCACTTTGGCAGGCCGAGGCGGACGGATCACGAGGTCAGGAGATCAAGACCACCCTGGCTAACATGGTGAAACCCCGTCTCTACTAAAAAATACAAAAAAATTAGCCAGGTGTGGTGGCGGGCGCCTGTAGTCCCAGCTACTCAGGAGGCTGAGGCAGGAGAATGGCATGAACCCGGGAGACGGAGCTTGCAGTGAGCCGAGATCGCGCCACTGCACTCCAGCCTGGGCGACAGAGCGAGACTCCGTCTCAAAAAAAAAGAAAAAAGAAAAAACAAACAGAAATCCTGGAACTGAAGAATTTGATGAATAAAATAAAAAATACTATAGACAACTTCAACAATAGACTAGATTAGGCGTAAGAAATAATTTCTGGCTGGGCACATTGGCTCATGCCTGTAGTCCTAACACTTTGGGAGACCGAGGTGAGCAGATCACTTGAGGTAAGGAATTCGAGACCAGCTGGGCCAACATGGTGAAACCATGTCTCTACTAAAAATACAAAAATTAGCTGGGCGTGGTGGCACACACCTGTAGTCCCAGCTACTCAGGAGGCTGAGGCAGGAGAATCACTTGAACCCAGGAGGCGGGGGTTGCAGTGAGCTGAGATTGCACCACTGCACTCTAGCCTGGGTGATAAAGTAAGACTCCATCTCAGAAAAAAAGAAAGGAAGGAAGGAAGGAAAGAGAGAAAGAGAGAGAAAGAAAGAAAGAACGAAAGAAAGAGGAAGGGGAGGGGTAAGGGGAAGGGGAAGGGGAGGGAATTTCTGAACTTGAAGACAACTCGGAAAAAAAAAATGAAGAAAGCCTACATAACATATAGAACACCACAAAGTGACCAAATGTTCAAATTCTGGGAGTTTCAGAAGGAAGAGAAACGAGCAAAGGCATAGGAAATCTATTTAACAAAATAATAGCTGACAACTTCCCAAGTCTGGCAAGAGATTTAGACATCCCAGATACAGCTCAGAGATCCTCAAATAGATTCAACCCAAAAAGGTCTTCTTCAAGACATATTATAGTCAAACTATCAAAAGTCAAAGACAAAGAGAATTCTAAAAAGAGCAAGATAAAAGCATCAAGTCATGTATACGGGAATCCCCATCAGACAAACAGCAGATTTCTCAGCAGAAACTTTACAGGCCAGAAGAGAATACAATGGTATGTTTAAAGTGCTGAGAGAAAAACACTACCAGCCAAAAATACTAAACCTAGCAAAGATATCCTTCGAAAATGAAGAGAAATAAAATGCCAGACAAGCAAAAACTGAGGGAATTCATCACCACTAGACTGGTCCTACAAGACAGGCTTAAGTCAGTCCTATATCTGAAAGCAAAAGGACAATATTTGCCAACAAGCAAACCCATGCAAATGTAAAACTGGTACAGTAGATATATAAATAAGAAAGAGAAAGAAGTCAAACATTACTGCTACAGAAATCCACTAAACCTCAATGGTAAACAGTAAAAGAGGAAGAAAGGGACCAAGGATATACAGACAAGCAGAAAACAACAAAATGACAGAAATAAGTTCTCACATATCAATAATAACTTTTGTTTTTTGTTTGTTTGTTTGTTTGTTTGTTTTTAGACAATCTCACTCTGTTGCCCAGGCTGGAGTGCAGCAGCCTGTTCTCGGCTCACTGCAACCTCTGCCTCCCAGGCTCAAGCAATCCTCCCGCCTCAGCCACCTGGGTAGCTGGGACTACAGGCACACACCACCATGCCTGGCTAATTTTTGTATTTTTTGTAGAGATGAGGTTTTGCTAAGACATCCAGGCTGGTCTCAAACTCGTGGACTCAAGCAATCTTCCCACCTCAGATAAAGAATAATGTTATCTCCATTATCTGGCAAAAGGCATTACTAAATTGGATGCCCAATTAAAAAAAGAAATGTTGATGAAAGTGAACAAATAAAATGGAATAGGGAGTTTCCTACCACTCATTGATTGTTATGGTACCAGTTGAATTAATATATTACATTAACAGTTGCATTACATCAAAAAAACTATATGATTATCTCAACAGATGTAGATAAGTATTTGATCCCCTCACAATAAAAACTCTCAACAAATTAGGCACAGGAGGAACATACCAAAACATACTAAAGGCCATATATGACAAACCCACAGCTAATCTACTCAATGAGAAAAGCTGAAAGCCTTTCCTCTAGGAACTAGAAGACAAAAATTCTCACTTTCACCACACTTATTCAACATAGTACCGGAAGTCCTACCCAAGCAATCATGCAAAAGAGAGAAATAAAAGGCATCCAAATTGAAAAAGAGGAAGTGTGGCCAGGACCATGGCTCACACCTATAATCCCAACACTTTGGGAGGCCAAGGTGGGCAGATCAGCCGAAGTCAGGAGTTCGAGACCAGCCTGGCCAACATGGCAAAACCCCGTCTCTACTAAAAATACAAAAATTAGCCAGGTGTGGTGGCATGTGCCTGTAATCCCAGCTACTCAGGAGGCTGAGGCAGTAGAATCACTTGAACCTGGGAGGCAGAGGTTGCAGTGAGCAGAGATCGCGCCATTGCACTCCAGGCTGGGCAACAAGAGTGAAACTCTCTCTCAGGAAAAAAAAAAAAAAAAGTAAAAGAGGAAGTCAAATTGTCCTTCTTTGTAGACAACATGATCTTATATATAGAAAAACCTAAAGATGCCACCAAAAAACTTTTAGGACCAATAAATGAAATCAGTAAAGTTGCAGAATACAAAATCAACATACAAACATCAGTAGCATTTTTATATACCAATAACAAACTAGCTGAAAAACAAATCAATAAAATAATCCCATTTACAATAGCTACAAACAAAATGCCTAGGCATAAATTTAGCCAAGGAAGTGAAAGACCTCTACAAGGGAATCTATAAATCACCAATGAAAGAAATTGAAAAGGACACAAAAAAATGGAAAGACATCTCATCCTTATGAATTGGAAGGATTAATATTGTTAAAATGGCCATACTACTCAAAGCAATTTACAGATTCAATGCAAGCCCTACAAAAATACCAATTACATTCTTTACAGAAATAGAAAAAAAAAATCCTGGGCTGGGCGCGGTGGCTCATGCCTATAATCCCAGCACTTTGAGAGGCTGAGGCAGGTGGATCACAAGGTCAAGAGATAGAGACCATCCTGGGCAACATGGTAAAACCCCATTTCTACTAAAAATACAAAAATTAGCCGGGCGTGATGGCAGGTGCCTGTAGTCCCAGCTACTCAGGAGGCTGAGGCAGGAAAATCACTTGAACCTAGGAGGCAGAGATTGCAGCGAGCCAAGATTGCACCACTGCACTCCAGCCTGGTGACAGAGCGAGACTCTGTCTCAAAAAAAAAAAAAAAAAAAAATCCTAAAATGCGTATGGAACCAAAAGAGATCCTGAATAGACAAAGCAATCCTAAGCAAGAAGAACAAAGCTGGAGGCATCATACATACAAAAATCAATTCAAAATGAATTAAAAACATAAACTTAAGACCCAAAATTATAAAAAATACTAGAAGATAATATAGAGGAAATGCTTCAGGAACATTAGTCCAGGCAAAGATTTATGGCTAAAACTTCAAAAACACAGGCAACAAAAACCAAAATAGACAAATAGAAAATATTAAACTTCAACAAAGGACTAGCATCTAGAATATGTAAAGAATTCTCACGCCTATAATCCCGGCACTTTAGGAGGCCAAAAAGGGAGGACTGCTTGAGACCAGAAGTTCGAGACCAGCCTGGGCAACATAGTGAGACTCTGTCTCTAAAAAAATACAAAATTAGCCAGGCATCCTAGCTACTTGGGAGGCCGAAGCCACAGGATCATTTGATCCCAGGAGTTTAAGGTTCCAGTAAGCTATTATTGCACCACTGTACACCGGCCTGGGTGGCAGAGCACGATCCTGTGCCCCCACCAAAACAAAAAAAAATCCTAAAACACAACAGTAAAAAAAAAAAAAAATCCAATCAGAAAATAAACAAAAAGACATGAAGAGACATTTTATCAATTAAGATATACAGATGGCAAATAACACATTAAGAGATGTTCAAACATATTAGCCATGGGAAAAACGCAAATTAATACTACAGTGAGATATCACTATGCACCTATTAGGATGGCTAAAACATAAATCGTAACAATGCCAAATATTGGCAAGAATGTGGAAACACCTGATCATTCATACATAGCTAATGGAAATGTAAAATGGTACAGCCAAACTGGAAAATAGTTTTTCAATTTTTTAAAAAGTTAGACATGCAATTACCATCCATTATACCATGCATATAATTGCACTCTTAGGCCTATATCCTGGAAAATGAAAACTCATGTTCACACAAAACCTGTACCCAAAAGTTTATAGCACCTTTATTCATAATAGCCAAAAATTGGAAATAACCAAGATGTCCTTCAACATGTAACGGGTTAAACAAATTGTGGTATACCCATACCATGGAATACTGATCAGCAATAAAAAGGAATGAACTATTGTTATACTATCTGGGTGAATCTCCAAAGAATTATGCTAAGTGAAAAAACTTCAATCTCATAAAGTTATCTAATAATGTATGATTCCATTTATATAACACTCTCTGTCGCCCAGGTTGCAATGCAATGGCATGATCTCAGCTCACTGCAACCTCTGCCTCCAGGGTTCAAGCAATTCTCCACCCTCAGCCTCCTGAGTAGCTGGGACTACAGGCGCTGGCTAATTTTTTATATTTTAGTAGAGATGGGGGTTTCACCATGTTGCCCAGGCTGGTCTCAAACTCCTGAGCTCACGCAATCCGCCTGCCTCGGCCTCCCAATGTACTGGGAATACAGGCATGAGCCACTGTACCTGGCCTATATAACATTCTTGAAATGGCAAAACTACAGAAACAGAGAACAGATTAGTGGTTGCCAGGGGTTAAGTGGGAGTGGCAGAGAAATGAGTGTAACTATAAATGGACAACACCAGAGATTCTTGAGGTGATGGAAATTCTCTTTATCTTGATTGTATCAATGTCAACATCCTTGTTGTGATATTGTACTGGAGTTGTGTAAGACTTTACTACTGGGGAAAAGTGAGTAAAGGGTACATGAGATCTCTCTGTATTATTTCTCCCAACTGCATGTGAATCCACAGTTATCTCAAAATAAACTTTAAATTTTTTTAATCTAAGAGGTAAAAAAGAACTGTAAAAAGTAAGAGCAATTTTGGGAGTGGAAAGTAGGAAGGGAGTCAAAACAAGAATGGCAGAATGTTGATCATTGTTGAAACTTTGGGGTGGGTACGTGGCAGTTCATAACTATTCTGTTTACTTTGTATATATTTGAAATCTTCCATAATAAAAGAAAAATTAAATTATCAGGTAGGATACAGAAAAAATATTAATAATAAATAACTTCTCTCATCAATAATTAAGTATTAGAAAATAGAATTTTACAACTGTATTCATGATAAAAACCATAACTATAAAATAACAGAGAATTAACTTTGTAATAAACTCAGATAAAGAAAATTACACAAATATACTGAAAATCCTAAAAAAAAAAAAAAGACAAAAGCAGACCTAAATGGTGGCCTAAATAAATGGAAAAACACATGATGATCCAGACTGAAAAGACTCACTACTATAAAAATGCCAACTCTCCTACATTTAATCTATAATTCCTAACCAAAATCCCAGTGTTATTATTTATAGAGTCTAAAAAGCTCATTCTAATGTTACTACTGAAGAAAAAATGCACAAGATTTTGCCCTGCAATTCTGGGGGGAAAAAAAGAATGAGGGAAAACATTGTATATCAGATATCAAGATAGATTATGCAGTTGCAGAAAATAGTAAAAATTAAATAATGCAATATTAATACTGAATTAGGCAAATGGCTCTGTCTAGAAACAGAATCAAGAATTACAAATGTTTGATATTTTTGAAAGATGGCATTTCAAATTACTGGGATTAAAATGAACTAATTAGCACATTTGAAGCAACTGGCTAAACATTTGGTAAAATAATAAAATAGGTTCCTTTCTCACAGCTATTCAGAATGCACCTCACAAGGATTAAAGAGCACCTGATGCTTTTAAAAATAGCAGAAATATAAGGACACTATTTTATAATCTTAGGGTAGGGGTAGTTGAAGAGTGTCCTTCTTAAGAAGACACAAATCCCAAAAGTCATAAATGTGTGAGGCAAAGTAGCAAACATCTGCCTCTGGCTAGCCACACCGTCTGCCCTTGCTGTGAAGAACCACGTTTGCTCATTCTGCTTGTCAGCATAAACCTCCCAAACCCCTGACTCAGTGACTGAGCTCAGCTCTCTGTAAAAATGCTTGAAGACCATAAGCAGGATAGAGCACAGTTTCCCATGTCTGAATCACTGCATTTTTGGAAAAGATAAGTTCAATGAGCCGTTGCCTTTTCCTATCCATAAGATAACATCTGACAGGATTAATGAATATACCTCTGTAATCTATAACCAGACGTACTCTCGCTCCTGGACTTTGATGAGATTTTGCTCTAATGTAACCTCTGAGCACCTTTAGGTAACTTCCGAGCACATGCAGAACCTCCACCGCCTGTATAGAAGCGAGGGCTGAAACGCTGCTTTGAAGCAGTCTAACAGAGACTCTCTGAAAGACTCTCCCGGGTTGCAGTGCTCAGTAAGACTCTGAATAAAACTAACATTGTAACTTCTGAGAATTAACTAACGTTAATTCTTTAAAAGCCTGACTTTTTAAAAATTATTTAAAAGCCTGACAAATGAAAAGACTGATTTCATAATTTTATTTATTTTTTTTGAGACAGGGTCTTGCTCTGTCACCCAAGCTGGAGTGCAGTGGTGCCATCATGGCTCACAGCAGTCTCAACTTCCTGGGCTCAAGCAACCCTCCCCCCTCAGCCTCCCAAGCAGCTGAGACTATGGGTGTGCACCACCACACCAGACTTGATTTCATAAATATTAAAAACTTTTTCTTCAGCAAGAAAAAAGATAACAATGTAACAGCAAGGTGGGAAACATACCTAACCCAGTATTCATAATCAAAATATTTTAAGAGATTTTACAATCAATAAGACACAGACCAGCCTGGGCAACTTAGTGAGACCTCGTTTCTACAGAAAAATGGAAGTAATAAATAAATAAAAATCAGCCAGACATGGTGGCATGCGCCTGTAATCCCAGCTACTTGGGAGGCTGAGGCAAGAGGATCACTGGAGCCCAGGAGATTGAGGTTGTAGTTAGTCATGACTGCACCACTGCACTCCAGCCTGGGTGACAGAGTGAGACCCTGTCAAGAAAGAAAGAAGGAAGGAAGGAAGGAAGGAAGGAAGGAAGGAAGGAAGGAAGGAAGGAAGGAAGGAAGTGGGGAGGGAAAGAAAGGAGAAGGAAAGGAAAGGAAAGGAAAGGAAAGGAAAGGAAAGGAAAGGAAAGGAAAGGAAAGCAAAGGAAAAGGAAAGGAAAGGAAAGGAAAAGGAAAGGAAAGGAAAGGAAAGAGAAAAAGAGAGAAGGAAAGAAACAAAAAAGAAGGAAAGAAAGAAAGAGAGAAAAGGGAGAGAAAGAAAGAATGAAAGAGAAACAGAAACAGAAACTCACCCCACAGGGAAAATGGGAAAGCCTCTGAACAGGCAGTTCACAGAAGAATAAATGTAAATGGTTGATAAACTTACAAAAAGATGCTCAACCTCATTAGTAGTTAAGAAAATTAAAATGAGTTTTTAATCTTCATGGCAAAATTTAGAAAGACTGATACTATACAAAGCAACGTTGACCATAGGAGAAAGATACTGTTGTGTACTATTTATGGAAGTGTACATTGGTAAGGCTTTCTGGGGTACAATTTAATACATATCCTTTCAGCCTGAAAGTTTAAGCCATGTTAGAAATCTAACCTACAGAAGTACACACATAGATGTGCAAAGATGATGTATATACAGGACATTCATTGTAGCATTGTTTCTAATGTTGAAAAATTAGAAACAACTCAAGAATCTTTTCATAAGGGAATGATTAAATAAATCAACTGGGAAACTATGCACCTATTAAAAAGAAAGATTTACATGCTGACATGAAAATTTCTTCAAGGCATATTGATAAGGCCAAAATATTATAAATATTTTATAAATTGTGGAATAATTTATAAAATATATCAGTCATATACACTAATATATATACATATACATCTGGATATATAAAAAACAATTAACTGTGGTTACCTTTGGTTAGTGAGGAGAATGGGATGGGAGGACACAAAATGAGAACTTTTTTGTGGTATGCTCAATTCTGCAAGTAATAAAAATATCACAATAAGAATGATTTCTTGTGAAATGTTTGTAATTACAGTTTTTTGTTATAGACTACATACTACATAGGAGGCACGCAAAGCCCCGAAGTAATGATACTGCATAAATCCAAGGCACTGATATTATCGTACTCATTATTATTGTCAGCGTTCTTATCCTCCACAGCTATCAACACTGATATGCCTTTCATCAGAGAAATTTAAACAAGATTTACAAATAGAAGTTCATTTAATCACAGAGCACACCTTTGAGGCAAGGCTATAATTCCAAAATACAGACATAATAAATGACTTGCTTAGAGTCTCAAACAAGTCAGGAAATGATCCAGAGCCAGGATTCCACTCTCGTACAAATAAATATATATACTGGCTCTCAGCACAGTGCTATAAATAACCCCATCTGCTGGCATTTCAGTTTCTCCCCAAGTAATTGAGTGTTTAAATGACCTGTAAACCTTCACTTTGGCTTTAAAAATTGTCTATATCTAGCATTCTTTTTAAAGGGATGGCTTTTAAAAGTTTAACATCAACCTTCCCGAGAAAGTTAAGGGAGTAAGATTAATTTTCACCTTCTGTAAGAGGGCAACTCTGGAAGAACATACTATTTTTCCAAATGACAGTTCTGACTATATTATTTAGCCCAAGATCAATAACTTAGCAGAAGTACTTTGTAACTGCATTATCCCAATCCTGAAAACTTTCTTAAGAAAAGGAAGTATAAAAGACACTGATCTGAATCAGGAAAACTGATCCAAGCACTGTCTATTCCAAAAACTGTATGTTGCATATAGTTTTGCATAAACCCATCAACTTCTCTAAACCTGAGATTCCTCATTCCTTGTAAATAGGGATAAGAATACCTCCCTGCTTAATTAAATAAGTTGTCTCAAGTTTCAAATGAGAGAGAGATTGTGAAGGTACTCTGTATGTTCCAGACAAATGATTATTAATGGACCAGGTGCAGTGGCTCACACCTGTAATCCCAGTACTTTGGGAGGCCAAGGTGAGCAGATCACTTGAGCTCAGGAGTTTGAGCCCAGCCTGGGCAACACGGTGAAACCCCATCTTTACCAAAAATACAAAAAAAAAGCTGGGAGTGGGGGTGGGCACCTGTAGTCCCAGCTACCAGGGAGGCTGAGGTGGGAGAATCACTGGAGCCCAGGAGGCGGAGGTGGCAGTGAGCCAAGATTGTGCCACTGCACTTCAGCCTGGGCGACAGAGTGAGACCCCATCTCAAAAAAATTATTTTAATTAAATTATTATTATTTGAAACTTGGGTTCTCAATACAAGTAAACCTGTCCTTCTCCCCGAAAATATGAGAAAGTGTCTGATTTGTAATATTCAAGCCTCTCAATTTGGGGCCCAATAATTAGTTTATTTTCTAGACCAATAGTTTCAACTACAGGGTTTAGAAAAGGAGTATATGACATTTATTTGTGAGGTGTGTCATGATTTCATGATTTAAAGTAACAAAGTAATTAGCCTTTTATAAATCAAAGAGAATTACACTAGAGATGTTGCAATATCTGCCACAGTTCTTTTCTGAGTGAACTGCCCTCCTTCACCTTCTGCTGTACCTGCTGTACACACCAATCCTGACTTTTTCTTTTTTTTGAGACGGAGTCTCACTCTGTTGCCCAGGCTGGAGTGCAATGGTTCAATCTCAGCTCACTGCAACCTCTGCCTCCTGGGTTCAAGTGATTCACCTGTCTCAGCCTCCTGAGTAGCTGGGACTACAGGCGTGCACCACCACACCCAGCTAATTTTTGTATTTTTAGTAGAGACGGGGTTTCACTATGTTGGCCAGGCTGGTGTCAAACTCCTGACCTCAGGTGATCTGCCTGCCTCGGCCTCCCATAGTGCTGGGATTACAGGCATGAACCACTGCGCCTGGCCTTTTTTTTTTTTTTTTGAGACAGTCTCGCTCTGTCACCCAGGCTGGAGTGCAACAGTGTGATCTCAGCTCATTGCAACCTCCACTTCCTGGGTTCAAGCAATTCTCCTGCTTCAGCTTCCGGAGCAGCTGGGATTATAGGCTTGCACCCCATCATGCCCAGTTAATTTTTGTATATTCCTGCTCTTTTTTTTAACCACAACCAGATCTGGATTAAAAGGTAAGCAGTTGGGGCGTTGCCCAAATCATTTATCTGAAAGGGGCACTGAAATATCACTGGAATAATCAGTAACTATAGAGCCAATTAACATTTGCATAGGCAAATTCTTACACAAGTAGAGGAATATAAATTTTTTCCTGCTTCAGGGAAGTGGAAACTAAAAACAGTAGTATTAATCTTTCAATCTAAATAACAGAGGGAGGCTCTCTAGAAGAAAACGATGTTTATTTGGGAATACAGCATTCCAGTGGGAATATGTGTGCCATAGTAAACTATGTGCACATTCAGGGAGGTAAGGGAAGACAAAGGTTTTTAAAGGAAAAAATGTGGAGGATTATAATAATTATTTTGAGATAATTATCTTTGGCTACAAAGATCAGTAACAAGGGTGACAGCAGCCCAAGACTGCACAGGGAGTTGCTGGGGAGATGTCCTTGAAGAACTATTTTTTGTCTAAGATTTTGACAGCGTTTGTGCAAGGTTGTGGTTTTGCAGTGTTTTGTGACAGTTTTTGTTAGCAGGCATCTGTGCATGAGAATCCTCTTAATGGCCTTCCTGGGTTCTATTTGTCTGGGTTTTTTTGTTTGTTTGTTTTTTTCCCCCACACTAGTGACTCTATCTTGATTCTGACAATTTTCACAAACCTAAGAGTTACTGGATTTGTTTTTGTTGTTGTTTGAGACAGGGTCTTGCTATGTTTCCCAGGCTGGTCTGGAACTCCTGAATGGCATAAAATGTTACAAGGGATTGCATCTGAAGAAGGAGCCAAGAAATGTTTTTTTGTTATTGTCTATAATATTTTTAGTTCTACTTGAATTTTTAAACTCTATGCTTGCATTGCTTGGATAAAAATTAAAATCAAAACAAAACAACAAAAAGAATACCTCAAACTTGGGCCTTTAAGCCAGAACAAGTAAACTACACATCACAAGATCACTAGCTAAGGAGAGGGAGCTCCAGACATTCCTGTCCATAGTTGCCTTACTTCCCACCTAGCACTGTCACTGTGTAACATTGAAAACAAATTTTAAAAGCAAAAACAGTTTTGGGTCAGTGTGGTGGCTGGCTCATGCCTGCCACCCCAGCACTTTGGGAGGCAGAGGCGGACAGATTGCCTGAGCCCATGAGTTTGAGAGCAGCCTGGGCAGCATAGCAAGACCCTGTCTCTGTAAAAAGTAAAAAAGAAAAGCAAAACCAGTTTAATGAAAACCTTAAATGCCCAGTTAAAGAGTTGATCATGCCAAAAAGGGGATAACTTTGAGTAAAAAAATGACTTTAGGCTGGGTACAGTAGCTCATACCTGTAATCCTAACACTTTGGGAGGCTGAGGCAGGAGGATCACTTGAGCCCAGGAGTTCAAGACTACCCTGGGCAACATGACGAGACCTCATCTCTACAAAAAATACAAAAATTAGCCTGGTGTGGTGGTGGTGGTGCGTGCCTGTAGTCCTAGCCACTCGGGAGGCTGAGGTGGGAGGATCACCTGAACCCAGGAGGTTGAGGCTGCAGTGAGCCATGATGGCATCACTGCACTCCAGCCTGAGCAACAGTGAAACCTCATCTCAAAAAAAAAAAAAAAAGACTTTAATGTCTGTATTTTAGATAAAGTGCTTTTCTGTGTGTAGGATAAATTTGATAGAGATTGTCTGGTAGCTAAGAGATTGGTTAAGGAAATTGATAGTAAGCCCAGAGTGATGGCAGAAGAATTGGAGAGAAAAGTTGGTCTTAGAGATTAGAACAATGGAGGACTTTTTCTTGTTATTATTATTTTATGTATTATTTATGCATTTATTATTTTTATAGAGATGGGGTCTTGCTATGGTGCCCTGGTGTCAAACTCCTGGGCTCAGGCAATCCTCCTGCCCTGTCCTCCCAAAGTGCTAGGATTACAGGCATTGGCCACCATGCCTGGCCAAGGACTTCTTGGTGGCTGATCAGGGTCCTTTTTAATGGTAAGGCTCAGCCTCCTTACCTAATACATTACTGTAATATTATTCACAATAGTTTTCTGCCTAATATAAATCAAGTATGCACATAAACACAGTTTGTAGTTCCCACAACCAGCATCACACCTAATCCAGGTTCTGCCACTAATTAGTTCTTGGAACTGGGGCAAGTTATTTACCTCTTTGTGCTTAATTTCCTTATCTGTAAAATAAGGTTAATCAACTGATAAAATTGTTGTGAACAGTAAAAGACTTAATAAATTTACAAGTGTATAGGCCAGGCCTGGTGGCTCATACCCGTAATCCCAGCACTTTGGGAGGCCAATGCGGGTGACTCGTTTGAGGCCAGGAGTTTGAGATCAGCCTAGCTAACATGGCAAAACCCCATCGCTATAAAAAAATACAAAAATTAGCCAGACACGGTGGCATGCACCTGTAGTCCCAGCTACTCAGGAGGCTGAGGTGGAAAGATCATTTGAGCCCGGGAGGTTGAGGTTGCACAGAGCTAAGATCGTGCCACTGCACTCCAGCCTAGGCAACAGAGTGAGACCCTGACTCAAAAAAACAAAAACAAAAACAAAAAAAGCGTATACAATAGCTCCCCGGCCTACATTATGTATTCAATAAATGCTAGCTATGTATTACTGGTCTGAGTTCTACATTGTCTGTATTTTTTCTTATCTGTCCCATCAACATTCTGTAATAATTTGACAAAACGATTACAAAAAAAGTTAAGTTTCATGAACTTTAATTATGAGACACTTCAGATTTGGGGCCCTATATTAATCCATTCTCACACTGCTATAAAGAAATACCGAGACTGGGTAATTTATAAAGGAAAGAGGTTTAATTGACTCAGCTGCACATGCCTGGGCGGCCTCACAAAATTTTCCAATCATGGAGGAAGGGGAAGCAGGCACGTCTTACAGGGCAGGTCTTACATGACGGCAGGTGAGAGAGAGCATGTGAGACCACAGGAAAAACTACCATTTATAAAACCATCAGATCGTGTGAGAATTCACTTAACTATCAGAACAGCATGGGAGAAAACGTCCTCATAATCCAATCACTTTAATCCTTCCATACGTGGGGATTAAAATTCGATATAAGATTTGGGTAGGGACACAGAGTCAAATCATATCAGGACCTAATTCCTAAACTTTAGATGTACTTATTTAAACACTATTCTGCCTAACAGTTTAATATTTTGGGTTTTCCCTCTTCATGAAGATGTAAACAAGATGTGTAAAGATTGGTTTGGGAGCCCATGGCAAGGACAGGAAAATCAAACACATGTTCTCACTCATAGGTGGGAATAGAACAATGAGAACACCTGGACACAGGGTGGGGAACATCACACACCAGGGCCTGTCGTGGGGTGGGGGGAGGGGGGAGGGATAGCCCTAGGAGATATACCTAATGTAAATGACGAGTTAACGAGTGCAGCACACCAACATGGCACATGTATACATATGTAACAAACCTGCAAGTTGTGCACCCTAGAACTTAAAGTATAATAATAAAAAAAATAAAAAATAAAAAAAGATTGGTTTGGGAGCACATATGTAAAAGGTTTTTCTAAAATATGAAACACGAAAATATATTATTCCAATATTATTCTGAAGCCAGACAACTCCCGCAATGACAAAATCCCTTGCTCTTCAAGCGCGACTGTACCCCCTTCCCAAAAACGATTTATGCATTTATGGTTAAAGTTCAAATGAAGCTGATTTAATAGAAATAATTTAAAAATAATAATGAGAATATATGGACAGCTTACTATAGGGTGAGATGATGTTGTAATTGACTTTAAAACATTTGGAACTAAATGTCAGTCCTAGGAAATTATGCACTCCTGTAAATTGTGCTATTAAGGGTTAGGTTTCTTTCAACACTTTAGATATTTGATCAGAAGCATATTTAAGAAAAACGAAAGCTGCCCTTGCTTTTGACCCCAAGTTGAGAATTTTCTATCATTGGTGCAGTGCCTGAAAATACGATCCAATCTTCATTTAGTCATTTGTACGGAGTCTGGAAAGGCTAAAACATTGCAAATAATAGGACCTACTCGTACTTTCCCCGCTTAAGAAGCGTATCTATTTCAAGGTGCCTATTTGGAAAAACAGACTCCAGGTCTCCACCACAGAACTTAACACAAAATGAAAGCACACAACCCGCAGCCTTTGGCTGTGGTGTTTTTGAAAACAAGGAAGGGCACAGAACCATGGCTTAAAATACCCGAAAGCTGCAGCCCACAAAAAGAGTATTTCAGGGCGGGTTGGCCGTTCCCTGCAGGCAAACGTTCGGTGCAGGCGGCCGGGCGTTCCTGCGGGGAGGGCGCCACTGTGATGCAAAGACATCAAGCGGACTTTCAGCTTGCCCGTGGACGCTGCGGTGCCGCTTTCCCTATCCAGTCCTGTTCCCGCGGCTCCCCAGCCTACCCCGGGCCGACCAAGAGGTCCGGCGGGGTCTGCGCCGCATCAGCGCCCGCTCGTCAGGCCTAGCCCTCCGCACAGCCAAGGCCGACCAGACCTCTAGACACTCCGTCGTCGGGTGTGGGGCGGAGAAGTAAAGGGCGAGTTTTCTTCCTAGATTCCAGTGGGAACCAAGAAAAGGAGTTGGCAGCTGTGTAAACTGGACCTGGGGTGCGGCCTCCGGGAACAAAAGAGGTGATAAATGCACAGCAGCCGAGGTTCTGCGTGCTCCTTTGGGGCCACTACGAATCCCCGTGAATCACCCCAGCCCGGGCAGAGGGCCAGAAATGATGAAAATGCAGATTCATGGCTTCCACTCCAGCCCTACAAGATCACCAACCGTATCTGGCAGTACCCAGGAATCTGCATTCTCGACAAGCGTCCGCGCCGACGGGGCTAGTGAAGTTTGAGAACAATTGCTTCCTACCCAGCCGCTCCGCTATCACCTAGGTAGCACGGCCGCTGCGGCTGAGGCTGTGACTGCGGCTGCGGCTGGGCCGCGCCTCAACCGAGCTTGGTCCTTTCCTTTGGTCCCGCCCCGCTGCTCAGCGCGGATTGGTGGCGGGACGCAAATCTGGCGCTGATTGGGCGGCGGCAGAGTCGCTCGTGAAGATTGTAGGGTTCGGGTGCTCTAGAGTGCTAAATTTATCTTCAGACCGGCGACCGCGCCAGCCGCGAATCGGATCTCTATGGAGATGGCCTAGGCGATATCCCTGAGCTGAGAGCATCACCCTGTCCCCGAATCCTTCTTTCCTCTCTGTTTTGTTTTTCATTCCCCTCCCTCTCTCCCCTCCCCCTCCAGTCCACGACGACTGGCTGTTGACCCTGTTCAGGCCTCGGTGAAGGTGAGAAGCAGAGCCGCCGCCGCGGCTAAGCGGTGCGCTCTGAAATGGCCGCTTCCTGGAACTGCCTAAGATGGCGGTCGCGGGCTCTGCTGTGGACCGCGGCGCTGCTGTGCAGCCCAGCCGCGGCAAAATCCGTTCTCTCCATCGCTGATGGAGATGAAATAGAGAGATGGTGTTGGGTGCTGAGACGTTTTCATGTGGTCGTTAGCGCAGGCGGCCGCCCGGGGACGCGAGAGAAGACCTGAGGCGAGGGTGGGCTGCGACTGGTAGGGAGCCCCCCAGTCGTGGCAATCTGTGGGCAGCGCGCACCTGTGACAGGGAGGAGCTGAGGGATAGTTGGCCCTGGCTGCACATCCAGGTGACCGTTTAAAAAAGCATTTAGGTGTTGGAAGGAGCATCTGTTCCCACCTTTTTGGCTGGCCTGCACTCAGATCCTGTCCTCCTGACCCTGAGGGTATTGTTCCCAGCCGGAACCGCCCGAAGATAGGGGAGAAAGGATTGTGATACTTGTCAGTTTAACCGGAAGGAGACTAAAGACGGAAGTTTTCCCCGCTCTTCAGGGAGTGGAAAGGAAACTTTACTCTCAAAGGAGTCCAGATTCTTTGTCCTCGAGAAATTCGGGGAAACACCTTCGAAGAGGTGGGGTTGAGGACCTTCTTTCTGAAAACAAAAGCTTCCTACTCTTCTGTGTCCTCTGGCAACGAGAGGGATCCTGATCTTTTACGTGAACCAGCAGCTCCACAGAGTTCTCCGTTGCAAAATCCAAAAGGAGACTGTGGAAGGAGAATCTGCTTTTTTGCTCCCAATAAGAAGCAGGGCTTTATGCTGTTGCTAGTATGAGACCCTCGACTTTCTGGCAGTTATAATCCATTGTTCATCCGTTTCGCTGCATAACCCAACTCCTAGTAACGAGATTTTTTAGTAGTTGGGGAATTAAAAGTATTCAGGAACACCCAAGTAATGGCTAGACACATGGGCTATGCAGTCAAACTTTTTGGGCTCTGAACTTGGTTTTTCACTTACAAGAGGTGTTAGCGAGATGTGTTAACCTGTGTCTGTTTATCTCTAAAGTGGGGTTATTAATAATCCTTGTGTCTTCATAGATGAGATAATCTATATGAGGGATTTAGCAGTAATTGGCATACAGTAAACAATCATCAGTCATTAGACATTGTTTACCTGAGGAGATTGGTCACTGGGGGGCTAAAAATGATTGTAGTGAAAGAACTGCTTCATGTAATAGTTCTATGTATAATTCCATTTTAGATTCAAGACCTAGTTTTAGAGACATTGATGAGGTTGTACTTTTAAAAATTAGGCTTAGTTTCAAGTTCTAGAAAGTGTGGTGGTGGTGTTGTTTTAACATGTTTCTATGAAGTCAGTAGGTGGGGGAACATCTCAAAGCATCTAAATTGCCAAGATATTGAACAGGATGAAAATGTTAGAATTTTTACTATGCTAGGCGTCTTCTCTTTCAGTCCAAGATCTGCATTGCAGTAAAGAATCATTTTCACTGCTTAGATCCAGAAAGAATAAACCCATCTTACGGGTTTATAGTTAGTTCTGCTTGTTACTGTATCTAATTTTAATTTTTCTCATTCTAGGCTTTTGGTTACTCCCCTTCCCACCCCATCCCTTAATTTTATTCTTTTGAAGAGTGCATTTCAAGCTGCCAAGGTGGAGAGAGGGATTACAGAAAGGAGAACACCTTATTTCAGGTATCTTATCCTCTACCCCTTAATAGGAGAACCATTTTGACTCAAGATCTAACATGAGAATACAAAACTTACTCTATAGCCAGGTTATAAAGTTTAAATCAAAAGTAGCTATATTTGGACAGACATAATTTGTATGCCTTGATTTATAGAGTTAATAGTATTCTTTAGCAATCCTTAGATTGCATTATCCTTTTAATTTTGATTTGTTTTATTATATGAGAAATAAACCTCTTAAATGAGAGTTTATTTTTTTTTTTTAGGTCCTGGTTAAGTCGTCACCTGTTGTATAAATAGAATGCAGAGTTATCTGTAAAAATATACATTACTTTCATTGAGTCTTAATTTGGATAATATAAACGTTTATATAATTTAAGTCCAGAGAAACAGTACCTAACTTTTGATATACAATTTATTCTTCATTGTTAACGCATAACATTTAGGATACAGTAGAATTATGTATCTCGCAAAACTTGGAACTGTGTGTGTGTTTAATTCACTTCTTCAGAATTGTTGCTAGCCCTGAAGGGACTTCAGATATATAATAGTATCAACAACTAATACATCTAATGACAGTAGGCATCAAAAGCTAAAAGAGATTTCACAATACTACATACCATGAGACAGGGCTGATAAATTATGGCCCATGCTGTCTGGTTTTGTACGTAAAGTTTTATTGGAACACACCTGTGTCCATTCTTTCATGTATTGTCTATGGCTGCTGTCATGTTACAACTACAGAGTTGAGTAGTTGCAACAGAGACTATATGGCCCTTGACCAAAAAAAGCCTGCCAACCCCTGCCATGGGACATATTCTTCAGGGTCCCTTTCTTAAAAATATGTATAACAACTCTTAATAATTTATTGGCTCAGTGATTCCCAAATTATGTTTTATAGAATATTAATATTCTCTAAGTTAATAAATGTTTTGAGAAAATGATTGATGCTAATATTGGTTTTTCTTTATGGTTGATTTTAATATGTTTATTTAAATATGAGATTAAGACTGCTAAACTCATTTCTATAGCTTTTATTTTTATGTGATAATCTACCTTTAAGAAAAGGTGTACCATACCTGAGAGCACCAGGAAGTCGCATGAGAGATCACCTGATACATGAACGTATGATGTTCCATCTGCGCATTGATGAATAGGCAGCATTTACAAATTAACTGATGTGTTGCTGTATATCATCTCTTTGATGATTGCTCCTCTTCTTTGTATCCTGTCTTATAATTTCAACACATTTGCGATACTCAATGTCTATTCTAAATTAACCATGTTTTGTACCACAAACTCATTGCCCATGGATCTGTTGCTGAAACAAGGAAGTCTTAAACAAGAAGTGGAATCTTTCTGTTATCAGATTGTGTCTGAATCAAATGATCAGAAGGTTGGAATATTACAAAGTGAAGATAAGCAGTTGCAACCTTCAGTTTCTAAAAAATCAGAAGGTGAGCTTTCCAGGGTCAAATTTATATCCAATTCCAACAAAATAACATTTAGTAAAAAACCAAAAAGAAGAAAATATGATGAAAGTTATTTGTCTTTTGGATTTACTTACTTCGGAAATAGAGATGCACCTCATGCTCAGTGTGTATTATGTAAGAAAATTTTATCAAATAGCTCTTTAGCCCCTAGTAAGCTTCGAAGACATTTGGAAACTAAACATGCTGCATATAAAGACAAAGACATAAGCTTTTTCAAGCAACATCTCGATTCACCTGAAAATAATAAACCCCCAACACCTAAAATTGTGAATACAGATAATGAAAGTGCTACAGAAGCATCATACAATGTAAGTTACCATATAGCGCTGAGTGGAGAGGCTCATACTATTGGAGAATTGCTTATCAAACCTTGTGCAAAAGATGTAGTGATGCGGATGTTTGATGAACAATATAGTAAAAAAATAGATGCAGTACAGCTATCAAACAGTACTGTTGCACGTCGAATTAAGGATCTAGCTGCTGACATTGAAGAAGAGCTTGTTTGTAGACTGAAAATTTGCGATGGGTTTTCACTGCAACTAGATGAATCAGCTGATGTTTCAGGACTTGCTGTGCTGCTTGTGTTTGTTCGTTATAGGTTTAATAAGTCTATTGAGGAAGACCTACTCCTGTGTGAATCTTTGCAAAGTAATGCTACCGGTGAAGAAATATTCAACTGTATCAACAGTTTTATGCAGAAACATGAAATTGAATGGGAAAAATGTGTTGATGTTTGTAGTGATGCTTCTAGGGCAGTGGATGGGAAAATTGCCGAAGCTGTCACCTTAATAAAATATGTGGCTCCCGAAAGCACCAGTAGTCACTGCCTATTATACAGACATGCACTGGCAGTTAAAATAATGCCTACATCTCTAAAAAATGTGCTAGACCAGGCAGTACAAATCATCAATTATATTAAAGCTCGACCACATCAATCCAGACTATTAAAAATTTTATGTGAGGAAATGGGTGCTCAGCACACAGCACTTCTTCTAAATACAGAGGTGAGGTGGCTTTCTCGAGGTAAAGTTCTTGTAAGACTTTTTGAACTTCGTCGTGAACTTTTGGTTTTCATGGATTCTGCTTTTCGACTATCTGATTGTTTAACAAATTCATCTTGGCTGCTAAGACTTGCATATCTTGCAGATATTTTTACTAAATTAAATGAAGTTAATTTGTCAATGCAAGGAAAAAATGTGACCGTTTTTACAGTATTTGATAAAATGTCGTCATTGTTAAGAAAATTGGAATTTTGGGCCTCATCTGTAGAAGAAGAAAACTTTGATTGTTTTCCTACACTCAGTGATTTTTTGACTGAAATTAATTCTACAGTTGATAAAGATATTTGCAGTGCCATTGTGCAGCACCTAAGGGGTTTGCGCGCTACTCTGTTAAAATACTTTCCTGTAACAAATGACAATAATGCTTGGGTTAGAAATCCATTTACAGTTACTGTTAAACCAGCTTCATTAGTAGCACGGGACTATGAGAGCCTGATTGATTTAACATCTGATTCTCAAGTGAAGCAAAATTTTAGTGAACTTTCACTAAATGATTTTTGGAGTAGCCTAATTCAGGAATACCCAAGCATTGCAAGGCGTGCAGTGCGTGTACTTCTTCCTTTTGCTACAATGCACCTGTGTGAAACGGGGTTTTCATATTACGCTGCAACAAAAACAAAATATAGGAAAAGACTTGATGCTGCACCTCATATGCGAATCCGACTTAGCAATATTACACCTAATATTAAGCGGATATGTGATAAAAAGACACAAAAACACTGTTCTCATTAAAATTGGAGGAGTTTGCATGTCTCATGATAACCAAATGTAAGATGAAAATAAAAGATGATTTACTTCATCTCTGGTATTTGGGGGATTTAAATAAAATGATTCCATTTTTTTATACTATTTAGATTTTAAGAAGGCTAAAGAATCAAACGTTTTAAACATATTGTGTTATTATTGGTATTTCTTTACATTGTAATTTTAAAGAGTTCCATGATCATAACTGGGAAATAATGATCCCCAAGATAAAGTCCCAGTCCCTTAACATATCTCTTCAGGATCTAATCCCTACCAATCTTTCCGTGTCTACTCTGCAGCTCTCCAATCCCATGGAACTTCTTGCCATTCCCTAAACATATCACACTGTTTTATCGTTTCAGGTCTCAAAAAGCGATTCTGTCCCCATCTTACTTTCTGGTAGGCTCCTATTTGCTTCAACACTTTGACTTGTAGGTACTTTCATTCTCTGTATCTTCCTATTTTGATGCTGTTTCACACTTGTATTTAATGTTTGTGTCTGTCTCAACTGTGAACTCCTTGATGGTCTCACGGTTCCCAATGTTTTCAGACTAAGCTCTTAGAGAGTCTTATTGAGTCTTATCCAAATCTGTGTCTCCATAATCTGGAAAAAGGCTTTACTAAATTAGATGCTCAGTAAAGGAAAAACATGTTGGTGAAAGTGAACCAACAAAAAATGGAATGGGGGATTTCCTACATTCATTGATTGGTATGGTAGCAGGTGTACACACTGCTACCCTTTGGGTTTTTTGGCTCACTTACTCTATTAACTAGAGTTCAGTGTGGCCATTATGCAGAGGTCATCGAGGAATGTCATAGTTTTATGATTCAGGCTGAACTATTGAGGGAGAGGGGATGAAGTGTGAAGAGTATTTTCAGATACTTTGTTTTTTTCTCAGTTCCTATATAGATTATTGTAAATTCCACATGCAGTATAAATTAATGAGACTTTACTGTAGTCAGAGATGCTTAGACCAGAAATCAGTTTGTTCTTATAATACTGTAAAAATTTCCTGACTGAATTTCCTGTCTCTGGGCTACTTTTCCTACATCACGTCATGCAACACAGTTCACCAACTCAGTGTTAAATATTTGTTACTCCTGTAGTCAAGAACTACTGTAGATAACCATTATTTAATCTCATTTATTGAAACTTCCATTTTAGGGAGTAAAGGTACCACCCCCCACCATTAAGGCAGAATGTGGTAAAATGACTAGGTTCAAGTACCTACTTTACTTTGTAATGTACGGTAATCTGAACTTGAACCTCAGTTGTTTCATCTATAAAATTACAATTACGCCTCCTTTGAAGGGTTGTTATCAAGATTAAATGTGAATGTATAAATATAAAGCTCCTAACAGTTGATGATCAGGAGTAGGTGTACAGCATATATTAGTTCTCTGCCATATCCAACTATGTTCCAGTTAAAGTTGAGTCTACACTTCACACTTCTAATCTGGATTTTTATTCTCTGGAGACTCAACAGTTTACTAGACCATGGGACATTTCCTGATCCAAGGCAACAAGATTACATACTTCTAGCCCAGGTTTTTCCTCCTTGTTGCCTTATTAAGCACTTATTTGTCTGTGAGGAACTTTATTTTATTTATTTATTTTTTGAGACAGAGTCTTGCTCTGTCACCCAGGCTGGATTACAGTGGCGCGATCTTGGCTCACTGCAACCTCTGCCTCCCAAGTTCAACCAATTCTCATGCCTCAGCCTCCGAAGTAGCTGGGATTACAAGTGTGCACCACCACCCCCAGCTAATTTTGTTTGTGCTGGAGTAAAGTGGCGTGATCTCACCTCACTGCAACTTCAGTCCCCACCCCCCGCCCGCCCCCCATCCCCCAGCGATTCTCCTGCCTCATCCTCCCGAGTAGCTGGAATTACAGGCACGTGCCACCACACCCAGCTAATTTTTGTATTTTTAGTAGAGACGGGGTTTCTGCATGTTGGCCAGGCTGGTCCCGAACTCTTGATCTCAGGTGATCCACCCGCCTCGGCCTCTCAAAGTGCTAAGATTGCAGGCATGAGCCACCACAGCTGGCCTAATTTTTGTATTTTTAGTAGAGACGGGGTTTCACCATGTTGGCCAGGCTGACCTTGAACTCCTGACCTCAGGTGATCCGCCCACCTAGGCCTCCCAAAGCACTGGGATTACCGATGTGAGCCACTGCGCCCAGCCTGTCAGGCACTTTAATAGTTGCTTTGTATTTATCTATAATCTTTACAACAATCTTATGGGATTCAGTCATTTTTGGACTTGACCTAGGTCATAGGTAATTAGCAGGATTTAGTTTAAAGTAAGTCTTTCCCAAATACAGAGCTTTTTCCCATCATTGCCTTCTGAACTTTTCTAAGACAAACAGTGACTTGGAAGTACAGCCTGAAACTGCCTACTAGAATCTGGACATTTCTTTGAAGTCTTGTGTTTACTTCTAAATTCACCGAAATTGGCTAATTTAAAATATGACTAATTTTCATGTAAAATATAGAGTAAATTGCTGTCAACTACTAATTCCTTAGAAGATGTATCATAATTTCTTATATATGCAATGCTTTTTATTTACTAGTCCCAGAATTATACCCTAGTTTGAGAAGGATGTGCAGTTCCTTAATATCTGTGTCCAGCATATACCTCAAGCCTGGTAACTAGACTCCTGCGATTGCTGAGTTCGAGCCCTTCATTAGATTATTTGTCCAAGATGTCAGCCTCTTAAAATATAAAACCATTCTTGTTTTCCAGTCCTTTTCCCCTAACCTCCTTGGAGACTAGATTCCTGCTCTTAAGTCCAAGTCCATTATCTGAGACCCTGCTGTCTGCTACTAGACCTTTTTAATGCTGACCGTACCCATTTTGGTTCTTGATGCCAGCTGTTCACCTCATCTGTAACGTATCAGGACTAAATTATGGATACCATGCACAGCTAGTGAGAATGGACTTTTAGTACGTGAAGGTGGGTCTGGTGGACAACAGACAAGTCGAGTTCCAGATAGCAACTAGTTCTAGATTACCCTAACCTAAATGTAGTTACCGTGACTGAATCCCAAAGAGAAGATTCTTTTCCTTTGTATTTAAACCCTACCTACCCTTCAGAATTGGCTTTTTTTTCTCTAAATAAAACCAAAGGAAACCAAGTAACAAGCACTGCCAGCCTCCCTTTCTTCCATACTTCCAAAGCCCTTTGGTTACCCTTCTGCCACTGTAATGTCCCTGAGACTGTAATAATGAAGCACTCTCTGGAGCTGGAGGGAAACCTCTGACAAACCCTTTCACATAAAAGAGAGAACAACTCTTAGAGGAAGAAATGAATGGCATTCCATTTAATAAATGGAAGAGCTATTTGGGGACTAAATTACATTCTCATGGCACCCTCAAATGATAGCTACTCTTCCAACTCATGCATAAAACAGTAAAATGCCCCTCTTGTGTCCAACGCAAAAGGACTTTCCCACTTTTAATCCCTATATTTACAATAATTGAAATTGCCTTGATTTCTTAATTATGATTATTTCATAAGTTAGACTTGCCCTACCACCCCACATACAAAAATACACCATAAGCTTTTTGTGGGTATGATGTGTCATTCATAAATCTTGGTAAATTTCTAATAATATAAAAAGTAAACAGTGAATTGAGTTTCCTAGCTTAAAAAGTGAAGTATTAAGGTAAAACACAATTCCTACTATATGTAACATTACGAAAATTAACTTTGGCCCAGTGCAGTGGCTCACGCCTCTAATCTCAGCATTTTGGGAAGCCAACATGGGCAGATCACTTGAGCTCACGGGTTCGAGACCAGCCTGCGCAACATGGCGAAGTCCTATCTCTACAAAAAAATACAAAAATTAGCTGTGTGTGGTGATGCATGCTGGTTGCCTTAACCTCACTTAAACAGATAAGGCAGTAACTAGTCTTTGCCCTTCAAACACTTCAAAAGCAATATTTCTTTTTTTAGAGACAGGATCTCTTATCCCAGCTGCAGTGCAGTGGCACAATCATAGCTCACTGTAACCTCACTCCTGGGCTCAAGGTGTCCTCCCACCTCAACCTCCTGAGCAGCTAGGACTGCAGGTATGGACCACCATGCCTAGCTTTTTTATTATTATTTTTGCAGAGACTGGGTCTTGGTATGTTACCTGGACTGGCCTGGAACTCCTAGCCTCAAGCCATTCTCCTGCCTCAGCCTTTCAAAGTGTTGGGATTACAGGCATGAGCCACCAGCCAGCAGCATTTCTTTAATAAATTCCCCTGTTGCCTTAAAAATGCAGCTTTGCTGCCCCAAATATAAGTCACCTACAATTCTTGAAAGAATTTGTTAGCTATGTAAACCTAGCTGCCTCTGGAACTTACATGTTTGTTTACCTTTATTTTTAAAAGTTGGCATAAGTATACTGTTAATTAGTACAATGGAAAGAATTCTTAAGTGGGTGTCAAGAGACGTGTTCTGCTACTAATTAACTGCCTTAGGTAAGTTCACTCCCCTTTCTAGGCCTTAGTTTCTTAAGTGAAAGATGTTGAACTAGAATGAGCTCTCGGCTTGGCGTGGTTGTTCACACCTGTAATCCCAACACTTTGAGAGGCCAAAGGAGGATTCTTTGAGGCCAAAAATAATTCAAGACCAGCCTGGGCAACATAGCAAGATCCCATCTCTACAAAAAAAATGATCATTAGTTGAGCATGGTGGCTTGCACCTGTAGTCCTAGCTATTCAGGAGGCTGAGGTGGGAGGATTCCTTGAGGCCAGAAATTCAAGACCAGCCTGGGCAACATAGCAAGACCCCATCTCTAAAAAAAAAATTGATAATTAGCTGAGCATGGTGGCTTGCACCTGTATTCCTAGCTATTCAGGTGGCTGAGGTAGGAAGATTGCTTGAGCCCAGGAGTTCAAGACCAGCCTGGGCAACATGGCGAGACCTTGTCTCTACAAAAATAAAAAAATTAGCCAGGAGTGGTGGTGCATGCCTGTGGTTCTAGCAACTCAGGAGTTGAGGCGGGAGAGTCACTTGAGCCCAAGAGATAGAGAATGCAGTGAGCTGTGATTGCATCACTGCACTCCAGCCTGGGTGACCGAATGAGACCCTGTCTCAAAAAAATAAATAAATAAATGGGCTGAGTTCTAAAGTTCCTATCACATAAGATCAAAATTTAAACATAAGTAAAGATTAGGGTGATAAGATGTACACTTTCCACCAACCAAATGATAAAATTTATGAGTTGCCCCATCATGGATACTTGTTGGATGGAAAGAATGAAGTGCTTTTTTGGAATGGATAAATACTTTGAAATTTAGAAGACATTGGAGGGGAAATGAAAATGTTTGGTTATGACTGTATTGGAATACAGTAACTAAAGTATCAAGCAGGCTGTAGCGGAAATTGTTAGCTATCTCCTCAGCATGTATTTTCCTCTTCTAAATCATACCCTGATTTTATTTCAGGTGTCCATTCTTTCCCTACATAATCTGAAGCTGACCCTACTCCAGCTTTAGGAGTCAACCTGTTTTGTCCAAGATGGTAGCTTTCAAGCTTTTTTTGACTCCAATCCACAAGTAGATTTTATATGGTGATCCAGGTGTGTTTGTGTGTATACACCAAAGTTTCATAAAACAGTATTAACTCGTCATATATGTTATGCAGTTTCAAATTTAATAGTCTAATTTTTTAAGTAATGGTTATAACCCAAGAGTTAATTTCCTAATTCATTCTCAGGTTATGGACCACTGTTTGAAAGACACTGATGAGTGTAATGCAATTTCCCTTAGAAAAATTGTTGAGAAACCTGGATAAAAGCCTACTGGAGGTATGGTATTACTCTGACCACAGAATTGGTCCAGGAATACTATGTGACTCAATACAAACCAGAGAAAAGCAAGGGCAATAGTATGGGGGCTTTAAAAAAAGATGCTTCCTCACTCTTAAGGAAGAGATAAGTGTCCTGTGTATGTGAGAGCAAGAATAATGCCACTCTAGCTACCCAGCTAGTGGTTAAAGCCACAACACAACAAAGAGGGCAGAGGCCTTATATGGTAACCTGAGTGCCTACATTTGTCTCTAACTTGCTAAAATTTCAGGCATGCTGAAAGAAATATCAAACTTAGACTAAATCTATAGCAACACCAAGAAGCAAAAAAGTTATGTTTGCTCTCAAAGAATTTACATTCTAGTGGGAGAGACAGACAATAATAAGTGCTACAAGGAAATTTTTTCAAAAGAGAGTAAATGAAGGAGGGTCCTTACTGCGAGTGATCTAAGAAGGTATTTCCAAGGAAATGACATTTGAGCTGAGACCTCAGTAATAAGAAGGAGCCAATCAAATGAAGATTGGGGAAAGAATATTCCAGAGGGAAAGAAAGCAAGTACAAATACCCTGATGCAGGAAAGAGTGAGGTGTGTCTGAGGAATGCATCATAGAAATTGTCAGTAGGTAGGAAGGAGGCAGGGCACTGAGGGTCTTACAGGCCAGTGTAAGGGGTTTGGATTTTATTTCAACTGTGTTGGGAAGCCACTGTGGTTCTTAAACACGGGGAAGGGGTGAGGGTTAGGTTACCTCCTTTAGGGAGTATTTAGAAATGTATAAGGGAATTGAGGGAAGAGCTATTGTAACGAGTATTGTAGACCTATTAGTATCATATACTCTTTCTTTTGAGAAACTCAAAGCTTGGATGATATTGGGACCCTCAAAAGACTTCTGAGGAGATCCAGCAGTTTAAGGACTCCACTTTAGAAAATATACATATTAATTGGAAGATTCTGTATCTTAATTTTAAGACAGGGATCATACTTTGAACCTCTTTTCATCCCACACAGCACCATGTTAGGCTCCTTGAGACTGTTAAATTGGACAACTATCCAAATTTGGGAATATGCAAAATCATTGTCGTTACCTTTTGTCATAAAGAAATGTAGTGCATTGATCAAACAAAAGCCTGTGATCTATAAAAAATGCCCAAATTTGACTTGTTTTGTTTTTGTTTTAGTTGAGTAAAGGCATGAATATTTGCTAAGCCATCTCCAGTAACTCTTCCAAGTTGGCTTGCTACACCATGTCCTTTTGGCTGTCACAAATCTTTCCCCACTCTTCTGTTCTTTTGGGAAGAGGAAGCCGGAATTCTTAGTGGGTAGAAGAGCAAAGACTCACCCTTAGGAATTTCACTGTTGGAATTATTTTTTTAATTTTTAAATTCCCTCCACCTTGAATCACCTTGAATCATATGATTTCAAGACTTCATATAGAGAAGTAGCCCCTATCATCCTGCCCAAAGTGTGTAAGGGGAACCCTGATCTGAATAATATAGCACTGAGTAAGCTTGGAATAACAGAATAAGATTTTATTTTTCAAGGCTTTTCTCAATGCTACTAAAATAATATTTTAAGGATCACTCTGGATGTCCATTTCCAGAGCAC
Source organism: Homo sapiens (assembly GCF_000001405.40). NCBI lineage: Eukaryota > Metazoa > Chordata > Mammalia > Primates > Hominidae > Homo > Homo sapiens. The sequence goes on along the minus strand of NC_000011.10, from coordinate 10,845,443 downwards.
TTGCTAGTTGTTAGGCAATTAACAACCATTTTATAGCTATGGAAGAATCACCTAACCGTCCGGAAGCACTTTGGGACTTTATAGGAGGCCTTTAAAGTGCAAAGTGTTTTTGCTATTCTTAGATGTATAAATGCAAAGGTTAGACATCACTTCTTATACTCTAAGATGTAAAAAATGGTGTATTGTCAGTCTCAAAGTTTTTGGAATTCTTGACAGATTTTCCCAGGTTCATTCAGCAACATTTATGCATCTTTTTTTTTCCTCAACCAACTGCCTGTTTTGAAAGGCAGGAGTGAAGATGGCTGTAGAATACATGTACCTTAACAGAAACTCACTTTGCAAATACCCATCTCAGCTTTTTAAAATATTTATGGTCTATTAAAGCACCATAATTTGGCCACTCAGCTGTCATCAGGAACTAAGCCAACATTCCTTTTCAGAAAAAGACTTTGGAGAGGGGCAAACACTTCTGACAGTCATACTGTGTACTTATTTTAGAAAATAAGCTGCTCTCAGGCTTCAGTATCCAGTCAAATATAATATAGAACTCTAGTCTGTTTTGAGTCCTACTACAATAATATTTTCACAATAGACTACCAGTTATGAAGTTCTCACATTTTTCCTGCATGCATCAAGTAATTCCAGCAATTCCTAAATAGTGCAGCACCCTAAACTCTACCTATTCTATTTCTGCTTAATTTTGTACTCTAGGAAAAAAGGCAGAATTTCACCAACTAAACTTTATGCAAGAAGATGAGAGATGAATAGTGCTTATCAAACCTTTGTTAAGGCTTGAAGTTCAAGACACAAACTCTATTGTGAAAATCAATGAACAATTGTTTGGTGTATGTATGGAGCATTTACTTGGTATTTAGCCAGTCAAACACTGAAACATACAACCATGCCTCTGCCTTGTATTACATCACTGCTAGTGAAATGGACTTAGGAATCTGGACAAAGTTAGTGTAGCATTTCCAAGTCATAAAATATTTTAAAACATGCTAATTCAGACTAAAGAAATGTTTAATGAAAAGTTTAAATTGTTATTTCCAATTCTATAGAGTAGAACAGGGAATGTAAGATCTATGAGGGCAGGAACCTTGACTTTCTTATCTACCTCTGTATTCTCAGGGCCTAAAATAATGCCTGATGCCTAATAGTTCATTAAATGGGTGTTTAGTATCGATATGTTAGTGGTGGGAAAAGGACTAGGTTTGACTCTGAACTCTTTGACACTTTCTAGTCTGGACCATTGTTCAAGTCACTTAAGTTCTCTCACCCTCAGTTTCTTCCTCTCTTTTAAGAGGAATAATATTTTATTCTGTGTTTTACAGCCCTGCTCTGAGAATCAAATAATGTAATACATGTAAAATCCCTATGTAAAATGTTATAGCATTATCAAATATCATTATTTTAATACTAACAATGTTATAACACAATATTACCTGGTAGAGATTTTTAGTAGACTTGAGTTAATAATAGTTACCTTTTTTGTTTTGTTCTTTTTGATCACATATTGGATGCCAGATGCTTTATATATGTATTTCATTTAATCATGATAACAACTCTGTGAGGTAAGCTATCAATCCCATTTTAGAGATGAAGAAACAAAGGCTATGTGTTAGTTACCTATTGCTTAACAAATTGCTCCAAAACATAGTGGCTTAAAACATCAACATTTATTACCTCACAGTTGCTATACGTCAGGAATCAGGTGGAGCTTAGCTTCAGAGTCTCTCACTGGCTGCGATGAAGGTGTTAGCAAGAGCTGCAGTCATTTCAAGACTCCACTAGAGCCGCGCGCGGTGGCTCACGCCTGTAATCCCAGCACTTTGAGAGGCTGAGGTGGGAGGATCACGGGGTCAGTAGATCGAGACCATCCTGGCTAACACGGTGAAACCCCGTCTCTACTAAAAATACAAAAAATTAGCCGGGCATGGTGGCAGGTACCTGTAGTCCCAGCTACTTGGGAGGCTGAGGCAGGAGAATGGCATGAACCCAGGAGGCGGAGCTTGCAGTGAGCCGTGATTGCACCACTGCACTCTAGCCTGGGCGACAGAGCGAGACTCCGTCTCAAAAAAAAAAAAAAAAGACTCCACTAGTGAAGGATCCACTTCCAAGCTTACTCCTGTTGGCAGGATTCAGTTTTTTGCAGGCTGTTGGAAGTTCCTTGACACATGGACCTCTACAGGGCAGCTCACAACATTCCAGCAGGTTTCATCAAAGTGAACAAGTGAGAAAGCACCAGTAAGACCAAAATCATAATTTTTTGTAACCTAGTTTTGGAGGTGACATCCCATCATTTTTGTTATGTTCTATTCATTAAAAGCAAGTCACTAGGTCCAGCCCATATTCAAGGGGAAGGTATTATGCAAGAGTGTGAATACCAGGAGGCGGAAATCACAGTGAGCCACTTTAGAAGGCGTCTCCCTCAGGATCAGGGTGCTCAAGTTGTTTATCCAGTTTTACAAAGCTAATGAGTAACAAACCTGAGATTCCAGGTTACATCTGTCTGACTTCAAAGCACACAGTATTTCCATTTGTTGCTCTTCTCTCAGTGAATACATAGAATTGTATGTAATTTTTATATTATGTTTATGGTTAGCATAAACTTGACTAGAGATGAATTTTTCTAAAGCATTAAAAATGTTTGGCCAGGCACGGTGGCACATGCTTGTAATCCCAGCACTTTGGGAGGCCGAGACAGGCAGATTACGAGGTCAGGAGTTCAAGACCAGCCTGACCACCATGGTGAAACTCTGTCTCTACTAAAAATACAAAAATTAGCCAGGTGCAGTGCTGCGCACCTGTAATCCTAGCTACTCAGGAGGCTGAGGCAGGAGAATTGCTTGAACCCGGGAGGCAGAGGTTGCAGTGAGCAGAGATGACACCACTGCACTCCAGCCTGGGCAACAGAGCAAGACTCTCTCAAAAAAAAGTTTGTTTTGTGTCATAGAATAAGTTACCTTCATTCTAATGTTTTTTAGGATTGTTCATCCTAATCAATTTTCTTAATAGATAGGGACAGTTAAATCTTTTTCATTCTTGGTCTGTGATAATAAATTCCAAGTTTTAGTTCATATTTTTAAAAACACACAAAGTAGAAGTTACCTGTCAGCAAGACCATCTAAGGAAAATAATCTGGTGGATATGCTAGTATTACTAATAGACCTGTGGAGAGCATTTTTTTCATTTGTTAATTTATTCACAGTTTAATGGGGTACAGGGACAGACATTTATAAATAACAATAAAGATTTATACAAGGATCTATGTAAGTTCAGAGAAAAATATGATGAAGTATGAGTCAAAGACAAATTCATAGAGATAAATGCTGTATTTGAGTCTTGAACCATGAATCTGAATTTATCAGGTGGCCAAGGCACTGTGTTTTTTTTTTTTTAAAGCCCTCCCTTTTTTTTAAGAGACAGGATCTCACTCCAGGCTGGAGTGCAGTGATGCCTTCATAGCTCACTGCCACCTCAAACTCTTGGCCTCAAGTAATCCTCCCACCTCAGCCCCCTGAGTAACTAGGACTATAGGTGTGCATCACGATGCTCAGCTAATTATCAACTTTTTGTAGAGATAGGGTCTTGCTATTTTGCCCAGGCTAGTCTCAAATTCCTGGCCTCAAGGAATTCTGCCTCGGCCTCCTAGAATGCTGGGATTATAGACTTGAGCCACCACGCCCAGTCTGTTCAAGATTATTAAAGATTATCAGAGTCCAAATTACCAGCAGACTTGGAATTTTGAGAAGTCTCTGAAAGAAGGGAGATGGGATCAAATTGGCAGTGTAATAATTCAGGCTCAGAAGTGATAGATTAAAGAAAAGAGATAGATGGAGTAGGGGAGTAGAAGGCAGGGGTGGGGATGGCATAGCGTCCTAGAGCAACTATAAAGGATAACTTTTGGGGAATGGAATTTGAAACCTCTGGTTGGGTTGGCTCCTTCCCTCATTCATTCTTCAAAGCCAAGGGTACCTCAGAATGGTATTTGCCCCTAGCTAGCACAGTGACTTTGGAAACTTGGGGCCAATAAGCCAGGCAGTACCCCAGTGGCTACACTGTGTCCAGGAAAGGAAGCCTCATTTCACACTCAGAATGTTAGCTACTGGCATACCCTGTCCAGGATTACATTTTATCCCCTCACAATCACTAGAGCAAACTATGATAAACAGAAATGGCCTCATACACAGAGAACAGGAAATAACAAGATGAGAACAAAATTAGGAACAACCAAATGCCGGAGGAAGACCAGTACCATGAAAGCATGACAGCAGTCAACAAACAAAAAGCAAGTAGTTTTCAGAGTAAACAGAAGAGGATCTGTGAAATGATAATTATTAATAATTAGTGCATCCTGGTGTGGTGTCAGGCATTCTTCTAAGCACCTCACATGTTTTTTTTAAATTTAGTTTGTATACAGAATATCCCCAGAGGAATAGGAGAGAATATTGTAATGATGAAAAAGAACCAGTTAAATAGATTGTTACCATTTTAAAAAATTATGCGAGGTGTGGTGGCTCACACCTGTAATCCCAACAATTTGGGAGGCTGAGGTGGGTGGATTGCTTGAGCTCATGAGTTTGAGACCAGCCTGGGAAACATGACGAAACCTCGTCTCTACAAAAAATACAAAAATTAGCTGGGGGTAGTGGTGCATGCCTGTAGTCCCAGCTACTCAGGAGGCTGAGGTGGGAGGATGGCTTCAGCCCAGGAGGCAGATGTTGCAGTGAGCTGAGATGGTGCCACTGCACTCCAGCCTGGGCATAGACCCAGACCTTGTCTCCAAAAAATAAATAAATAAAATACAATATAATTTTTAAAAATTAAAAGGTGGACTAAACAGTGAATGGACTTCTTCAATGAAGAGCAAACTAGCAAAACTGGAACAGTAAGCTAAAGAGTTACTCCAAAAGAACAAAGATAATGGTGGAGGGTGATTTCAGAGACATGTAAAATAAATGCAGGGATTCCAGTAACTCATAGTTCCAAAGAGAGACACATGAAATAATTTTACGGAGGAAATATTAAAGAAGTGATAGAAGAAAAGTCCATGTCTGGGTGCAGCGGTTTACACCTGTAATCCCAGCACTTTGGGAAGCTGAGGCAGCAGGATCGCTTGAGCCCAGGAGTTTAAGACTAGCTTGGGCAACACAGTGAGACCCTGTCTCTATTTTTAAATATATATGTATTTTTAAAATGTTATAAAGAAAAATTCCTGGCATTACTTTAGTGTAATTTATAAGATTTATTTAATGTCATTTGCATCTAAAAAAGGAGCAAACATTATTTTAGTGCATCTTATTTTTTATTCCACATTGCATCAAAAATTTCATCACTTCATGTGTTTCTAAATCATATATTTATGTTTGCATAATTGTGCTCATTTTTAAACTTTATATATATATATATATATATATATTTAATAGAGATGGGGTCTCACTATGATGGGGTCTCACTGTGTTCAAGACTGGTCAGTCTTGAACTCCTGGCTTCAAGCAGCCCTCCCACCTTGGCCTCCCAAAGTGCCAGGATTATAGGTGTGAGCTACCATGCCCAGCGTAAACTTTTTATTTTGAAATAAAGTTAGACTGGCTGGGTGTGGTGACTCATGCCTGTAATCTTAGCACTTTGGGAGGCTGAGGCGGGCAGATCACCTGAGGTCAGGAGTTTGAGACCAATCTGGCCAACATGGCAAAACCCCATCTCTACTAAAAATACAAAAATTAGCCAGGTGTGGTGGCGGGCTACTCAAGAGGCTGAGGCAGGAGAATCACTTGAACCCGGGAGGCAGAGGTTGCAGTGAGCCGAGATCACACCATTGCACTCCAGCCTGGGAGACAGAGCAAAACTCCATCTCAAAAATAAATAAATAAAGTTACACTTACAGAAAAGTTGCAAAAATAGTACCAATACCTTCACATAGCTTCCCCTAATATCAACGTATTATATAATTATAGCATAATTATCAAAATTAATAAACATAAGTACAATACCATTAGCTAAATTACAAATACACCTTATATAAATGAGGAGAGAAAACAAGTCAATGGGAATGATTAACCTATATAGATACATACAAAATAGAATAAAGTAGATGGGTAGCTACTACATCTTTATTTCTACAACTGGTCTCGTAAACTAGAATATCCTTCCTTCATTATCTATTCCATCTTCATACTGCCAGCATCTGCAGCTGGTTAATAAACTTCCAGTTAAGAGGAACCATTCTTGGATTTTCTGGGTTAGAGCATGTCTCCCTTAGATAAAGAGTTCTACATAGGCAAAGCTCAAAGTTGTGAAAATAGAAAGCAAAACATTTTGAGTGCATCAGTGGGTATCGTAGTGGGAAGTGTTTATCTCAAGCCTGGGTTTCCCAGCAGATATAGATAAGGGAAAAACCGCGCTTTATGTTGGTTGCTGGTTCACAGCACATTGCTGTAGCACAGGAGTTGGCATGCTTTTTTCTGTAAAGGACCAGATAATAAATATTCCAAGCTTTAAAGACCACACATGATTGATATCTGTCATGTATTCTTTTTTGTTGTTACTGTTACAACCCTTAAAAAGTGTAAAAAAAAAATTCTTAAAATCTGTCCAAAAATAGGATTTAGGGCATATTTGCCCTCAGACTATAATTTGCTAATCTCTGCTATAGGGCGACATCCTAACTTTGCAAAGCATTCCTTCCCTGCTGGGAAACAAAAGACACATACACACAAATGTTCATTGCAGCACTGTTCACAATAGCAAAGACATGGAATCAACTTAAATGCCCATCAATGACAGACTGGGTAAAGAAAATGTGGTACATATACACCATGGAATACTAAATGGCCATAAAAAAGAACGAGATCATGTCTTTTGCAGGAACGTGGATGGAGCTGGTGGCCATTATTCTTAGTAAACTCATGCAGGAACAAAACCAGATACTGCATGTTCCCACTTACAGGTGAGAGCTAAATGTTGAGAACACATGGACACACAGAGAGGAACAACAGACACTGGTGCCTACTTGAGGATGGAAGGTGGAAGGAGGGAGATGAGCAGAAAAAATAACTGTTGGCTTAGTACCTGAGTCACAAAATGGAACAGCTGGAACTGAGTCTTCAAAAAGCTGTTCAAGAGTTCTGAAGACCAGCTGCTTCTGGATGATGGAATGTACAGTAAGACCAGTGAGTCTGTGAGCATAGTATTCTGGGTCACCAAGGATTAACACTTGTGTCTGATAATCCCTTAAAGGTCAAGATATTTCCTCCTGTGCACAATTTTACCCTAGCAAATAGCTATATGTCCTTTTGATTGAAGGCTGAGAGAAAGATACTTTTGATGTAATCACACAGTTCTTTCTCAAAGGTACATAGTATACTCTGTATTCTGAGTCTCTGAACTTCCCAGGAATAGAAATAGATGTGGGCTCTGACTTTTAGTGGTGTCTGTAGTCAGGCCTGTGTTTTCCTAATCTAGAGTTTGTTCATTTGCACAAATCTTTAAGTCCTTAGTGAGCTACACATCTGTTTCAGTATTAAAAACTATGATCAATTAGCAACCGTCAAAGATCTCTGTAGGTCAAACCTTTCAATTACCACTCTTGGTAATTGTGCATAATGTTACTATGGCAGTTATGTTCTCCTGTCTGGCCTCTACCACCTCAGGATCCCTCACCATCACTGAAAGTGGAAAGCCCATTTCAAAGAAAAGAAAAAAGAACAAGAAAGGGGGAGGGGGGAAGGCCATTTCAGTGCCAACATATGCAACCTTTATCCCCAGAGGACAGCCATTATAGTAATGTTCAGGGGCACTTGCACTATACTCACCAGTCTATTTATTTATGCTATGGTGTGAAGATAATGTGCTCTAGGTCCTTTGGGGGACACGGGGGTTGATGATCCAATGCAAATAACAACCCATTTCAGGCTGGGCACAGTGGCTCACACCTGTAATCCAAGAGCTTTGGGGAGGCCTAGGCAGGAGGATTGCTTGAGCCTAAGAGTTCAAGGTTGCAGTGAGCTATGATTGTGCCACTGCACTTCGGCCTGAGCAACAGAGCAAGGCTCTGTCGTAAAAAACAAAAAACCCACTTTGAGTTTGCTTTCTTCTTTCTTCCTAAGCCTTTGGAGCTTATCTTCAGCATTATATCAAGACATTTATTCAACCCAGCAATCCCATTACTGGGTAGATACCCAGAAGAATATAAATCATTCTACCATAAAGATACATACACACAAATGTTCACTGCAACACTGTTCACAATAGCAAAGACACGGAATCAACCTAAATGCCCATCAGTGACAGACTGGATAAAGAAAATGTGGTACATATACACCATGGAATACTATGTGGCCATGAAAAAGAACGAGATCATGTCTTTTGCAGGAACGTAGATGGAGCTGGTGGCCATTATTCTTAGTAAACTCATGCAGGAACAGAAAACCAAATACTGCACGTTCCCACTTACAGGTGAGAGCTAAATGATGAGAACACATGGACACACAGAGGAACAACAGACACTGGGGCCTACTTGAGGATGGAAGGTGGGAGGAGGGAGATGAGCAGAAAAAATAACTATTGGCTTAGTACCTGGGTGACAAAATAATCTGCACAACAAACCCGTGACATGAATGTACCTATATAACAAACCTCACATGTACCCCTGGATCTAAAATAAAAGTTAAGCAAAATTTTGGGGCATGCCAGGCGCAGTGGCTCATGCCTGTAATCCCAGCATTTTGGGAGGTCGAGGTGGGCAGATCACCTGAGGTTGGGAGTTTGAGACCAGTCTGGCCAACATGGAGAAACCCCATCTCTACTAAAAATACAGAAATTAGCTGAGTTTAGTGGTGCATGCCTATAATCCCAGCTGCTTGGGAGGCGAGGCAGGAGAATCACTCAAACCCAAGAGGCAGAGGTTGCAGTAAGCTGAGACCAGCCCCTGCACGCCAGCCTGGGTGACAAAGTGAGACTGTCTCAAGAAAAAAAAAAAAAAAATTATTGCCAACCCAATCCTATTTGGTTTCAGTCACCAGTTGAGTCTAGTTTTTAATTAATCAACCGAGCATAACTAGAACACTCAAAGCTACCTGAACTAGTACCAGAATCTTAGACAAATGTTCTCATATCAATACATTCAGCCCAATCCAAAATTATGTTCCTTTTTCCTTGATCTTGCATCTTCAAGAGTCTATTTCTACATATATTCTCCAGCTTTTTGCCAATGCAGTTTAGCAAAATCTTACCATTCTTCTGACATGTAATCTTTCTCTTCCCAAACTTACTTTATTGTTGGTCCTTTAGAGCAGCGGTCCCCAACATTTTCCAGGGACTGGTTTCATGGAAGACAGTTTTTCCATGGACCAGTATGGGGGATTGGTGGGGAGGGGTAGGGGTAGGATGATTCAAGCTCATTACATTTTTTGTACACTTTATATTATTATTACATTGTAATATGTAATGAAATAATTATGCAACTCACCATAATGTAGAATCAGTGGAAGCCCTGAGCTTGTTTTCTTGCAACTAGATGGTCTCATCTGGGAGTAATGGGAGACAGTGAAGATCATCAGGCATTAGATTCTCATAAGGAGCATGCAACCTAGATCCCTCACATGTGCAGTCCACAATAGGGTTTGTGCTCCTATGAGAATCTAATGCTGCTGCTGTTCTGACAGAAGGCAGAGTTCAGGCGGTCATGCAAGCAATGGGGAATGGCTATAAATACAGATGAAGCTTCACTCACTCACCTGCCCCTCACCTCCTGCTGTGCAGCCTGATCCTAACAGGCTGGGGACCTCTGCCTTACAGCATGTGAGGATCTGACTCAATATATGAATCTGGAGTTAGTTATAGGAGATAGGATAGAGAAGAGGAAAATTGCCATCCCTGTGCAAGATGAGACCTTTATTATCTGTATTGTGTGACACATTACCCAAAATTTAGCAACTGAAAATAACAAGCATTATCTCACACAGTTTCTTTAGGTCAGGAATCTAGAATTGGCTTAGGGGGGTGATTCTGGCTCAGGTTATCTCATAACGTTGGTGTCAAGATGTCATTTGGGGCTTGACTGGGGCTGGCGGATCTGCTTTCAATATGGTTCACTCACATACTTGGCAAGTTTGTGCTGGGTCTTTGTAGCAGGCCTCAGTTCCATGCCATTTGAACTTCTCTGTAGTGTCTTTACAATATGGCATCTGGCTTTCTCCAGATGTAAGGCAGAAATGACAATACCTATTATGATATCTATAGCCTCAGAAGTCACACACCATCATGTCTGCAATATTCTATAGGTTACACAGGTCAACCCTAATGAGTATGGGAGGAGGCTACATAAGGTCATTTAATACTAGAAAGTGGAGATCACTGGGGCCTTCTTGGAGACTGGTTACTGAAGGATCACAATATGGTTTTTGATATGGCTTTTCTGTGTCCCCACCCATATCTCATCTTGAATTGTAGGGACCAGGTGGAGATAATTGAATCATGGGGGCAGTTTCCTACATGCTGTTCTTGTGATGGTAAGTAAATTGTCACGAGATCATGATGGTTTTATAAGGGGCTTCCCCCTTCGCTTGGCTCTCATTCTTCTCTCTCCTGCTGCCTGTGAAGAAGGACATGTTTGCTTCCACTTCCACCATGATTGTAAGTTTCCTGAGGTGTCCCCAGCCCTGCAGAACTGTGAGTCAATTAAACCTCTTTTTTTTTTTAATAAATTACCTAGTCTCGGGTATGTCTTTATAGCAGCATGAGAATGGACTAATACAGTTTTCAGCAAAGGCAAGACCAGCCTCATCAGAGGAGTAAACAGGCTGCTTCTGTAGGCATGGGACATTCAGTAGATTTCGGGAGCACAGGATACCATTTTTATAGCCCTACTCTTTTTCAGTCGCTGCCCTAACTTCCACAATCAGAGATCAAGTAAAATCATTAATTCTACTTTGGTCATAATTCAGCATTCTACTGAATCAGATTCTGCTTCTAATTTTTGATGTGTTAGACTTGTGGCTTTACGGGATTTTTTAGGGCAATCATGGAAAATCCCTGGTTTTCTGAAGTGCTGAGTTAAAAATTTGAAATCTTGGGCCTATAATTTTCTTTAACGTTTCTAGCATAGTTAGAAGCAACCAGCACAACCCCTGCCCTTATATTCCTTGTACCTTCCATAATAGTCCCTCCCAGCAGCCAGCTGGTCCACCAAAACCTTGCCTTTTCCTTTTCAAATTAAAAAAAAATTTTTTTTTCTTTTTTTTTTTCAGATACAGTCTTGCTCTGTCACCCAGGCTGGAGAGCACTGGTGTGGTCATAGCTCACTGCAGCCTCCATCTCCTGTGCTTAAGCGATTCTCTTACCTCAGCCTCCTAAGTAGCTAAGACTACAGGCACATGCCACCACACCTGGCTAATTTTATTATTATTGTTTTGAGACAGAGTCTTGCTCTGTTGCCCAGACTGGAATACAGTGGCACAATCTCAGCTCACTGCAGCCTCCGCCTCCTGGGTTCAAGCAATTCTCTTGCCTTAGCTTCCCAAGTAGCTGGGATTACAGGTGCATGCCACCATGCCCAGCTAATTTTTGTATTTTCAGTAGAGACGGGGTTTCACCATGTTGGCCAGGCTGGTCTTGAACTCCTGGTTTCAAGCAGTCCACCTGTCTCGGCCTCCCAAAGTGCTGGGATTACAGGCATGAGCCACCACACCAGGCCTATTATTATTTTTTCATGCAGATGGGGGTCTCACTATGTTGCCCAAGATGGTCTCAAACGTCTGGCCTCAAGCACTTCTCCCACCTCAGCTTCCCAAAGCCCTGGACTACAGATATGAACCACTTCACCCAGCCCCAAAGCCTTGACTTTAATAGACACTTCATTCCAGATGACCAGAGATGATCCTTTCTTTAAAAAATATATATTTATTTATTTATTTATTTTGAGATGGAGTTTCGCTCTTGTCGCCCAGGCCGGAGTGCAATGGTGCAATCCCGGCTCACTGCAACCTCCATATCCCGGTTTCAAGCTATTCTCCTGCCTCAGCTGGGATTACAGGCGCATGCCACCATGCCCAGCTAATTTTTGTATTTTTAGTAGAGATGGGGTTTTGCCATGTTGGCCAGGCTGGTCTTAAACTCCTGACCTCATACAATCCATCTGCCTTGGCCTCCCAAAGTGCTGGGATTACAGGTGTGAGCCACCATACCCAGCCAAGTTTTCTCTAATAGTAACAAGCTCCTCACTGCCTTCAGATACAAGTGGAAAGTTTATTGCTTACAACTTTTCTTATTTCTGCATCAATCCGTGTTCAGTTGCATAACAGAGAATCTGGTCAAGTTTAAGCATAAAGGGATTTAAAGCAAGGAATTGAATGTGTACAAAACTACTGAAAGGACTAGAGGAGCAAAGCTGTAGGTCCAACTCCTTGGAACACCTTCCACCACTTACAACTACTCACAACTTCCACCACTCACAACTCTTTCTACCATGATTAGAAAAGCTCCCACTGGACTAGCACGGTGGCTTATACCTGTAATCCCAAAACTTTGGGAGGCTGAGGCAGGAGGACCGCTTGGGCCCAGGAGTTTGAGACCAGCCTGGGCAACATAGTGAAATCCCATCTCTAAAAAAAAAAAAAAAGCCAGGAGTGTTGGGGCACACCTGTTGTCCCAGCTACTCCAGTGGCTGAGGGGTAAGGACCACTTGAGCCTGGGTGGTTGAAGTTACAGTGCACTGTGATTGTGCTACTGCACTCCAGCCTGAGCCACAGAGTGAGACCCTGTCTTGAAAGAAAGAGAGAGAAAAGAATAGCTCATGCCACCATTGCTGTAGGAATCTGCTGCCATTTTTGCTCACCACACAACTTATTACCTCTTCTGCTGCTGCTATTATAGGAAACTACTTGCTCCAGAATCATACAAATCACCTCTGCCAATCCACATGGCAAATTAGAGTCCATGCATCTTTCCTCTCTCCTGACATGACTCGGTTCTGAATTCATTTCTCACAAGATGTACTGAACCAAATCATGGCAGGAATGCTCACTGAAAGGGATTCTGGTAAATGTCACTTGTTAGCTTTCCAGCTTTTGCAGATTAGAAATGGATTGAGCATCAGTCCATAGCTCTCAAAACATTTTGTTCAGATCAAATATTGTACTATAGAATTGGTTAGTAGAATTGATTCTATCAGATTGAGAGTTCTTTTAAAACAGAGATAAAATTTTATTCATATTTAGAATACCCAGCATTTACCAGTGCCTCCCTCAAATGCAATGCCACAAACAAAATACTATTTTTTTTTTTTTTTTTGAGACAGAATCTTGCTCTGTCACCCAGGCTGGAGTGCAGTGGCATGATCTTGGCTCACTGCAAGCTCTGCCTCCTGGGTTCACGCTATTCTCCTGCCTCAGCCTCCCGAGTAGCTGGGACCACAGGCGCCTGCCACCATGCCTGGCTAATTTTTTGTAGTTTTAGTAGAGACGGGGTTTCACCGTGTTAGCCAGGATGGTCTCGATCTCCTGACCTTGTGATCCGCCCGCCTCGGCCTCCCAAAGTGCTGGGATTACAGGCGTGAGCCACCGCGCCCGGCCAACACAATACTATTTTATGAATTTGTATTAATACTTACTAAGAACCTTTATGTATGTAAGTAAAGACTCATCCTTGCATGATTCCCTTTTTCTGCCAGATGCAACTCGTTGCCTTCACTCAACCCCTGGCTGAAACTGAAATTTCCTCCACATCATTTCTTATCACATCTTAGAAAATACCATGGTGATTGGAAAGATTAAGGATTTGGGTATCAGACAAATTTGTGTTTGAATTTTGGCTTATCTACTTGCTAGCTATATAATCATGAGTAAGTTATTAATGCCTCTAAACCTTAGCTATACTATTAGGATAGTAATAATTAACCTCACAAAGTTGTGAGGATAATGTGAGATAGTGTATGAAAGTACCTGGCACATAGTAGACACTTTATGCGATTATTAAAATGTCTTCCTCCACCTCATAAATATAATTTTGGAATTGTAAAGAACATAAGAGTTTATCTAGTCCAGCTGCATAATACTAATAAGCTGAAAGCCAAAGGAGGTGAAGCTTCACGTCTCCTGTTTCTACCTACTCCAGCTTATCTGGCTCATCTCCTATACATGTTGATACACTATGTCCTATATATTGACACAGTTGCACCTCAGATCCCTGATAGAAGCTTATTTGAGATTTTCTTATCTTCCCTTGCATGAGACTAAATGTGTATCTTTCCTGTTCCACTGGCCCAGAATAGCTTTCTTGTCTTGATCATTGTCTCAAGGACAAGTCATTCCTATATGCCTTCTGCTGAAAGGGAAGTTTTCATCCCAACATTCTGGAATCCAAGTGATATGGTTAGGCTTTGTGTTCCCACCTAAATCTCATCTTGAACTGTAATCTCCATAATCCCCACATGTCAAGGGAGGAACCCAATGGGAGGTGATTGGATCATGAGGGCAATTTTCCCCATGCTGTTCTTGTGATAGTGAGGAAGTTCTCAAGAGATCTGATGGTTTTGTAAACATCTGGCCTTTCCCCTGCTCACTCTTCTCTCTCCTGCTGCCATGCGAAGAAGGTCCTTGTTTTCTCTTCACCTTCCGCTGTGATTGTAAATCCTGAGGCCTCCCCAGCCATGTGGAACTGTGAGTCAATTAAACTTTTTCCTTTATAAATTACCCAGTCTTGGGTAATATCCTTTTTTTTTTTTTTTTTTTTTTTTTGAGACGGAGTCTGGCTCTGTCTCCCGGGCTGGAGTGCAGTGGCACAATCTCAGCTCACTGCAACCTCCGCCTCACAGGTTCACGCCATTCTCCTGCCTCAGCCTCCCCAGCAGCTGGGACTATAGGCGCAAGCTGCCACGCCCAGCTAATTTTTGTATTTTTAGTAGAGACGGGGTTTCATCGTGTTAGCCAGGATGGTCTCGATCTCCTGACCTTGTGATCCACCCACCTCGGCCTCCCAAAGTGCTGGGATTACAGGTGTGAGCCCCCGTGCCCGTCCGGGTAATATTCTTAATAGCAGTGTGAGAGAATGGACTAATACAGTAAATTGGCACCAAGAGTTTGGGGCACTGCTATAAAGATACTTGAAAATTTGGAAGCGACTTTGGGACTGGGTGACAGGCAGATGTTGGAACAGTTTGGAGGGCTCAGAAGAAGACAGGAAGATGTGGGAAAGTTTGAACCTTCCTAGAGACTTGTTGAATGGTTTTGACCAAAATGCTGATAATGATGTGGACAATGTAGTCCAGGCTGAGGTGGTCTCAAATGGAGATGAGGAACTTCTTGGGAACTGGAGCAAAGGGTCACTCTTGCTATGCTTTAGCAAAGAGACTGCTGGCATTTTGCCACTGCCCTAGAGATCTGTGAAACTTTGAACTTGAGAGAGATGATTTAAGGCATCTGGCAGAAGAAATTTCTAAGTAGCAAAGCATTCAAGAGGTGACCTGGTTGATTTTGAAAGTGTTCAGTCTTATACATTCACAAAGAGATAATTTGAAATTGGAACTTATTTTTAAAAGGGGGTCAGGCGCAGTGGCTCATGCCTGTAATCCCAGCCCTTTGGGAGGCCAATTGCAGGTGGGTCACTTGAGGTCAGGGGTTGGAGACCAGCCTGGCCTACATGGCAAAACCTTGTCTCTATGAAAAATACAAAAATTAGCCAGGCATGGTGGTGGGTGCCTGTAATCCCAGCTACTACTCTGGAGGCTGAGGTGCAAGAATCACTTGAACCTGGGAGGCGGAGGTTGCAGTGAGCTGAGATCACGCCACTGCACTCTAGCTTGGGTGACAGAGTGAGACTCCATCTCAAAAAAAAAAAAGGGGGGGGACAACAGAGTGTAAAAATGTGGAAAATTTGCAGCTGACCATGTAGTAGACAAGAAAAAACCATTTATGGGGAGGAATTTAAGCCAGCTGCAGAAATTTGCATGAGTAACCAGCAGCCAAACGTTAATAGCCAGGACGATGGGGCAAATGTCTCCAGGGCATGTCAGAGACCTTCATGGCAGCCCCTCCCATCACAGACCTGGAGGCCTAGTAGGAAAAAATGGTTTTGTGGGCCAGGCCCCGCTGCTGCTCTGTTTGTAGCCTTGGGACTTGGCACCCTTCATCCTAGCTGTGGCTGAAAGGGTCCAAGGTACAGCTTGGGTCATGGCTTCAGAGGATGCAAGCCCCAAGTCTTGGCAGCTTCCATGTGGTGTTGGGCCTGCGGGTGCACAGAAAAACAAGAAGTGAGGTTTGGGCACCTCTGCCTAGATTTCAGAGGATACATGGAAATGCCCAGGTGTCCAGGCAGAAGTCTTCTGCAGGGGCAGAGCTCTCACAGAGAACCTCTGCTAGTGCAGTGTGGAAGGGAAATGTGAAGTTGGATTTCTCATGCAGAGTCCCCACTGGGGCACTGCCTAATTGGAGCTATGAGAAGAGGGCCACCATCCTCCAAACAGGTTGCACCATTAGCCTGGAAAAGCCGCAGATACTCAATGCCAGCCATGAAAGCAGCCAGGGCGGGGGCTATACCCTGCAAAGCCACAGGGGCAGGGCTGCCCAAGGCCATGGGAGCCCACCTTTTTCATCAGCATGACCTGGATATGAGACATGGAGTCACAGGAGATCCTTTTGGAGCTTAAAGATTTAATGACTGCCCTGCTGGATTTCAGACTTGCGTGGGGCCTGTATCCCCTTTGTTTTGGCCAATTTCTTCCATTTGGAATGGGAGTATTTATCCAATGCCTATACCCCCATAGTATCTTGGAAGTAATTAACTTGCTTTTGATTTTATAGGCTACTAGACAGAAGTGGCATGCCTTGTCTCAGATGGGACTTTGAACTTGGACTTTTGGTTTAATGCTGGAATGAGTTAAGACTTTGAGGTACTGTTGGGAAGGCATGATTATGTTTTGAAATGAGAGAAAAAGACTTGGGAGGGGCCAGGGGCGGAATGATATGGAGGCTTTGTGTTCCCACCCAAATCTCATCTTGAATTGTAATCCCCATAATCCCCATGTGTCAAGGGAGGGACCTGGTGGGAGGTGAGTGGATCATAGGGGTCGTTCCCCCGATGCTGTTCTTGTGATAGTGAATGAGTTCTCACAAGATCTGATGGTTCTATAAGCATCTGGCATTTCCCCTGCTCACCCTTCTCTCTCTTATTGCCATGTGAAGAAGGTCCTTGTTTTTTCTTCACCTTCCACCATGATTGTAAGTCTCCTGAAGACTCGCCAGCCATGTAGAACTGTGAGTCAATTAACCTCTTTTCTTTATAAATTACTTAGTCTCAGGTAGTATCTTTATAGCAGTGTGAGAATGGATGAATACACGAAGATCCCCCTTCTAGACACCAGAATGTATAATCTTGGTGTAAACTGTTTATCTCATCATAGCTATAGATGAACCCATCTTTGGCTACTGAATCTCCCCTGTATTTCTGAACCTTCCTCTGCCATCAGCCAGGCCAAACAGGGAGGCAGTTTCTAATGCCTAATTTTAGACCTAAGTCTTGTACACTTAGGCCTATCTTAGAATGTCATAATTCACCAATAAGTTCTAAAATAGGACATCTCTAGCAAGACATCATTACTTATTATTTGTGCCCATAGAAACTTCTTCCTCTGCCTTCATTAAGGCTTTAATCATTTATAGTCTCCTAAGAGACCTCTTTTATTTTTTTCTATGTTTATATGTTGTCTCTCCAACAAGGCTATGACCTCTTTTGGGGACAGTTACCCCATCTCCTACATTCTGTAGTCCTGTTGTGCATAACAATATTAATCAATCCATAAAAATAATTTTTAAAACCTGGATTCAGACCAAATCTTTCAAACTTTTCCCACTCTCTGGACAAAGGCCGAGAAAGAAAAAGAATAGAGTCCTTACCTTACTGAAATATTCAACCTATTTGAAGTCAAGTAATTCAAATCTCTTTGGCTTTATGGATTTCAATCTATTCCCACCCATCCAGAGTGTTACTGGTTTTTATCTTAGCTTTTGATTTCTTTCCACTGAGAGCTGCTCCTCTGCTCACCTTTAACTGCTCTTTCCACTCATACTCATGGCACTTTATACTTCCTCTTTCATAACACATCGCATTTGGATTTATTTTTCACTATCTTTCTTCTCCCAAGGACTTTTAGTTACATGTAGGCAGAGACAATTTCTTCCTTCTTCATTACTAGGTATATCCCCAGCATCTTAGCATAATGCCTGGCACATAGTAGGCATTCAGTAAATATTTATTGAATAAATGAATAACTCTGTGCCTGGCCCCAAGTTACACTGTCTCACATTTCTCCCTGGCCCATATTTGTAAATAACAAAATGTATTTCCCTTGTTAGTGTATTTGAGATTTTTTTCAAAGTGAGTTTTATTAAAACATTATGGATTCCAAAAGGAAGTTAAACAAACTACAAAAAAGAAAATTCAAATTTCAAAAATACAGATTTATTTAATAAAATTTATTTTTTTCAGTATAGCTTTCTGTTCTGACACATACTGATTAATGCCCAGGCTCATGATGTCTGTTCCACATCCTGCTCGATGCTGCCACTCACCTAGTGTGCTCTTCCCTTGTCCCCTTTCTTCCCTGAGGTCTCAGGTATGTAAGTCCTGGGAGAAATTGCACAGGAATGGGATGATGGGCCTTTTTTTTTTTTTTTTTTTTTTTTTTTGGATGAACTGTTGTTCTTACTCTTCTCCTTGTGCCTATTAGCAGTTTATCTTTCTGTGCATCTATCTGTAGTAGTGGGACCAGTGAAAATGGCAAGCATCTTTAGTCAGTGAGGAAAAAATTGTGTACTACTTTTGTCTAATCAGTACCATTTCTTCCTAATAATCTCCCTTGGAGAGATTATTATGCCAAATTAAAAATTTTTAATTAAAGTCAAGCTAAATTTCATATATCAATATATCACTCCACCTGCTAGTCTAGTCTCTGTTATAAAGGATTGGTTTGAAAGTGCATTAGTCTGTGCAGGCTGCTATAACAAAATACCATAAAACAGGTAGCTTTTAAGCTGCAGTAATTTAGTTTTGGCAGTTTTGGAGGCTGGAAAATCCAAAATAAAAACACCAACAGGCTGGGCGTGTGGCTCACACCTATATCCCAGCACTTTGGGAAGCTGAGGTGGGTGGATCACTTGAGGTCAAGAGTTGAGACCAGCCTGGCCAACATGGTGAAACCCCATCTCTACAAAAAATACAAAACAAATTAGCTGGGCATGGTGGTGGGCGCCTGTAATGCCAGCTGCTCAGGAGACTGAAGCAGGAGAATCGCTTGAACCTGGGAGGTAGAGGTTGCAGTGAGCCAAGATCATGCCACTGCACTCCAGCCTGGGCTACAGAGTGAGACTCCATCTCAAAGAAAAAAAAAAAAAAACACCAACAGATTCAGTGTCTGATGAGGGCCCTTGTTCTGATACATAAATTGTGCCTTCTTGATGTACCCTCACATGGCAGAAGGAGCAAACAAGCACCTCGGGCCTCTTTCATGAGATAATTAATCCCATTGATGAGGGTTCTGTCCTCAGGATTTAATTACCTCCCACTAAGGGCCCCCATTTCTTAATACAGTCAGCTTGGGGGTTAGAATTTCAACGTATGAATTTAGGGGAGACACAAGCTTTCAGACCGTAACAGAGAGGTGTTTTTCTTGTTTTTTTTGGTTTTTTTTTTTGTTTTTTTTAAGGCATATTCTCAGTTTGGGTGTGGTGGCGTGTACCTGTGGCCCTGGCTACTCAGAAGGCTGAGGAAGGAGGATCCCTTGAGCCTGAGAGTTTGAAGGTATAGTGAACTATGAACATGCCATTGCACTCCAACCTGAGCAACAGAGAAAGATGCTGTCTCTAAAAAAAATGATAAATGAAAAATAAAAATAATAGGCCACGTTTATTGTTACT
Organism: Homo sapiens; assembly: GCF_000001405.40. Taxonomy (NCBI): domain Eukaryota; kingdom Metazoa; phylum Chordata; class Mammalia; order Primates; family Hominidae; genus Homo; species Homo sapiens. Next base: position 10,825,533 of record NC_000011.10, on the reverse strand, counting down.
TGTCAGTATTTATATTATTCCTTTGATCAAAAGGAACAGGCTTTTTAGGAGCAGGATTTGATGGGTGGAGTTAGGGGGAAGTTTTAAAATTCTCTTGATTGAAGCATGGTGTGACCACAATTGATTTATCAATTTCTGAACTTGGCCTTCTGGATCCATCTGTTCCTCACCCCCATCTCCCTCCCATGCCTATTTTTGTCCTTGGCTTTTAATCTTTCTCTTCCTCCTTCTCTTCTTGGTCTCGCTCTTGCTTACACTCTCTGCAATTTTTGCATAGCATAAAGGCACCCAGTGAAGGGTTTAAGATCTTCTGAAATCTACTGTACCATATCCACTAAACAAGCTTTGGGTATTGGTGAGTGAGTTTGCCCCAGTCTACAGGCTAGCAGAGGCCCTACCTGATTCCTGGCTTACTATTAGCCCACTGCCAATTTATACGTGTATAGTGACTCTCCAGCCTAGTGTGACACTTCCTGTTTTTGGTTCTTGGGTCGGGCAGATATCTAGCTCTGGTTTAATGTATTGTGGAGTTATCCTGGGGCATTTTTCTGATTGACTTGAGATCGTATGAGTGCTAGTATAGCATATAGGCTCTATAACCCATACTGCCTAGTCTCAAATCCCAACTCTGTCATGTACTCATTTCTCTGTGCCTCAGCTTCCTTGTCTGTAAAGAGAGAATAGTAATATCAACCATCTCCTGTGGTGGTGTATACATGTAAAACACTTAGAAAAGTATAAAAGATGGTAAGCACTTAGTGTTTATTGATTATGAGTTCACCCATGATCTTGTTGGAGAGAGACCCACGTCACTTCTACCACCCTAATAATTTAACAAATGTTTATTGAATGACCATAATGTATCACACACTATGCTGGGAAGAACATAGAGATGAAGCAAAAACTAATGCTAACTTCAATGAGCAACATTTGGTTTATAGATAGTAATGATGGCAAAGGAGTAGCTTTTTATTTAAATAATCATTTATAGGCCAGATGAGGTGGCTCACGTCTGTAATCCCAGCACTTTGGGATGTTGAAGTGAGGGGATTGCTTGAGCCCTGGAGTTCAAGACCAGGCTGGGCAATATCGCCAGACCCCATCTCTTAAAAAAAGTAGTTCTTTACTGTTGCCTCTATTGACTCTTGAATGCAAGAAAGAACATTTGCCCTTTGACTTCTAATATTATCTTATATTCTCTCTTCTTCAAAAGATCAGAAGCACATGCTGTAAACATCAATCATGATCATCTTTGTCTCCCTTATCAGATTGTCAAAATTATATCTTTTCCTATTTTCCTGCATACCTTATCTTTTTCCTAAATTCTCAGTTCTCCAAGTTCTCAGAAATCATAACTTCAGACCTTGAAATGATGACTCTGTTCCACCCCCATCCGGCTTTTATATGAAATACATGTGTATATATAGGTAAAGACGGAGTCTTGCTATGTTACCCAGGCTGGCCTCAAATTCCTGGGCTCAAGCCTTCCTCCAATCTTGGTATCCCTTTGAGTACAGGCGTGAGCCCCTGCCCCCTGCCCCTACTCTGGTTTTGTTTTGGTGGTTTGTCAGTATATATGTGTTTGCCTTTGGGCTACACATAAATGTAGAAAGGTGAGCTGTAACCAGAAAGACATCACCGAATTTACCATTGAAATGTCTTCATTTAAGTCCGTTTCTCAACAGTTGTTAGCCAGATCCAGCTGGATTTTATATCTGACTTGTGATCACGGTGAAAGAATGCAAAAAGGAGACACAGACTTTTAAAATGTTCTGTCCAGAAAAGAATAAGAACACTATCTAAAAAAACATGAAGTTCTAGTAAAAATGATGCTTGAGACAGAAAAAAGAATTTAAAAAGATACAGTGAATTAACTAAAAATAAAAGACAGTTCTTTGTTTGGTTTACCATTCTCCCCCCAAAATGGAGGGATATTTGTATATTTGTATATTCTGACAGGCACTTTCTCTTCTAAGGGAGGGAAGTAGTTAGAGGCCCTAGGCTCCACTGTAGAAATGTGATAATGGAGATGTGCAGTGCTCTAGGGCCAAGATTAGTCTCCGAGACAGCATTGGGTGACATTGTTTTACCGTAGTATTTTTGCTTTCTGTTTTGAGTTCCTTGTTGGTTCACAAATGTTCTCTTTTTCTCCACCTTTTATCTAATCAGTCACAATAAAATGTAACTGTCAACCAGAACAGTGTGTTTTTATAGCCAAGTGTTTTGGAAAAACCCTCAAACTGATTTTTCTCTGCTCTCATGCCAGCACAAGAACCATCAATCAGCACAGAAGACTTCTGTGACCCCAAACTATGTGGGGATTTCTCCCTAGCAACAAGCAAGCAATCAGTTTGGCAACAAACACTGACTGGATGTCTTCCAATTCAATTCCAACACTATCTACCTGGAAATAGTGTCTGATCCCACAGGGTAAGGGCTCAGCCCCCCAAAGATTGTCCTCTTTCCCTCTCCCAACACTGCTAGACACCAGTCACAGGTCTGGGGCCTCTGGAACTTCTGACAACTGGCTTCAAGTTGGGGTTCCCACAATCCCTCTTGGGGTTCAATTAATTGGCTATAGTGACTCACAGAACTCAGGGAAACATGTTTACCAATTTATTTTATTACAAAGGATACAGATGAAGAGATGCTCAGGGTGAGGTATGGGGGAAGGGGCACAGAACTCCCATGCCCTCCCTGGGCGAGCTGCCCTCCAGGAACTTGCATGTGTTCAGCTATCCAGAAGCTCTCTAAATCCAGTCATCCTGGCTTTTTATAGAAGCTTCGTGACGTTAGCATTCCTTCCCCCAGGGTATGGGATGGGACCCTCTCTGGAATGGTGGTCTTATGACCCACAATCAGATTACAGACCTGCCTTGGGGCAGGTGAAAGGAACACTGGAGAAAGTCAGAGAGGCCTAACATACCAACATTGTAACAAAAGACTGTAACAAGGACTCTGGGAGTTATGAGCCAGGAATCATAGATGGAAACCTATACATATGTGTGTATTTATATCTATTACTACATCAAGGAAAGGTTTCACACACTGGTATGAAACTGGAAATAATTAACAGGAGAAAACTTGGAAAATTTGCAAGTATGTGGAATTAACACTCCTGAACAACCAATGGGTCAAAGAAGAAATCAGAAATATCTTAAGACAAATGAAAATGGAAACACAACATACCGAAATTTATGGGATGTGGCTAGGTGCAGTGGCTCATGCCTGTAATCTCAGCATTTTGGGAGGCCAAGGCTGGCACATCACTCGAGGTCAGGAGTTCAAGACTAGCCTGGCCAACATGGTGAAACCCCCATCTCTACTAAAAATACAAAAAGTAGCCGGGCGTGATGGCAGGCACCTGTAGTCCCAGCTACTTGGGAGGCTGAGGTGGGAGAATTGCTTGAACCTGGGAGGCGGAGGTTGCAGTGAGCCAAGATCACACCACTGCACTCAAGCCTGGGCAAAAGAGTGAGATCTATCACACACACACACACACACACACACACACACACACACACACACACACATTTATGAGATGCAGCAAAAGGAGTTCAAGAGGGAAAGTGACAGCAATAAATACCTAATTAAGAAAAAGAAAGATCTTAAATAAATAACTTTCCATCTGAAGGAACTAGATAAACAAGAACAAACTAAGTTTGCAGAGGTAAGGAAATAATACAGATTAGAGCACAAGTGAAATAGAGACTAGAAAAACAAAAGAAAAGATCAGTGAACTAAATTTTTTTTAAAAAACGAAAATTGACAAAGCATTATCTAGGCTAAGAAAGACAGGAGACTCAAATAACTATAAATGAAAGAGGAGACATTACAATGGGTACCACAGAAACACAAAGGATCTTAAGAGACTACTATGAACAATTACATGCCAGCAAACTGGATAACCTAGAAGAAATGGTTAAGTTCCTAGACACATACAACCTAGGAAGACTGAACCATGAAAAATAGAAAATCTGAATAGACCAATAATGAGTAAGCAGTTTGAATCACTAATCAAAAATATTCAAACAAGGAATATTCTCTAAATGTTTGGTAGCATTCACCAGTGCAACCATGTGGTCCTGGGCTTTTCTTTGATGAGAGACTTTTTACTACTGATTCAGTCTCCTACCTGTTATTGGTCAATTCAGATTTTCTTTCTCTCCATAATTCAATTTTGGTAGGTTTTATGTGTCAAGGAAATTATCCATTTCTTCTAGTTAATCCAATTTGTTGGTTATAATTGTTCAGAGTAGCCTCATGATCTTTTCTATTTCTGTTGTATCAATTGTAATGTCTCCTTTCTCATTTCTGATTTTATTCACGTCTTCTCTTTTTCTCTGCTAGTCTAGTTAAAGGTTTATTGATTTTTTTAGCTTTTATAAAAGCCACCACTTAGTTTCATTGATCTTTTCTGTGTTTTTCTAGTGTCTATTTTGTTTACTTCTGCTCACTCTGTGCTCTATTAAGAGAGAAAGTATAAAGTCAAGGAAAGATCACTGGAAAAAAAGTTTAAAAAACAGATATGGGGCTGGGTGTGGTGGGATTACACCTGTAATCCCAGCACTTTGGGAGGCTGAGGTGAGGAGTTCAAGACTAACCTGGGCAACATAGCTAGACCCTATCTCTTAGGAAAAAAAAAGTTTTAAAAGTAGTCAGGCATGGTAATATGTGCCTGTAGTCCTAGCTACTTGGGAGGCTGAGGCCGGAGGATTCTTTGAGCCCAGGAGTTCAAGGTTGTAGTGAGCTATGATCACACCACTGCACTCCAGCCTGTGTAACAGAGCAAGGCCTTGTCTCTAAAAAAAAAAAAAAAAAAAAAGGGAAAGAAAAAGATAGAGGTAAGTTAGTTTCTCCAAACCTCAGTCATAAAATGGAAATAAAGATATTTCCCCTGCATATGGAAGCATCCTTTAAAATGTAAACTTGATCATTCTATAAACAATTGTTAATGAATTAAACCTGTGCTCTGGACATGTGCTTTCTGCCCCTTGAAACAAGATGAAAAACTTGGTTTATTGCACTTACATTTCTCTATTCCAGGTAAATAATTTGCATTTTCTAGAACAGTGATTCTTTAACTGTGTTGTTTTAGCATTTTGATTACATTTGTTTATAAATTATTATTATTATTATTATTATTATTATTTTGAGACAGGGTCTCGCTCTGTTACCCAGGCTGGAGTGCAGTGGTGCGATCTCGGCTCACTGAAACCTCCACCTCCTGGGTTCAAGCAGTTCTTGTGCCTCAGCTTCCTGAGTAGCTGGACTACACATTTTTTATTTCTAGTAGAGACAGGGTTTCACCATGTTGGCCAGGCTGGTCTCAAACTCCTGACCTCAAGTGATCCAGCCGCCTCAGCCTCTGAAAGTGCTGGGATTACAGGTATGATGAGCCACCATGGGGTTATATTATAAATAAATATTGTCACTAATAAAAATTATGAATAAACAAAATTTGCAAATGATTTTATTAATAAATTAAAGTGGCCAGGCACAGTGGCTCACACCTTTAATCCCAGCTCTTTGGGAGGCTGAGGCGGGCAGATCACTTGAGCCCAGGAGTTCCAGATCAGCCTGGCCAACATAATGAAACCCCATCTGTACTAAAAATATAAAACAATTAGCTGGGCGTGGTGGCGTATGTCTGTAATCTCAGCTACTCAGGAGGCTGAGACAGGAGGATTGCTTGAAACCGGGAGGCAGAGGTTGCAGTGTGCCAAGATCGCGCCTCTCCACTCCAGGCTGGGCGACAAAGCAAGACGTCGTCTCAATCAATCAATCAATCAATGAGAGTGGATGCAATATTATCCCTATAATAATATTCTCAGTACCTTGCATTCATATATGCTTTTATTACTTTAGCAAGCAAGGAACACTGGGTATTGCACATAACTTGAAGCCTGTTTATCTCAGTTAAGTTGCTGCCAGTAATCTTGGTCACCTTTCAGGAGTGTTACAGATGAACATCACCCATTCTCTAACTTTAATTTTTCTAAATTAAATGAATTATGAAATATAGTTGGCCCTTGAACAATGTGGAGGTTAGGGGTCATCAACACATCCCTCACCGCACAGTCAAAAATCCACGTATAACTTTTGGCTTCCCAAACACTTAACTACTAATAGCCTACTGTTGACTTTACTGATAAACCATCTATTAACACATATTTTGTATGTTATATGTATTATATGCTGTATTTTTTAACAATAAAGCAAGAAAAAAGGAAATGGGCCGAGTGTGATGGCTCACACCTGTTACCCCAACACTTTGGGAGGCTAAGGCGGGAGGATTGCTTTAGGCCAGGAGTTCGAGAACAGCCTGGGCAAAATAGTAAGAGTCCGTCTCTTAAAAAAAAGGTAAAAAAAAAATTTTTGTTTTTTTTGAAACAAGGTCTCGCTCTGTCACCCAGGCTGGAGTACAGTGGCACGATCTCACCACATGGCTCACCACAGCCTCAACCTCCTGGACTCAAGTGATCCTCCCACCTCAGCCTCCCAAGTAGCTGGGACTACAGATGCACGCCACTACACCCAGCTAATTTTTATTTTATTTTATTTTTTTCGTAGAGACAGGGTCTCACTATGTTACTCAGGCTAGTCTTGAATTCCTGAGCTCAAGTGATCTTCCTGCCTTGGCTTTCCAAAGTGCTAGGATTATAGGTGTGAGTCACTGCTCCCAGCCAAAAAAAAATTTAAGAAAATGTTAACAAGAAAGTCATAAGAGAAATGTATTTACTGTTTGCTAAGTGGAAGTGGATCATCATAAAAATCTTTATCCTTGTAGTCATCACACTGAGTAGGCTACAGTGGAGAAAGAAGAGGAGGGGTTGGTTTTGCTGTCAAAGACCTCATTGGAGCTGTCTCAAGAGTAGCAGATGTGGAAGAAAATCCACTTATTAGTGTACTCATGCAGTTCAAACCCATGTTGTTCAAGAGTCAACTGTACAGTGAACTAAAAGCACCAGTTGTCCTCCCCTGCTTAAGGCTCAAGTGTGTCTCTAGCCTATCTAGTATAGAAAATTTTGCTCTGGAATGGGCCTTCTACTCCCAGGTTACAAGTCCAATATCCAAAGGTAAAACTGATCTACATATTGATGAAGTCCAGTAAAATCACTTCAATCATGCTACTATGCAGGCTATTCATTTAAAAACTTTAAAAACTAAACACTATGTTTGACTTAGAAAAGAAAAATGGCAAAGGGAGAAATACTAGCAGGCAAGGTCTTGGTCTAGTTCATTATCCTGGCCTAACAACATGCATCATAAGTAAGGTGGTCACAGGACCTGGTTTGCCTGGTATAGTCCTGGTTTATGTCAGCTATCCCAATGTAATTATTAGTAACACCCTCTTTCACCCCACACATAAAGTGCTTACTATTGTTTATCAATATATACCCTATTTCTAGCAGTGCACAGCATGTATTAGGTGCTCACTAAATATTTGTTAAATGAATGAATGAATGATGAGCCATATAAAGAGACTGGCCCATTAGACAGAGTTCTGAGAATTTAGTTCTGCAGTAAAACAGTAAAGAGACTGGCCCATTAGATAGAGTTCTGAGAATTTAGTACTGCAGTAAAATAGTATGAGCACTGTAGTGGGTTGAATTGATGAGTACCCCCGAAAAGATATGCCCATGTCATAATCCCTGTAATGTGGGAATACTACTTTATATGGCAAATAATGTAATTAAATTAAGGGTCTTAAGAGGAGATGCTTAGCTTGGATTATCTGGGTACAATCACATGTATCCTTAGAGAGGCAGAGGGGTTTTGGGGATGCACAACACACACACAGACACACACAGAGAAAGGCAATGTGAAGACAGCAGAGATGTGGCCACAGCCAAGGAATGTACACAACACACACACACACAGAAAGGCAATGTGAAGACAGAGCAGAGAGATGTGGCCACAAGCCAAGCATGCCAACAGCCACCAGAAGCTAGAAGAGGCAAGAGTTGGATTCTCCCCTAGCGCCTCCCTAGAAAGTGCACCCTTGCCAATGCCTTGATTTGACTTCTGACCTCCAGAACTGTGAGAAAATTAATTTGGGTTGTTTTAAGCCACCAAGTTTGTGGCAATTTGTTATGGCAGCCAAAGGAAACTAATGCAAGCACCTTATTCATGCAAAAGTGATAAGAAAGGAATATTCCCATTATGGCTATTCATGTTGCTGTGGGGTGGGGGAGCTTGATGTACCTGGGAAAGTATGAGATGCTGCCACATATTAACGAATTGCATTAGAAAAGTCACCAAACTTTCCATTTCCCAATATATATAGTGGGGGAAATAATACATCTCTACTTCCTCCAAATAGTTTGTAGTGAGCCTCAATTGAGATAATGTATATTCCTGTATTCAATAAATATTTAATGATGCCTAGTATATGCTAGGAACTATTCTAAGCTCTTTATCTCTTGCTGTCCAATACATTCCCTATCCAGAATCTAGTCATCTTTTTAATGTGAAGTTTTTTGTGTGTGTTTTTGTTTTGTTTTGTTTTTGAGACACAGCTTTGCTCTATTGCCCAGACTGGAGTGCAGCTGTGCAACCTTGGCTCACTGCAACCTCCACCTCCCGCACTCAAGCAATTCTCATGCCTCAGCCTCCCAAGTAGCTTGGATTACAGGTGTGTGCCACCACACCCAGCTAATTTTTGTATTTTTTAGTATAGATGGGGTTTTGCCATGTTGGCCAAGCTGGTCTCAAACTCCTGGTCTCAAGTGAGCCACCTGCCGCAGCCTCCCAAACTGCTGGGATTACAAGCATGAGCTACTGTGCCCTGCCAGAAGCCAGTCATCTTTTTAAAAAATCTGTGGAATACAACATGACAGATAAAGTTCCTGCTGCCATTCAGCTTAACATCCTAATGCAGTGAGCAGACAAGACACAAGAATGAATGCAAAAAATCATTTCAGATAGTAAGAAGGACTATGGAAAAGACAAAAACAAAAAAAAACTAAGAGGGGAAATGTAATAGAGTATCTAGAAGAGGAAACAACATTACATGGGATGATCAGGGAAGGCTTTTCTAGAGAGGTGGCCATTCAAGCTGAAATCTAAATTATACACACACAAAAAGCCATTCTGTAAAAAATTGGGATAAGAGCTTTTGGGCAGTGGAACTTAAAAAAAAGAAATAGCCATAGTTTTTGCATACTTGAGGAATAGAAAGCTTTGCATGAGCTTAACATATTTGTAGAAAGGGGCCAGTGTGACTGAATAGAGATCAAAGGGAACATAGTAGGAGTTGAAGTCAGAGTGATAGTCAAGGGCCAGATCATGTAAGGTCATATAGGCCACGCTAAGGAGTTTGGATTTTATTGTGGATATTATGTATATCCATGATTAGAGGGTTTTAGGCATGGAAGTGGCATTATCTGATTTACATTTTTTAAAGATTACTGGTTCTGGGTAGAGAATGTATTGGACAGCAAGAGATGAAGTTGAGGGATGAATTCTAGGAGGCTATTGCAGTAATCCAGGCTAGGGAGAATGGTGGTTAGATTAAAGTGATAGAAATGTAGATCAAGAGAAGTGGACCAGTTTAAGATATATTTTGGAGATAGAGCCAACAGAACTTCTGATGGATTGAATATAGAAGGGACAGAAGAATCAAAAACGATTCATAGGTTTTTGACCTTAGTAACTGACCGTGGTGAACAATGGAGAAAAACTATTCTGAACATGTTAAACTTGAAATGCCTATTAGATATTCAGGGGGAAATTTCAGTAGGCAATTCAATACAGATGATATACATCTATAGCTTGCATGGGGGGAAAGGTAGATAAGAGATAGAGACATGAATTTGGAAATTTTTATCATATAAATGGGATTTAAAGTCATAGGATTGATGAATTACCTCGGAGAAAAGTATTCAGAGGGAAGAAAAGACCCAGAATAAATCCTTGGTGGTACTTCAATATTTATAGGTCAAACAGAGTAGGAGAACCCAGCAAAGACTGAGCTGAATTGGTAAAGGCAGTAGGAAATTCTAGAGAAAAAATAAATAAAATGGCAGCAAGATAATATGCACAAATATTTTCTCAGCTCTTGTGTATGTAAATAATTCTATTGGTAATACAAGAGAAGTACTTGATATCAAGAACCTTATGATTTTGGAAGGGAGATAAAAATAAGCCCATAAAAATAATAAATTATTTAGCCTTCTAACTAATGATCTCCCTATCTCCAAGTTTGCCCTCCTTTTCTTTTCTTTTTTTTTTTTTTTTTTGAGACAGGGTGTAACTCTGTTGCCCAGACTGTAGTGTAGTGGCGTAATCACAGCTCACTGCAACTTCCTCCTCCTGGGCTCAAGCGATCCTCCCATCTCAGCCTTCTGAGTGGCTGGGACCACAGGTGCACCACCACACCCTGACTTATTTTTGTATTTTTTTATAGAAACGGGGTTTCACCATATTATCCAGGCTGGTCTTGAACTCCTGGGCTGAAGAAATCCACACACCTCGTCCTCCCAAAGTGTTGGGATTACAGGCGTGAACCACCACACCCCAGTTCAATCCATTCTACACAAACTGTAAGGATAGTTTTTCTAAAACAGTACATGGATCAATTAAAACTGATCAGCTTTACACTAAAACTGATCAGAGTTCTGATCAGTTCAAGAACTTTGTCTGTGTAGTCAAGTCCCAAATCATCATTCTGGCACTTAAGGAAGAATGGCCACAGCCTCATCTCCCTATTATTCCCTTTATGAAAGCTTATGGTATCTTTGGTTTAGCACTGATTCCACCCTTCCCTGCCTTTTATATAATTGGTGTATTTATCTTTTGTCTAGATTGTGAGATCCTTGGAAACAGGTATTATGCATATAAACTCAATAACTTTATTTCTTTTTCTGCCAAGTGAACAAAGACCTCCAAATTGTAGTCACATGTAATACAGAACACTGGTATTGGTCATATCTCCATCTCTGATCCACCCTTCCTCCCATGCAAGCTATAGATGCATATCATCTATTTTGAATTGCCTATTGAAATGTCCCTTTGAATATCTAATAGGCATTTCAAGTTTAATATATTCAGAATAGTTTTTCCTCCATTGTTTACTACCTGCCAGTTGCTTAAGGCCAAAATCTATGAATCATTCTTGATTCTTCTCTCATTTTCCATATTCAATCCATCAGAAGTTTTAATGGCTTTATCTCCAAAATATATCTTAACAATGGAGCAAAATTTGAGTACCATAGAACCAGATTAGGGATAACTGTAGGAATGAAGGAGTGATACACCTAGGAATAGGAAAGTAGTCTGAAGCCAGATGATAAAGGTCCTTTTATGCCAAACTAAGAAGTTCAGATATTATTGTTAGAGGAGAGCTATTGAGGTTTTTGAGTAGGGCACTTATATATTCATTTTGTACTTCAGGAATGAATCAGTAGAGGGGATAAATGAGGGTACCCTCAAAATTGCAAGCAATGAAGTATTAGAACTGAATTTTTAGGGACAGCAATACCAGCCTAACTGGCTGCATAAGAGAAGACTGGGTGTTTGGGAGAGGCAAAAAATAAGGCCAACAGAAAAGGTAGGGTAGGGACAGAATATAAAGGGCTTGAAAGCCAGGTAAAAGCATATAAACTGGGATGCCTGGGTTCTAATAACTGTTTCCCTACTTGGAGAAACTCCCCTTATCTTTTTTAAACCCCAGTTTCCTTTTCCTGGGATTTGCTTCAGCTATAAATGTTGTAATTTTCTATAATGCTCTGACCTGCTACAGTGGCTCTGAAACCTTGACTGCACACTGGAATCACCTAGAGAGCTTTAAAAGCTACTGATGGCTAGATCTCACTACCAAAGATTCAGATTTATCTGGTCTTAGGTGCAGCCTGGACACTGAGATATTTAAAAGTTCTCCAGGTGATTCTAATGTGCAGCCAAGGTTGAGATCAACTCATGTAGAAAATAGTGAAGCACTAAGATTCTTAAGCATGGTAATAATATGTTAAAATTTAGTTTAGTTTTTTTGTTTTTTTTGTTTTTTCCAAGACGGAGTCTTGCTCTGTCGCCCAGGCTGGAGTACAATGGCATGATTTCAACTCACTGCAACCTCCACCTCCTGGGTTCAAGCGATTCTCCTGCCTCAGCCTCCCGAGTAGCTAGGATTACAGGTGCGCACCACAACGTCTGGCCAATTTTTTGTATTTTTAGTAGAGACAGGGTTTCACCATGTTGGCCAGGGTGGTCTATAACTCCTGACCTTGTAATCTGCCTGCCTCAGCCTCCCAAAGTGCTGGGATTACAGGCATGAGCCACCGCGCCTGGCTGAAAAAAGGTATTTTAAGAAAGACTAACAGGAATATACAGACTAGTAGGGAAAGACTACAGAAGATCAACTAGAATTTTGCAATAATCCAGGAGAAAAGTTTAGTAAGGGCTGGATTAGCATACATGCAATGATGTTGTAGGGAGGAAGATGAATGCAAGAAACATTTGGAGAGAAGGAGCACCAGGATTCAGTAAGTGATTGAATGTTAAATCTGAGCAAAAGGAAAAAAAATATGGTCAAGTTTCTAGCATAGAAGAATAATAGACTCCTTAACAAAATTAAAGTAGTTGTGAAACAGCTGGTTAATCAATATTATTGAGAATATGGAAACTAACATTAAATTCTAAGTCGGGGTCTAACCTACGTGCCTTACATACATTATCTCATTTAATCTTTACAACCACCATATAAATACTACTATCATTCCGATTTTACAGTTTTAGAAACTGAGTAAGAGTAATTAAATTATTTGCCCAAAGTTACACAGTAAATGGTAGAGAAGACATTTGACCTCAACTGGTCTAACTACTTTTCCTCATAGGAAGATGACCAGTTTACATATGGAATCTGTTGAATTTGAGCAAACAACTCAAAAAAGCAAAATGGCTATAGAGGCCAGATGGGAACATAAATGAGTGAATCAAGTCAGATGCAACTGTGGAGAAATCAAAACATCGAGAGAAGGTAGTTCTACTTAGTTATGCTTGAATGTTGCCCTATGAGAATTTCAGGCCCAGTATTGCCATATTTTAAGATTTTTCATGAAAAGATGGAAATCTGGATTTGTATGCAAAAATTTGTGTGAATATCAAATTCAAGTGTTTAAAACTACTGTGGCTCAAACTATGGCTTCAAGTTTGCATCTCTGAGCAAAAGGCTGTTGGAAATTCAGAACTGGATGTAAAGTGAGAGATCTGGGCTGAAGGTAAATGATTAGGGAATTCATAAGCACAGAGAGGATGGTAGATGCTTCCAAAACAGTATGTGTTAGAATAGTAACCAGCACTTGACATGATTAGTTAAAATAAGGCAAAAATATATGAGTTAACAAGTTAGTCAGGACTTAGAGAAAACTGATAAAACTAGCAGTGGAAAACTAGCAGACTTAAGTGGGTATATTTAAAATTCAATTTTCAATGAACTAAAAGCTAAATTCCAGACAATGACTCTGTGTGTGTGTGTGTGTTTAAGATAGGATTTCGCTCTGTTACCCAGGCTGGAGTGCAGTGACATGATCATGGCTCACTTCAGCCTCGACCTCCAGGGCTCAAGCCATCCTACTGCCTCAGCCTCCCAAGTAGCTGGTACTACAGGCATGTGGGACACAGGCTAATTTTTGTATTTTTTGTAGAGACAGGTTTTCACCACGTTGCCCAGGCTAGTCTCAAACTCCTGAGCTCAAGCTACCCACCTGCTTCAGTCTCCAAAAGAGCTGGGATTGCAGGCATCAGCCACCATGCCTAGCATTTTATTTTTTTTGAGACAGGATCTCACTCTACTGCCCTGGCTGGAGTGCAGTGGCGTGACCATGGCTTAGTGCAGCCTCAAAGTCCTGGGCTTAAGGGATTCGCCCATGTCAGCCTCCCAAGTAGCTGGGACTACAGATGCATGTCACCACATCTGGATTAATTTTTAATTTTAGAGATGGGGGGGTCTCCCTATGTTGCCCAGATTGGTCTCCAACTCCTGGGCTCAAAGAATCCTCCCAGCTTGGCCTCCAAAAGTGCTGCTGAATTTTCATATATCCATGACGTGATGGAAACATTTAGAAAGTTTCAATGTTTATTTCCCTCACTTAAATATATTTCGATTTGAAAAAAAACTATTGTCTAGACTTCAAAGAGTATATTCATCTAGCCCTAAAAGCTAGATGTTCTTATAATTAAGACACTTAAAATTCAATAATTAAAAATTTTTTACACTGGGCACAGTGGCTCACACCTGTAATCCCAGTATTTTGGGAGGCCCAGACGGGTGGATCACTTGAGGTCAGGAGTTTGAGACCAGTCTGGGCAACATGGTGAAACCCCATCTCAAGTAGAAATACAAAAATTAGCTGGGCGTGGTGGCACATGCTTGTAATCCCAGCTACTCAGGAGGCTGAGGCACGAGAACTGCTTGAACCCAGGAGGTGGAGGCTGCAGTGTGCAGAGATCACACCACTACACTCCAGCCTGAGTGACAAAGTGAGACTCTGTCTCAAAAAAAAATTTTTTTTTCTAAAGGTTTTACTTAATGTTTTTATTTAATCTTTGCTAATTGTGAACCCTTCTGCAATGGGCTTTGCAGGTACGATTTCAACTTCAAATCTTTCTATTTAAGTGAGAGAAAGGTAATTGAAAGATTGTTTTATCAATATTTTTACTTTTTCTACCTTAGGTTATTCCCTTCCAGGTCAATTTCTCACATAAACTCATATCTGCAAAGCCCATACCAAAAGGGTTCCCAATTAGCAAAGATTAAATAAAATATTAAGTAAAACCTTTTTTAAATTTTTAATTACTGAATTTTAAGTGTCTTAATTATAAGAACATCCGACTTTTACGGCTAGGTGAATATTCTCTTTGAAGTCTAGACAATAGTTTTTGAATACTACTCTTCTTAGTAAACTAATGTATTCGTTCATTATCAGATAAATGGAATGTAAACCAGTTATGTAAAAATATCACATATACTAATGCATTTTTCCAAACCTTAAAGCCCTACAGAAATTATAAAGAAACATTATTCTCGTGTTATCATGAAGCTAGAAGGGTCCAAAGAAATACAAAGTGAAACCTCTTGTATTTAAAACAAAACTTGCACCACCACCACCACCCCAAAATAGTTTTTTTTTTTTTTTAGAATATCTCTTCCAAGTTTTAAAGTTCAAGTAAAATTGATGTAATAGCAATAAGTGTAGTAACAGTAAAGTAGGGAATGGTGACTATTCTATAGCAAAGATCTACAGATGTTGGAATTGTGTTAAAAACCTTCAGAGCCACACCACAGCCTTCTATTACATTTAAATGTCGTAGGAAAAACTGCAATTTTCCGGAAAATTGTATTAAGGACCAGGTGCTCTAATACCAAGAGCTGTTTTGACACATCAAAGGTTAAGTTTGGGTCTTTGAAAATCCTGCCTCTTACTGAACACTTTAAAAGTCATTCATGTTAAAACACACACATTCTTGCCTTTGACTATACACTGTAAAAGTACTACATGTTAAAATGGAGATGGGGACATTTTTGTTGTTTAAGTTTATGGAAGTATGACTCCATTTTAGTATAGCTACAATGTCGCAAACGATGGAATAAGGTACTCATCAATACATTACCTGGTAAGTATAAATAGTTCAACTTGCCGGCTTTGAAAAGCTTAATCCTATTTCTTATGGTGAACCTTAAATAAAATGAAAATACACAACTGACAATGTTTAACGTGCACTTAAACAAACAAAAAACAAAAAAAAACAGGAGCTAGCAATTCGAAATCCTCCAAACACCCGCGGAAGTCTGACACACAGGGTGTTTTCCTCGGTGACCGCCAGCCGGACATTCCTATGGGAAAAGCAGCTTCTTCTGTGCGGTTCGAAGAAAATCAACCCCTTCCTTTCATCACTTTCTCATTCACTCTGCAGGGGGTGGGCCAATAAGGAGCTGAATGAAGCTCCCCTTTGGCATCCGGGCGCACGTCTCGCCTCCTCCCCACTACTTTCTGGGTTCCCTAAGGCTGCCGAAGCCGAGGACCTGGAGCCGGGTAGTGTCCCGGCGCTGCGCCCGGGGGCTCCAGGCCTCAACCCGAAGGGCTCAGCCCCGGGAGAGGCCAGGCACGCGAGGGCAGCCACAGCTCCAAGGGGCGCCAAGAAAAGCAATGCTCACTCGCCACGCACAGGGTTCGGGGGAGGTAAGGGTGCGTTTTCTTCCCATATTCCCGGTGAGAAAACGAGGTCGAGGGAAAAGGGGATGATACAACTGGAGCATGGCATATGGACTCAGTGAACAAAGGGACTGGAGCAAGAAGCAGCAGCCACGCCAACGCAGACTCAAAAGGGCTCTCCGGCTTTACGCACGCAACCCTCATCTCGACAGCGCTCGGCGCCCCTTACGCCACTGGCTCAGCCTCAGAGACTTCGCGAATATGGCTTTGCGCACTGCGGCGGGGCTGCGCCGCAACCGAGCTCAGCCCTGTGGCTCCTCCTCGCTGCCCTGCGCGGATTGGTGGCAGACGGCAACCGGGCCGCTGATTGGGCGGCGAAGGAGCCATTCGGGGAGACTCTGGTGGGTTCGGCTGCCCCAAGAGTGATAAGTTCGGCTTCAGACACGCCTTAGCGCCAGCAGTGAGTCGGAGCTCTATGGAGGTGGCAGCGGGTACCGAGTGGCGGCTGCAGCAGCGACTCCTCTGAGCTGAGTTTGAGGCCGTCCCCGACTCCTTCCTCCCCCTTCCCTCCCCCTTTTTTTTGTTTTCCGTTCCCCTTTCCCCTCCCTTCCCTATCCCCGACGACCGGATCCTGAGGAGGCAGCTGCGGTGGCAGCTGCTGAGTTCTCGGTGAAGGTGAGTTGAGCCGCTGCCGCCGCCGAGTGGAGCGCTCTAAAATGGCCGCCGTCCCTGGTCGCTTCTTCTCGAGTGGTACAAAATGGCGGCCGCAGGCGGAGCCGGGTGGGGCGACCCTTTTTTAGCATTTCCTCTGCGCTTCAGATACCTGGAAAGTCTTGGCTTTTGTTCTCTCTTCCTGTTGCTGACGGAGTAGAAGGAAAACGTCAGTGTTGGCCAGGCCGCCGTGCGGTCATGGCCGGATGGCCGACGCCTGCAGGGACGAGGCCGTGGCGGACCGAGGCACGGCTGTGCTCGGACGGCGAGGGAGCGTGGCTCGGACCGCTAGCGCCGTGGCGGGAGGCACGCGGGCCGGCAGGGAAGGCCAGGCCGTTGGCGCGGGACCAGGGAACCGCAGGCGTCCCGGAGCCTGGCCTCCCGGCGGGGAGGTGTGTAGGACCTGGAGTCGGCAGGGGCTGCCCTTCGTCGGGGAGGAAAGAGAGAGTGATGATTTCTGCCCCTTTTGTCAGCAGAGGAGGCCGTGGCGAGGCGGTTGTCAGTCCCGGGGGGATTTATGGTGCAGGAGGGGGCCCGCTTGGAGGCGGCGGGTGGGCAGGAGGCCGCCTTCCTGCTTGGAGAACAAAGAGCTGGGCGCCGGGCTGGCGGGGGTGGCCTCAGCTGCTCCTCCCCGTCGAGCGACCCGGGCCTCGCGGGGAGGTTGTCGGAAGCACTTCCCTAACTTGCGCCTGGGTGGGAGGAATGCTCCGCTCTTTTGTTCCCAGGAAGGGAAAAACGGGGCGGAGGTTCCTGCTGCCATGTTGTGGCCCTGGTCTTCCGCCTGCAAGTGCTAGTCCTGTACACCCGGCCCCCTCTCGCGCGTCTTTCCACGAGCTCTCCACGGGGAGGAGGCGAAAGGGTGGACAGGGGAAAACTGCTGAAGAGCTTTCGGAGAGACCTCATCTAGTCGCTGGCCTCGTCAAGGCAGTAAAAATTCCTAGGGCAGACATTTTCCACGTGATGTTGCTCGTGTCTGTAGTTAGACTTTTCTATTGATCTCAGTGCTCAGTTTTAAAGATAGTAGAATGTGGCTTTTTCAAAAGATTCGTTCTGAGCCGTTTAAAATGCTCTTGTGTTCTACGAAGTCTCTTTGCATCCTTGAACACCGGGGAATTTCCAGGTGGCTAAACAAAATGTAATTGTCAGTGTTTTGAGTACATTTTAGGTTAGTCTTACAGATCTGCAATGCAGTGACAGTGCCAGGATCTGAAATACGTTGTAATTGAATGAAGGCTTATAGATCTGTATGTTAGCAGTGTCTAATTTTGGTGCTCTTTCTCGTTCCAGGTATTTCATTTCTCCTGTCCCCTCCCCTCCCCACCCCATCTATTAATATTATTCTTTTGAAGATTCTTCGTTGTCAAGCCGCCAAAGTGGAGAGTGCGATTGCAGAAGGGGGTGCTTCTCGTTTCAGGTACTTGTAGATTTATTTTGGGGAATCCTTTTGAAAAGGCCAGTCTCAAAAAGTAGTTAACACAGCAAATAAGTCCGACTTAATGGGCTGCAATTTTCATTTGAAAAGTTCTTAAGTTTTCATTGACAGCCTTCTAAGAACTGCCATCTGAAGAATAAATAAAATCAATTATTTGCCTTTCCTTTGGGTCCGAGTTCAGTCTTCATTTGTAGCATAATATACAAGCACTAAAATACAGGCCTGGCTCCAGTCTGGGCAAAATAGCGAGACCCCCATCTCTACAAGCAAAGCAAAACACAAAATAGATGCTTATTCTTTTTGAGTGAGACATAGTTGGGATACAGTAAACAATTTTTTTCTTTTAAATAGTGCTTCTTCGGGCGGAGGAGGAAGTAGGGGTGCACCTCAGCACTATCCCAAGACTGCTGGCAACAGGTGTGGTAAACATGTAAAAAAACAGTGAGCTTTATTTAACAGATTAAAAGTCTTTCCCATGTGACGGTATAATTAAGGCAATAGCCATCAAGACTCCTAATCTTAAGGGGCGTGGTTTCTGTTGGGTATCCTAAATACAGAATATCAGTTCCTGATTATTCCTTAGCCAAATTTTCTAAGTGAGTTGAGACTCTCAAGCTGTTATTTTTTTCCTTATTCTTTGGGTTATTTTTACTAATGTGTTTTTCTGAAATCAGTAGCTATTATTCCTACTGATTGTTATTAGTAAAGTAGTACGCACTCAACATGGTCAATAAAACATTAGAAAGTGTTTATTGGCAGCCGGTACAGTGGCTCACACCTGTAATCCCAACAACAACTTTGGGAGGCAAAGGTGGGAGGGTCGCTTGAACCCAAGAGTTTGAGATCAGCCTGGGCAAGACAGCAAGACCCCATCTCTTAAAAAAAATGTTAATTTTCAAAATGTGGTTCCACAGCGTTGATACTGGGAATATTTACTAGACATGCAAATTCTTAGGCCCCACCCCAAACCAGTGAAAGCAGAAACTGGGTGGGCCCAGCAATCTGTATTAACAAGCCCTTCAGGTGATTCTGATGCACACTACTGTTCCAGAAGCACTAATTTCCAGAGTTGGCTTTCTTGGAGGGGAAGTCGAGAAAGCCTAAATTACTTTTTTCTATGTAAGAGAATTTATGATGTTTAACATTTGGTGTGTGACAATAAGTGTTTTTGCTGATTTTTATTAATCAGCGAGTTCCTGGGGAAAACCCCAGGGCAAAACGCTCAGAAATGGATTCCTGCACGAAGCACTAGACGAGATGACAACTCCGCAGCAAACAACTCCGCAAACGAAAAAGAACGACATGATGCAATCTTCAGGAAAGTAAGAGGGTAAGTTTCAAGGTCTGTTTTACTAAAAGATGGGAAGTGTGGATTAGCTGTGTTTGGTGTGTGTGCTGTATTACTAAGAAGGCAAGGTTCATGCCCAGAGTATGTATGTTTTAATGAATCCTCATGGTAGCAATTTTTAAAAATATCTTGAACTGGCCAGGCACTGTGGCTCACGCCTGTAATCCCAGCACTTTGGGAGGCCGAGGTGGGCAGATCACTTGAGGTCAGGAGTTTGAGACCAGCCTGGCCAACATGTTGAAACCCCATCTCTACTAAAAATACAAAAATTAGCCGGACGTAGTGGCAGGCGCCTGTAGTCCCAGCTACTAGAGAGGCTGAGGCAGGAGAATCACTTGAATACCCCACAGGTGGAGGTTGCAGTGAGCCGAGATCACGCCACTGCACTCCAGCCTGGGTGCAGAGCAAGACTGTGTCTCAAAAAAAAAAAATGTATCTTGAACTGAAGAACAGCACGTCATATTTTGGGGCTTCCCGTTGCTTTCAGCCATTGGATTGCAATCCATAATCCTGTCATGCTAGCATTTCCCTTGACTAAGGGAAGTGCTATGTTATTTAAGCCAGTGAGGCAGGGAATATAATGGTCTTAGTTCATGGTCTAGCCTTGATAATGAGATCTTTGCGCTCTAACCTTGAGAAAGTGAGAAAGGATTCTTGTCAAACAGCTGGGGACCCCCCAGTCCAATTCAAATCATTGTAATTAAAATAACAGGTTTATTTCAGCATCCCTTTGGTTTTAGATGAGTAAGAAAACATGTCTTGATTTTTTAAAGGGAGCAAGTTAGAAGAAAAATCAGTATAATTTAAAAGCAGTTTTTCAATTCAAATTCTGTGTATTAGCTAACACTTAAAATGTAATTCCTTTTTCTCCAGCATACTAAATAAGCTTACTCCTGAAAAGTTTGACAAGCTATGCCTTGAGCTCCTCAATGTGGGTGTAGAGTCTAAACTCATCCTTAAAGGGGTCATACTGCTGGTAAGTTTTAAATATTGGCTTAACTCAAAAGGGAGAGGGAACTGTTTAACAAACTCAAGTTGTGTTTTTTTACACTTGGATTACTACTTAAAACCCTTAGGTGTGAGTTAGATAGGTATGTATTTTTGAATACTGATGGTGATTAAAAAGAACCACTGACTTTAGTAGCATTAGATTGAAGAGGTAAATGTTAAGTTCATGGTATGGTTGAAGAGGTAAATGGGAGTGCTTAGCAAGCTGTTCTTTTTCTTTTGTGGAAAACACCGTATTTAGGTCTTGGAAATGCATTGTATGACAGTTTATGTAGACTTGAAAGTTTTGATATCCATGGCATTTTCTGACTCCCAGGAGATGGATGTGACTAGATGAAATCTGTATAACTGGACATTTTTGGTAGACTGTAATAGCTAACATTTAGGTGGTTGTATTTTTCCTAAAGGAAGGGTTCTTGGAGAAGTTTTCATATTTAGTTTAAGCAATGACATTTTCTGTAGATTGTGGACAAAGCCCTAGAAGAGCCAAAGTATAGCTCACTGTATGCTCAGCTATGTCTGCGATTGGCAGAAGATGCACCAAACTTTGATGGCCCAGCAGCAGAGGGTCAACCAGGACAGAAGCAAAGCACCGTAAGTGGTAGTTTTTGTTTGCTTGTTTTAAAGTTGACTTGAAAAATTTCCTTAATAAAGCATGACAATGTCTTCTTTTCCAGACATTCAGACGCCTCCTAATTTCCAAATTACAAGATGAATTTGAAAACCGAACTAGAAATGTTGATGGTAAGACTTATAGCTGATAATAAGTACTACTGTATATTTTCAGCTTAATTCTGAATGTTGGCTTACTTCATTGGTATCTTTTTCAGTCTATGATAAGCGTGAAAATCCCCTCCTCCCCGAGGAGGAGGAACAGAGAGCCATTGCTAAGATCAAGATGTTGGGAAACATCAAATTCATTGGAGAGCTTGGCAAGCTTGATCTTATTCACGAATCTATCCTTCATAAGTGCATCAAAACAGTAAGTGTGACAGGGAAGTTAGGCGAATGTAGTCAGTCGTTTGGAGGAAATGAGTCAATTATTCATCTAAGAGGGAGGTTGACTAGTTAAATACAGATGTGCAACAAAATTTACTAAACAGAATAATTTGAAATACGTGGTGTGTTTGACAAAGTAGAGTTAGAACTGATCAACCAGACTGGTAGAAAGCCCTATACTAGATTCTGTAGGAACTGTGAATGAGTCAGTGCAAACATAAAGGGAAAGAAAGTACTACGCCTAAACCAGAGTAACTAAAACTTTGTCACCATGGCCTTTTATTCTTGTAGCTTTTGGAAAAGAAGAAGAGAGTCCAACTCAAAGATATGGGAGAGGATTTGGAGTGCCTCTGTCAGATAATGAGGACAGTGGGACCTAGATTAGACCATGAACGAGCCAAGGTACGTGTGTAGCTGATGAAAGTAGTACAAGTAGTTTGTCTTTAAATCAAGCTATTGATTTTTGTGACATCATAAGGGATTGCCATATTTAGCCATTAACTGGGTTATAATTTTAGAAGTCTTAAAGCTGTAAATTGAACACATTTGCTTTAGCTCTTCCAATGAATGTATTCTTCTCTTATCAGTCCTTAATGGATCAGTACTTTGCCCGAATGTGCTCCTTGATGTTAAGTAAGGAATTGCCAGCAAGGATTCGTTTCCTGCTGCAGGTAATACTGGTTTCTTTAAATTTGTTGGTAAGCTGAGTTTTTGGTTTAGGAATATTAAAATAAAATTATTTTTCAATTAAAGGATACCGTAGAGTTGCGAGAACACCATTGGGTTCCTCGCAAGGCTTTTCTTGACAATGGACCAAAGACGATCAATCAAATTCGTCAAGATGCAGTAAAAGTAAGATTGGGTTTTGTTTTGTTTGTCACATAGACTCTGTGTGTGTAGAATAGAATGGGTTTCCTCCTCACCCACCCCAAACGCTTGAGGGGTCTGTCTCATCTTAGTGGTGGAGCTTAATGTTTTTAGTGTCTCGTCTTCCACTTTTATTTTTTTATTTTTTGAGACGGAGTTTCGCACTGTCACCCAGGCTGGAGTGCAGTGGCGCATTCTCGATTCACTGCAGCCTCTGCCTCCCAGGTTCAAGTGATTCTCCTGCTTCAGCCTCCCCAGTAGCTGGGACTATAGGCGTGCGCCACCACACCCCGCTAATTTTTTGTATTTTTAGTAGAGACAGGGTTCCACCATGTTGGCCAGGCTTGTCTTGAACTCCTGACCTCATGCAAACCAAGGCTTGGGCCTCCCAAAGTCGGGGGATTACAGATGTGAGCCATCATGCCCAGCCTTGTCTGCCATTTTTGGAAGAAGTTATTTACAGAAATAACATAAATTATGGTTTAATATTCTAGGTTTCCCCCCCTAGTTGCAAGAATTTTAGTTTTAAGTGAAATAGTGTCCAGAGACAAAAAGTGCATATTCACTTCATTTCTAAAGGATCTAGGGGTGTTTATTCCTGCTCCTATGGCTCAAGGGATGAGAAGTGACTTCTTTCTGGAGGGACCGTTCATGCCACCCAGGATGAAAATGGATAGGGACCCACTTGGAGGACTTGCTGATATGTTTGGACAAATGCCAGGTAATTTTGAAAAAACAATGGTTGCGTTAAGCTGAAAAATCAGTTAACTTTAGTTTTGAGAGTTGTCCGTATATGTATTTTAAGGTAGCGGAATTGGTACTGGTCCAGGAGTTATCCAGGATAGATTTTCACCCACCATGGGACGTCATCGTTCAAATCAACTCTTCAATGGCCATGGGGGACACATCATGCCTCCCACACAATCGCAGTTTGGAGAGATGGGAGGCAAGTTTATGAAAAGCCAGGTAAGTAATATTTGAGTGTGCATGTTTTCTAAACCTTATCTGCAACATTTATTTCAAACTGAAATGTTTATCCTTAAGATTAGTAAAGTATTAGTAAAATCACATCACTTTATTTGATAGGTTAGATTTTTATTCTTCCCTGTTTCATCTTTTACTTTCTCTGGGCAAATTCAGTTAAACTAACTTTATGGCTTGGCTCATCCCTTTGGTACTTGATTACCATAATTTGTGGACCCCTTTTTATCTAGACTTTCTTTCTCCTTTTCTGAAATAGGGGCTAAGCCAGCTCTACCATAACCAGAGTCAGGGACTCTTATCCCAGCTGCAAGGACAGTCGAAGGATATGCCACCTCGGTTTTCTAAGAAAGGACAGCTTAATGCAGATGAGGTACATTTGCCTATGTTACTTATATACCATAGTTTGTCCATTCAGAAATTTATTGCCCGATGATTATAAAAAGACGCGTTATTAAGAGGACTTTATGCTGGAGTTCTTGACGTTTTTCTCTCTTTTCTATACTTCTTTTTCTTTCTTTGAATGTCCAGCGTCCTGTGAGCGAAGATTATGAGATATGAGGGCAAGTCTCCTAAAGTCTGTTAGAGCAAGAAAACTGGTTGTCAAAATATTGTGGTTTCTTTCTTTGTAAGGGTGATTTAACTAAGGATAAAACAGGGCATTTTCTAAACTGTAGTTAAATTTGCAGTTTTTTATTTGAATATTTTAGTCATGCTAATTCTAAGAGAATGTAAGATTTATAATAGTATCTTACTACTGTATGCATCAGATCTTTAAATTTTTTGCCAAAAATTAAACCTGTTAATGTGGAGTACCTTCTTTAGTTTTTCAAAAAGCTTAATGTTTCCCTAGATTCTGTCACTGTATAGGATTTTAGAATGTTGTATTTAATATGTTCGCCAACTGCATGTTGTTAATTTAGATATATTTTGTTTTCAATTCCAGATTAGCCTGAGGCCTGCTCAGTCGTTCCTAATGAATAAAAATCAAGTGCCAAAGCTTCAGCCCCAGATAACTATGATTCCTCCTAGTGCACAACCACCACGCACTCAAACACCACCTCTGGGACAGGTACAGACCATAGTAGGACAGCATTTTCTAAAGATATCTGAAGACTTTTTTCTAAATTTAGTGTGTTCTTCCCCCTAATTTCATAGTCCTCTTTTTAAAAAAAGTCTGTCATTGCTTGTTTTTTAGACACCTCAGCTTGGTCTCAAAACTAATCCACCGCTTATCCAGGAAAAGCCTGCCAAGACCAGCAAAAAGCCACCACCGTCAAAGGAAGAACTCCTTAAACTAACTGTAAGTTTCAAATATCCCATTTTAGTGTAATTAGCCTGTATTTGAGATAGAGAATACATTAAAGATACTTGTGTTCTTCACAGGAAACTGTTGTGACTGAATATCTAAATAGTGGAAATGCAAATGAGGCTGTCAATGGTGTAAGAGAAATGAGGGCTCCTAAACACTTTCTTCCTGAGATGTTAAGCAAAGTAATCATCCTGTCACTAGATAGAAGCGATGAAGATAAAGAAAAAGCAAGTTCTTTGATCAGTTTACTCAAACAGGAAGGGATAGCCACAAGTGACAACTTCATGCAGGTAGGACACTTTACTGATTGTGTGGTAAGAACTCTTACCACTCAAATTCGAAAACTGATAAACTGTTGTATATTTCTTTCAAGGCTTTCCTGAATGTATTGGACCAGTGTCCCAAACTGGAGGTTGACATCCCTTTGGTGAAATCCTATTTAGCACAGTTTGCAGCTCGTGCCATCATTTCAGAGCTGGTGAGCATTTCAGAACTAGCTCAACCACTAGAAAGTGGCACCCATTTTCCTCTCTTCCTACTTTGTCTTCAGCAGTTAGCTAAATTACAAGATCGAGAATGGTTAACAGAACTTTTTCAACAAAGCAAGGTCAATATGCAGAAAATGCTCCCAGGTAAGAGAATGCTGACTTGTTTGTTTTGTTTTTTTAATATTATATCTAGAGATTTCAGGTACCTTGAGTGGATTTATGTAGGTCAGACAGTCTGATTGTCCTGCTCAGATAATGATAAACATTACCACAGATCTCACCTATAAAGAGAGATTTATAATTTAACTACTTTCATTTGATCCGTATGTTGAGTTTTTTTCATTTGCTGGGTTGGTTCTCTATTCTGCTACATGGATCTTACATACTTGGGGACATCATTTGTGAAGCTCTGCTCTCTGGACAGGACAACTTGGTAAAATGAACTATTAGATGATGCAGGTGGCTTTGTCTCTTCAGAAATTGATCAGAATAAGGACCGCATGTTGGAGATTTTGGAAGGAAAGGGACTGAGTTTCTTATTCCCACTCCTCAAATTGGAGAAGGAACTGTTGAAGCAAATAAAGTTGGATCCATCCCCTCAAACCATATATAAATGGATTAAAGATAACATCTCTCCCAAACTTCATGTAGATAAAGGATTTGTGAACATCTTAATGACTAGGTAAGACGAATGGTTTTCTGCATATGGTAATGTTTCATGTACTGGAAAAGAAGCGTAGGAGACTAAGAGTTGTCTCTTGAGCAAGAAAACTCACTGTTGGGTTCTAACAAGACCTCTTTCTGTCCAGCTTCTTACAGTACATTTCTAGTGAAGTAAACCCCCCCAGCGATGAAACAGATTCATCCTCTGCTCCTTCCAAAGAACAGTTAGAGCAGGAAAAACAACTACTACTATCTTTCAAGCCAGTAATGC
Source organism: Homo sapiens (assembly GCF_000001405.40). Classification (NCBI taxonomy): domain Eukaryota; kingdom Metazoa; phylum Chordata; class Mammalia; order Primates; family Hominidae; genus Homo; species Homo sapiens. The sequence goes on along the minus strand of NC_000011.10, from coordinate 10,799,299 downwards.
AGAAATTTCTTCATGATCACGTTGATCTACAAGTCAGTGCCCTGTATGCTCTCCAGGTGCACTGCTATAACAGCAACTTCCCAAAAGGTGAGAGGACTTGTATCAGAAGAACGGCGTGAGGAAGTTCTTAAACAGAACACTAAATAATGGGCTTATTACTTTTTTCTTTTTTTTTTTTTTTTTAAGGCATGTTACTTCGCTTTTTTGTGCACTTCTATGACATGGAAATTATTGAAGAAGAAGCTTTCTTGGCTTGGAAAGAAGATATAACCCAAGAGTTTCCGGGAAAAGGCAAGGCTTTGTTCCAGGTAAGTCTTTTGTTAAAAATTTGGTCTGCTTACTTCAGTTTGCTTGGTATTAACTTCAAGTTAAGAGCCTTTTTCAACTGAAATACAGGCAAGGTAGTCCTAGTTAGTAGTTTGTCTTCACCTGTACATTTCATTCTGCACTATTTGAAGCTATTATTAAGTAAAGCTACACAATGAATCAATTCTAGTGGTGTATAAGATGTTAGAGGTAGCTAACTTTTCAAGGAGTATAGCTACTTATATACATGGGAGTGACTGTACAAGTTTCGATTTAAGCTTTTTTAAAAACATCAGTAAAGAGGAAATTGTAGCTGGGCACGTGGCTCATGCCTGTAATCCTAGCACTTTAAGAGGCTGAGGTGGGAGGATCACTTGAGCTCAGGAGTTCAAGACCAGCCTGGGCAGCATAGTGAAACCCTGTCTCTAAAAAATACAAAAAATTAGCCAGACGTGGTGACATGTTCTGTGGTCCTGGTCCCAGCTACTCGGGAGGATGTCTTGAGCCCAGGAGGCAGAGGTTGCAGTGAGCTGAGATCACACCACTGCACTCTAGTCTGGGCAACAGAGTGAGACTGTGTCTCAAAAAAAGAAAAAAAGTTTAAATACTATATATTTTTCTAAAAAGAGGAGATGTTTCTGATTTCTCACAATTTGATTTTTTCTTATTGAATGAACTTGTAGCCCTAGGGGAAGAACATCAGGGCATTCTCTCAAATCACCTGAAGAGCAGTTTAAAAAGCAGGTTCCAGGCCTATTCCTAGAGATTCTGGTTTAGTAGGTCTGTGGTACAAAATCCAGGTGATTCTTTCTCATGCTACTAGTTTTCCAGGGGGCCCAGGCTTGAGAAACATTGGTCCTGCAGCATCTTCCTACCTTTTTATTGCTGATGATAAACAAGATTCACGAGGATCATCCTTGCAGGATTAAATCTTTAGCTCTGTGTTGTCCCAAATCTGGATAATATACCACTGTTCGTTAACTTAATATACAAATTGTTGGTAGGGATATCCTTGTTTCATATTCTAAAACTGTGTAGTACCACCTAAAACTTTTTGGATGGATTTCTGTTTATATCATGAACTATTTTAATTTACAAATCTTAATTTATAGGTGAATCAGTGGCTAACCTGGTTAGAAACTGCTGAAGAAGAAGAATCAGAGGAAGAAGCTGACTAAAGAACCAGCCAAAGCCTTAAATTGTGCAAAACATACTGTTGCTATGATGTAACTGCATTTGACCTAACCACTGCGAAAATTCATTCCGCTGTAATGTTTTCACAATATTTAAAGCAGAAGCACGTCAGTTAGGATTTCCTTCTGCATAAGGTTTTTTTGTAGTGTAATGTCTTAATCATAGTCTACCATCAAATATTTTAGGAGTATCTTTAATGTTTAGATAGTATATTAGCAGCATGCAATAATTACATCATAAGTTCTCAAGCAGAGGCAGTCTATTGCAAGGACCTTCTTTGCTGCCAGTTATCATAGGCTGTTTTAAGTTAGAAAACTGAATAGCAACACTGAATACTGTAGAAATGCACTTTGCTCAGTAATACTTGAGTTGTTGCAATATTTGATTATCCATTTGGTTGTTACAGAAAAATTCTTAACTGTAATTGATGGTTGTTGCCGTAATAGTATATTGCCTGTATTTCTACCTCTAGTAATGGGCTTTATGTGCTAGATTTTAATATCCTTGAGCCTGGGCAAGTGCACAAGTCTTTTTAAAAGAAACATGGTTTACTTGCACAAAACTGATCAGTTTTGAGAGATCGTTAATGCCCTTGAAGTGGTTTTTGTGGGTGTGAAACAAATGGTGAGAATTTGAATTGGTCCCTCCTATTATAGTATTGAAATTAAGTCTACTTAATTTATCAAGTCATGTTCATGCCCTGATTTTATATACTTGTATCTATCAATAAACATTGTGATACTTGATGTAGTGATGTGTGGCTGTAAATGGCATCCATAGTCTGGGAGAATTGTCAGCTTTGTTTTTGAGGTATAGGAGACCCACCTTAGTTTGACTTAAGGACTTCCCAATTTTTGTTTTTCTGCTGTACAAGCCTGGGTTCCAGAAGGAATTTTTAGACTCTTCAAGATGAGACACAAGATTTAAGGTGTTTATTTCCTTTGAGTTACTGAAACTAACCAATATAAACGATTTTTATGATCAAAGATCACAAGTCTTATGAATTTGGAGGAACATAGCTACACATAGCAACTAAAATTTGGTGACAATTTATCTTTTGTCAGACTGAAATACATGGTGATCTCTGGATAAGCTTAGCTGTCCTGCAAGCATCATTCCCAGTAGCTGCCCCAAATGTCCAGGAAGATCCCTGCTTCCTCTGGAAAAATTCCAGTGTCCCAGTAAAATTGACTTCATTCAACTAAACCTCTGCATGTTTTCCAAAAACACACACGAAGGATTTGTCTCCAGCCCTGGAACATTCTGACAATCCTAGGATTACTTCTAACATTGGCATGGATGGGGACTCTTGAAGTGTGCTACTGGAGTCCTGGTTGATGTCAACACCTAAGAACCTGTTCTTGGTGATTGGGGAGACCCTCAAGGCAGACTATCATACTGCCGAACCCATTAGAACCTTGAAGTCAGAAGAGGCTGCCTGCACATGCTCCAGTGGGTGGGAGGCAGAACCAATCAATGTTTTTGTGTCTGTCTTATTTGGGCCAGGGAAGCTAAATCTTGCATTATGGCACTCATCTTCCCCTGAAGTTTTAACAAGTCATAAGCTTTTGGGTACTTTGAGTACAGCAAAATTTAAAGCTAAACAGATTTGTATGAACCTACCTAAATTTTAAAGGGGCTGTAAATTGTTTCTCTGCCCAACCCTCCCCACGAAGGGGAGGAAACTAATTTTTAACCTAGCAAAAGGAGCAACTGGTTAGGTGGATCAGCTAGTCAATTCTTATTGCCAGAATTTGCCTAATTCAGCCAGGGTATCAGGCTAAAGGAAGTTTTAGAACTAAACCTGGGCCTGGGTGCAGTGGCTCACGCCTGTAATCCCAGCACTTTGGGAGGCCTAAGGCGGGCGGATCACCTGAGGTCGGAGTTCAAGACCAGGCTGACCAACATGGAGAAACCCTATTTTCTTCTAGAAAAATACAAAGCTGAGTGTGGTGGTGCATGTCTACAATCCCAGTGACTCGGGAGGCTGAGGCAGGAGAATGGCTTGAACCTGGGAGGCGGAGGTTGCAGTGAGCCGAGATGGCACCATTGCACTCCAGCCTAGGCAACAAGAGCGAAACTCCGTCTCAATAAAAAATGAACTAAACCCGGTACGCAGTGGTTTGTCATTGCTTACAGAATCATGCTTTAATCTTCCCACCCCAAACATGTCAAGAGCTACTCAAAATATTCAACCCATAGAGAATGTATAATACTGCTGCTACCTTGTTCTAAAGACACCTAACAGTGTACTTTATAATCTACCATACTGTGGAATGGCAGTATCTGGGTATAACTGGGATGTACCTTGCATGATTGCCAATTTCTTTAGTATCAGCATGTAGTGACTAATCTTCATTCACTTCATGGTGACTTCAAAATAAGATTGCATGTCTTTACTGCCCCCAATTTTTTTTTCCTTTACTGCAAAATTGAAAGAGTTGTCTAATTTTCCCCATTCTGAAGCCTCAGTAGGGCTTCACTCCCCTGGTTCCCCACACCAAAACTTTCTTAGGGTCACCAGTAACTCCAATGCTATATCCAGTAGGTTTTGATCCTCCTGTAGGCAGCATTTGACAAGTTACTCATTCCTTGAAAGTGTTAACTTGTTCCCAGGACATCTTTTTCTTCTCAGTTTCCAATGGGAGATGCCTGATCTCAACACTTTTTCAGTTGTTGTCATACTCTGCATCCATTCTAGCATCAAATCATGTTGATTGCATTCCAAACATTTTAGAAATTGAAGAACTCATTTCTTCAACCACCACCCTCATTTCTTACCTAGGTACCACAGTAGCCTTAACTGGCCTCCCTGCCTAGCCCTCATCTCCATTTTGTCGTCTCAACACAGCACCACTTGGCTCAAAACCCGCCAAATGGCTTCCCACCTAGTGGGATTTTTATGTCAAAATACTTAATTTGGTCTACATCACCCCACATCTGATTTTCTTAGCCCTCTCCCCATCCTTGCCCCACAACCTGTTTCTCTGATCTAATTTCCTACTGCTGGCACTTAATCCTTCTGCTCCCACCACACTGGATTTGCTGCTCCTGGGACATGCCAAGCATCTTCTTACTTTGGAGGTTTTATGTTCCTCCTTTCTTCTGGATAACTGGATGACTGGCTTTCTCCCCCTCCTCAGGTCTTGGCTCAAATGTCACTTTTTTTTTTTTTTTTTTTTTTTTTTTTGAGACGGAGTCTCGCTTTGTTGCCCAGGCTAGAGTGCAGTGGCGCGATCTTGGCTCACTGCAAGCTCCACCTACTGGGTTCACGCCATTCTCCTGCCTCAGCCTCCTGAGTAGCTGGGACTACAGGCGCCCGCCACCATGCCCGGCTAACTTTTTGTATTTTTAGTAGACACGGGGTTTCACCGTGTTAGCCAGGATGGTCTCGATCTCCTGACCTCGTGATCCGCCCTCCTCGGCCTCCCAAAGTGCTGGAATTACAGGCGTGAGCTACCGCGCCCAGCTTCAAATGTCACTTTTATTAGTAAAGTCCTCATTGTCAATTCTGATAACCTCCTGCAGATCTTAAGGGGCAGGAAAGAAATTCATATATATATTTAAAAACTCTAAACACATCCTCATCCCTCTTTCCTTTTTGTATCTCCATGTCTCATTACATGACATACTGCATGGTTATATCTGATTCCTGCTAGAATGTGAAGAGCATGAAGTATTTGACAGTTTTTTTCACTGCTGTATTCCCAGCATCTAGAACAGTGCCCAGTGCCCGGTAAACTCAAATATTTGTTCAACCAAATCATGAATTAATAAAATTACCCTACATGGCAGGATGTGGACATAGAGGAAGGAAGTAGTGGGAAGACCTCAGACTCGAGTTGTAGATCGATCTAGGGTTAATCTCTAACACAAGCAGGGTGATCTTAGGTAAGATATTTTTTATCTGAGTCTTGATTATTTTAGAAATTATTTTAGAAAATTTAGCTTGGGCAACGTGGGGAAACCCTGTGTCTACAAAAAAAAAAAAAAAAAAGTAGAAAAATTTGCTGAGTGTGATGATGCACACCTGTAGTCTCAGCTACTCAGGAGGCTGAGGTGGGAGGATCACCTGAGCCGAGGAGGTCGAGGCTGCAGTGAGCCATGATCACGTCACTGCACTCCAGCCTGGGCAACAGAGTGAGACCCTGTCTCGAATGAATGAATGAAAATGTGGCTAACGTGCAGCTGTAGTTCCAGCTACTCTGAAGGCTGAGGTGGGAGGATTGCTTGAGCCCAAGAGTTTGAGGCTGCAGTGAACTATGATCGTGCCACTGCACTCCGGCCTGGGAGACAGAGCAAGACCCTGTCTCAAAAATTTAAAAAAAAAAAAAAAAAGAAAGAAAGAAAACAGGGTTAATACTTAAGGATTGTCATGAGAGCTAAACAAGCTAATATGTAAAAGTCACTAGGGAAAGCATCCCACATAGCAGCCCAATAGATATGAATGTCACCCTCCTTTCTAAGATTCCTCCCCAGGAGAACTGCTTCCATCTTCTGAACTAACAAGATCATTGGCTAGATATAACTAAAGGGTATAGCTCAGTCTTATTTGATCAATCAAAAGCACTTGCCAGTTGACTTTCCTCTTTCCCACTTTGTTTTTCTCCCAGCTTCTCCTCAGTCTCCTTTAAAAGCCCTCTTTTTTCACCTGGCCCCTGAATGTTGCTGTTTTGCCTCCCTCCTTCAACACTGTCACTCACTTCTGTGGATCCGATTACCAGCTATCTGCTGATGACATCTGTATCTTGAGTCCAAACCCCTTTCCAGAATGTCTAACTCGCACATCCAACCAGCCCCTGGACATATTTCTGAATGTGCCACAGCACTTCAAACTCAATATTCATCCCTAAACTTTTTGCCGCAAACCAACACTCCCTCCCTTTCTAACTCTGCAACCATAGCCTCATGCAAACCAAAAACGAATCACTTTCTCACTAGACAATTTTCCAAGCAAAGTCCTACAAGAATATGCAAGAGCCCTGGACGAGGAGACACCTGAGCACAGGGCAGAGAGTAGCGGACACAGGACATTCAAGTCCCACAGCCTGCCCTGCCCCGCCCCGCAGCCCTGCCCTTGCCCGTCCTGACCCAGGGGGAGCGCAGGAGGCTGAGCTGGACCCAGGTCCCCGACCGATCAGCAACGCTGTCCCACAGCGCCCTCTGCCGGGATGCTGGGAGACCACCCCTGGCAGGTGGGTCGGGTTGCAAGGCTCTGGCCCTTGTCCTGTACGGCCCACGCGGAGGCAAGACCGAGACCCACTGGTCACGCTCATGGAGAGGGGGAAGTGAGAATGTTGCCCTGGGCTTGGTCTCCTGTCAACGGTGCATGACACGACGATGTGACTGGTAAATGAGCAGTGACTCCTCAAGAGCTGCTCAGGTCAGCTGCACAGCATGCCGAGCCACAGAGCAGAGCGCAGGCCCCAGCTTCCCGGGTCATCAGTCTCGGAGCCTAGGCCAATCGCTGCACCTCCCCAGGCTCTATCTGACTTACCTGTGAAATTATCCTTGGTCTGCCCAGCTCTCCAGTGCGTTTCGAGGGGCCGCATCGCTAGGTATGGAACATCAGTGATGGACAGCTGTGGAACTGTTCTACAAGTCCATGCGTCTCGCAAACATGTACTGAGTACATATTTGCCAGGGGCTACTCCAGGGCCAGAGATGTAACAGTAATGAGACAGTCTTCTTCTGGAAGCAACGTTCTGGGTGATAGCAGAGAGACAGTAAATCAACAAACGTACAGTGCCAGGCAGTAAAAAGTGCTGTATGCAGGGATGCGAGTAAGGGCTAGGGAGTGGAGTGAGTGCTGCTTGAAAGAGGGGGTTCTGGGATGGCCTCAGGAGGAGGTGGCCTTTGAGCAAAGATCTAAGAGATGCCAGGGGGTGAACTCCACAGCCATCTGGAGGAACAGCATTCCTGGCAGAGGGGAGGCCAAGCTGGAGGCCCTGAGATTGGGAACGCACCTGGCCTGTCTGAGGAACAATCTGGCCAAGCAGAGGGCAAGGGGGTTTGAGGCTGAGGAGAAGGGCGCCGGCCAGTGCAGAGAACTAGTCAGACCCAGTAAGGACTTTGGCTTTTATGCTGAGTGAGATGGGCTGCCTTTGGAGGATTGCTTTTTATCATTTGTTAATATCAATCCCTCATTAAGACCAGTGCAGTGCCTGCACTGCATCCTGAGCTCTGCTAGGACATATTATGATTATTGTAGCTAATGTTTGCCGAGGAGTTAGCATATGCCAGGCTGGACCAAATGCATCAAGGTAGTCATCCCTTGTAATCATCCCAACATCCTTGAGGCAGGTGCTTCACTATCCCCCTTCACTATCCCCATGTCTGAGCCCCAAACTGAGGCTCAGAGAAGCAAAGCACCTGCCCAAGATCTTTCATGTATTTGGCAAGTAGCTATGAACGCCTTTTCTGCATTGTATTAGGCTGTTTTCACACTGCTATAAAGAAATACCTGAGACTTGGTAATTTATTAAAAAAAAAAAAGAGGTTTAATTGACTTACAGTTCCACATGTTTGGGGAGAATTCAGGAAACTTGCAATCACGGGAGAAAGTGAAGGGCAAGTAGGCGCCTTCCTCACAAGGCAACGAGAGAGAGAGTGTGAAGGAGGAACTGTCAAGCACTTATAAAACCATCAGATCTCCTTGTGAGAACTCCCTCACTATCATGAGAACAGCATGGGGGAGACCGCCCCCAAGATCGAATCACCTCCCACCAGGTCCCTCCCTTGACACATGGGGATTATGGGGATTACAATTTGAGATGACATGAGATTTGGGTGAGGACACAGAGCCACATCATATCATGCATGCTCTTTTGAAGTACTGGGCCACACATCTATTAAGTCATGGGGTGGTGATTCAAGCCCTACACTGTAACTCAGGAGCCGGTGCTCATACCAGATACACCAAAATGCATGTTGGGGTAGGGGACAGAAACTGAAGAGAGAAAGTAAAGGACCCTTTGCAGAGGCAATGAGCTCCTCATGCTTGGAAGTGTAACCAGGGCGGAATGAGTGTAGGGAGGGGCAGGTGCTTCTGAGGGTTGGGGTGTAGGACCGGAGGTGAGGAAGAATCAGCCCCCTAATCCTTCTGTCATGGGTTGAATTATGTCCCCAGCCCCCAAAGATATATGCTGATGTCCTAACTCCAGGTACCAGTGAATGTGATCTTCCTATTTGGAAATAGGGTCTTTGCAGATGTAAGCAAGTCATTAGAGGAGGCCCTAATCTGATATAATGGTGTCCTTATAATAAGAGAAGTGGCACACAGACATGCAGGGTGAGTGCCATTTGATGACAGGGGCAGAGATTGGAGTGACGTCTCTACAAGCCAAGGACTGCGAAGGTTTGCCAGCAATGCTAGCAGCTAGGAGAGAGACATGGACAGATTATCTCTAGAGCCTTCCCATGCCCTGCTGACACCTTGATTTTGGACTTCTAGTCTCCAGAACAATGAGAGAATATGTTTTTGTTGTTCAAGACACCCTGTTTGTGCTACTTCATTACGGTAGTCCTAGAAACTAATACATTGCCCCCAACCCCAGTACCATCACTTCCATCCAGGGCCACCGTGCCCTCTAGCTCTGTCCCTTCCTCTCTCCTCCCCTGAACCCACCAGCTGCTTCACAACTCAGCTAGGTACAGAAAGGTGAGGGAAGAGCTTGGACGAACCAGTAAATAAAATGAGTGAATGAATGAGCAGTGGAGCTCTATTTTGTTCTGAGAAAAATTCTTTGAAGAAAATTAGTAATCTACTTTAGTACTAAAAAATTAGAAAATAAGCCAAAAGAAAAGATATAAAGCTAAGCCTATTAAAATTTTTCATAATTTGGGGTGAGGTGACTTTTCTTTTCTTTGCTTTGCTTCTTTTTTTTTTTTTTTTTTTTTTTTTTTTTTTTAGAGTCTCCCTCTTTCTTCTAGGCTGGAGTGCAATGGCATGATCTCGGCTCACTGCAACCTCCACCTCCCGGGTTCAAGCAATTCTCCCTGCCTCAGCCTCCCGAGTAGCTGGGATTACAGGCGCCTGCCACAACGCCCGGCCAATTTTTGTATTTTTTAGTAGAGACAGGGTTTTGCCATGTTGGTCAGGCTGGTCTTGAACTCCTGACCTCAGGTGATCTGCCCGCCTCAGCCTCCCAAAGTGCTGGGATTACAGGCGTGAGTCACCGTGCCCGGCCTAGGGTGACGTGACTTTTCTAAGCACGTTACTCGGGAAAGTTCCAGATTCTGTAGGGCCTGAAGTTTACATAATTTGGCAGGGGTGGTGGAGGTCTCTTTAGGAAAAAGAAAACAAAATCACAAATGAAAAATTAGGTGCAGCCTTGGAAGAGGCCCAGGCAAGTGAGGGACCCTGATGCCTAAGCTTTAACTTCATGGAACATCTATCTCTTTGTGAAAAAAATATACATATCCAGAAACGATGAAGGGAAATGTTGACAGATTTGCCTATTAATCTGTCCCAAAATGTTATAAAGGATAAATTAAAATATTTGCATGTGCACAATCAAGGGTTAACCACAAAAAGCTCTTTAAAAAATCAGTGGGAAAAAAAGACTAACCTTTTTGAACTCTGACTATATTATTCTCAGAATAGTCCTGGGATGTAGACATTGTTATCCCAATTTAAACAGTAGGAAATTGAAGCTGAGGGGGATGGAGCCATTGTTCAAAGTCACATCATTTGTCAGAGGAAGAGCTAGGATTTAGAGTTCGAATAACTCTAAAGTCCGCATGTTTTCTATTACACGGCAGTCAAAATTGGAGCTGATTTCCAAAGATGGGGAAAATAAAACAAAATGTGGCAAACTATAAATACCTGCAGGTTTTGTTTTGTTTTGCTTTTGTTTTGTTTGAAGACAGGGTCTCATTCTGTCGCTCAGGCTGGAGAGCAGTGGCACAATCTCAGCTTACTGAAGCCTCAACCTCTTGGGGTCAAATGATTCTCCTACCTCAGCCTCTCAAGTTGCTGGGACTACAGGTGGGCCACCATGCCCGGCTAATTTTTTGTAGAGACAGGGTTTCACCATGTTGCCTAGGGTGGTCTGGAACTCCTGGGCTCAAGTGATCCACCTCCCTCAGATTCCCAAAGTGCTGGGATTAGAGGCGTGTTTCACTGTGCCTAGCCAATACCTGCAGTTTTTATCCTCTTGAAAAAAAGCCTGACATTTTCGCTCTAACAATTTTTTCTTCTTCTTTTTTTTTTTTGTAGAGAAACATCTTCACTATGTTGAGTCTTCCAGTCCATGAACATGATATATCTCTTAATTTAAGACTTTCTTTTTTTTTTTTTTTTTTGAGACAGGGTCTCACTTTGTCACCCAGGCTGTAGTGCAGTGGTGCCATCTCAGCTCACCGCAACCTCTGCTTCCCAGGCTCAAGTGATCCTCCTGCCTCAGCCCCCAAGTAGCTGGGACTACAGGCACACGCCACCACATCTGGCTAACTTTTTGTATTCTTTGTAGAGATGGGATTTCGCCATGTTACCCAGGCTGGTCTTGAACTCCTGAGCTCAAGCGATCCTCCCACCTCGACCTCCCAAAATGCTGGGATTACAGGTGTGAGCCACTGTGCCCAGCCTGAGTCTTCTTTGATATTGTTTTCATCATTGTGTAATTTTTAGAATACATATCTTATACATGTGTTGTTAGTTTTGTTTATGTTTTTTACTTTTATTACTTTTAATTGACACACGATAATTGCCTGACAATTTCCAATTACATGAGGCCCTGTCAATTACATTTGTTTGGACAATAATCTACAGTTTGGGGATGACACATTAACCTGAAGTGATCCCAATCAATAGCTAGTTTTTGATGTTTATGGAGGCCTTCGAGAGGCTTGGTGTCAAAGAAATTGAATACAGACTTAATTGTTATTCCTGGGGACACGGTTGTAAAATCTCAAGAGTTTGCAAAAGTTATAAACAAGCATTTTAAAGATTGCTTTAAAAAGTGGTACATTAGCCTGGGCACAGTGGCTCAAGCCTGAAATCTCACTGCTTTGGGAGGCTGAGGCAGGAGATCACTTGAAGCCAGGGGTTTGAGACCAGCCTGGGCAACACGGTGAGACCCTGTCTCTCCAAAAATTTTAAAAATTAGCCAGGCACAATGCTGTATTCCTGTAGTCCTAGCTGGTAGGGAGGGGAGGCAGGAGGATTGCTTGAGCCCAGGAGGTCGAAGCTGCAGTAAGCAATGATCTGACTATTGCACCCCAGCCTGGCTGACAGAGCGAGAACCTCTCTCACACAAAAAAGAAAGAGCAGTACATCAAATGAAGATGGGAAAAGCCACCTACGGGACAAATGGGAAGGCCAGTTGTTGTTCTAATGCGATGCAGAGGAGTGCTGGCAGCTCAGGACAACACATTCAGCCACAGGGCCATGGACTCTCAAGCCTGGACCTCAAACAACACGATGGGTGGGAAGGCAACGTTCTCCTGAAAACTGTTAGATGATTCCGAAAGTGGCTCAAGTACAATGGACAAAGATTCTGTGATAAATTTGAGTGAAATTATTGTATGGAATATGAATGGAGGAAAGCACTTGTTCTCAACATTTTATGAATGTGTGATTTAAACACATTTTAAATTTAATAAGTATTATTAGTAGACATTGAACTATTTCATCTACATCCCCAAAGTTTGTAAGTTTAAGTTAGTGAAAAATCTTTTGGGCAGACAGAGAACCTTTACAGTGGGCATGGGGTCACGTTATATTCAGGACACCTTATACTCAGGCATCTATGATATTTGAAGCTCAAGACACAGCTATTGGCCAGGCGTGGTGGCTCACACCTGTAATCCCAGCACTTTGGGAGGCCGAGGCAGGTGGATCACCTGAGGTCAGGAGTCTGAGACTAGCCTGGCCAACATGGTGAAATCCCGTTTCTACTAAAAATACAAAAAATTAGCTGGGCATTGTGGCGTGTGCCTGTAATCCCAGCTACTCAGGAGGCTGAGGCAGGAGGATCGCTTGAACCCAGGAGGCAGAGGTTGAGTGAGCCAAGAGCATGCCATTGCACTCCAGCCTGGGCAACAGAGTGAGACTCTGTCTCAAAAAACAAACAAACAAAAAAACCCACAACTATTGCTTTATCTTTGGAAATGCTGAGCTGTAACCACCAAGTCACCAGTGCGTGGGGACAGCATTGTCTGACCACATTGCTCTAAAAAGGCAGCATCCATAACAACATGCCCTGGAGAGACAAGGTCGCGTGCATGGGGCTTCCACTCCATGGCTGAGACACCTGGGCCCTGGAGTGGGGCACCCCAGCTTCCTGTCCCAGGAGTGACGCCTCTCCTGAAGTTCTACTGCCCCTCCCTCATGCCTCCAAAAACAGGATCAGTGCATCACCCGAGTGCAGGAAAGAGCATCCCCAAAGGCCCTACTCTGTGCAGTTGGAACTGGTTACCTGTTTTCCCAGCCTGCTTCAGCCCTGCCTCGCCCACGGGAAGTCCAAGGGCCCCAGTATGGACCTGGACCTCACGCTGAACTTCTCCATACACCTGCTAATGTGCCCCCAATTCTCCCTCCCTCTCCTCCCCTCTCCCCGCTCCCCAACCCTTCCTCCACACCCTCTGGGCCTCACGGTCTATCAGCAGCAAATTTCCCACATCCTCAATATCTTCTCTGGACAGTTCTGTCATCTTCTTGCTCTAAAGGAAACCTGGCTGTCCTGTGACATCATCACTTCCCCTGCTGCCTTGCGTCTCATGCCCAGTGGCCTTGGCGTGGCCAGTGTCCACTCTGCTTTCTGTCCACCTCTTTCTTCTGAAGGCCCAGGTCCTTTAAAATTTGTGCCGTCGGACCTCACCACCTCCCCGGTGTGCTCACCTGCCCACTCTTCACAAGAGCTGTTTCACATCGTCTCCTCCCTGAGCCTCCTCTCACTCATTCCTCCTGCCCCTGGTAATATCCGCTTCTCCACACCCCACCCCTACCTGCTGAAATTGCTTTGTCAGGCTTTTAAGCCTCAAGGAAAGAAAAGTTGAGGGTGTTCTCCCAGAAAGGGCACATTTGTAATGCTATACAACCTCCCGGGCTCAAAGTGTAGTCTTTGGATTCGTTTCACCTGAAAGCCGGTTAGAACTGCAGAATGTCTGGTCTCACTCCTGACCCACTGAATCAGAATCTGTAGGTGATTAGCCCATTAAAATCTGATGAGCCCTGATATCCACCCTAATCCGCCCAGGCCCCATTGCTGACCACCAAGGACTGTACTGCCTTCCCAGCCACGGTGACTCTGGGCCTCAGCTTCTACCTCATTGAGAAGCAACTCCATCCCCTAAATCTTCCTACCATCTAAGCTACTGACTTGCTAATAATTGCACTGACACATGATTTCCTTTTTTGTGGATGAAGGGACTCAGCTCTTTGCAAAGGCCAACCCTTTCCTCATGCTCCAACCCCATTGCCTAGAGTCAAATAACTATAAGGCATTTGTCATCCCTGCCACAGGGACAAGGACCTACCAGCCACACCACAGCTGTCAAGGGGAGCACACCGTCAGCTCATGTGACTACTGAGAACTTCCGAGCTGCCTTGAATAGGGGTTTAGAACAAGATCAGCTGTTTGCAATGTGAGATTCCAGAAGGGAGGGTCCCGAGGCTTCCTGGAGGATCAAAAGGGTGGGAACCCGAGTTCTGAAATTTCTATAAACCATGAAAAAGAAGGAGGTGCATGGTTCCCATGCCAGAGTTCAGCTAGAACCAACAAGAAGGTTGCAGGCTGTGGAAGCAAGGTTTTAAATCCATGAAACTAGCCCCAGCGTTTGCCCCTCACAGTTGCTTCTGGCCAAGGAATATATTGATGCTCCCTTCTCCCACCTCCTTGGCCTAATTGCTTTAGCTGCCACTCCAAGCTGGAAGCAGCAGGAAGTGAGATAAGTAAGGAGCGTGTCTGCACCTAGGCACAGGCACACACACGCAGACCAGGACAATCCGCAGCGGGCTAAGGCAGGAATTGAAGTCGCCACTTCTTTTCAGTTAAGGAAATCGGAGCAGCAGCTCCCATGGGAGATCAAAACAGTATTGTTTCAAAGAACAAAGCAGTTCAGAAGAGAACAAAGGTTTTGGCATTGATCCCCCTCTGGAGAAGATAATATCACAGACATTCCACCCTGTCTGGGACTAAAGACAAACCTACATGTTCATTTATTGAGATTATGCTCAAGAGTAGTGATCTTTGAGTAGTTTGACGGACATTCAATGCCTTCACAATTGTCAATATGAGAAGAAAAGCTGGTGGGCATAAGGACAGTTTGTAAGAAACAGCAGCCTGACCATTTCCAGCCACGTGGAGAGTCTGGCAGTGCATCTGCTGTGGCTGCGTTTGTGAAGGGGACCTGGACTTATGCCACATGCTACCACTGAGTTCAAGTGGAAACCTGACTCCCACAAAATGCATTTGCTAAAACACATTCTAGAAGAGCAGGATGGAGCTGCAGAGGCCTCAGAGCAGAGTCCAATCCTTGCCACAACCTCCATGTTTAGTTAATTCAGTTTTAAATTTATATTCAAAATATAAATTAGCATCTACTTCTTGCCAGGCTTTATGATTGGCCCCTGGAAATAGATGGAAACACTATAAGCTCTGTCCTCAAGTTCATGGTCTGGTGGGGATAAATAGATCATTTCAATCAACACTAAGGGGTCACGCAGGGCAGAGGCAAGGAGCCTGACACCTCACTTTCTACGGTAAAGCACAATGATAGCAATGTTCAAATTATGACCTACATCCTCAGAAGGGGCTAAACTCCCAGACAGGTTTAAACACTTTGCTCGAACATAGCATATATGGGAAAGGAGAGGGGTGCAACTGGGAAAGGGCACACAAGAGGCACACAGGAAAGGGCTCTAGAAGGGATATAGAGGTATTAGTTTGTATTTATCACATCATATACTCTTCTATATGCATGATAAAAAGAATGAATAAAACTGAGTCTTTCATAATACTGAAACTTCTGATTGAACTGTAGCTTCCTTTCGGCAATCCCCCCAGATGTCCAGTTATAGGATACAATTATCTTTCCTTTTTTTTTTTTTTTTTGAGACAGAATCTCACTCTGTTGCCCAGGGTAGAGAACAGTGGTGCAATCTCGGCTCATTGCAACCTGTCCCCTGGGTTCAAGTGATTCTCATGCCTCAGCCTCCCGAGTAGCTGGGATTACAGGGGTGTGCCACCACGCCCTGCTAATTTTTGTATTTTTAGTAGAGATGGAGTTTCACCATGTTGGCCAGGCTGGTCTCGAACTCCTGAGATCAGGTGATCCACCTGCTTCAGCCTCCCAAAGTGCTGGGATTACAGGCGTGAGCCACTGTGCCCAGTCTTTCCTTCTTGCTAAATCAGTTTGAAACAGAGTTTTCTGTGAATTGTCACCAAAACTTCCTAATTGCTATAGCATTTTCATAACTTACTTGACTATCGAACTCTTTTTTAAGGAGTATCTTTTGGAACTAGCATGTCCTGGAAAACACTCTGGGGAACCCACTGGATCGAGGTCTGTTTAGGAGACAGAATTAAAAAGAAGGTAAATTCACAACTTGAGTGACTTCTGCAGAAGATACCTGAAAAGCCAGCCCCACATGCCTTGCTAATAAGTGTTCTCTTCACTATTTAGCTGTGGACTTCATGAACAAATATACTTGCCCTCAGAGTGTTAGAGTAGTGGCAATCCAGAATTGATCAGCTATATCAAGGCATATGCACAAAAATTGAGATATTTTCCAAAACTCACTGTTTTAAAAATGAAAAAATGTTATCAAAATACCTCTGCCATAAAGCAGAATAAAGAACAGCAAAAGGGGATGGGCATAGTGGCTCACGTCTGTAATCCCAGCACTATGGGAGGCCGAGACAGGTGGATTACATGAGGTCAGGAGTTCAAGACCAGCTTGGTCAACATGGTGAAATCCCGTCTCTACTAAAAACACAAAAATCAGCTGGGCATGGTGGCATGTGCCTGTAGTCCCAGCTACTCAGGAGGCTGCGGCAGGAGAATCACTTTAACCCGGGAGGTGGAGGTTGGTGAGCCAAGATCGTGCCACTGCACTCCAGCCTGGGCGACAGAGCGAGACTCTGTCTCAAAAAAACAAAAACAAAAACAAAAACAAAACAAAACAAAACAAAACAAAAAGCAGCAAAAGACAAGAGCCAAATAAATATACTTCCTTAAAACAAATTTTTTAAATTGTTTTTGCTGGGTGCGGTGGCTCACGCCTGTAATCCCAGCACTTTGGGAGGCCGAGGCAGGCGGATCACCTGAGGTCGGGAGTTCGAGACCAACCTGACCAACATGGAGAAACCCTGTCTCTACTAAAAATACAAAATTAGCCAGGAGTGGTGGCACATGCCTGTAATCCCAGCTATTTGGGAAGCTGAGGCAGGAGAATCACTTGAACCCGGGAGAGGGAGGTTGCGGTGAGCCGAGATAGCGCCATTGCACTCCAGCCTGGGCAACAAGAGTAAAACTAAGTCTCAAAAAAAAAAATTTTTTTTTTTTAATGAGACAGGGTCTCACTCTATTGCCCAGGCTGGTCTTGAACCCCTGGCCTCGAGTAATCCTCCTACCTCAGCCTCCCAAAGTGCTAGGATTACTGGCACGAGCCACCACACCTGGCCCAAATAAATATATTTCGTAAGCAAATATATCTGTATCTATAAGAAATTAGGCTTAAAATAGCAGACAAGATTTTCAATTACTAGAAACACCTCAAGTTAAAAATGCAGTTGAGGTAGAGACACTGTATTTAAAATCATTTTGGCTGGGCACGGTGGCTCACGTCTGCAATCCCGGCACTTTGTGAGGCCGAGCTGGGCGGATCGCCTGAGGTCAGGAGTTCAAAACCGGCCTGGCCTGCATGGAGAAACCCTGTCTCTACTAAAAATACAGAAATTAGCCAGGTATGGTGACCAGCGCCTGTAATCCCAGCTACTCGGGAGGCTGAGGCAGGAGAATGGCTTGAACCCAGTTAGGTGGAGGTTGCAGTGAGCCAAGCTCATACCACTCAACTCCAGCCTGGGCATCAGAGCAAGACTCCGTCTCAAAAATAAATACATAAATAAATAAATGAATAAAATAATCTAGAAAGCCCCCAGAATGTTAAAAGGATCATAAACAACCTTATTTTATAGATAGGGATACTGAGGCTGAAAAGTGAAGCATTTTGTCACATCGAGTGTCAGAGTCAAACTAGGAGCCAGGGCAGCCTTCCTATCATTAGAGGCTGATCCAAAGTGAGAATCTCTGACTCTAGCTGCAGTCTGATTTGCCCGGCCCCAAATCGGAGGATACACTGAGGTCTAGACGCATTTGATTTGCCTGTAGCATATACCCTTTCCTGGGCCCATAATGCCATTACAGGAAGCATTGCCACCAACCCATACTTCCTAGCATACCCAAAAGACCAGAGCATCAGAAACTACCCCTACGACAAAAGTTGCACTGATCATAGGCTCCAAATTCCAGTTCGAGATGATATTATTATCCTTTAAAAGGTCTTTCTTGCCTCTTTTGGCTAATGACACTCCCAGGGATGGAAATTGTTCATTAGTGGAACCAAAACAAGGGATACTTTAAAAGCTCCAGGAAAGTCACATTTCCTGGAGATTCAAAATATTTTTCTCAAAGGGAACTAGGAAGAATTTTTTAAAGGATGACCTGTGAAAGAGTAACTGACCTAGTCCCCACTTAGGTTAAACGAGCCAAGCTTGAAGAACAGTGCCAAACATTCAGAGCCAATTCAATCACATGCATAATTTTATTGGGAATTTACAATGCATTCATCACTTAACCTACCTTAACTCATCATCCTCACAACATTCCTGAGTTGGGTATATAGTCTTGCTATAACGGGATAGTCTGCTTAAAAAGACTGTTAAGTAATTTCAGTGGGGAAGGGGTTTAAAGCTTCAGATTCAGAATGGTTTTTCTTGTGTAAATTTCAACAAAATTTATTTTTTAATTAAATAGCTCTAATTTTATGGTTGTGGTGCTTGGTCTAGTTCCAAATGAACATCAAAGACAATGCAAGTCTTATTCTCTAATTGTGACATTGAATTGAGGCTTTCAAAGATTAACAGTGGAGAAATGGTTTGATTTAGATGAGGCACGTGGCCTATATAGGGGAAGTAACTTGCCCAAAGTCACATGGTTGGTTAGGGTCATGAAGTGAGATTCCAGTCCTGGACTCCTGGGTTCCAGTATCTCTGCTCTCAGCTCTGTTGCCCAGGCTGGAGTGCAGTGGTACAATCACGGCTCACTGTAACCTAGAGCTCCTTGGCTCAAGCAGTCCTCTTGCCTCAGCCTCCCAAGTAGCTGGGACTATAGGTGTGTACCACGGCGCCTGGCTAATTTTTAAATTTTTCTGTAGAGATGGGGCCTTGCTAGGTTGCTCAGGGAGGGTCTCAAACTCCTGGCCTCAAGCGATCCTCCTGCCTTAGCCTCCCAAAATGTTGGGATTACAGGCACGAGCCACTGCACTAGGCCCATTATCTATGCTGCCTGTTCCTGCTGACACCAACTCCACTAAGAAATGGGAGGCTGATCCTGAGGTATAGGCAGGAGCCCTGGCTCAGGCTGAGTCATCTCAGGACTCCTGTCCTTCAAGAAACCTTGTCTTCACTGCTTCTTCCAACCTCCTTTTTGCTCCCACAACCTGTGCAAACATCATCACCCTATTTCTCACACCACAGGAACAACAAATTTATCTTTACTCAATTTTTGAAGACAAGAAGGGAACTTTATCTCTGCATTCTCACCTCAATGGCTAATATAGCACATTTAATAATACTTGTTGACTACAATAATTAAAGCTCTTACAAACCACTACATAAAAATATTAGTGTTAATTACTGAATTACTGAAAATAAAAATACATGCTGGTACCTTAGTTTTCTTGCATCTTTAAAATAAACACTCCACGAATCTGTAAGAATTATAAAAGTCTTGAGGCTTAATGTAGGATTTTTCAAATATTTGCATAATTTATGCTACACTGCCATGCACAAATATATCGAACAAAAAAAGACACGAAGTTACCCATAAAAGTTGGTAAAAGAATTTTATTATTATGTGGCTTAGGTAGGTTTTTGCATTCTACTAACAGAAAAGCATTTTCCACACCTTATTCAACCTAACACATTATACATTTGTGATTTTATCTACATCGCTGCAGTATTACACTATTGAAAACCTTCCTTTCAAATGTACTTTGGTGCAATTATACAGTAGATATCTCTGCCTTCAGAAAATAAAAATATTCTCAATCTAAACTCAAAATGGAATAAAGACATCAATACCAAGTTTGTGCACCACTTGGTAAAAGATTGCAATAAAAATCAGAAGAGTATGCTGCTTAACATATAAAGAAGATGAGACATCTGCCACAGTTTCAGTCAAACCTTTGTAGGAATGATTTAGCATCTGGGTTTATTTTTACTGCAGTTTTCACATATGATAGGTGGAATTGTACCACAAAGAATAGTCTCATTTGCACGAGAGACTCAAATATTGGACTCTAGCACAGGAAATGTCTCTTGGGGCTTAGTAATATACAAACTGATAGAAAAGAAAATTGCCTTAAGAAAAATTTCACAATTGACTAAACATCTGAAACATTTTTATCACAGCTTTCATATATTAAAAAAGTTTCCTCCAGAGATGAAGCTTATTGATGAAATAAAACCTAGTCACTATCATCTGACCCATGTTCTGAGCCTCTATCTGAGGCCTCATTGTTGGATCCCTCTGGTTCCGATTCATTTCCAGAGCCTTGGCCAGAACCCTCATTATCAGATCCTCTCTCCGATTCGTGATCTGATTCGGCACTTGGAGAAGCTGGGCGAGAGTCGTTCTCAGAAACTCCTGAGTGGCTTCTCCCTGACTGCACAGATTCATTGTCAGACTGCTCAGAACCGGAGGGCCTTCTCTTTCTGGATGGCTGGTCACTGTCTGAGTCCTGATCTGACCGCTGTCTTCGTGGCCTCCGGGGACTGCCGGCCTCGCTGCCAGACTTGTTCTGGTTCTCATCGGAATCACTCTCTGATGAGGCACATTTCTTTCGTTGTTCGTCCTCGTCTGAGTCACTGTTGCTGTTGCTGTTCCTGGGATGTCTGGCAAAGATGATCATTGGTTAGAAGCTGAGGATTCTGGCTAACTGGGGCCTTGATGAGCAGACAATGTGCTTTTAAAACAGAAGGGCATTTAATATTCTATTTCTTGACCTAAATAGTGGTTACACAGGTATCATTCTGTGATACTTGTTTTGTGTACTATTCTGTAAATGTGATATATTTCACAACTCAAAAAGGTTTAAAAAGGAAAAAAAGATAAGGCACTTTAGCTATAAGTCAAAATATAAACAGGGATGGTGACTCACTGGACACTTTTCATCAGAATGAAGCATTTCCCAATTTCATATATAAAATTATGAAAAGGAAGGGATACATTTGTTTATCTCTGTACACAAATTAACAGCAACAAAGGTGAAATCCAGGATCTCAACTGGCTTGAAGACTTTGAAGAATTAACCCTTTTCCAAAGGCAGAAAAGGGTTTCAAAGGACATTTCCCTGTCCTATTGCCATCGGTGCTAACAGGTACCTGAAGAGTGAGGTCATTATTCCTGTCCTAAGATTTGCTACTGCACTAGGTCCCCTCCACCATGACCAGACTTGCTCAAGATAGGGAACTGGGGCTAAAGGGGCCCTTTGGTTTATTTCCCTTTGCTCCCAAGCTCTCCCCTCTACTTGTCAGTTGATAAGTGAAAGGAAAGGGGAAGTCATGCTTATGCTTAGAATGGTGGCAGCACCCTCAGAGTCTTGGCTTCCTGGAGGCTCTGAGGAAAGAACATTCCCTTAACCACGGTGACCGCTCCTTTGGAGCAGGCACACTTCTCTGGCACGTTCCTTAGTTCTGGTTTTCATGACAGATATTCCAATAAAGGAATACTGAATCCCACAGAGTTCGGTCTAGGAACGGTGAGGGAGGTGAAATATATTACTCTCTTTCTGTATACATATTAAAGACCTGTGGGTCTTCCCTGGGATCCAATTCACTCCATTCCATCTTGCCAAATAAGCAAACACACTTTATGATGGTCAGGACAAAGCTTAACTGATGCAAGTGGCTCAAACAAACTTGGCCTTGACCTCAGGTACAGATTTGGCAGCAGCTCAGCCTCTCACAATGGACCTTTCTGCCAACACATTTAATAGTGCTCAGTCTTTGAAAACCACGTATTTCATTACACTGA
The DNA here is from genome assembly GCF_000001405.40 of Homo sapiens. Taxonomy (NCBI): domain Eukaryota; kingdom Metazoa; phylum Chordata; class Mammalia; order Primates; family Hominidae; genus Homo; species Homo sapiens. Next base: position 10,777,537 of record NC_000011.10, on the reverse strand, counting down.
TCATGCATGTCTCTAAACAGACCTGGGTAACACTATGGGGACAAGGGCTAAACAGTGCTTTACGGAAAAACAATCCAGATGTGTCAGCCGGTGCCTTCAGAGGAAAAGGGAACTGCAAATCTTTTTTTGTTTGTTTATTTTGCTTTTATAAAATTTCTGTCTCACTTGCTGCCCAGGCTAGTCTCACTGTGCTGCCCAGGCTAGTCTCAAACTTCTGGCCTCAAGTGATCCTCCTGCCTCAGCCTCCCAAAGTGCTGGGATTATAGGCGTGAGCCACCTCACCTGGCCAGAACTGCAAATCTGGTTCTTTATAGATTACCTCCCTATGAGTCCAATCCCCACCAGAAGCCTTAGCCTCCTCAACATGCTAACCTCTGCCTCAGGAATCCCAATTCTTCTAAGACTCAACTCAAACACCCTTTCTTTTAGAAAAAAACATCTCTTACAACTCCTACCACCACCCAAACTCAAGACTAGGTATGGTTCCTGGAGAACAATAATGCAAATTTACATGATACATTAATCCAACTATAATGTGAGCTTTTTTTTTTTTTTTTTTTTTTTTTCACAAGAGTCTCATTCTGTTGCCCAGACTGGAGTGCAGTGGTACCATCTCAGCTCACTTCAACCTCTGCCTCCTCGTTTCAAGTGATTCTTGTCCCTCAGCCTCCCTAGTAGCTGGGATTACAGGCACACGCCACCATGCCTGGTTAATTTTTGTATTTTTAGTAGGGATGGGGTTTTGCCATGTTAGCCAGGCTGGTCTCAAACTCCTGGCCTCAAGTGATCCGCCCACGTTGGCCTCTCAAAGTGCTGGGATTACAGGTGTGAGCCACTGCGCCCAGCCTACAACATGGTTTTGGTTTATCTGTTCTTTTCCACTGCCTCTGAAGCAGAAATTCCTTGGAGAATTTATGGGCCTATCTTTTCTCTCTGTATTCCCAGCACTTACACTGTCTCACACACTCGATGTTCAAATGTCTGTTGAATGAATAAATGAAAATGATGGCTACAGAAGAACACAGTGTAGTACAGTATTAAGAGACCTGGTTGAGAAATCCAAATGGGGGACAACTTGAGCTTGAGGAGCAAGTTTAGGACAAATAAAATCAAGTATTGCTTCACTGGGTGGGCCATGAACTAAAGGAGTCTTGTGGAAGGAGTCTAGGATAAGTCCTCCACGGAGCAGGTACTGTTGACTTACCACCGCACAACGGGGGAGAAAACAGTCAAGAAATAGCCTCTCTCAACACGGAGAAACCCCGTCTCTACTAAAAATACAAAATTAGCTGGGCATGGTGGCACATGCCTGTAATCCCAGCTACTTGGGAGACTGAGGCAGGAGAATCGCTTGAACCCGGAAGGTGGAGGTTGCGGTAAGCCAAGATTGCCATTGCACTCCAGCCTGGGCAACAAGAGCGAAACTCCGTCTCAAAAATAGATAAATAGATAAATAAATAAATAAATAATAAAAAGAAATAGCCTATCTCCATATGACCAGGACCTGGCTATCTGTAACACTTTTAGTGTGTCAACAGTAGGGCAGCAAAATGATACATTTCATTTAGAAGGATGTCATCTAGGAAATTTCAGCTAACATCCATGAAGAAATGAGACTTCAAAAAAGCTTTTCTTATTTGAGAGAAAAGATGTAGTAGGACAAAATGACAGGGTCAAGTTTCTTCCAGCTCTCAGATTCTAAGAAGCTGGGGAGAAGCCATTTCGGCACAGCAACACTCCCAGTTATCTATTTCCTCCAATTTTCAAGTCTGTCCCCACCCCTCTTATTATTTATAAAGAAAAAGAAAGAAAAGTATATTTTTCTTAGTACAGACAGGCTGATTAGTAATCACTTTTGATTTATCTACATCATGAGAAGAATTTACAAAGAGAAAATATCCTACCCTTCATCAGCAATTTTAAGTTTATCCTCATCCGAAGAGTCATCACTTGATGAAATTATGGCTTTGGATTTTATTTTTCCCTTCATTGATGGAGGCAGACGTTCTGGCTTGGGCTAAAGAATGTCAAACATAATAGATTAGTCAAGACTCTTACATTAGGCCATCTTGTTAAATTGGGTTTGCATTACAATGATACAATCAAACAGCCACTGATGAACTTTGAAAACAAGCATTTGTGCTTGAGAAAGCTGCAAGGAAAGAATGTATTCTAGTGTACTGCAATCTTTCACATCTACTAGGGGACAGAAAAACACAGTACTATAAACTTACAGCCTTTTTCTTCTCTGCTTTTGGTGGACGTCGTTTTTTTGGTTTGGGGCCATTTTCTGTTTCATCATCATCAGATCCTTCTTCTCCCTTTGGATGTCTTAAATAGTGAACACCAAGAGAGAGTTTGTCAAGAGCCTACCTATAAAGTTCCAGACTACTTTGCCATTAAATTATTATTCATTCTGAATCCTCTTCTATATGGGTGCTGTCCTCAATCATACTGTACACTCCTCAAGGGCAGGGGACATAACTTACTCTTGCTGCACGTGGCTCAGAAATGTAAAAACTATGTATTTATGCAATGTCTGCTGATTAGTCACTGCTGAGCTCTCATTAATTTGCATTTGAATCTTGCACTTGGTAGAGTGACAGAGAAGATGAGAAAAGACCCAGGCTCCAGACTTCAACGTCTTTCCCTTCCTCTTCCTTCTTTCCCAACTATTGATTCCAGGGCTGCTACTAATATCCTCACCACAGCTTCAATTCCACAAGTCTGTGTCTTAATGTAGTAGCAGGTTCTTTCCCAAATATAGTCGGCCAAGGGTTGGGAAGGGCAGTCTAGGTAAGATAACTGAATGGAGGTTCCTGGGGACAGGATAGCACAACAAGAGAGGGCCAAAGTAGCTTAGGAGGCACCTCCGCATGAGAAATGGGTAGGGCATCCTTGATCTTAACAGCAGAGAACACTGGGTGGTTTTAAAGGCACTTTTACACACATTCACATCTTATGCATTGAGCAAAAACCATGAGGTAGGCATTGCTGTTACCAACGACAGAGAGGAAACTGAGGCTTAGTGATTTTTCCAAGATTGCACATGCACAGTTAGTGTGGACACAATCCAGGTCTTATTCTAAATCACATGTTTTCCAATAAATATTTAGAGACACAAGAAAGGCAATTATGACTAACTTGCAGCGCTTAGAAGGAAAGCTGTGGAGACGTATGGAAATCCCAGGTACTCAGTGGATTTTGTACTGGGGTCTATCTTAGGATTAAAGTAGGAAGTGGGGGCACAAAAAGCTTCACTGTTTGGATCAAGTGTTCATCAATTCTAAACATCAAAAGATTCAGAAGGTAAAAGGTCTTTCACCACTTTTATGAGGTTACTTAAAGCACATTAATGATGACATTACCTTCTCCTCTTTTTCTTCTTTCTCTCACCACCCTCCTCATCTTCACCTTCTTGTTCACTGCCACTACCCTTTCTTCTCTTCTTCTTTTTGGATATAGGTAGGTCATCATCAGTGTCATCATTGACAAATTCATCAAACTCTCCTCCCTTCTTAGAACGCTAAAATCCAAACAACACTATAGTCAGTTATTTCCTGGTTGGTGGAATGTGGTTAGAATGCTAAGGTACAGAAAGGGGCCATATCCATTGTCATTTGACAATGAAGGATTTTTTTTTTTTTTTTTTTGAGATGAAGTCTCACTCTTTTGCCCAGGCGAGAGTGCAGTGGGGCAATCTCGGCTCACTGCAACCTCTGCCTCTTGGGTTCAAGTGATTCTCGTGCCTCAGCCTCCCAAGTAGCTGGGACTACAGGCATGCATCACTACACCTGGCTAATTTCTGTACTTTTTAGTAGAGACATGGACCATGTTGGCCAAACTGGTCTCAGACTCCTGACCTCAAGTGATCTGCCCACCTCGGCCTCCCAAAGTGCTAGGATTATAAGCATGAGCCACTGTGCCCGGCCCAAATGAAGGATCTTTTACTAAGCCACGTGGAAGAGGTTCTTGGCTAGGCCCAATTAGACTTCTAATTGAGACGAAAGTCTCAACTGGTTAAAACTGCAAAAATCAACTATTTAAAAGATAACTACAAGGTAAAATACACTTAGCAAACCTTGGAATGCATTGCTAAATACTGGATACCATTTAAATCATTCTCTGTGTTAGAAGACTGTCTCTTAACAAAAGAGGAAGTCAAAACTAGTAAGTACAGAAGGAATTTAACCAATTATCCTCATTTCTCAAAGCCAAAAGACAGAGAATGAGGTCACTTGTGCTAGCAGGAATTATATCTTACCCGTCCACCACCACCACCTCTTTTCTTCTCTTTTGTTGCTTCAGTCTCACCAGTAAACATAAGAATATTTTTGGTCTTCTCCACATACTGGGCCCGCTGTTCCAAAAGTTTCTTTTGCTCTTCCTTTTCTCTGAGACGTTTCTCTTCCTATGAGGAAAAATGGTAGAAAAGAAACCCCACTGCAAATTTTCTTATGATGAAAAATTAATGGCTACCATCCTAAGCAGAGGATTTTTTTTTTTCTTTTGAGATGGAGTCTCACTCTGTTGCCTAGACTGGAGTACAGTGGTGCAATCTCGGCTCACTACAACCTTGGCCTCCCAGGTTCAAGTGATTCTCCTGCCTCAGCTCCCCGAGTAGCTGGGATTACAGGTGCATGCCACCACTCCTGGCTAATTTTTGTATTTTTAGTAGAGACGGGGTTCCACCATGTTGGCCAGGCTGGTCTCGAACTCCTGACCTCAAGTGATCCGCCCTCCACCCACCTCATCCTCCCAAAGTGTTGGAATTAGAGGTGTCAGCCACCACGCCTGGCAGAGGACTTTTTTTTTTAAACATACAAAGTGTATGCATGCACACAATTCATTAATTCCAGTATAACTGGAAAATACAAGATACCTGTTCTTTAAGAAGTTTCTGCCTTAACAGCTCCTTTTCTTGCTCTTGCTTGGCCCGCAGCTCCCGCTCTTCTTCATCTTGTTTGCGTGCCCGGGCCACATGGTACTGGGCCTGGCTCAGTAAGTCAGAACACTGCCTAGAACATTTCAGGTTTAGAGAAACATGAATGTAACTACTATATTAAAAAACTCAGCACATCTATTTTCCTTATACAAATTAAAAAATCTGAAGCAGGACCATTAGCTGATCTATGTGAAGTCTTTTTTTAAAAAAATGTTTTTTTTCTTCCTTTTTTGTTTAAGAGACAGAGTTTTGCTCTTGTTGCCTAGGTTAGAGTGTAATGGTGCCATCTCGGCTCACCGCAACCTCCGCCTCCGGGTTTAAGTGATTATCCTGCCTCAGCCTCCCGAGTAGCTGGGATTACAGGTGTGCACCACCATACCTGGCTAATTTTGTATTTTTAGTAGAGACGGAGTTTCTCCATGTTGGTCAGGCTGCTCTTGAACTCCTGACCTCAGCTGATCCGCCCACCTAGGCCTCCAAAAGTGCCAGGATTACAGGTGTGAGCCACTGCGCCCAGCCAAAAAAAATTTTTTTTTTTGCATTACACTTGCCATACCATACCAATGTATGGAGTCTTAATTAGCAAAATTAACTTAGTTTATCATAAGCCAATACTGCCAACTATGTTAAGTTTCCAAACTATAAATGTCCTCTCAAAGCACAGCTAAAAAGATTTCCAACATTATCTTTACATATAACTCAGAGTCATGAATTTTATCTTGACTAGGCTGACATAGCTGACATAAGTAAAATAGAAAAGTATTTTCCCCCAGAACTCAAGTACTTGTACTAAGGCAATTTTGTCCAATTCCCTGAAAGGAAAAAGTCCTGGCAAAGATTAGAGAGTCCCCAAGAGAAGTGTGAAAGACTGACCTGTGGAAGGTCAGGAACCTCTGTTCCCTACTGTGGCACTTTCCCAGCCCATGTAAATATCACTGCCTCACCCAAAGTCACCTTCCATAAATAGTAACATTACCTGGCTTCTGTAGCAGCAAGGGCCAAATCAAATCTCATTTTATCTCCCACTTTACTCAAATAACTGAAGTATCTAAATGAAACGAGAAAATACTTCACTTTTAAAAAAAGAGATTCTAATGAAATAAAGCTCTTAAAAAATTTAATCTGTGCTACAAAGTCTGAGAAAAGGTTTGCATATTGACTGATTTACACAAATTTATGCCACTCATTACATTTAATAGACACGTTCATCAAGATGGTCTAAGTTATATTTAATATTATCAGTAAATTCACAAATAACCACAAAGCAATTCAAGCAACAAGTATTTACTAAACATGAAATTTACTAAATATGTCAGGATGGAGGTTACGGGGCTCAGGCCATGAAAGCACTTATAATTTACCAGGCAAGGCAAGAATTGTTAAACAAGAATAAAAATATTAAGTTGGACAAAACCTGAAGAGATGACAGGTTTTAATTTCACCACACACTGACTCACCATATAAATACTATATGGCTAAATAAATTTTGAGCTGAACTGAATAAAACTATTAAGCATTATTTAAGAAGTAAAACCTTAATCCTAGTTCAATGAAAATCAACATCCCATTAAAAGACACATTGGTGTAAAATGGAAGACCAACGTAAGTGTCCAAAAAATTTCACATGTGTAAAATGCTGGGTCACATTACTGTCAGATTAATAAAAAATCTATGGCAAGTTTGCAAAGCTAGCCAGCCAGTTCTAGAGGTCAAGCTACAAGATCCAAATCTGGCAGGATCCTGACTATAGTTTGGCACCACCTGGTGGCAGCTGCTATCTGCTTTGGCTTAACTATTGCTGGAATGATTCTAATAGACCACCTTTAGAAGGAAGTGATTTTCAGCAGCTTGAGACAAATAGCTTTAAACAAAGCATTTCAGACAAAATCGGGAGAGTTCAAGATGGTATGGTCATAGACCAAATAAAGCATTTCATAGGTTGTTTCTACAAAATCTTTACCTATGTGCAAGCTCCAGTTCTTTCACAGCATTAAGTACTTCCTTCAGATTACTTTTTTCATCTTTCAGGACAGAGGTAGCTAATCTTTGCAGGACCAAGGCCACATTAAACATAAGAACTGTATCACTGGGTGCCACATGTCTAGCCTGTGAATAAAAAATAAATATTTCATATGTTCAAATGACATGAAAAGGATCTTAGACAGCAGAGTATTATTAAGTAGTAGGTATGTGAACACGCATCACGAAGAATTAAAAAATACAATGTAGCACAGAAATGGATGGGAATAACATCTCTCCTTTTTACCTTCAGCAAAGTCTGTTTGCATTCCTGTAACTTGCCACACTTGAAGAGGGCCCGGGCCAAATAGAGTACAACTTCAGTGTTTTGGTGCTTATAGAACTTTCGGAGGCAGTTTTCATACTACAGTAAAAGAAAAAAGTTAATTAAAACACAACAAAGAATAAATGACATTTTCATTTTGTAGCAAAATGGCATTGCAATTTTAAAGCTCTGTAAAAAGGTGTTTTACCCTTTGAATGGTTAATTTCAGAGAATAATTTGGGGAATGATTTTTGACATTCATCAGGATACATTTTCACAACATAAAAAATCTGACCATTAGAAAAACTAGATGCTTGAAATGGTTTCTTTCCATTTGAAATTTGGACCAACATTGAAAGAAAGGGTAAACAGACTGGAAAGCCTTTTTCATACTTTTAGCAATACTATCTAGAATCAGCTTATTGACCACTGATGAGAAGTCATACACCGTTGTCCTTTGCGTTTTACCATCTACACCTTTCTTAACAATGGGCAGAACCTACTGGCAATGAGCATGAGGAGTCTTACAGTTCTGGTTGTTAACTTCTTGGTAAAACCAATACAATACTAGTGTTAATTGTGACATGAACATAGCACTTTTTGACCATGGAATACCTCTTGTCATAGGTAAGACCTTTTTCATGAAAAATGGTTAAGACCATTTTTTCCTGAATATCCCTAGTAGTTAATTTGCATTTATAAAAGACAACATTATCATTCAGCAGATCAGGAAGGCCAGCCTCACAAAACACAACCTCTGAAGCTCCATATGCAATCTAGGTTCTGTGAGTTTCTGTGATTATTGACTTTCCAGTACTCTGAATATTGGTAATAACCCACCCATTTTAGAAAAAGGTAAACCACTTCTCAGGAGCCTGGACTGCTCTTTTTGTCTACTTTTTGTAAGCTTTTCCTTTCTGACCATAATATATCCCACAGAGCCGAAGATCCTTTTTACTTTTTAATTTTATGGATGCTGAGTATGACTTTTATTTCGAGCTCAAGCACTCAACAAATGTAAGCATAAAAAAATTCTACAGTCATTAAATCTTATCGCTGTTTTGTTTTCTTTTTTCTTTTTTTTCCCGAGACAGAGTCTGGCTTTGTCGCCCAGGCTAGAGTGCAGTGGCAGGATCTTGGCTTACTGCAACCTCTGCCTCCCAGGTTCAAGCAATTCTCCTGTTTCAGCTTCCTGAGTAAGCTGGGATTACAGGCACGTGCTACCATGCCCAGCTAATTTTTGTATTTTTAGTAGAGACAGGGTTTCACCATGTTGGCCAGGCTGGTCTCGAACTCCTGACCTCGTGATCCATCCGCCTCAGCCGCCTCAGCCTCCCAAAGTGCTGGGATTACAGGAGTAAGCCACCATGCCTGGCCTGTTTTCTTTTAAATAAGTCATTTAACCTTTCTAAAACTCACAGTTCAGTTTCAGAAACTGAATACACAAATAAATATTCAATCCTACTACTTACTGGGTATTACTAATATGCTAGGCATGCTAGTGCCAAGTAGTTTTCATACGGGATCCTCACAAAATTCTATGAAGTTAAGGTACAATTATCTCCATTTTATAGATAGGAAAACTGGCTCAGAAAGGATGTCCTTTGCCTGAGGCATGTAATTAGTGGTGGAACCAGGACTCACATCTCTGTCTGGATACCAAAGCCTGGCCTTAGCATTATATAATTATAAATCTCTAAATAGACACAGTATCACAAGAGATAGCATGCAGCTCCATGACAGGGCCAGAATGGCTAAGAAAACATCTGCTTAACAATGAACAAGATATAAAAATATCTTGAAAGAGAAGCTATTACCATCTGAACGGCGCTGATGTACTGCTTTTGCTCCACATAGATGTGTGCTAAGTTCAGCCACACATCACTAATATCTGCTGTTGCTTCTCTTACTTGGGCAAATACATCACGAGCTTCACGAAAATATCCTTTGTGGGCCAAAACAGCTCCTAAAGATATAAAAAGGTTCACACTTAACAATTTTCTAATTGGAGTCAGAAAAACAACTAAAAATTCTATTTTAAAACAACTACATTGATCACATTTTAAGAAAAATTCTGATTTACAAACATTCCTCTGAAAGTATTCATTTGAAACAAATTGTTATGGGTACTCAAGTCTTATAATCACCTATGCCATTGGCAGCATACAGATTCTTTGCATCATTTCTGAGTACTTGTTTGTAGATGGCCAGAGCACGATCTTGATGACGCTTTTCCTATAGAAACAAGTGCTCTTAAAAAAGATTCAAACGAGAATGTAGAGTATCAGTTTTGTTTAAAAGGACAAAAAGAGATTACCTTTTCTCGATCTCGGGTGGGCTGATGTAAAGTTTGGAGCCACACGTTGCCAAGGGCTAGCATAGAATAGGTATCACTCTGTGTGGATGGCTGTTTTAATATCCTCTCAAACTTCTTCTGCCCAGGACCCCATTCTTGTTTTGCCAAATGAAGATTGCCAATCAAAGACCAAGCATCTGGATGATCCTGAAACATACATACATGAAGAAGGAAAATCTGCAGTTTAGTTTGACAGAGATCAATCATCTTCCCACAATAGCTGATTACTGAAGAGGTTTACAAACTATATTACAACAGTGGTTTTCTTTCTTTTCTTTCTTTCTTTTTTTTTTTGCATGGCAATCCAAATTTATCGAACTACTAATGCTAAAGCTAAGTTATACAAAATTGCACCACTTTAATTAATGCTTTCAGTTTACATTTGGCCACCTCAAAGTAGTTGTAACATTAGGTTGGTCAATTTAAATACTGTGGCTCCCTGTTGGATAGACACACAATCTTTACATCCAGACATAAATGCATACAAAGCAACAAGGCACTGTTAAATAAAACAGCAATAGTTACTGCAAATTAGGCCTTGTGACCAATTACATATGATTAAAATTAGTTCCCCACATTCACATCCACAGTACTTGTCCACCATTTAAAATCTCAACCAAAACGTTACAAACGTGGAACCATCACTAACAGGCAAAAATACTAAACTATATTTGGTATTGCAAATACCCTTAGGCATGAGCAAGCATGGGATTCACAGTGAGAATCTACAGCTGCAGAAGCCTGAAAATGATTTACAAAAATTGTTAAATCATTAAAAAATTGTTTGAAAATATACACTTCTTGTTGTAGACCCCCACATGAGTGGTTTTCAAACTGAGTTGATACCCATTAGTAAGTTGTAAAATCCATTTAGTTAGTCTTTAGTTATCTGCATAGTAAATGCAACAGAATGGAATAAAGTAAAAATATCAGTGTATCGCCCATTGGCAAAAGCAAATAATGATTTGTGAAACTTTCATTTCAGTTGTTTGTCTATATATACATTTGTGTGTACTAGGCTATGATGTGAAATCTATTTCTTTTTGTGGGCCCTCAAAACGTTTAGATGACCATAGCTATGGTTCCATACAAAATCCTAAGATACTATGCTATAAAGTTCTCTCATATGGTACTAACTAAACTGAAAGTGAAGTAAACTAGTGAGAGTAAAAAACACAGGAGTCAGGTCACATTTGTTGAAGTGGAGTGAAAGGATGGGATGGGGGAAGGGAAGAAGGAAAAAGGAAGACAATAGGAAAGATTTACATAAAAAAACATGGTCCCTATTTATAACATGATTAATAATGCAACCTAGTACATTTTTAGTATCTAACAAGTAAATGAAAACAAAACAAAAAATGACAAAACCAGGAAGATGTAGCCATTAAAAGGAAAAACTGATTTATGGGGAAGGAAAAGTGAAAATAATTATTTCTCAAACCTAAGAGTTAATATTACCAACCTGATTAATCTGAAGAGCTTCCTTAAACCAATCTGAAGCCTCATAAAAGTTTCCCTTATCTCTAGCCATGGCTCCTAGGCGCAAATAGCCTGAAAACATATTTAAAAGTTTTTATATCCCAAATATTAGCTATAAAGGATCATAATTTTAAAGTCATACTTTTGAAACAATTTTTTTTCATTAATACCGCCATAAAAGGAACAGAAAAGTCCCAAAGGTGAAAAAATATCAATCATCCATCCAACAAGTTAAAGAATAATTTTGTCACCATCTAGACTTACTGTTTGAAATCTAAGACTTACCTCTGCCACTCCACTCCCAATGCTAGTTCCCTGGTCCAAGTCCTTATCTCAAGCTAAGTTATTTTAAAAGCTTGGAACCGGCCTGTTTCTAATTTCTCTCCAATGCACACCATTGTCAGTTACCTTTTTTTAAAAAAAGCTGCTTGTAATACGGCAAAACAGTGAAAGTCTGATGAATAGGTATTACTACTTAGAAGATCTGGGCTCTAACTGGGGTTCTTCCATTAATTAATAGTGAAGTGCTACACAAATGTAAGTTGTTGTTTTCTCTAGGAAATGTCACTTCTCTCAGGAAACCAATAATGGTTCACTACTGCCTATCAAATCAATTCAAATTCAGTCTGGCATTCAACTGAAATCTTGCTTATTTTAAATCACTTTTGCATCCATAACAGCATGATAGGCACCAAGTTAATAGCTCCTGATATGCCGGGCACGGTGGCTCACGCCTATAATCCCAGCACTTTGGGAGGCCATGGTGGATGGATCACCTGAAGTCAGGAGTTCTAGACCAGTCTGACCAACGTAGCAAAACCCCACCTCTACTAAAAACACAAAAATTAGTCGGACGTAGTCGTGGGCCCCTGTAATCCCAATTACTCGGGAGGCTGAGGCAGGAGAATCACTCCAACCCGGGAGGCAGAGGTTGCAGTGAGCCGAGATTGTGCCACTGCACTCCAGCCTGGGTGACAGAGCAAGACTCCATCTTAAAAACAAAACAAAACAAAAAAACAAAAAACCTCCTGATTTACTAGAGTCAAAACATCATGCTTTAGGTTCTTTTTAAAGAAAGTACAAAAACAAACAAAAAAACCCTCATACACACAAATAAAATTAAGTACACTATGTATATTATTATTATTTAAAATATAAAGATGGGGTCTTGCTACTGGGGTTGTTTAGGTTGGTCTTGAACTCCTGGACTCAAGCGATCCCGCTGCAGTGGCCTCCCAAAGTACTGGGATTCCAGGCATGAGCCACCATGCCAGGCCTAAATTATTTTTTAATTAAAAACTTTCCTTATTTTATAACGTATAGGTTGCGAAACTCAAATTAGGACATTTTAGCAATAATTGTTTAAAGGAAAAGCACTTTTCTTCCTCACTATTATAAACATTGTAAGAATGTTCATATGAAATCAAAGAAGGATGTTTCAAAGGTAAATGCATTATCAGATATGCCAAGGAGTTGTTAAAAGCCTAACAAAGGTAGCTGACCCACTGAAGATAACCTAGTCATTGAAATACGGTCCAATTGGTTTTAGTTGCTTATTTCTAGCACAAATGTAAGTAAAGCTGCACCTTTGTTTTAAGGCCACAAATTTGCCCTGGAGAAATGGGGACATTAGAACCTTAAACAATTTTTACTATCAATTCTAAATTTTTTTCAGGCTAAATTTTTGCTGCTCTTGTGGGAATGAACGGATTTCATTACATAAAGAAGTTTAAAATCCTTACAGTCAACATAATTAGGATGTTCGCGTAAGATGTTTTTATACAGTTTTTCTGCTTCATGGAATTCACACATCGCCTCATATAGCCTGGCGAGATTATATGACGTGGTAACGGAAATGGCGTTATAGTAATGCTCATCGTGTTCCGCTTCTGCTTTTGCACGGTCCAATGACGCCAAAAAATATTTCTATGAGAAAGAAAAATCACACTGTTAAAAGATTTAGTTTATACACTTTTTAAAAAGGTGTGCATGCAACTTGATTCAGTATAAAAGAAGGAAATATTTCTATTTTCCTACCTTAGCCTCCCCTAGGTTTCCAAGTCTAAAATGGAGGGCACCCACATTATTGAGAATCTCTGGAGGAACATCGGCCTGCACTTTCTCCTGAAGGATTCGTGTTGCTGTTCCATAGGCTGAAAGGGCACCCTGTATTTTCATGATTGACAGAAAAAGGTGTAAGTGGAAGAGAGACACTACACCAGGCTTACAAAAAACACATCATATGAGAGATTAAAAAACATTACTAAAATACCTGTATATCAGTCTGTTCTAAGATTTGTGCCAATTCAATCCAAGCTTCAACATCATCGGGATACTGTTCTGTGACCTTCTTCAAATGGCCCTGGGATAAAAGAGATTGTTAAGCTGAAGTATTCCATCTATAGGTTGTCAAAATAAAAAGTGGGGGCTATGTAAGTCTGTTTAATAAATCCATTGTTTGTTATCTAAACTGGAACAAGCTCAGCTAACAAAACTGTTTCTATCATATTTCTACTAGCAATAACAGGAAATGAGAAATGGGAGTTTTGGGACAGCTAACAGAAAACAGCTAAGACTTTAAAAAAAAGATGTACCTTGGCAATATCTCGTTTTTCTTGATCTTCTGAGGCAGCATAGAGAGAGCCGAGAATTTTCATAGTTTCGTAATTATTAGGATAAGCTTTCAAAACCTTCTCAAAGCACTGAGATGCATTTTCTTTGTCACCTCGATAAATATACATTTGTCCCAAACCAAAAAATGGGAGCACAAAAGAGGATGAGGCAAACTGTGTGGCTTGATAATAGTACTGAAAAGCTTGGTCATAATCTTCCTAAAGAATGAAAATTAAAAAAGACCAATATGTACAAAAGTATTGGAAAGACTTAAAACACTATAAGTAAAAAGATTAGACATTTAGAGAAGTTATAAAATTACCTGAACATGGAATGATCTAGCTAGCTGATAGCAGCTCTCTGCTTGCATAGCTTCCACTTCTGTATTATGGAATGCATGGAGGGCCAGATGCTGGACTTTACTATAATCCTGAACAAAGATCAGAAAGTCAACTGAGTGAATTCATAAGACTAGCTTGCATAGCTGTTTTATCTTAGACTAACACTTCGTTTACCTGTAAGATACATTTCCATCTTCTTCATAAATAGTTGCCTTTCAGTGCTATAACAGTTATAACCTAATCAATAATTCACTATGAAAGGGGAGTATGTTTCTACAGCCAGAAAGAGTAAAGCACTGTGGTTAGTCTAAGGTCACATAACTATTAACCACAGTGCTTTACTCTCTCTGGCTGTAGAAACATACTCCCCTTTCATAGTGAATTACTGACTTTAGACTATTAACTCTTCCTCAACTTATCCACCCACAAAATGGGAATAAGATTACCTACATCATAGAATTATTGTGAAGATTACATAAGTAAATACATAAAGCGCACTTTTTTTTTTTTTTGAGACAGGGTCTCACTCTGTTGCATGGGCTGGAGTGCAGTGGCGCCATCATGGCTCACCACTGCAGCCTCGACCTCCCAGGCTCAAGTGATCCTCCCACCTCAGCCTTCTGAGTAACTGAGACTACAGGTATGTGCCACCATGTCCAGCTAATTTTTAAAAATTTCTGTAGAGATGAGGTCTCACTATGTTGCCAGTGTTGGTCCTGAACTCCTGGGCTCAAGCAATCCTCCCACCTAGGCCCCTCAAAATGCTGGGATTACAGGCATGAGCCACTACTCCCAGTAGATTTAGTATTTTAAGAAACCTAAAATACCACTGCTTCTACAGAATTAGTGGCAACTTAAAAAATACAACATGATTAACATGCAAAATAAAAATGTCAGTGACTCCTTGTTCCCTACATAGCATGTCCAAATTCTGGTATTACAAAAATGCTCCACTATCTGAATCCAAAGCATTGCCTACCATAAGTATATTATACACTATTTCATAGATTTGTGTGTCTTTCCCTTTTCAACTCTCTAGTGACCTCTTCCTAAAAACCTAGTTCAAAAGCTCTGCAGCCTTGGTGAAAATTCACCTAAGCCATCTGACCACTTCCTCATTTCTCTACCATAAATGAGTAGATACCTTTATTTTTACACTTACATTTGTTTACATGGCTGCTCTTTCTATGAAATTGAACTCCTTGAGTACAGACACCATGTTTTACTAATCTTCACATCACTACCACAGTGTTGGGTACAGTATATAGGGGTCAATAAATATTAAGCAAATAAATGAATAAACAAATGTAGGTACCCCCAGGTAACTAATACAACAAACTCTATAATTTGGAGGGGGGAAAAAATCTGACATTTTCAAATTTCTTTCCAAGTTTAAAAAAGAAATAAAATATCAATTGCAGTACAGAAAAACAAAAATCAGAATTTAAAAATAAATGACTTCTACCTTTTTGAAGAAAAAGTGATTTGCCAAATGGTTCAATACCATAGGGTTGCTAGGATCAATAGTATAGGCTCTGGAAAGAAGCTGGACACCATTTTTAATGGAATCAGCCTAAAAGAAAACATTGCAACAAGGTGGAGTGAAAACAATACTAAATTAGCACTTTTCAAGAAGTTTTCTTTAGTCACAAGAAATAAGTTATAAATCCTAAGATCAGACACTAAAACGGATTAGAAGCTTCTTATGATTTTAAATATCTATATTGCATTTGTAATTAAATCTCTCTTTTAATCCTTAATTTTTTTGTGTGTCACTTTTTTCCCCTTTTTATTTTCTTGTTCAGTTCTTGCTTGAGACTTATCTCATCTACTTTATTAGTCCCTGCCCCTACTTCTCCCACAAAGAGCCACCTTTGTTTTTATTTATTTATATTAATTTTTATTTTTTTCAGACAGGATCTCACTGTGTTGCCCAGGATGGAGTACACTGGCATGAACACAGCTCACTGCAGCCTTGACCTCCTGGGCTCAAACAATCCTCCCACTTTGATCTCCCAAAGTGTTGGGATTATAGGTGAGAGCCACCATGCCTGGCCTCTACCACCTTTGGTTTTATTGATCCGAGCTGTTTTCTTCGTGTGACTGATACTGGTGGATTACCCAACAGCCATTTGGGTTGGTAACATCCTGCTAACAGAATCCAGATTTTGTAGCCTGTGAAAATCTTTTGAGTTTAGGAAGGAAAGTTCCCTTCCCCCCTTCCCCAGGCCCGGGGGATGAATCATGATTGATCTACACCAGTCCAGATAATCTTTTCCTCTGGCCTAAGGTAGTGGTTCTCAACTGGGGATGAAGTCATGTTTGGTTATCACAATTGGAGGAACGCTATCGGCATTTAGTGGGTAGAGGCCCGGGATGCTGTTAAAACATTCTATAATGGAAGGGACAGTTCCCCACAACAAAGAATTATCCAGCCCAAAACATCAATAGTACTGAGGCTGAGAAACCCAGGTATCCCTGTTTTGGACAATTATACATAAGGGGAAGCATGATGGAGAGCTTCCTTCTCAATATAAGACAGGGCTTCTCTAAGAGAAAGCCTTTTTATCCTTTCTCTTTCCTCCCTCTTTATAAGACCGATGTAATAATGAGAAGCTGGAGATGCTGCAGCCATCTTGTGACTATAAGGTGACAGACATGATGAAGAAAGGCTGCACATTAAGGAAGGGAGGACGGAATTATATAAAATCATAGGTTTGACGACAAGGACCTATCAAATTTGAGACCTTTGACAACTGGTTTAGTAAACACTAAAAGCCCTTATGTTTAAGGCACTGGGATGTGTTTTTTGTTACGTGCAATGAAAGCATTCCAAACTGATATACAAGTCTACGACCCCTTATCTGAGATTCTGAAATCTAAATGCCTTAAAAAACAAGTTTTGTTTTCTGTTTTTTTTTTTTTGGTAATCTTGGAGCAAACTTATTTGGTGGCAATACTACCTGAATTGTAACCCTATCCTACTAGTGTAAACAGTCTATCATTTTGCCACAGAAATATAAGTTTGCTTTTGGGGTAGTGCCCCAATAACTAGGTGTTATACATTACAAAGTACAGGTACCCTTCTGTAATCTGTAATCTTAATTTCTAAGACACATCTGGCTCCAAGAGTTTTAGATAAGAGGCTGTGGGCCTGACAAAGCAGTTAGGAGCTAGATACTTTTTTCATTTACATACCTCTTTATTGTTGAGTTCTAGAACAGCCAGTCCAACCAATGCTCCCACGCATTTGGAATTGAGTTCCAGGGCTCTGCTGAATGCCAGACGAGCTTTTTCCAGTTTGTTAAGTTTCACAAAGCAATGACCCATTCCTAAACGAACTTCCGCTATAAAATGAAGTCATTCAATCTATCAAACTAGGGCATTTTTTAGAGTTCAATTACAAAAATGCTTAAACATTCTCTATTTATGAGTTGCAAAATCCCCAAAATTAACCTCAGTATAACTACACTACAGAATCTTTTGACCTATCACAAACTTGGTTTCCTTGGAGGCTACATCATACCATATTCCAACCCTCTCCTCTATCACTGACACATTTCTCACTATAGAACAGAACACCTATAATACTGGTATTCTTCTTGTCTTCTAACATCGCTGCTAACCATACCTTCAATTTCTCATTATTGAAGAACAATTTTTAAACAGAGAACAAAAGTTCCACTAAGACCTTAAATAATATGACTGATTATGGGCACATACCATTGTTCCTTTCAAAGCTATGCTCATATGTGCTACCTCATTTAAGGCCATGCCAAAACACAAACAAGTTCCCATCTAAAGCCAATCACCATACTGGTCACTAGATGCCCTCTTATCTATTTAAGAATACTGCTCCAGCAACCCTCCCCTATTTTTTCTCTCTACTGGATCATTCATTCTCATCTACACATAAACGTTCTGCCATCTTATACAAATCCTCTCTTGATTCTATATCCCTTTCCAGTTGTCGATCATGTCTGTTCTTCAATAGCAAAACTCCCAGAATGATCTAGCTACGCTTGCTATGTCTAATTCCCTTCCTTCCATTTTCTCTTGAATACACTCCAGTGAAGCTCTCACCCCACCATTCCAGTAAAACTGCTTTTATCAAGGTCACTATGGATTTGTATGGTGCTAAATCCAATGATCAATTCTGTGTCCCTATTTTACTTGACCTAACAACAGAATTTGACACTGTTGGTCATCATCTTCTTCTGGAAACATTTTACATTTGCCTTTAAAGACAATGCACTTACCCTATTTTCCTCCTATACCTCTGGCTATTATCTTCTCAGTCTCCTTTGCTGATTCTTCCTCATTTCCCTAATCTCTTAATATCAGAGTGCTCTAGGGCTCCACCTCTAGACCTCTTTTCTATTTGCACTCATTCACAGCTTTATACACTATCTATATGTTGATGACTTCAGCCCAGACCTCTTTCCTGAATTCCAGCCTTTCTGCTGTCTTCACTTTGTCAATTTTAAATAACGGGATTTGGAAAATATGATTAAGTATAGAGTGTATTGGAGTGCAAGGTGTAAGAATGGCCACCAGAAAAGTACTGACTCCAAATGAATGATATCAGCATTTTCCAAAGTGAAAAAGTTAAGGTTTTAATTATTTGGGGGAAATAGAGAAGTTCTAGTAGGATTGTAACATTCTAAAATATAACACCAGGTGCCTATGTCACAGCAATTTGATTGGTTACAAATTGCTATATTCTAAAAAGATTATTTTATTGCTCCATGTGAGGGGGATCTTATTTCTGGCACCATTTGATCTTAATTGTTTACAGAAAAAAAAAGGCAGAAATTGCAACTGCATGCCACGTGACTCAGGTTGTATAGCCACATTCTTCTCAAGGCTCAGGATAAAGCTCTAAAAGCTTTAAGGCTGAACTGCTTAATTTGACAACTTATATGTCTAAAAGGTATTTCAAACTTTTCAGGTCTAAAACTAGTTCCACTTAAACTATTTCCCAAATATAGTAAAATATAACTCTACTTTTCCAATTGCTTGTGCAAGGGAGTTATCTTTGACTCTTCCTCTCTGTCTTATACATCATAGGTACTCCATCAGCTCTCCTTTCAAAATACATGTAGAATCTGACCACTTGTACCAACTCCACTATTACCTCCCTAGTGTGAGCCACAATCACCTCTGACCTGCCTGTCTGCAGATGCCTTCTCCCTGCTCTCCCTACTTCTGTCCTTGACCCCCTCCCCTTGAGCCCCACTCTAGTCTCAACCCCAAAGCTCAAACGAACCTTTTAAATATAGGTCAGATCACGTCACTCTGCTGCCCAAGGCCCTCCAATGGCTTCCCATCTCTGTCGATGTAAAAACTAAAGTCCTTACAATAATCTGTGATGCCCTACGTGATTAGTCAGTCCCTGGTTATAGCTTTGACCCCATTTCTTACTACTTTCCCCCCAACTCTTTCTCTCTCTATTCCAGAAACAATGGCCTCCTTACTCTTCCTTAAACTTACCAGGCACTCTCTTTCCTCTGGACCTTTGTACCTTCTATGCTCTCTCTCTAGGAGTGGTCTTCTCCTATATATCTGCATGGCTGCTAGTTGTTTTTTAGGTCTTCACACAAATGTCACTATCTCTGATGAGTTTCCTTGGTCATCCTTTCTAAGCAATTCCTGATGCTTCTCATACCCTTTTTCTGCTTTATTCTTCTCCTTGGCTCTTACTGGTAGCTTACACATCATACATACTTTACTATTTATCTTGCCCACTGAAAACTGGACTCCATGAGGGCAGGAACTTTTGTCTCTTTGGTTAATTGCTACATTCTCAGGGTTTAGAACACTGCCTGCCACATAGTTGGTACTCAGTAAAAATTTGCTACATGAATGACATTTTGGAAAGAAAAATAGTATAGGGCAAAAAGATTATATTATAATCTACTATCCAGACTTTTTTTTTCTTGAGACAGGGTCTTGGCTCTGTTGCCCAGGCTGGAGTGCCGTGGCATGAACATGGCTCACTGCAGCCTCAAATGCCTAGGCTCAAGTGATCTTCCTGCCTAGCCTCTTGTGTAGGTGCGACCACAAGCACTACCATGTGCGGCTGATTTTCTGTAGAGATGGGGGTCTCCCTTTGTTGCAAAGGCTAGTCTCAAATTCCTGGGCTCAAGCAATCCTTCTACCTCACCCTCCCAAAGTGCTGAGATTACAGGTGTGAACCAGTGCAGCCAGACCCTATCTATTTTTTTTTCCCCTTGAGACAAGGTCTTGTTCTGTTGCCCAGGCTGGAATGCAATGGCACAATGATGGCTCACTGCAGCCTCAACCTCCCAGACTCAAGCGATCCTCCAGCCTGAGCCTCCTAAGGAGCTGGGACCACAGGTGTGTGCCACCATGCTCATGTAACTTTTTTATTTTTTGTAGAGACAGGGTCTTACTACGTTGCCCAGGCTGGTCTCAAACTCCTGGGCTCAAGTAGTCCTGCCTCTGCCTACCAAAGTGCTGGGATTATTGGCATGAGCCATTGCACCTGGCCTTACTATCCAGCTTTTGACTCAAACATAGCATCAAAAAAAAAACTTGATTCTGACATTTCTATAATCCAACAATATCTTTTCATAACTTCATAAGCAACTGACAAATCCTCAATGCTTTAAGCTGGGTAATACACAGTTTAGACATAAAATAAAATTTTTCTCTTACCTGGACATCCTGGGTTAGTACGCAATGCTTTCTTATAGTAAGCAAGAGCTCCTCTGTAATCCTTCTTGTTGAAGGAAATGCAAGCTTTACCTGTAATGATTTTTAAAAATAAACACAGTGTCTGATTAAAGGCTACAAGTCTATTATGTTTTACACTAACTTATCTAAGTTAAATACATCTCTGAGTGAGAAATACTTGAAAACACAGAACAAAATTTCATATTAAAAATTTGTTTTTCATAAAAGTATACTAATTTATGTCTAAAAATAAAACTTCCTATTTTTATGTTAAATGTTATAAAGTTAGCAAACTAACATAGGAACAGAAAACTGAATACTGCCTGTTCTCACTTATAAGTGGGAGCTAAATGATGAGAACACATGGACACAGAGGGGAACATCACATACTGGGGCCTTTTGGAGGGTGGAGGGTGGGAGGAGGAAGAGGATCAGGAAAAATAACTAATAGGTACTAGGCTTAATACCTAAGTGATGAAATAACCTGCACAACAAACCCCCATGACCAAGTTTACCTATGTAACAAACCTGCACTTGTACCACTGAACTTCAATAAAAGTTTAAAAAATGTTATAAAGTAATAATTGAAATAACTTTAAGTTGTCTAAGTAGAGATTGTTTATTGGCTCTTCAGAAGTGTATAACCAATTACTCTTTTTTGAAAAAATTATTTTTTGTAGAGATGGGGTCTTGCTATGTTGCCCCAGCTCGTCTTGAACTCCTGGCCTCAAGTGATCCTCCTGCCTCAGTCTCTCAAAGCGCTGGGATTACAGGTATAACGAGACAGGGTCTCAAAGTGCTGAGATTATACCATGCCTGGCCTAAATAATAAATTATTCTTAACTGGTATATATTTTATTTCTACAATTTCAACAATATTTGTTGTAGGTAATTTCATTTGTAACAACATAAAGCTCTTCTACTTTGCTGTCTAGCTGAGTTATTAAGGAGCTATTACCAAGAGATATATTCTAGGCATATGCTGAAAACAACTGTTTCCTAACATGTTGCCAAAGACCACTTACCAAGAAGGGCTGGAATATTATTTGGAGACTGATTGAGTACAAAATGAAACTGTGCATCAGCTTGATCCATTTTGTCACCCTCAAGTAGGCAGAAGCAGGCTCTTCCCAACAAATGGTTCTATGAAGTAATGTATTATCTTAGATTTTACCCCTATATACCATGAACATGTAACACTAAAGTGAAAACCAAATAGGAAGGAGGTGGAGCACAGTGCAAATTCCCCTATCAAATGTAACGTGCTTAAGCTACTAACAAGCAATTCTTAATTACAAAATAAGAAATTATCCTGAAATGTAAGTCTTCTGTGCCAATAACAACAACCAAAAGAAAAATTTAAATTCCTTAAAATATCCTTGAAATTCACCTGGAGATAATAAAATTACTGGAGCAAGTTTTATGTACTACATTTGTCCATATTACTTAAACAGTACAAAAACCAAAGCATTCCGATTTTAATGAGGAACCTTTCTTCTTTTTGACTCTATCAACCATGTTACTTGAAGAAAAACTCTTTCAAAAAATCTGCTATCACACACATTTTGCTTTCATGTGCTTTTCTCCCTTCATAAATGGAAAGAAATTTGACTTTATTTTTACCTGATCATACATAATAATTTTATCGGCCATTGTATACAACAAGGTGGCCTGTGTAATAAGATCCTTTTTATTGTCCTTATTCTTTTCTTTCCGAGCCTGTTGTACATAATACGCTGCCAATGTATCCAAGCAAGTCATCTGGTCTTTTTCATGGTCTCTATAGTCCAAATTGCCATCTATACGTGCTGCTTCCAACAATTTTACAAACTCTTCTGTTTTTCCTTGCTTGTAGTATTCCAGCTATAAGGTAATGAAACAAATTAGAATCACTAAAGCATATGTCCATATAAAAAGTTGTACACAAATGTTTACAGCAGCTTTATTTGTAATAACAAAAAACTGGAAACAATCAAAATGTTGATTAACAGGTGAATGGATAAACAAGCTGTGGTGTATCCATAAAATGGATACTATCCTACAATGAAAAGGAATGAACTACTGATACATGCTACAACATGGATAAATCTCAAAATAATTATGCTGAATGAAAGAAATCAGACCAAAAAAAGAGTACATATTGTGTGATTCCATTTATATAAAACTCTAGAAAATGTAAAACAATCTCTAGTGTCAAAAAGCAGACCAGTGGTTGTCTGGCACAGGGATTAGGGGTGGGGTGGGGGACTTGTGGGGAGTGGTACAGAGGACACTTTCAGAAGGTGATGAATGTATTCATTAATCTTGATTGTGGTGATGGTTTCACAGGTATATACAGATGATAAAACTTATCAAATGGTAAATGTCAAATATGTGCAGTTTATTATAAATCCATTAGACTTTAATAAAACTGTTTAAAAAACTGGAATCATTCACAATGTTCCCAATCTGCTGCTTATCTAGTTGATTTCTAACTAAAATTTTCAGATAAGTAGAGCCTAAGAGAGAAAACAATAGTGAAAGATATGAAGAATTCTAAATAGAAAACTTGGGTTCTGGTTCTAGATCTACCAAAAATTATCTGTGATTTGGGCCTGTTTAACAACTTCTCTAGGCATCTGTTTGACTTATAAATAATAAAAGAAATATCCACTAGGTGTGGTGGTATGTACCTGTAATCTACTACTTGGGATGCTGTAGTGGCAGGATGGCTTGAGCCCAGGAGTTTGAGTCTAGCCTGGGCAAAATAGAGAGACTCTGTCTCTATGTGGAATATCCACCACTTATTAACCACTGACTATTGGTCACATACCATGAAAGGAATTTCATACACATATTCTCTAATCTGTACAACCACTCTATGAGGTAGATGCTAACATCTCTATATTTTAAATGAGGACATATGCTCAGAAGTTAGATCATTTGTCTAAGGTCACATAGCTAGTTAGCAGCCATGCCGGGACTTGATCTAACCCCAAAGCCTACATTCTTTTCCCTGTAAAAATCTATATCCCACAATGTGTCATTAATTTATTCTACTACAGGTGCCATGCTAATCCTCCAATATTCTAATTTTTGTTTAAGTGCTGTTAAGGAGGGCATATGTACTTAAAAATATATATATATATAATATATATTATATATACATCTAAATTACCATCTGGTTTTAAAAAAAATGTGTGTGACAAGGAGGCTTGGTCTCCATGGAATAAGAAAAGTTGGCACTTCAAGTCAAGAAGGCACTGCTTGTCACTGAAAATACTTCTCTGTAAATCCACATCTAAAAGGAAGAAACTCTTAGAGCAGTCTTGAGCACTGGATATAAGCCCAATTCCAGACCTATTTCTCTGACTCTTCAAGACAATATTAGGAGCCTCTTCTGTATGTTTGTATGAAAGCAATGTGGCATATCTACTTAGGAATAATGACTGTAACATTTATATTACCTATTCCTATAAAAAGAAAACATCATTATGCAGCTGATGCTGGCAAGTAGAGGATATAGAATTTTAGGGTTTCTGATTGGATTTTCTTGAGAATCTCCAGTAAGATTCACATTGAAGGAGACTAAATAGGACAAAAAACATAAGTCTGAGATAAACTTCACCCAAAAGAACTTTTGTGATTTTGGGTGAAGTGATTTTCCCAGAACCTAATCACATTCTAGAATATTTTAAGGGAAGTGTTTTGTTGTTATAGGAAACAATGTTAAGCAGCAATGTTCACACAGAAGCACTTCGCTTCTTTTCAGCTTATCTATAAACCATAAGCCAGCCTTCACTGAACAAGCACTAAATAATAAAATATTCAATATAGAGTACTACTTAAATGAATTTTGCCTTTACCAACATATACTAATTCACCAGTAGAGCAGCATATCATTTAGGAAAACGGCCTTATTGTTCCATAAATTATTAACACAATTAACTTCCATACACATGGTATAACTAATCTACCATGCAGCCAAGCTGGCTATTACTATATCTGAAAACAGAAACTACATATTTTCCTAGTCAACAAATAAAAAATATTTGCTACATGAATACTGACCGCCAAAGCAATCCATATGTGCAGTTGTGTGTGTTCCTGTTTCAGAATACTGATAACTTCATCTCCCTCCGGTAACTGATCGAAGTCAAGTTCAATGACCTAAAATACAAAAGGTAGGTCTTAACTCTTATTCCACTTTAAAATTCACATTTCATCTTTGCTGCTTTTCGTGAATATAATCAACATGCATATACATAGAGTACGTGTTCACTTTCAATACGGTTGAGCTAATCCATGTTAATGTTTAAGGAGCACATGACGAATAGGTTATACTATAATAAAGTTAAAGCACAGAGAAGCAAACAAACCCTGCTACTTGTCCCCAGATCACTGGAACTATAAAATACTAGAAATGGTCTGCTTACTAAAAAATAACAAAACAAAATCCTACTTAACATAGAATCCAAGTAAAGTGCAGATAAGCACCCTAGAGACTATTATGCCATAGGTCTGACTCCTTGAGATGCATGACCCTACAAGCCATGCAAAGTTGAATGCCACTGCACACATTAATCATGGAGGTGGCACCTGCGTGTAACAGACAGTCCTGACTGTAAGCACAAAAATAATAATAGGAAAATGTCCTGGAATTAGAGGTAATGACTATACAACTTTGCGAATACACTAAAAACCACTGAATTTTATACCTCAATATTATATCTCAAACAAAAAAAATAAAAATAAAAGATATACAAGAAGACTGAACATCAAAGCTGAGAGCTTTACTCAGACAAGCCACAGGCCACCCATGAATGAGACATAGGTAAGCGAGAGGAGGTTAAATTTTATCAGCACACAGGGGCGGCTAAATCTTGGGATATCTCGTTGAAGGAGAGTTGGTGTAGAGAACACAGCGCACCATGACAGACTCGAGTTTCTAAGGGAGAAGAGGCGACCTCCTATATATTCCCAGGGAAAGATCTCGAGTTTGAGCAGCAAGCATATAAACCCCGGAAACATCAGCGCCCACCTCTGTAATCTGCGAGGTGTTTTACAGTTTATCGGGTACTCTCACACCTCTGCTCCCGTGGGTTGGTTAGGAAAAGAGTAGCGCACTGTCAAATTCGAACAGGCTGGAGAGGAACTTTCAAGAACTCCTTCTCCGAGTGGCCCTGAGGCTGCAGAGACGCGGTGCCCCCAGCCTGAGAGGGCACAGGGGCTGAAGAAGATGATGATCAGACCTTGGCCAGGTATTTCGATCAGGGCTCTTAGGGAAGGAGGATGCTCTCGCTTCAGAAACGAAGTCGAGCGAAGTCGGTGGGGGCGATCGTACAAGTTCATGGCCCCCACCCGCCTCCATACACGACACTTACCTCGTCAGTGTCCCGGAGGGGAATCTCGATGGAGCCCCGCGACATGATGGGGTCAAAAGGCGAGCAAGTGTCTCGCCCCGCCGCTCCGCAGCCGGTAGTCTCCGCTTCAGGCTAATCCAGAGGTGAGTGACGGCTCCGGCTCTGGTCTTGACTGCCGCCCCGCGGCGCCGCTGGAGCTCTGGCTTCTCCTTCCCGTCAGCCGCTTAAACAACGAGCAGCGGACGGCGGACGGCCACTTCCGGCGACCCCGCCCCCTGTCCCGGAAGCACTCCCGGGGGAGCGTGCCCTACGCGAGCTCAGCTTGTGGCTCCGGTGTTTCCGTTTTGGGGTTGGCGGCTCCGAAGCTTTTGTTGGCGTGTCGGCTGTAGGGTGCCCCGAGAGCCTGCAGGACCTTCGGAACCATCTGGCGTCTGACTCTCCTCAGCGCTGGCGCGGCCCCGAATGAAAACTTGGAAGGCGTAGCCGCTTGGTCCCGCGGTGGGCGGGGCCCCTGCCTGACGTGGACCTCTCGGGATGGGCCTGGCCAATCCTGTTTTCTTCCCAAGATTGTTAGGGATAATTCAGTCATTCGTTTCGCAACCCATCTTTTGGCCCCCGTTAGGTGTAAGTCATACCTGTGATACCTTTGTGACTAGTTTAAATAAAAAAATTTACAATTAATTCGGTAATCATTGTGATAATTCATGTCTTATTTTTTTTAGTTCTTCGAAGCATGTAAGAAGATCTAGTATATTTGTGATTTAAGTAAAATTGCAGATGAGGCCAGGCGCGGTGGCTCACGCCTGTAATCCCAGCACTTTGGGAGGCCAAGGCGGGCGGATCATCTGAGGTCAGGAGTTCGAGACCAGCCTGACCAACATGGTGAAAACCCGTCTATACTAAAAATACAAAAATTAGCCCGGCGCGGTGGTGGGCGCCTGTAATCCCAGCTACCAGGGAGACTGAAACAGGAGACTCGCTTGAACCCGGGAGACGGAGGTTGCGCTGAGCCGAGATCAGCCACTGCGCTCCAGACTGGGGATCGATCGAGACTCCACCTCAAAAAAAAAAAAAAGAGGAAATTAATTTTAGTAATATATTTTATTTAACGTAATATATCCAAAATCTCATTTCAACATGTAGTCAATATAAAAATTCAGATAATTTTTACATTTTTTTATACTGAGTCTTGAAAATTCGATATGTATTTCACATGCATACACTGATCTCAGTTGCCTGATTTTAATTGGAAATATTGGATCTGTGTTTAGATTTTATAAAGTTTGCAGTTGAAAAAATAGGTTCACACACTTTAGTTTTTCCAAAATTTAAATTAAAAAAATTCCTAATTAAATTCCTTAATTGGATTAGTCATATTTCAAGTGTTCAATAGCCACATGTGGTTAGTGAATACTGCATTGGATGGCATCAGACAGTATTTCCCAGAAATACTGTTTAATATATTTTAAAGTTTATAAAGTAAGCATTAAACAAAAGTACACATAGTGGTGATTGTTATTCTCCATGCCCAAAAGCCTCCCTGATATTAAAAACTCTATTGATAGGTTTGGTTTTTCAGTTATTCGCATCCAAAGGCATCATACCTGATAATGCAGAGTGCTATGATTGAATAGTTGGGGCACTCAGTTTAGAGTGGGATTTGGAGGAAGTGACATTTAAGTTGCATCTGGGAAAATGAGTAAGGTTTGGCAGGTAAAGTATGTAGGGGAATGTGTACCAGACAGAGGGGACGGCATGTTGGGGAAGAGCTTTGAGAACCTGCAAGAAGGTCATGTGACTAGAATGTAGAAAATGAGGGGGAGAGTGGCATGAGTTGAAGCTGATATAAGAAGTACCCAGACATGCTGGGGTTTATGCTTATAAAGCAAAACTGACATCTTGTCCTGTTTCCAAAATGAGTGAGTGTACATATTACTTCCCACAGGAAAAACAAAATACTTTGTGTTCTGAAATAAACCGTGAAACAACAGTATCACACTCTGTAGTCTCCAAAGTGAACAAAACTTTCAGCATTTCCCATATATTACTGACTCTCTTACAGTTTAATTGCTGACTTTTGTACTGCTACAGTCTGAAGATATGTGGGAGCTTGGGGTCATATGGCAATCATATGAGAAAATTGCTCTTTTCTCACCATGAAGCAACTAACTGTAAACCTTGGTGTGTGTTCATTTGATGTATCAGTCCTTCTAAAGCGTAAATTCACCTGTATACTTTTGCAAGTGTTTTTGTAAGTAAACTTTTTTTCTAAATGCTTTTGTCCTTCAGAATTTCTTTTGACTTAGTATATATTAATGATTTGGGGTTTTATCTTACATGCAAAGTGATTGAAATGCTTTAAGTGATGTGTATGTGTCAATGAGAGGGAGAAAGAATAAAAGAGAATTGGTTTTGGCCAGGCACGGTGGCTCATGCCTGTAATCCCAGTACTTTGGGTGGCCGAGGTGGCCTATCACATGAGTTTAAGAATTCAAGACCAGTCTGGGCAACATGGTGAAATTTGTCTCTACTAAAGATACAAAAATTAGCTGGGTGTGGTGGTGCACGCCTGTTATCCCAGCTACTCAGGAGGCTGAGGCATGAGAATCACTTGAGCCCCAGAGGCGGAGGTGAAGGTTGCAGTGAGCCAAGATCATGCCGGTGCACTCCAGCCTGGGCGACAGAGTGAGACTCTGTCTGAAAAAAAAAAAAAAGAATTGGTTTTAAAAGATTGTTCTGGCTATGTTGTGAAAGATGGATTGGAAAGTGTCTCGAGAGGATGTGGGCAGACCACTTAGGAAACTGCTGTCTAGGTCACAGATGATAAATAGGAATAGGTTTAAGACAGTGGAGGTGGAGAGAAGTGGATGGATTTAAGATTATCATCTATCTATCTGTCTATCAATCATCTGTTGATACCTTAGTCACTAGGACTTGCCAATGTATTGGATATAGGCCGGGGTCACTGAAAAAGTAGTGTCAAGAAGGACGTCCAGTTTCTGGCATGAACAACTGGGTGAATGATGTGTCATTTCCTAAAATAGGAAAGATTAGTGGAGGAGCACATTTGGGCAAGGGTAGACCACTAGTTGGATTTCACATGTGTTGTTTGTAGTTTGTACTGTCTCTGCGACAGCCAGATGCAGATTTCAGATAGTCTAAATTACAGATCTGTAATTTAGAAGACAGTTTCTAACCTGGAGAAATAGGTCTGAGAGCTATTGGCATAAAGATGAATTTTAAAACTATGGGAT
Source organism: Homo sapiens (assembly GCF_000001405.40). NCBI lineage: Eukaryota > Metazoa > Chordata > Mammalia > Primates > Hominidae > Homo > Homo sapiens. The sequence goes on along the minus strand of NC_000011.10, from coordinate 10,748,224 downwards.
TAAATTAGATTAGATAACCTAGGGAGAGAATGGAGAGTGACAAGAGAAGGGCCTAGTTCCCAGCCTGAGGAATTCTAGCACACAGAGGGTGTGAAGAGGAAGGTGGCCTGCAAGGAATCAGCAAGGACAATGAAGAGAGAATCACCTATCAGGGGCCTGGCAACAATTGAGACTTAAACTACACTCTTGGTACCAGGTTGCTACAAGCAGCCTTTTGTTTTTCCCTAAATGTAGCAGGCACTGATGAAATTAGATGTTTTAAAGCTGTAGAACCAGTTTTGGAGCAATTTCAAAGATTTTATTTCAACTGGCATGATTGCATAATGTCCATTCACAAAACACCATGCCCCATGTTGGGCCTGAGTGCACCAGATCAAGGCAAAGCAGTTAGTGTATTTGGCCAGTGTGGGTTTTGTTGAGTACATGTTCTAAATAGATTGTTAAGATTCTTACTTTTATGTTGTTGGTATTGCAGTTGTCTGTAATGTTGGTAAATATATACATTTAGCCAATCTGAAGAGTAAGTTATTTTATATGTTGATAAAATATGCTAATAATTAATTTATTATTTTTGAGGCAGGGTCTCACTCTGTCATGCAGGATGGAGTACGGTGGCACCATCACAGCTCATTGCAGCCTCAAACTCCTGGGCTCAAGCAATTTCCTGCTTCAGCCTCCCAAGCAGCTGGGATTATAAGCAGACACTACCACATCTGGCGAAATATGCTAATTATTAAAAAGGAGTGAAGAAAGTTGATCTTAACAAATTAAATATACATATAATTTGTTATATATAATTATGTGTGTATATATTATATATATATTATATATAATATAAATATTATATTTTATATATAATATAAATATATTTTATATAATATATATTATATATAATATATAATATATATTATATAAATATATAAATATATTATATATAATATATAAAATATTATATATAATTATATAAATATATAATATATATTATATATAATTATATAAATATATAATATACTATATAAATATATAATTATATAAATATAATTAATTATATAAATATATAATATATTATATATATATATATTTTTTTTAGACAGGGTCTCACTCTGTCACCCAGGCTGGAGGGCAGTGATGTGGTCATGACTCATTGCAGGCTTGACCTCCCTGGGCTCAGGTGATCCTCCAGCCTCTGCCTCCCAAAGTGCTGGAATTACAGGCATGAGCCACCACGCTCAACCTAAATAATATTTTAGATCTTAAGTTAGATATCTTTTAAATAGCAGGACACAAATTGAAGTGTTTTAAGTGTTTTAAGTAGTTTGTATAAATTATTAAGAAACAATACGAAGCTATGTTAGTTTGCTGGGGCTAGGGCTCCCATAACAAAGTACACAGACTGGATGACTTAAACAATAGAAATGTATTTTCTGACAATTCTGTAGGCTGGAAGTGAGAGTCCAAGGCATTGGCAGGTTTGGTTTCTCCTGAGGCCTCTTTCCCTGGCTCGTATATGGCCGTCTTCTCTCTGTGGCTTCCCATGTTCTTCACTCTCTCTGAGTTTAAATCCTAATCTCCTCTTCCTATAAAAACTTCAGTCATTGAATTAGGGCTCACCCTAATGACTTTATTTTAATTTAATGACCTCTCTAAAGATCCTGTCTCTAAATATAGTCACATTCTGAGGTACTGGGAGTTAGGACTTCCATAAATGAATTTTGAGGGGAACACAGTACGGCCTGTAGCAGAGGCCTATCAGCAGGACACATCTCTGCAGCTGAATTATTTTTATTATTTTCCTTTTTAAAAAAAGTTCAATAGTTTTGGGGGAACAGGTGTTTTTTGTTATGTGGATAAATTTTTTAGTGTTGATTCTGGAGATTTTGGTGCAACTGTCACCCAAGCAGTGTACACTGTACCCAATGTGTAGTCTTTTGTCTCTCACCCCTCCACCCTACTCCCACCCCCGAGTCCCCAAAGCCCATCATATCATTCTTAGGCCTTTGTGTCCTCATAGCTTAGCTCCCACTTATAAGTGAGAACATATGACGTTTGGTTTTCCATTCCTGAGTTACTTCACTTAGAATAATGGTCTCTAACTCCATCCAGGTTGCTGTGAATGCCATTATTTCATTCCTTTTTATGGCTGAGTATCCCCTGTTGTTGCAGCTGAATTTTTAAATTATACTTTTCCCCATTAATTATTAAAATAAGGCTTGTTTATGAAATATTAGGATAAATCATCATTAGGCAAAAGTTTTAGGGTTATAATTTATCATTACAGTTGCCTGGGCAGTTGTCTTAGAATACTCTGTGTCATAGTTTCCTCTGGGGTTTCAATAAATATTCATCTCCAAAACATCACTATAGTTTCAGGAATTTAAAATTACATAAAATGCTCCTTTAGGTAAGAACTGGGAATAAAGGTCAACACACCTAATTTGACTGTCAGTAAAACACTCTGATAGAAATCTTAGTTCTGGCAGATTTGAATAACCAGAAAACCCTCCTGCTAAAAACACCTAGATTTGCAGGTCTGAAAACACACACACACACACACACACACACACACACACACAGTAAATGTCCTCATAAATGAATAGCTGAGCTATCTAATAATCTGAAGAACAGGCATTTAAGCCCATGCTAAGACTACCCAGGTAGTGGTGGCTGATATATTCCAGTGAATTGTGTCTTAATGTTCACACAGAAACAGGATTAGAGGCTTTGGGCCCACATTGGAACCCTTAAAAGATTACACCCTAAGTAAAAGTGGGGGAACTAAAAAAAAATCCCACCAACACAGATGTTCTGGGTGTAAAAGGTATAGATGGTGCAATGGGGGAATAGTCTCTCCTAAGCACTTATAACCACAGGTCTGTATCTCAGATGGGTTTGGTGTTTAACATTGTCTACTTGGTCTGTGAATCCCCAAGGCAAGATATTAGCATGGAAATTATCCCTAAGTATGTCATATCTTTGGGATGCCTGAGCAAATTACTTTTTTGATTGATTTTACTTCCCCTAGTAGTAATTAAACAGAAAGTTAACATCTACACTTAATACACCTAACAGGTATTGAATATTTACTTGTGTCAGAATTTTACATACAGAAACTCATTTAATCCTCAGAACAACCCTATAACAGGGGCACAGTAATCTGTCAATAGTGTAGACGACAAGGGTGGGAGTGAGGTTGGGGTGGGGTAGTCATATTTGTCTCTGAGGATTGGTGTAGAAAATAAGACGGGGTGTCAGGTGTTAGGTCAATGTGTATGTGTCATTGCTTTAGATGCAGTCACTGCTTTGGAAGCAGTCACTACTCTATCCCTTGGAGTTTTCTCACTTCAGGTGGAACACAGACTCTCCAACTCTTCTCGTCCTCTCTTTCTTGTCCCCAATGACAAGAAGCACATGATCTCTCCCTTCTTGTGTGTATATATATATATACATATTTGGTAGAGACAGGGTCTTACTATGTTGCCCTGGCTGGCCTCGAACTCCTGATTTCAAGAAAAACTCTTGCCTTGGCCTCCCAAAGTGCTGGGATTACAGGTGTGAGCCATTACACCCAGCCCCTCCCTCCTGAAGGACTTTATTATTGATCCTTATTGAAGGAAGGAAGGAAAGAAGATAGAACTTCAGGTAGGCCTTGAAAGATGGGTAGGATTTGAATAAGCAGAATTGTGGGAAGGATGTTTTATGCAGAAAGGGTATCATGAGCAAAATCTTGACAAGAACACTCTTTAAGGCTAGCAACAAGAGCACAAGTCATAACATTAAAATTTACTGATTATCTGACATCCGTTGTGTGTTCCATCTCCAGGAAGTCTTCCTTGTTATCATCCTTCCACAAGGGACTCTCGCCTTTATATTTTTCTTATCATCTCCAAAGATAGCTTGGCATTGAACTATATTCAGCTTCGGAGAACAGTATATCACAGGATATTTATCCTTTTCTCTTTAAAATACATTGTTCTGTATGTAGTCTTGTCTTCCCTCTGCCTCTGTCCTTCTTGAAGAGATACTTTCCAAACACCCCCTCTCCCAGGGTAAGGATGCTGGAAATGCTCATTACATAAATTTTGAGTTTTCTTGTGTATAAAAAAATGGAAACATAGTAAAGAACTTTGTTTCTAAAAGCAAATGTTGTGTGGAACCCCTATTAACCTCAATAGGGAAAGCACCAGGTTCAAGAGGCCAAAGAAGAGACCCAGAGCCAGCAAAGGAGACATGAGGTTTTATTAGGGGCTCACATACAGGGGAGAGAGTCTAGTGGCGGTGGGCTGGGCAGGAGACCCGCCTCACCTACAGAAGCGGTCCAGCGGCGGGATGGACCGCATAACCACATGACCTAGCGGAGGCAGCGGGCTGGGCAGGAAAACCACAACTGCTTGCAAACAGCATGCAGTTTATACAGCATTTTCACTTAACACTTTCCTGCTAACAACCTCCATCTGGCAACCTTCATTTAACACAGAACTCAGGGCCTCAATCTCCCGTGCAGCCTGTGTTCCACTGGTTGGGCCAGGGGCTCAGATGTTCCTCATTGACAAGGAAAGACTCTCCAGGTTGGTCACACACGGATTGCCTAGCTCGGAAACACACACATTTCAGGTGTATCTACCATACAAAGTCATTCTAAGGTATGCTTAAGTTATTGCTACAGGTGCATTTACCCTACAAATGTACACACAGACTTTGCACGTTACTGCTTTGTGTAGATGAAACTTTATGCCTCAGTGTTAAGTAAATATTTTGAAGATATTTTCAGGACCTTGAAGAGATTATTCTTCACATTCATTCCTAAAAGTTGTAAGAAATATTTCAAATTAAAAAATAGATGGGTCATTTTGACCGAATGATCTTGGATTTTGTATATTAAAAGATCTTTATAAAATGGGTTTAGAACTGTTTTAAAATATTATTTTCCTCTTTCTCTATCTTTATGTGTGTTATAAACATACTGTGTTCTGGGACCTGTCAGGGCAGAGAAAAAAATTAACCTGCACTCCAATGAGAATTCTTTTTACTTACCCCTGGGGTGCTTTTATGCCTAAAGAAGTATGCTAAACCATTTAAGAAATTCTTTCCCAAATGTCCTACCCACTTGCTCCCTCAGTTAGTGTGGAAAATAAATTTGACTGTGTAGTTTATGGTTGGCCACATTAGTGGCTAACACAGCGTAACCAAACTTAGTCAACTTATCAGTGCTGTTGATCTGAGGATGTGTCAAAGCCAGGTCATACTGACTTATCTACGCCAGAGTGCAGACAGCTGGCGCATGTGAGGCCTATTTACAAAGGCAATTTAAAAAAGGAAAAAAAGGCATTGGGATCAGCACTATTTTTAATTCCTTTTGTTTTATTTGAAAAAATTATGTTCCAGTGGTAATAGCATTTTAAAATAACTTTATTTTACAGTGGAATAAAGGGAGAGCTTTTCAAGTTTTGGAGAGACTTCCCATGTTTTTGATTTCAGCGATAGGACAGTCCCTTCAGGCAGTGCTTCTCAAATGTTTGGGTAACAAGGATCACCTGGAGAGCCGACTCAAACTGAGATTTCTGGGCCCCGCTCACAGTTTCTGATTCAGTAGGTATGGGGTGGAGTGGATAATTTGCACTTCTAATGAGTACCCAGGTGCTGCCCATGCTGCTGGTTTGAGAACCACGGCTTAGAGAACCTGGCGATTAGAATCCTAGAGTTGGACCTTGGAGGGAGAAGTTATAACTTCTTGGATGCTTACATTGCGCCAGGCACTGTGCAAGTCACCCCCCATACATTATGTCTAATCCATACAATAGCCTTACAAGTTGGGAATGATTATTCCTATTTTATGGATCAAGGAACTGAAGCTCAAAAAATTAAGTTATCCAAGATCACAAAGCTAGTAAGTGGCAGAGACAGAATTTGAAGTGGGGTTTTTTCTCTCTACAGATCCAAGTTGTTTCCATAAAAATGCGCTTTATCTGGATTAAATCTTATCCAGTCCCAGTTCCTTCCTCATGCAGGGAAAGCTGCTCTACCAACCCTGAACCACGATTCCTCAGCTTCTGCTCAGATCCATCAGCTACAGGTACTCTCTGCTTCATGAAGGACATCTTGCTGGGGGACAGCTAGAGTGACCAACCATCTGTTGGCCCCATCTGCCTGGGTCCTAGCAGTTTTCCGAGATGGCACTTTCAGTTTTAATACCGGGACAGTCCTGGGCACACTGGGAATGTTTGGTCACTCTAGGGCAGCTCAAACCATTTCCGATTCTTTATGAAGAGCCAAGCCTCCACTTCTGTTAGTTTTCTGTAAAAGGGTCTTGTACATGACAGTCCTTCAGATGTTTGAAAATGGTACTCATTCCACCAGACTCTGGACTGCTTTTTTTTTTTTTTTTTGAGACAGAGTCTCACTCCATCACCCAGGCTGGAGTGCAGTGGTGCAATCTCAGCTCACTGCAACCTCCGCCTCCTGGGTTCAAGTGATTCTTTTGCCTCACCCTCCCACGTAGCTGGGACTACAGGTGTGTGCCACCATGCCTAGCTAATTTTTATATTTTTAGTAGAGACAGGGTTTCACCTTATTGGCCAGGCTGATCTCAAACTCCTGACCTCAGGTGATCCACCTGCCTCAGCTGCCCAAAGTGCTGGGATTACAGGCATGAACTACAGCACCCAACCTCTAGACTGTTTTTATTCCCCTTGGCCTTTCCTCACACAACATCATTTATACAGTACTTATGATGTGTCAGGAACTCTTCTAAATGCTTTATATATATATTAACTAATTTAATCCTCACAAGAGTCCTGTGATGTGGGTACTGTTATAGTCCGCATTTTACAGATAAAGAAATGGAGGCACATGGTAGGTCAAACAGGGAAAGGTTTTTTTATTTTTTTGTTTTTTTAATTTTAACTTTTAGGTTCATGGGTACCTGTGCAGATTTGTTACATAGGTAAACTCGTGTTACAGGAGTTTGTTGTACACTTATTTCGTCACCTAGGTACTAAGCCTAGTACCCAATACTTTTCTGCTCCTCTCCCTCCTCCCACCCTCAACCCTCAAGTAGGCACCAGTGTGTGTTGGTCCCTTCTTTGTGCCCATGTGTTCTCATCATTTAGCTCCTACTTATAAGTGAGAACATGGGATATTTGTTTTTTTTATTCCTGTGCTAGTTGGCTAAGGATAATATAAGGAATTATTAACTGCGCTGAAAGGATTACTAAACTATGTAAAGAAACTCTGCTCGGTACCCTAGGGCTGAGGCAGGGCACCGAAAGAAGCCAACCTTGGGAGTAATTTGGATCTCACTGGAGAAGGTGTGCTTTAGCCACCAAGAGCAGTGTCTGGCTAGGTCAGGCTAGAGCTGGCTGGAGTTGCTGGACAAGCAGTTGGCCACCCCTAGAATGCAGGAAGATGTGCAGGCCATCAGCATGTGGTGGCCTGGGTGGTCAGGGCACTGGTTTGGGCAGGAGGCCTTCAGAGCATGTGAGCCACACAGGGGCTTCACAGGGGCTCTGGTTTTTGCCGAGAGGGCTCTGGAAAGGTTGTGGGTAGGTCGAGCTGCAGGGTTGCAGAGACATAGTGCTCTGAGTGCCTGACTGGGGCAAAGACACCATGCATCCTCATGCTCACCCCACCAACCCTCGACCTTGGCAAAATGGCAGGAAGGCCTTTTCCTCCTGCAACATCCCTCCAGCCTCCAACTGAGAAAGCATAACATCGTGCCCACTTTAAGGGAGAGACACTTAGAGGAAATCTGTTGCCTAGGGCAGAGCATACATTGAAAGGCTCATTCCATGAGCTGAGAGGCAATAAATTGATACTGAACAATTGAGCACCAGGTTTTTAAAAAATTCAAGCCAAAAAATAATATAAACCCAAGGTAAAAATTTTCAAATCCTTTAACTTTACTTTAGAAAGATAGAAAATGAAAACAGAGACTCAATTTTCTTCCCTCTCATCCAATTTTCTCTCCCTAAAAGCATACTTTCCTGTGATTCTTTCCAGAAAAAAAAATTGCATCTACCTACATTATGTGTCAGTGTTATAATTTATACAAAGGGGATAATTTGTCCTCTACACCATGCTTTTTTTTTTCACTTAACATATCTTAAAAATCTTTCCACATCACATATCCAGAACTACTTTTTTTTTTTTTTTTTGGACAGTGTCTCACTCTCATCCAGGCTGGAGTGCAGTGGTGCAATCATAACTCACTGCAGTCTTGAACTCCTGGGCTCAAGCAATCCTCCTGACTTGGCTTCTCAAGTAGCTGGGACTACAGGCATGTGCTACCATACCTGGCTAATTTTTTTGTGGAGAGGAAGGTGGGCAGAGTCTTGCTCTGTCATCCAGGCTGGAGTGCAGTGACGCAATCTCAGTTCCCTGCAACCTCCACCTCCCGGGTTCAAGATTCTTGTGTCTCAGCCTCCGGAGTAGCTGGGATAACAGGCGTGTGCCACCACACCTGGCTAATTTTTTGTATTTTTAGTAGAGATGGGGTTTCATCATGTTGGCCAGGCTGGTCTCAAACTTCTCGCTTCAAGTGGTCAACTCGCCTCGGCCTCCCAAAGTGCTGGGTTTACAGGTGTGAGCCACCATGCCCAGCCTGGCTAATTTTAAAAAATAATTTTTTGTAGGGATGGGAGTTTCACTATGTTGCCCAGGCTGGTCTTGAACTTCTGGCCTCAAGGAATCTTCCCACCTTGGCCTCTCAAAGTGCTGGGATTACAGATGTGAGCCACCATGCCTGGCCTAGTTTATTCTCTTTAATCACTGTATGGTATTGTGTCATGTGGATGATGGATGATGGATCATTTAGGTACTTTTGATGAACACTTTGGGTTTGGCTTTTATAAAAATTCTGCCATGAAGATTCCTGTACATATATATGGCTCAGTTTTGTAGCTATAATAAACTATTTCTAAATTCTTTGCTATGTGAAAGGATATGTGCCTTTTACATTTTGATAGATTTTGTCAAAGTAACGTGCAATAAGATCGCATCAGTTGTACTACCCTCTCATTAAAAGTGGGTGGCGGTATTCCTTCCCTCATATTCCTGCCAGCACTCGGGAAGACTTTCACCAGTTTAAGTGGAAAGAAAACGTTTTCTCACTATTTTGATTTGCATTTCTTCTACTATACCTCAAGTAGAGCATCTCTCCATATGTTTACAGTCTTTGGAATTTGTTTTTCTATAAACCATTTCTATCCTTTGCACAACTTTCTATTAGTTTGTTCTTTTTTGTTGTTGTTGCATTCATGTGTGTCAGTTCTATTTATGTTAAGAAAAAAAGCTCTTTTACAAATATGTTTTCAATATTTTCCCTGTTTTTGTTTTTGTAGAGATAGGGGGTCTCACTGTGTTGTACAGGCTGTTCTCAAACTCCTGGCTCAAGCAATCCACCTGCCTGGGCCTTCCAAGGTGCTGGGACTGTTTTCCTTATTTTTGAACTGAGTCTTTTGATTTAGTTGTTTTATTTTTCCTTCTTTTTTTGTACCAAAGTTAGATTGCTACTTAGACAAACTTATTAATTTTTTGCCTTATTGCTTCGAGTTTTGGGCTTTTCAAACAAAGTCCTCACCTTTCTTAGATTTGTAATAAATTGATCCACATTCTAAGATATTTTATGATTTTTTTTACAAGTATTTGATTCACTAACACTGTTAGGCTAAGGAGTCAGAGAGGAACTCGCCCTTGTCATCTTAACAGGTACTGACCAGCTGTACTATCACCATTTGTTTACTAATCTCTCTTTTCCCAGGTAATTAGAAATCTCACCTTTACTTTACACTAAATTCCCTGTACATTTGAGTCTACTTCTGATTTTTCTTTGGTTCCACTGATTTCTTCTCTTATATCAAATTGGTTTACTTAATGGAGTTTCAAAATATGTTTTGATATCAGGGTAGACCTGGAAGTGGACATACTTTGGATGGGGCAAATGGAGAAGATCTTGTTGACTAGGTGACAGGTAGGCTGACGTTTGAAGAGTAGGAAGTAACCAGCTTTACAGAGATGAGGCAGGAGCATTCCAGGTAGAGGAAGCTGCATGTACAAGAGCTGGAGGAAGAAAACAGCTTGGCATGCATACAGGAGGTTAAACGAAAAAAAGGCCAGTGGTGAGCACATTAAACGAGGGAGAGAAGGATGTGAAATGGGATGGGGAAGCTAGGCCAGATTTTGTAGGACTTCGTAGACCATGGTAAGGAGCTTGGTTTTGTCCTAAGCACAAAGGGAAGCAGTTAATGAATTTGAAGTAGGAAACTGACATACTCCAATTTCCCAGAGGATGACATCGTCACTCTGGCTGTTATGTGGAGGTGGAGGGGACAGATGTGGAACTTTAAAAAATATCATCGGCTGGATGCAGTGGGTCACACCCACAATCCTAGCACTCTGGGAGGCAGAGGCAGGAGGATGATCTGAGCTGAGGAGTTTGAGAACAGCCTGGACAACTTAGCAAGACCTTGTCTCCACAAAAAAACGTGTGTGTGTGCGTAAATGTGTAAATATTTGGGCTTATCTATATTATAAAGTCTCAGCAAGTGAGCAAGTGATACATTTGCTGAGATGGGGAAGGCAGGTTTGGGAGTGACAGAGCCAGGATTAAATCAGGGTTGAGACACTAAGTTTGACAGATCTGGGAAATCCAAAAGCTGAGAGTGGGCAGGTGGTTCTTTGATATGTGTGGATCTGGAGCCAGAAGGAGGGGTCTAGGTGGAGACACCAATCCAAATAGGAATGTTATTCAAAATCACAGGAATGCAGGAGATGATGGAGGAGAAGTAGAGTGTGGAGAGAGAAGAAAAGAGGGCCCAGGACCAGGCCCAGAGGAGCATCAGCATTTCGAGATGGGTGGAGGTGAAGAAGTCTGCAGGACACTGGTGAGCTGGTGTGGTACGGAGAGCTGGAGGGCATGATCTCCAAATCCCACTTCTTCTTTTTTTAAATTTTTATTTTTATTTTTTTGAGATTGAGTCTCACACTGTCACTCAGGCTGGAGTGCAATGGCATGATCTCTGCTCACTGCAACCTCCACCTCCCGGGTTCTAGCGATTCTCCTGCTTCAGCCTCCTGAGTAGCTGGAATTACAGGTGTCTGCCACCACGCCTGGCTAATTTTTTATATTTTTAGTAGAGTCGGGGTTTCACTATGTTGGCTAGGCTTATCTCAAACTCCTGACCTCATGATCTGCCTGACTTGGCCTCCCAAAGTGCTGGGATTACAGGTGTGAGTTACCATGCCGGGCCTTTTTTTTTTTTTTTTTTTTTTTGAGACGGAGTCTCCCTCTGTCACTCAGTGATGTGAAGTGATCTTGGCTTACTGCAACCTCCCCATCCTGGGTTCAAGCAATTCTCCTGCCTCAGCCTCCTGAGTAGCTGGGACTACAGGCACATGCCACCATGCCCAGCTAATTTTTTAATTTTTTTGGTGGAGACGGGGGTTTCACCATATTGGCCAGGCTGGTCTCGAACTCCTGACCTCAGGTGATCTGCCCACCTCGGCCTACCAAGCTGCTGGGATAACAGGTGTGAGCCAACGCCTCACAACCCCACTTCTCAACCCTTCCATGGCTCCCACAGCACTTAGAATAGAGTCCAAATCCCTTTCCATTCTCATCGAGGCCCTGCCCCCTCTGGCTAACCTCCAGCTATAGCTACTCCCTACCTCTATCACCTTTTCTGGGACCTTCACGACAGCCTTCTTGTGCCTCTCCCTGGAATACCCACCCCAAACCCCTTATCCCTTGGATGTGACTCGTGTTCATGCTTAAGTTGCCTCCTTATCTTCCCTGAAGCTTCCCCTTGTCTTAGTCTATCCCAGCATCTTACTGAGTTCCTTTATCATGATTCACAACTGTGTATTTGTGTATACAGAACAGTGAGCGCCATTTGGGCAAGGATAGTTTCTTTTTGTATCCTTAGTACCAACCCAGTGCCTAGCAAATAGTAGAGGTGCAATAAACATATGACTCATAAATGAATGAATAAGCCCTTTTAATCTTCACCCTGGTCCTGTGAGGTAGGGATTATAACCTCTGTTTTGCTTTAAAAAAAAATCGAGGACATGAGACTCTGAACGACTAGGAAACCGTTCACAGGTTCCAGCACACTGAGAAGTGATGGGTGGGTGAAAGTATTGGTGAACCTGTTCCAGCCTCCAGATCACAGAGGAACATGAAAAGGTTGGCCAAGAGCCCCCGGTGTTCTTGGTGGCTGGTGAGCCCCGGGGCTGTGTAGGCAAGGGCCCAGCAGAGGGCAGCAGAGGGCTGCACTGGACTGGGATCACCGGAGGGAGCAGGCCCTGGGCGGAGCAAGGGGTGGGCGGCCAGGCACTGGGCTGGGACTCGGGGAGATGACCTTGTTTTGTCTAATCCTTTGTAGGACTCTAGAGTGCGCTGATGGAGCGCTTGAGGCAACGTTCCTATTTGTGTTTACATGTGCTGATCCTCACCACAGAGTATAAGGAAGCCGTCTTTCTTACCGTGGGGCCCTTGTTGGAAATGTCACTAAGTTTCTCCAAGGAGGCGGGAGGAGAGGACAGAGGACGGGGGTGGGGGTGACGGAGGGCCCTGAGGTGGAATGGTGAGTACAAATGTGCAAATGAGATTTTTGGCCTTGGCTGCTAGGGGACAAACGTCCTAGGGTGGCCTCCAGCAGTTAGCGCCAGGCAGGGAGCTGGGAAGGCTCTGAGACAGCTGAGTGGGGGAAATAGGAGGTCATAATTGGTTCAGGGACATACATTGTCAGAAATGATTTTCTAGGTTTCTTATGCTCTCTGAATGGATTTCCTTTCTCTTCTCCTTTTTCGTTAGGAAAGTTGTTAAAATTTCCACCCTATCATCTATGCTTAGGGGAAAAGGGATTTTGCTCATAAACGGGGGCGAGGGTTGGGGGATGGGGGAGACCCTTGGGGGCCAGCAAGGTGGTAGCAGCAGAGTCAGAATGGAAGGCCCCAACAAGAATTATATAATGGACAATGGGGACTGGTGGGGGTGGAGGGAAGGTTGGGAGGGGAGTAGGGATAAAAGACTACATATTGGGTACAGTGTACATTGCTGGGGTGACGGGTGCAATACAATGTCAGAAATCACCACTGATGGACTTATCCATGTAACCAAAAACCGCCTATACCCCAAAAACTATTGAAATAAAATAAAATAAAATAAAATTTTAAAAAATAATGCAAGGCACACTTAGTCCAGCATATGGTCTTCTCAACTAATACAAACATACACACACACTTATATGCACAATCACAACATACATGCTTACACAGTCACATCATGTGTACAATACACTCTCATACCCACAAACACACACCTCACACACTGACACATCACACATACACACTGACACAACACAATACACCCACACCCACACCCACACTGAAGAAGGGTCTTTGGGGTGAATATCTGCAGTTGCCATTGCAGGTTCCCCCATCCTATTGTGGTTTAAGTCTAGGATCAAACCAACTCTTAGTTTCAGGGGTCAGTTCCAATTGGCCTAAACCCATCAACATAATCCCTGCCCCCTTGGCATTCCCTTGGCCACTGCGATTGTTTTAGGGGTGGGCATACAACCACACTGATCCCCCAGACATGAGTGAGGAAGCGCTGAGCCCTGGACGCTGTCAGCTGCCTTGTGCTACCTCAAGGAAAGGCTGGTTTAGAAAAAGCTGACTGGGAGGCAGAGGTGAGAAACTTTCAGACAAGCAGAGTTGCAGCCCCCAAAACACTGGGAGCTCTCAACAGCCCGTGCCAGAAGCCCACGTTACCTCTAAACTTTAGATTTTGTAAACCAATACATTGTTTTGGTTGTTTAAGGCATTCAAGTTGGATTTTCTTTCCCTTCCTCCCTTCCTTCCTTCCTTTCTTTCATCTCACTGTGTCACCCAGACTGGAGTGCAGTGGTATGATCATAGCTCACTATAGGCTCAAACTCATGGGCTCAAGCAATCCTCCCACCTCAGCCTCCTGAATAGCTAGGATTACAGGTGGGTGCCACTGCGCCCGGCCATTTTCTGTTTCTTATACCTGAAAATCTCAGAATGGATCTACTGCTCCCAGAACTTTTTTATGGGAAAGCCCAGGAGGGGTCCAGCCTCCTCTTTAAGGAGGACTGCTCCTTCCTCCCCCTCCTTTGTCCTCTTGGTCCTCAAAGTAACCGCATGCACCTGACACAGTTCTTGGAGCCTTATGCATATAACAGAGAAGAAGAAAATAGTATTTAAAACCATGGCCCACTGTAGCCGCTTTGCCTTAAAAAGGAAAGTGACACAATTGAAATCTGTAACAAATCTCTAAATAGATCTTGTTCCTTGCAGAGGCCAAGATGAGATTCCAGCCAATGTTTGGAAATTTCAAAGAGCAGGAAACCTAGGCTGACATGGTGGCTCTCAGGGCACAGGATTATTATTTATATATATAATATATTCAATTATATCAGTATATATTATATATATTTAAATGTATTCATTTAATGAGTGAATTAAGCACCCTAAAAAGTGAGCATTGCTTTCCCCATTTTACAGATTATGAATGAGGCTCAGAGACAGAATCACCCACTCAGCTACAAAGGGGTGGAACTGGGCTTCCAAGCCAGGGCTTCTTGGCTCTAAAGTTTGTGGTTGCCCTTCCAGAACAGAATGCCATTTGCCACCCCCATAGCGGCCTCCTGCCTGTGATTTGGTCTAGGTGGGCTTCTCGGGAAGGGACATGTTAAAGAGGTAGAAGGCAAGTTTTATTTGTATGTTTACTTAACTTCTCATGTTTAGTTAAACTTTCATGGGAGTGACAGAGGGGGGATGGGGAGAATAGAGAAACTCTTTTTTTTCTGAGACAGAGTCTCACTGTGTTGCCCAGGCTGGAGTGCAGTGGCACGATCTTGGCTCACTGCAACCTCCACCTCTGGGGTTCAGGTGATTCTTGTGCTTCAGCCTCCCGAGTAGCTGAGACTACAGGTGCAAGCCGCCACCCAGCTAATTTTGTATTTAGTAGAGATGGGGTTTTGCCATGTTGGCCAGGCTGGTCTGGAACTCCTGGGCTCAGGTCATCTGCCCACCTCTGCCTCCCAAAGTGCTGGGATTACAGGCGTGAGCCACTGCACCTGGCAGAGAAACTCTTATACCAGGATTCTGATCATGGTAGGAAGGAGAAGCCCAGTGGGCCTTGGAAAGTCAAACTCTGCTGGGGAGGCAGTGTGGCATAGTGCTGGGCACACAGGCTTAGAGCCCAGCTAGACTGAATTCAAGTCCCAGGGCCACGGTGTATTAACCGTGATCTCACACAAGTTAATAAACCTATTAAGACTTGAGTTTCTATTAACCTATTAACTTAATAGGTTAATAAACCTATTAAGACCTTAAAAATGAGACCTACCTCCTAAGGTCTTTGAGGAAATCAAACCAAAAACCACAAGTAAAGCACTTAGCATAGTGCCTAGCATCCCTCAAATGATAGCTGTCATCATACACATTAAAATACATAGTGCTTGGAAGATTCGGAGGCATTCTAAAATCCCCTCCTGGTAAACGTTGCCATGCTCATATACTACGCCATACTGAGAGGGCACGGGAAAGCAGCTCATGCACAGTGCTTTTTTCTGTTTTTGGCGCTTGGGAGCAAGCTGGTGGGAAGTGCGGTGGGCTTCGACTCGGACTACCTCTGTCATTGTCTATTGGTATGAAAGGAGAAGGACCTGCTGACTATACAAAAGACCAGTATCCATCATGGAGACATGAGGACAGAGGGATTGAAATATATTTGGTTTTTCGGTGCCAGGAAGCCTGGCACAGAAGAGCTGGTTCTCAGAGATCCGGGTGCCCCCTATCTCTGACATCTGGCCCAGAAATCAAGCTGGAGGAGGTAGGAAATCTGATCACCATGCTTGGCCAGGACCTGTTCAGAGATTGTCAAGGCTGGGATAGGGGTGCAGGTCAGGTCTGCCCTGGGAGCTGGCTAGAAGGAAGGTGAGGCAGGCAAGGCACTCGGGGCACAGCATTTGAAGAGACACTCACTCTCAGGTGCTGACCCTGCACTTGCATGGGCCAGAGAAGGAGTGTCTTCTTCAATTCTGTGTCCTGGGTACCCCCCCTTGACTCCCTAGCTAGCAGGGAGAGAGAGAGAGAGAAAGAGAGAGAGAGAGAGAAGATGCAAGGAAGATGAAAGTCATAGTCCTTTATAGCCTAATCTCAGAAGTGACACCCCATCACTTTAGTCCTATTATGTTAGAAGCAACTCACTCTGTACAGTACACACACACACACACACACACACACACACACACACATGAGGGGACACACCAAGATGTGACTGTAACTGCCTATTGGGTTCTCCTTGCCTGCTGCCTAGACAGAGCCAATTTATCAAGACAGGGAAATTGCAATAGAGAAAGAGTTTAATTCACACAGAGTCAGCTGTGTGGGAGACCAGAGTTTTATTATTACTCAAAGCTGTCTCCCTGAAAACTCGAGGATTGGGGTTCTTAATGATAATTTGCCGAGTAGGGTGTCGGGAAGTGGGGAGTGCTGATTGGTCAGGTGGGATATGAAGTCATAGGGAGTTGAAGCTGTCCTCTTGCACTGAGTCAGTTCCTGGGTAGGGGCCACATGACTGGATGAGCCAGTTTATCAATCTGGGTGGTACCAGCTCATCCTTTGAGGGCAGGGTCTGCAAAATATCTCAAACACTGATCTTAGGCTTTACAATAGTGATGTTAGCCCCAGGATGCAATTTGGGAAGGTTCAGAATCTTACAGCCTCCAGCTGCATGACTCCTAAACCACAATTTCTAATCTTGTGGCAAATTTGTTAGTCCTGCAAAGGCAGTCTAGTTCCCAGGCAGGAAGGGGGTTTGTTTTGGGAAAGGGCTGTTATCATCTTTATTTCAAAGTTAAACTATAAACTGACTTCCTCCCAAAGTTAGTTCGGCCTGTGCCCAGGAATGAACACGGACAGCTTGGAGGTTAGAAGCAAGATGGAGTCAGTTAGGTCAGATCTCTTTCACTGTCATAAATTTCTCAGTTAAAATTTTTGCAAAGGCGGTTTCATGACTATCCAGATCATCAAGACCATTTCAGAAGTGGCCTACCACAGGAAGGGAGTAGAGGCAAACAATTGGGATTTACTGAGGTCTAAACATGTATGAGGGCATCTCATAATTATCCCATTAGGTTCTTTTTTTTTTTCGAGGTGTTTTACTCTTGTTGCCCAGGCTGGAGTGCAGTGGGAAGATCTCAGCTCTCTGCATCCTCCACCTCCCCACCTCCTGGGTTGGGCTCAAGCGATTCTCCTGCCTCAGCCTCACAAGTAGCTGGGATTACAGGTGTCCGCCACCACACCTGGCTAATTTTTGTATTTTTAGTAGAGATGGGGTTTCACCATATTGGCCAGGTTGGTCTCGAACTCCTGACCTCAAATAATCTGCCCACCTTGGCTTCCCAAAGTGCTGGGATTACAGGCATGAGCCACCGCGCCTGGCCCCATTAGGTTCTCATGTTAGGCTTGTGAAGAGACCGGCCTCTGTTATTCTCTGCACAAAAGAACATCGAGGAAGGTTCTGAGGAATTGAAGCCCACTTGGGAGGCCCATATACGTCTGAGGAAGACAAGTCTGACTTCTCTGAGAAACTACAAGTGGGGGCCCTGAGGTTGGAGCTCAGAGATTAGTCAAGTTTGTAGCATGGTTGGCAACTGACAGACAAGCCGACTTCAAACCCAAAGCCACTGCTTGAGTGGGGAAGGTGGAGACTACTCTCTTGTGATGAAATGTGTGGGGGACAAAAATGAGGCTGCAGGACAGCTCTGCAGAGGCTGAGGTTGGGATTGGAGTTATGAAGCCACTGCACACCCATGTTCCTGAATCATCCATGATGTTGTAAGAAACAGCCACAAGCTCCTACCAGAAGAAGTCCTCTGAGAAGCTGCCTCTATGCTTCTGGAAGGGTGTCAGTGGGCATGCCAGCCCAGCAGAGTGTCACCCTGATGGCTGCCTCAGACAGAAGCTGGAAGACGAGGTGGGTCCTGAGACGATCAGGATGGTCAGAATAGGAGGAACTTGTGCACAGAGGACAGCAAAGTGGGGACCGTGTGGAACTTTTGGAATTCCTAATAGATGGATCTATAAGCTAAGCTACCTTTCCTTAGCTTGTACGATTTTTGGAGTTTCCCCTACTGTCCTGGGATGCAGCTGTATTGATGTGACTGGAGGAAAGGTGACATCCTCTGTATGGGCTGGGTGTGGTGGCTCATGTTTGTAATCCCAGTGCTTTAGGGGGGCCAAGGTGGGAGGATCACTTAAGCCCAGGAGTTTCAGACCAGCCTGAGCAACATTATGAGACCCTATCTTTACAAGTAATTTAAAAATTAGCTGGGCATGATGGTGTGCACCTGTGGTCCCAGCTTCTCAGGATGCTAAGGTGGGAGGATCGCTTGAGCCTGAGAAATTGAGGCTGCAGTGAGCTGTGATCGTGCTGCTGCACTCCAGCCTGGGTAACAGAGCAAGACCCTGTCTCAAAAAAATAAAAAACAAAAAAAAAACAAAACCCGCAAAAAAACCTTATTCTCTGTAAGCCTTAGTTCCCATATCTTTAATGTGGTGATAAGGCCTACTCATCGTGTTATAGGAATTGAGGGATATAAGTTACGTCGTTTACAGTAGGTGCCTAATAAAAGCGAATTCTCTTCTCCCCCCCACCTTCTTCCTCTCTCCCCCCATTCAAAATGATATGGTGTGGTTTATCTGTACACAGTAGATTGACACTCAACCTTTATTACGTCTGCCTTCTAGTGAACTCTCCGGTAGTGCGAAGGCTGGAAAGCTAAAAACTACGTTTCCCAGATTCCCATGCGGTCAGGGGTCCGAGGGCGTTAAGGCTCAGCGAATCAGACGCACTGTGTGAGATTTGGGCGGAAGCCAACGAAGACCCTTGCCTGCTGCTCCCGCTGTTTCTGCGGGCACTGCCGTGAGGGGACTGGCACTGCAGCCCTGTCACCGTCCTCATGACGTTGGGAGGCGAGGGGCATCCATTCTGCTGGGGGCCGGTCCTGGTCAGAGGCGACCTAGCAGCCCCCTTATTGGCACGTGACCCAGGTTTCATTTGGGTAAGCCTTGCTGAAATCTCAACTTAAAGTCTCTTCTAAATCCCTCCTAGTAGTTTTGTAAGACACTTAATACTCTGTCATAAATCCTCTCTTGCTTAATCTGGCCAGAGTGGATTTTGTCTTTTCAGCTAACCAATATAAGTGGCATGGAGAGATTTTTATTGCCAAATTCCTCTTGGAGCAATCAGTCTGTGTGTTTTGGAAAGATGCCTTGATAAGGGCTTGCAAGGAGGGTAGTTCCCCCCACTCACACACCCCCCACCTCACTCCCACCCCAGCCCTCAGTGTCCTCTCACACTAAAGCTTTAGGAACTTTTTGAGTTGCTCCTGAAAAAGAGGAGAAAAGAGACAAAAGTATGGAGAGAAGGCAGAAGGACTCAGCAGATGGCAAAAGCGAGGTGTGGTATTATATGGCCCTTTTCCAGGAACCCCACCTCCACCCCATTTTTCTGCAAAGCCTGTGTAAATGCTTGCGGTGGTCAACTTTTTGTTGTGGAAATGAACGAAGTGACTGAATTTTATGTTGGGGAGAACGTACTATGGGGACAGAAGGGATGTGAGAGGAGGCCAGAGTTTTGAGAGGTAAAAAGACCAGGAGACTACGAGTCCTCCCAGGGGACCAGCAGATGTACTGGGGAGGGTGTTGAATCTCCAGTCCATGGGATTCAGAAGTCTAAGGCCATCTCACTTAGGTACTGAGGAGCAGAGGCCCTCTGCAGACAGCTGGAGTACACCTGAATAGCAATTAGGGCTGAGTCCTTTGCCCTCTGCTGGGCTCTTTACCTCACAACCTGATCTCCGTCTCCCTGAACTCAAAATACATAAGCTCCACAGCCCTTCAAAGTGTGAGTCACTTTCTCATCTATATTGACACGCATTTTGCTTATTGTTGTTTACCTTTTCTGCAAGACTGTCAGCTCCTGGAAGGCAGAGGCTTGGATCTAATTCATCTTTCAATCTTTAAAGTTATTACATGCAAGTGCTGTGTGTATGTGCCTTCGTGCATTTTTTTTCTGGGTAGAGTACCTACAACTTTAATCATATTCTCAAATGAGTCCAGGACCTAGAAAATGTTGAGAATCTGCATGAGGAAGTCCTTTGGGGGATGTCTGGATATTGTTTCTTGACTTACATGCAAAGGAGAGTCATCTTTCAAAAGTAAAATCCATCTTATCCTCAAGCTTGTCTTCCATTGAGGGTGTGCACCCACCGAGATCTAAAGCTCATGGGCTATGCAGGAAACCTAGACTCAGTCTCTGGTTTCAAGATTCTGTCAATTAGGGGTTCAGCCAAGCAATGCTTGTTTATAGCTTCTTCCCCAGGACGCCTTGCCCTGCATTCAGAGAGGTTTACAAGCCAAGCCGACACCAAGTGAGTCCCACTGTGGGTGGGATCCATGGCTGCCATGTGCTTTCCAGCCTGCTGTCTCTTAAGCTGTAAATATTTATCAAGTGAATGTGGGGATGTCAGGCTCCAAAGAGTGTCTAGGGCAGTGTGTGGGTGTGTGCGGGGGTGGTGCTGGAGAGTGAGAGCCCCATGAAAGCTGGTATGTGATGGTGATGCCTTAAGACAAGAATGATAATAAAAACCCCATCATGAGTCTGTATCTCAGCAGCTCAGGGCTGGTGGGAGATGAGCTCTGTTCTAACCTGCACATCTCAGGCCAGAAACCATGGGCAAATGTCGGCAAAGCAAAGCTGGGTTCCTGACAACTGCTGAGCTTGTAAACTTTCTAAAGTTCCCATATTTATCTCTGAAATTAATCCAGTGACACTTCTATTTGGCTGACAGCATGGTGTGTGGGTGTGTGGATGAGTTCAGTAAGGGAGACAATAAAAGACTGGAGGGGGCCAGATTAATTTTTGGTTGGCATTTTATGAGTTTTAACTTGGAGTAATTGGTTGTTAAAATGGAACTGTGTAACTCTCAGTTGCAGCTGAGGCTCCAAAATCCCTGAACTTTCCAAGGTAAGATCACCTATGCCCCTCACACACTTAAGGATATAAAAGAGTTGAAGTAAAGGTGGCCAGGAGAAGCAGGCATTGGAGGAAGAATTTGATGAAAGGTATCTGTGTGCTTTGAGTACCCCCACAACCCTCCAACTCTAGAAGGGGTTGTGGAAGGTCTGAGAATTTTTTTTTTTTTTTTTTTTTTTTTGAGACAGTCTTCCTCTGTCACCCAGGCTGGAGTGCAGTGGCGTGATCTCAGCTCACTGCAACCTCCACCTCTCAGGTTCAAGTGGTTCCTGCCTCAGCCTCCTGAGTAGCTGAGATTATAGGTGCATGCCACCACAATCAGCTAATTTTTGTATTTTTAGTAGAGATGGTGTTTCACCATGTTCGCCAGGCTGGTCTTGAATCCCTGACCTCAAGTGATACACCTGCCTTGGCCTCCCGAAGTACTGGGACTGCACCCCACCAGGTCTGAGCATTTTCTACTCTCAGGAAGCCACCCGACTACTCTGTACAAGTGCCACCCCACAGCCATGCCATACTAGCCACAATCTCATAGTGAAAGGATGTCCCACTCTTTCTCTGGACACCCTTGAGTCGGGATCTGAACAATGGGGTTGCTGCCACGTATGATGCCAAGAAAGCACACACCTCCACGTCAGAGCTTGTCAGAAGAAATAGCAAAAGGCATGGGAGCTCAGCCCACGCCTGACTTCTGCCCTCCATGTCTTGCTTTAGCACATCTCATTGGCAGGACCTAAATCCTCTCGGAAGGGTTGCCTGCAAGGCGTCTGGGGGATGTAGTTTTCTTTCATGAGCCTCTGCAGTGCAGGAAGGCTCACCAGGAGGAGGTAGGCATGGGTGCCGAGCATCAGTTCACCTTGGTTAACACACTCCTACTCATGCTCCAAGGCCCACATCAAGGTCCCCACTGAGACTCCTATCTCACTGTCACCTGCCCCCACCCCAGTAGAAAACTTCCTCCCTGTGATCCCTGGTTTATTGTAATCCAGGTAACATATCAGTCTCCTGTGTTAAGCTGAGAGTTTCTTGAGGGCAGGGATTTTGATTCATTTCTATGTCTCTAGCACCTAGTACAAAGCCAGATAAGTCATATCTGTAGTGGTTTTAAAACATGCCCACAAATGTTTTGATACTTCTCTCTTCATTTTTTTTAAGGCTAGTCAAATGAAACAGTGGGAGGAGAGAAGAAAAAAAGAAATCTGTAACTAGTTGTGATCAATCAGTTGTAAACACCACTGCATTCAGACCTGCCTATGTCTCTCTTCAAAAAGTAGAACCTAATTCCTCTCCCTTTGAGTATAGGCTAGACTTACTGACTCGCTTCTAATGAATAGAATGTGGTGGAAGTGATGCGTGACCCTGAGACTGGTCATAAAAGATACGACTTGGTCTCTCTTGGATCACCAGCCCTGGGGGAAGCCGGCTGCCATGTTGTGAGGACACTCAAGCAGCCCTCTGGAGGGATCTACATGTCAAGGAACTGAGGCCTCTTTTCCCCAACCAGCGCTAACTTAAGAGGCATTTTCCTCTCCCGAGAGGGAACCTCTTTCTCATCTAATGTGGGAGGGCATTCAAGTCTCTTGTCTTCTCTGATCCATTAATGTGGTTAAAAACCACAGCCTGTTGACTCATCCATCCTCTTTGTTTCCTATGAGTTGAGGCATGGTGCACAAAAGGAGAAGGAATCAAGGGTGGACAAAATAGAACTAAGGCTGGGAGTTCCCTGTTCTCATCAGCGTTACTGGTTTTGGTTTGGCCAAGTCCGACTAATCTCACTGAGGAAGGTGAGGAAGGACACCTGCAGTTCAGAGCCCCCTTACCTCTCCTCATCAAAGAGAAGCTTGTGGTCCTGGTGAACCCCAGAGTCTCTGGCACGGGTCACACCTGAGGAAGAAGAGCTCATCAAAGAGTAGCTTTGACTGGGCATGGTGGCTCATGTCTGTAATCCTAGCACTTTGGGAGGCCAAGGCAGGAGGATTCCTTGAGCCCAGGAGTTTGAGATCAGCCTGGGCAACATAGCTAGACCCTGCCTCTACAAATGATTAAAAAATTAGCTGGGCATGATGGCATGTGCCTGTGATCCCAGCTACTCAGCTTCAGTGAGCCATGTTTGCACCACTGCACTCCAGCGTGGGTAACAGACCAAGACCCTGTCTCAAAAACAAACAAACAAACAAACAAACAAAAAGCAGTCTTCCAGGCCTGGACCACCCTAGTTGGCCTGCATGCAAGCAAGTGATCTGGAAAGGCTGCACCCCACAGCCGAGAGAGAGAAGGGTTGTTACCCAGCAGTAATGCAAGAGCATTTAATGCAGGCGCATTAAGCCCAGCTCTCCAAGCAACATCTCCAACAGGAAGGCCCTCCTTTTCTCTGTTTCTTGAGGCAGTTGGGGATAAATGAGCAGCTGCCCTCAAGCAAACCAGCTGAGTGTAGAAATTTACTTCTTCAAGAAGGCAGGGCCTTGGCATTCCTTGACCTGCTTTTCCCATGCTGAAATCCTGTCTTTTTTGTTTCTAATTACACAACTAATACATTTTCATTACTAAAAAAAGTTTAAACAGTACAATTATATGGAGTAAAAACACAATGTTCTTGACAGCCTACCCCCCAGTCTCATTTCCTCCCTGCAGGTAACTATGGCTAACAGTTTGACATGTAGCCTGCCAGACCGCATGGATATAGAAGTATCACACTTTATATGTTGCCCTGCAACCTGGCTGTTTTTTTCTTCTGTTCATCTTTTTTCATGTATGTACGGAAAGAACTCACTCATTTTTCTAAGAGCTGTGAAATATATCATAGTATATGCAAGAGGAAGAAACTTCTGTAGAGTGAAGAGTATGGGTGTTGAATGGGGAGTTCCGCTGAGCACCTAGAAGGGTTTGGATGGTGAGGGTTGGGGACAGAGTAATGGAGAGCTGAATTACTCTTTCCAATAGAGGGGAGGGAATCTGGAGCTTCTGAGGCTCCCTGGGGTGGAGGGAGAATGGGGGAAGGAAGAGGTTGCTGACAAGATGGAATATGAGTGCCCTCCCCACAGTGGTCCTCCCCACAGCCCTCACATCTTCAACAAGTTTACTAAATCCATGAATGAACATATTCCCCACCTAATATCTCAAGGATGCACTATAGCTCTTGGGACGTTGTTTGTTAAATTGTTATTTCCAGGTCTGTAAGAATTATGCTGCTACTTATGTTTCTCTGTGTGGGGAGGTAGAAAGAAACCATAGTTTAGGATATGCGTTTCTGAAATCTGAGAATGGAGATGATCTTCACAACGTCTGGCAGAACAGCACATGAATATGGCGGCCTGCTGTGTGCCAGCCCTTGTGCTGCACTGAAATGCCAAGGAGGCTGAGCTGACTCAGGCATCAACCTCAGCGCCCAGCCCCACAGGGCCGACAAGCTTAGGGGTCAGGCATGCATACAGAGAGCGGCCACACTGGGCGCGGTGGCTCACGCCTGTAATCCCAGCACGTTGGGAGGCCGAGGCAGGTGGATCACCTGAAGTTGGGGGTTCGAGACCAGCCTGACCAACACGGAGAAACCCCATCTCTACTAAAAATACAAAATTAGCTGGGTGTGGTGGCTCATCCCTGTAATCCCAGTTACTTGGGAAGGCTGAGGCAGGACAATCGCTTGAACCCGGGAGGCAGAGGTTGCTGTAAGCTGAGATCGTGCCATTGCACTCCAGCCTGGGCAACAAGAGTGAAACTCCATCTCAAAAACAAAAAACAAAAAACAAAAACAAGAACAAAAACAGAGAGTGGCCACAAATACTAGGAGAGCCACAGACAGGGAATTACAAGCATGTGATGCCTCTGCCCCACTCCCCACATTCACTCTTTTGGCAAATGTCCCTGATTGATCACGGAAGTATTTCTTGCTGAGCCCAGAAGCTGATTCGGAATCTTCTTAACACAGTGCTACAGGCAGCTGTCACCAATCAGTCAGAATTGGATGGTTGATGGGATTTATTTGCCACCCTGCTATAGGTTCAACTTAAAATGGGATTCTGAAATGTTGCCTTTTACAGAAATTTTATTTTTCTTTCTTTCTTTATTGTTATTATTATTTTTTGAGACCTAGTCTCACTCTGTTGCCCAGGCTGGAGTGCAGTGGCATGATCTTGGCTCGCTGCAACCTCTGTCTCCTGGGTTCAAGTGATTCCCGTGCCTCAGCCTCTGGAGTAGCTGGGATTCCAGGTGTGTGCCACCACGCCCAGGTAATTTTTGTATTTTTAGTAGAGACAAAGTTTTGCTGTGTTGGCCAGGCTGGTCTCAAACTCCTGGCCTCAAGTAATTTACCTGCCTCAGCCTCCTAAAGTGCTGGGATTGCAGGTATGAGCCACCATGCCTGGCCAAAAAATTTCTTCCCACTGGCATGGTGGGAAGATGGGTGAGTGGAGCTCAGAGGGGAAGCAAGTCCCCTGCACCCACTTCCTGAGGCTGGCCTGGGTCGCATCTGGTGAGCCTGGAAGCCCATATTGGAAGCCCTAGGCACTTGAGGAAGCAATGGTGGCTGGCTGATAGTGGCAGGGGAACCTCAGGAAGGGGCTGGAGCACATCTGCTGGGCCAGTTGGTATGCTATCTGCCAGGAAGTCAGGGCCTGGAATCAGAAGAGAAATGAGGGGAGTGTTCTGCCCAGCAGCCGTTAAAGGCCTTTCATGATCCTTGGACTTGAACCAGACATCACAGGGCCAGAAGATGTGAAAGCCCACACGAAAGCCACATGAAAGCCCACAGCAGCTCTATGCCTGCCGTTGAGTGAACTGCCTTGCACAGGGTTGGTCCCCTTTGCTTCATTTGTCCAACAGTAGTTACTTCTCTGGAAGTTAGGCAAGAAGCGCCTGCTCTTCTCTATCTCATTCCCACCAAAGACCCAAGGAATCATCCTCAGAGACCAGTTTCCTCTGACTTTAGGGCAGCGTCTTCCCTGAGGGGCTCCTGTGGCCTCCCACACATCCCACCTTCTGGTCAGCCCTGGGTCACTCTGACCTTGAATTGCAGCTTCCCTGGTCTCTGTGGGTCCCAGATCCTGCCTTTTTGCCCCTTGTCTTGCGCTTGTATCTCCTCAGGCCCCATCCCACATAACTGCTCACCTGTCTCCTGCCTACCCAGGATCCTCACAGGCTTCTCTTAGTGCCCAGGCCACTCCCTCTACAGAACAGTGACCCAACCTGCCAGATCCTTGAATACTGGCCTCACCTTCAAGCATCCTTCTACCAGCTGGGCCACAATTGTCATCCCTCACTGGGCTGTCGGCCCCAGCTCCTGTGTGGCCATCTGGGAACTGCCGGTGGTCGTCTGTCCAGAGTGGTCTGGGCAGGAAGCCCGTTTGTGTTTACAATACAATGAATTGGGCACATCTACACGGGAAGTACAACCACCAGGCATGGCTCACTGGAGCCCAGGATGCATGGTAGCATCACTCATAAGGACATCCCTTCTGTCTAAGGCAGCAATGGCTGGTGTAGAGAAAAGAACAGGGACTTCAGAGTCAAGCAGACTTCACAGTCAAGCAGCGAAGTTCAAATAATGGCTCATCCACTTAATACCCTGGATGAATCTCTTAACTCTTCAGAGCCTCGCAGTTCTTATTTGGAAAATGAGGCTAAATAAAAATATCTCGCTCACTGAGTTGTCATAAGGATGACTGAAATAAGTGAGCATGATTTACAGCGAGGATTTTTAAAGTGTGTTAGTTTCCTGTGGCTGCCATAACAAAGCACTGCAAATTGGGCGTTTAAACAACCAGAAATTTATCATCTCACAGCTCTGGAGGCTGGAAGTTCAAAATCAAGGTGTCCCCAGGGTTGGTTCCATCTGAGGGCTGTTAGTTAAGCATCTGTTCCAGGCCTCTCTCCGTGGTTTGGAGATGGCCGTCTTCTCCCTGTATGTGTGTCTCTGTGTCCACATTTCCTTTTTTTTTTTTTTTTTAAGTTAGGACATCCATCAGTCATATTGGATTAGATCCTCTCTTAATGACCTCATCTTAATTAATTACATCTGCAACAACCCTATTTCCAAATAAGGTCACATTCTGAGGTGCTGATGGATAGGATTCACCATATGAATTTGGGGGTGGCACAATTCAACCCATAATAATAAGCTGTCACTATTTGTCATCAGTTTTACTAAAGCCCTGGTTATTGATGGGATTTTAGTGGAACTAAATGGTAACCATTCAGCCTTTTCCAGTAAGCTGCATTCTCCTTGAGATATCTGTTGTATCAGTCACACACTGGTAGTAACAGGTCAGTTGGTGGCCCCACCAGCCTCCAAGTCCATGTGTAGAAGCCAAATGCTAAAAAAGTCCCCCACCCCTTTTTCTCTAAACTGTGGTGGCAGTGATGGGCTCCCAAGTGTCATGCAGGCTACACCTGAGCCAGGTGCCCATGTTGGATCCTTAGGGTCTGGGGCCTCCTTCGGACCCTACCTCCAACCCAAGCCACTATGAAGATGCTTCATGCCTCACTGCAAATTCCAGTCTGACTGGGAATTCTTTCCCTAAGAAGTGGAGGGGATGGCAGCCCTAGGGAAGCCTCCATCTCCCTCCCTGTTCTGTAGGAGAGCTGGATTCCCACAGAAGCAGCGCCCAGCAGCTGATAAGCAGCCTTTCTTATGCCACATGGAAGGCAATGGGGAAGTGGAAAGCCCAAGGGACACTGGGTGTGATGCAGGTGGAACAGAAGAGCTTCCGTGACCAATAAGTCTTCTGCACACCCAGTCCATCTTGGCAGGGTTAGCTGAAGCCTAATGTCTTGGCTGATTCTCCCTTCCCCCACCTCCAAGGGGAGCCATATTCAGGAAAACCGCTCTGAAAGTAAGGCCCAAGAGTGGGGAGCTTGAGTGTCTGTGGGACATGCACTTCTTTTTTTTTTTTTTTTTTTGAGACAGAGTCTTACTCTGTCACCCAGGCTGGAGTGCTGTGGCACTGTCTCGGCTCACTGCAACCTCTGTCTCCTGAGTTCAAATGATTCTTATGCCTCAGCCTCCCAAATACCTGGAGTTACAGGCACGCGCCACCATGCCCAGTTAATTTTTGTATTTTTAATAGATAGGGGGTTTCATCATGTTAGCCAGGTTGGTCTTGAACTCCTGACCTCAAGCGATCCACCCACCTTGGCTTCCTAAAGTGCTGGGATTATAGGCATAAGCCACTGCACCCAGCCTAGGACATGCACTTTTGGTGTCAATGTCTCAGCAGCTCAGCACCCAGATGACCTGTAGTTTGGAAAGGTGTCGTGTCTACTTCTCACCAGGTCAAGGATCTGTCTCTGAATGTTGCAGCAGGATTTGTGAGGCTGGAGACAGCTGGGGATTCCTAGTGAGCCCCTGGGGAATGGCCAAGCCCGAGGCTGCTGTTACTTTGCTCTCAGCTTCATCTATGAGGCTGTGCTAGTTTTGTGGAGGACACAGGGCCTCTCTCTTCTCTCTCTTCTATTAAGGGAAATTGGAATTTTCTTTCTAATTTCATCTTCTAGCTCAGCTCTGATTCAGCAGATATTTATTGAGTATCCACATCATGCTAGCAATTACAGCTGAATAATAATATATGATCCAGACTTCAAGGAGTTTACATTCAAGTGAGGGTTAAAAAAAGACGTGGAAAAGCATTCACTGAAGCATAGGCAGAGAGCAACAAGGGCAGCTATTTAGGTGATGGGAAGTACCAAGAGGCAGAGAGAAAAGAGCGGTTACTTCCAATTAAGGCACCTGGAAGCCCCATGGAGGAGGTGGTATTTGTTTTGAATTGTGAGGAATGGATGGGATTTCAATGAGTGAAGAGGGAGGAGTGGAAAGAATGAAAGAGCAAAGTTGGGAAGGTTGAAACATGCAGGGCGTTATAGAAGGGTAGGTATTCAGGTGTGGCTTGAGCATAGGATGGTGCTAGGGATAGGGTGAAAGATGAAATTCGAAAGGAAAGTTGGGCCTGGATCATGTAGGATCTTGGGTGTCCCATGGAATGATTTAGATTTCATTCTATAAGCAACGAAGACAACATCTAGAGATCTGGACCAAGTTAACAATCTGATCAGAATGCTTTCAGAAGATTCACCAGGCATCTTTCTGTGCCATGGATTTATATAGTAGAGCTGGAGGCAGGAAAACCACATTACGGGCTGCGGCAACAGTCCAGGAGAGAGACGAGGCGAACATTAAGATGGCTGGGGTGGGTTTCACAGATGAGGAATAAGAGCAGACGAATGGTTACTTAGAGCAGGACAAGCAGAAGGGTCTTCCCCCTCCTACCCCGTAGCTGAGCAGGAGCTATTGGATGTGACCCAGTGGCAGGTCACACCAAGGATTCTGGCTGGTATATGCAGTGATGTACTGGTAAGCAACAATTATTTCATGTCCCTCACCTGCATGAACTAAGTTGGTAGAGCATCTTAAGTGGTGAGCATGAGGCAGGGAAGCCCAGTCGGCAATAGCTGGAACTCCAGGCAGGTATCCTGGAGCCAGGTGCTCTGTTATTGGCCCTGCCTAGCTGTGCAGCTTTGACCAGGCATTTTCTCCATTCAGCTGCATACTCAGGTCTCTTGGTCAGATCAGCCAGTGTCTAGGCTAGCTTGTGGCTTCCAGGTTTGCCCTTATTCAGGTGGTATGGTGCAAGAATCGCAAATTCCATCCTCCAGCCTGATCTCTGTAGCCACTGCTTCTTCACCAAAGTCATCCACATTTTCCAAGGCCCAGGATTCCGTTGTGAGAAAGATATGGAAGTGCCAGCCGGTCTTGGGCCCTTTGGGATCCTCTGTCATCCTTAGAGACATGTCTTGGGTCTTCTAATGATTTCATTGCTCTTCCCATGAAATAGGAATGGGGACTGGCGGGCAGCCACTCAGCTTCATCTATGAGGCTGTGCTAGTTTTGGATAGCCTCAGCAGATGCCTTGTTACATGCAGATGCAGGGGCCAGGCAGATGGTGCACTTCCATCTGGCCAGGTCTGGCAAAAAGACGAGGACCCACCTCTTCTCCTGAAGCCAGTGGCAGCTAGGCCCACACTTTTCCAACTGCACTAGCTTCTTCATTGCTGGCTCTGTAGGAATGGCTCTAATTTGTTTAGTATCTCCAGCTACTCCACCTCTCAGAGATACTCCATTCTTCAAATGCTGGACATTGAAATTGGGTTTTGGTTTATTTGTTTTTTTCTTTTTTTTTTTTGTTCATATTCTCTAGGATTTTTGTACCTCTACTGATGAGCTACAATCCAGAGAGGCTTTGATGAAGCCATTGGCCTTCTTTTCAAATGGAGTGAAAAACTTGCCCTTGTAACCTAATTGTCAGGTCCCCCCTTAGTATTTGAGCTTTGGGAAAGATTGCTCCCAATCCCAAATTCCACAGTCTAGGTAAGTCCAAAGCATTCCCCAAGTCTACTGTGACTCCTCATGGTGCTTATCCTTCTGGGCTCTTGCAACTGTGCAAGCCATCTCTGATCCAAATGCTCATGTTTCCTGTATGCACAATTCATCCCTTCACTAGGACTACAAGGAATCCACTCACAGGGAGTATTTATGAACTTAGCAGAGGGAGGGGGTCACCTCACAAACCCCAAAGCCTTCTCGTTGGTGTCTCTTTCTTATTTCTGTCATGTCTTCCTCCAGAGTGTTGTCTCCCTTCCTCCTTTACAACACAGAGCTGTCCCCCACCTGACACCTCTTTCCCAGCTGACACTCAGATCTTTGAAGCTCCTCTTCTTGCCCTAATAGTTCTCAAGGTGTTTTCCTCAACAAAACCATTTTCTTCCTAGAAAAAATTCTAAAGCATCAACTCTTACAATAATAAAAATTTCTCTCTCTGATTTCACATTTCTCATACGCAGGGTTGGGGGTTTTAAGAAATTCCGTTTAGCCATTAGGATGTGATTTAACAGGAACCCAATTCAAAGTGGCCTAAATGATAAAGATTATTGTTATCTCACATAATTGGAAGGCCAGAGACAGGTTGGCTGCAAGCTTCAGGGCCTCAGCTCTATCTCTTTTTTCCGTTCCAGGCTTAGTCTTGGACGATAGCAAGATGACTGCTGCAGTTCTAGGCTTCGTAGCAGACTCCACAATGTGCCAGACAAGAAGGGATAGTCTCTTCCCATAGCTCTTCTTTATAGGGAGGAGTCATTTCCCAGAAGTCCCTGAGCAGACACTGCCTTCCCATCTCATTGGCCAGGTTTGGGCACATGTCTAAACCCGTGGCTGGAAACCGGGGTGGGATCTGTGACTCGCTTAAATTAAGCAGGAACAATTTTCTGCCGCTGATGGGGTGTGGAAGGCATGCAGTGAAGCATGAGGCTGTATGGAGGAGGATGGACATCCCAACAAAGATGGGGCACCTCAGCATTCCTGCTGTTCTGCCTCCTGGCCCTGCCTGATGGCAGTTTGTCCTCCCCCAGTATCCCTGTCTGTTCCTATACCCGCAACCAGAGGGGAACCTGCCAGACCTGAATGTCTCTGTCTTTACAGGTCTCATCCCACCTCTGCACCAAGGGCAACCCATCACCTTCCTGGAGTAAATTATTCTTATGATTTGAGGAGTTCGTATTCTCATCTGTTTTTCTGTTTACAACATGCTAGCAGCCTTCTGCAAGTAATTGCATGAAATATTTTTTGAGAGAAGTTACAGGCATTTGGGGGATTCCAAAACTTCCAGTTCATATAAGCTCATAAGAGTCTTTATTTTTTATCTGTATGTATATATTTTTTTGCCTTTCACTGGTTAGGACAGTGGTTCTCAAATTTCCATGGGAATTTCTTAGAAAGCCTGTTAGAAACGACTGTGCCCTCCCCCACTCCCTGTCTGCAATCTGGAGTAGAATCTAGGAATGTATATTTAAAGTATGTATCAGAGGTGACCACATGTTGAGAAACACTATTTTAGGAGAAGGCATACCAATCGAACCCTGCTTTGATAGATTACTTGAAGAGGGGGAGCAATTCTAATTTCATATAATTTCATTTTTGTTTAAACGAGGGACTTGAGGAATGCAAAAGCAAAGGTAATATGAATTTTAGATCATCAGGACTTTTTTTCCTTTAAGTACATTTACAACTCAGAAAACAAATCTCTCACCAGGCTGTCTTCCTAACTAGACTTCAGGATGTCATTTGTTCGGATGAAATGGTAATTGCTTGTTTTCCAAATGCCAAGTGTTGGGCTGCTTAAGACCTTGAACAGTCTGGGCCTGGAGAGAAAAGACTCTGGTACTTGGAGTATTTTCAGGGTGTTGAAGTCCCCGAGTTGGTCTTCCCTGAATAGGTTTGTTTCTTTATAAATGGGGACCTCTCCTTGTGAATTAGGTCAAGTTAACATGGACTGCAAACTGGCTGCAGAGTCTGCTTCTGGGGTTCTGCCCCTCTTGCTCCATTTCCCGGCAGAGTTGGAAGCTCCCAGTGTGGAGGAGGGGGATACGGTAGAGAGGCAGTGAGTCACAGAAGGTGGCCACTCTCAGCAGGTCAGGGAGCAGATGGAATCAAGGATACTCCAGGGTAGCCTCCATCTTTTGAGTTGGAACTGGGCAGCTTTAAGTTTCGACTTTCAGGGTGTGGAGATGGAGACTGGAGATCCTCTTCCCCTTTGGAGAAGGTTCCCAGCACTGCAGCAGCAGAGGGAGCATCTGAGAAAACAGGCAGAGACATGAAGAAAGACATGCAAGGGGCCGAGGCCTTTCAGTCCCTGATGCCTGGTCCCCCTCTGCCAGAGAACATAAGCAACAGAGTCCATTTTAGAAGTCTCTCCATGGCTGTTATGGGGGGACTGGATTGGACAGAAGCAAGAAACAAGGAGACTAGTTGGGAGGAAGTAGAAAAAAGTATATGCTTATTGAAGGAATGAATTTTGTGCTGTGATATTAAGCTGTGGCTTTGGGTCCCTGCTTTGGGCAAAGGCCACTTGCACCATGTTCCTTGGGGACTGCGGTAGGCCATCAGACTTCTGGAAGAGTAAAACCCTTCTCTTCCTGCTCTCCTCCACTGACCCTGTAGATCTCCACTCTTCCTCTTCCTGGGAAGTCCCTGTGGCTGTAGCCCCTGAGATCCCATCCTGCTTTTCTCTGTGCTCTCTGGTGTGTTTGGAGCTCACTCTCAAGCTGGTATTAAGCCTGGTTCTGCTTTGGTGAACCCCACTTCGTTGCCTTTTGTAGTCTGAGCGTGTCTTGCTTAATAGCAAACACTATTTTTTTTCATAGCCTGTTTGGCTCACACCACATTTTTAGCCCACCAGAATTCCCACCCCACCCCTCTACATCCACATTTGAAACACAGGCAGGTAATCTCTGGGCCATGGGGTGACAGCTTACGTGCAGAGCCAAAGTGGCTGCCAAAGTCTATACACCTTTGAGGGGGTTACCCACTCTCCTCAGGCCCTTGCTGCTCTCAAGGAACCCACCACCTAGGTGCTGTGTCCCCAGAGTTCTGCCCTGCAGTTTTCCAATCCCAGGATGCTTAAACATTCAGAAAAAAAAACAGGCATTATTCCTGTCCGTGAAAGCTGAGGGAGGTCTCTAGCACCCTCAAAGCTAGCTTTTGGGCCAGGCATGGCGGCTCACGCCAGCACTCTGGAAGGCCAAGGCAGAAAGATCACTTGACACCAGGAGTTTGAGACCAGCCTAGGTGGCCGGGCGCAGTGGCTCACGCCTGTAATCCCAGCACTTTGGGAGGCCCAGGCGGGCGGATCACGAGGTCAGGAGATTGAGACCACGGTGAAACTCCGTCTCTACTAAAAATACAAAAAATTAGCTGGGCGCAGTGGCGGGCGCCTATAGTCCCAGGTACTCGTGAGGCTGAGGCAGGAGAACGGCGTGAACCCGAGAGGCGGAGCCTGCAATGAGCCGAGATCGCGCCACTGCACTCCAGCCTGGGCGACAGGGTGAGACTCCATCTCAAAAAAAAAAAAAAAAGAAAAAGAAAAGAGATCAGTCTAGGCAACATAGCGAGATCCTATCTCTATTAAAAAAAAAAAGATTTTTTTTTTTAAAAACTAACTTTTGGAGAATCTAAAGCAGGCTTAGATGCTTTGCGAAGATATCTTTTTCTTCTACTCTAGAAGAAGGAAGGAAGATCACAAAGGAAGGCTCAGATCCAAAGTGAATTCTTTGTCTAGTGCATGGTTTATTTTAAATGGGAAAGTTCAAGGTTACAAAAACAAATGATTTGTATGGGGCATTTGTGAATTCTGAAGCATAGATATTTCTTCATGTTTGAAAGATGTGCTCAGATATTTGTGCGATTTTTGTCATTGTTGAAATAAAAGAGGTAGTGAGGCTGTGGAACATTGCACTTAGCATGATGTAAAAAATAAATAAACAACAGTACAGGCCCCAGTGTCCCAAGGAAAGGGAGAAAATGTGGTCCTGTTTGGTCTTCCTCTCACATGGTCCCGGAACACCTCAATGAAAAGTCTCTTCCTGACATACCAAACCGTGAGTTGGATGGCTTTACTGATTGAATGGAATAAATTGGCCAGGTAAGCTGTTGTCAAGAAGACTGACCTGCAGAAGTGGAATGCTTACTTTTTCTTTGTCCTTAACTATTGATTTTGTTAAAATCTCTTTATATGACCTTGGCGTTAGATTGCATTGACTTGATTAGATAGCTTTTGGAAATGAATTTCTTGGGGAAAGAATTGAATTCAGTGTCAGTAACTGGATTAAAGGAAAGAGATGGGCCTTGGGGTGTTGAGGCCTAGCCCTACCATACAGCACCCGTATGATCTTGGATAAGGCATTTCAATTCTCTAAGTTTCATTATCTTAACAGGAAAATGCAGACCAAACTCTTTTTGTGAATATGCTTTGAGAGTAGATGATGTATATAAATTGCCCTCTATGGTATCTGGTATTATACAAAGTAAGTCTTTGATATTTGCTTGTTTTCCTTTTCTCCTCTGTTCCTCTTCCTATCTCCCTCTTCAACTTCTGCTTGTGTCCAAGATGTTCATCTTTAGCACCAAAGGAGAGATGTTTTTCGAGGGCATGTCTCAGAAGCTGAAAGACTGGCTGACTGGTTTCCTTCAATGTTTATGACTTTCCCATTGGACTCTGAAATGTGGCTCTGAAAATCTTTGTGTCTGTAGCTGCATGTCAGCATAAATACTCACACTTGATTTTTGGAATTAAGGTAGAGTGGAAGAGAATATGAGCTCTGGAGCTAAACTATCTGTGTTCAAATTCTAACTTTGCCACTTACATGACCTTGCATAAGTCACTACCCTCTAGGTGTCAGTTTCCTCATCTGTAAAATGAAGATAAGAATAGCATTTAACTTACAGAATTAACATGTGGTGAAACAGCTTAATATATATAAATACTCAGAACAGTACCCAGCACTAGAAGTAGCATTTGAATGTTGGCTACAGTGATGATGATGGGATGGTGATGATGATGGTGGTCTCCCCTGTTAGACTATAAACCTGAGGCAGGGAGTATGTCTAATTTGTGCCCCATGCCTAGCACCCAGCACAAGGGCTTAGTCCATGAAGGAGACCCTCAGAAAATGCTTGTGGGATGAATAAATGCCTGCATGAATTAATAATATGAAAATAATAAGGGATCAGTGTGCCAATAAGGCAGACGCATGTGGGTGCTTCATATGTGTGTATTTTCCTTCTGGGTGAGAGTTCTTCAAATATTCTAGTTTCATTGTGAAATTTTTGGAGGAATTAAACCCAAAGAGCTTAAAAATGTATAAGATTTGCATTCAGATTCCATGGCAGGGACTAAATGCCAAGGGTTGAGCACCTTTGTAGGGCAGGGGCACTCCTGCATAAGGCAGGTCACAGCCTGGGATCAGACAGGGATTAATGTGGGTCAGGTGGGATGGATCCTGGAGAGGTGGTCTTCATGCCATCCAACCAGGACCTGGAGCATCCTGGAATCATAGGAGTCTGACCTGAGGCTAAGCAGGACCCTGGGAATGCTCTCACTCGCGTGGCCCCTGAAGAAACCATGATCCCAAAAGCCACGAGCCATGCAGGACCTCAAGAGCTTGTCTGTCAAGTAGAAGGAGAGTGCCATCTGTCATGGTAGGCTGGCTTTGAGAGGGACAATCTTCAGGCCATGTGAGTGGGATAGGGTCTCAGGTATACCCAAGCCCGAGAACAGACACAGCATCTCAGATTCTGATGGGGTAGGGGGGCGGTCATATGATCCTATCCAGATCCAACACTGTTATCATCCTTAGATACGGGTTCAAATCTTGGCTTTCACCATCTATGAGATCTTTGAACCTCAGTTGACTAATTTATAAAATGTGACTCATAATGACACTTAGTAGGTACTCAATAAATTCATTAATTCATTCAGTCAGTCAGTCAAGAAACATTTACTGAGTGTTTACCTATGTGCTGTTGTGGGCACCAGGAATACAACAGCTGACAAAACAAAGTTCCTGCTTTCACATTCTTGAGGCAGAATATAGACAACAGACAAACAAATATGTAACATATTAGATAGCAATAAGTGCTATAAAGGAATAAAAGAGGGGATGGAGTGACAGGGTAGAAAGTGATACTTTAGATTGGATGGTCATGGAAGGTGACCCTGCATAAGGTGACATTTGAACAGAGACTCAAGAACATGGAGGGAGTGAGCCCAGCAGATAATAACTGGGGAAGAGTATTCCAGGCAGGGGAACAGTAAGTGCAAATGTCCTGGGAGTGGAAGATCACTTGGAAGAGCAGTGAGGAGTGAGACTGGAGATAAAGTCCAGGAAACCAGGATTAGATCATGTAGGGCCTCTTAAGCCATGGAAAAGATGCTGGCTTTTCATACTGAGTGATGTGGGAAGCTATTAGAAGGTTATGAGCAGGGGCCGGATGCGGTGGCTGACGTCTGTAATCCCAGCTCTTTGGGAGGCCGAGACAGGCAGATCACTTGTGGTCAGGAGTTCGAGACCAGCCTGGCCAACGTGGTAAAATCCCATCTCTACTAAAAAATACAAAATATAGCCAGGTATGATGGTGGGTGCCTGTAATTCCACTTACTCGGGAGGCTGAGGCAGGAGAATTGCTTGAACCTAGGAGGCAGAGGTTGCAGTAAGCTGAGCTTGCGCCACTGCACTCCAGCCTGTGACAGAGTGAGACTCCATCTCAAAAAAAAAAAAAAAAAAGAAGTTTAGGAGCAGGGAGTGACATGATCTAACTCATAATGGAAAAGAATCAGGCCAGGCACATAATCCCAGCACTTTGTGAAGCTGAAGCAGGAGGAAACAACCATCTCTACTAAAAATATAAAAATTGGCCGGCCATGGTGGCACATGCCTATAGTCCCAGCTACTTGGGAGGCTGAGGTGGGAGGATCACTTGAGCCCAGGGAGGTTGAGGCTGCAGTGAACGTCACCATTGCACTCCAGCCTGGGCAACAGAGTGAGATCCTGTCTCAAAATAAATAAACAAATAAAAGAATCACTCTGCCTGCTCTGTGGGGGCAGGGGAGCACTTAGGAAGCAATTGTGTTGATTACGTGGCAAGAAATTGTGGTTGCTTACACTAGTAAAGATGGTAAGAAATGGTCAGATTCTGGATATATTTCTAAGGTAGAGCAAAAGGACTTTTTGATGAGTTCCCTGTGGGTTGCGTGGGGAACTGGAGGAAAATCACAAATGACTCATGTTTTGTGCCTGAGCTACTTGAAGGATGGACTTGCCATTGACTGAAATGGAGAAGACTGAGGGAAAAGCAGGTATTAGGGGTTGGACACGTGTTAGAAATGTCTATAAGATGCCCCGAAAATGTATTGAGTAAAATAGCACCTGGGCGTATGACTTTGGAGTTAAGGGAGAGGTCCAAGCTGGACATAAACGTTGGAGAGTTTTCGGAATACAGATGGTATTGAAAATCATGAGCTTGAATAACATCATCTTGAGAGTGAGGATAGAAAAGAATCTGGGTCTGGGGCCCAAGCCCTGGAGCTGCCAAGTGTTGCACATGAGAGAGATGAGGAACAGATACATCCTTCCTTCCCCCACTCCTCCTCCTCCTTCTTTTTCTTTCTTTAATTCGGTTAGCCTTCACTTGAACAAATCTGCTTACAAAGCTTCTTTTGGGTTTGCTCTTTAAAAGTAATATGTGCACTTTTTAACTTCAAAGACTTTTAAAAAGAAAAAAACACCCAACTCTGGGCTGTGGAAGAAGGCCTCGTGGTGCAGGCATTGAACCAGCAAGGCCAGTGCATCTGGAGATCAAGTTCCTTTTAGGATTAGTGAAATCGAGCTTTTGTTAGCATTCATCTAATGGTGGAATGTCAACGTGAAAACCTCAGAAATCCTTTTCTGCTCCACATCTCTTTCTTTTTTCCATTTAACAGAAAAACTATGTGAAGCCAGAAGGGAGAATCTGAGAAAGATTTGACTCTTCCTTAGTGAGATAAACAATCTGTTGTGTCATGGCACCAGCATAAAAATCCTGTGTTTGAAGAACAGGCTGAAACACAGTGTTTCTCAGGATAGTTTAGGAAAGGGCAAAGTAGGGATAGCTCAACTCCTGTGATAAAGATCTTAGGGTCTCAGTGGACCATAGATTTCCCATGAGCCAAGTAATGACATGGCTGATACAAGAGCAAACACAATCAAAGTAGTCTAGTGTACTGGCCATAGGAAATCAGAATCCCCTGAATAAAGAGGATGCTGGTTGGATGACACAAGCAGTCCACGATGCTATTCCAGGCATTGCATTATGAGAGGGACTTTGGCAAAGTGTGTGGTGTTCAGTGGAAGAGACCCGCATGGGACAGGTTTTAAACAAACAACAGGAGTTTGGCTTCAGCTGGAGCCTTGGGCATGCTGTAGTCACTGTCTTTAGATATTTGCCAGGGAATGAGGGAGATTGGTTCTGTATTACTCCTTAGAGAGAACTAAAGGAGAGAAAGTGACATAGAAGTTTTTATGGTTGGAATGGGCTTAACATAAAGGAATGAGCTCTCTCGCCCTTTCTCTCAAATGGAGGATAAGTTAATCAATAGTCAGGGATGCTGTAGAGCAAAGACTTTTAGGTGCGGGCCAGTGGATGAGCCTCAGGAGGTCTGTAAATCCCATGAAAGCACAGGCCAAATGGTATAGGCATGTGTGTATTTTTCTGGGGAGGAGATTCATAGCTTTTTGTCAGATTCTCAGAGTTATGGGACCCTAAAAATGTTAAGAAGGTCTGCCACAGCAAATACCTGTAAGCTGCAAGGTTTGAACCCTGTGGTCTCCTTAGACTAAGTTCAATGGTTTTAACTAGCTTGAATAACCCCCATTCCCTGGCTGAGTGGTTCTGTGGAAAGAACATTGACTTTGCAGTTGGACAGATTTCAATTTGAATTCTAGCTCAGCTACCTTCTACTTTTGTGACTGGGCAAATTGCTTAACTTCTCTTCAGTGTCTTCATTTGTAAAATAGGAATAATAAAATCAATCTCACTGGGCCATTAAATCACATAATGCAGGTCACCTGGCACAGTTCTTAGCTCATACCAGGAGCTTAGTAAATGCGAGGTCCTTTCCTCGCTCCTTTTCTCTAACATATTTTATTGCCTATCCCACCTACGGCCACCCTGTTTATCACGTGGTCCAAGATATGGCTATCTGGTCAGAGAGGGATATCTGCCTTAAAGGTAGCTAGTAACTTTGGAGACTTGGCTTAAACAGACAAACCAGGTCTTTTTTTTAATCTGAAACAGGAGATAGCTGTCAGAGGGTCGGGGCAGGAGAAGGCTAGAGCTGAGAGGCCATGATGGGCCATAGCAATGTGAGTGTGCAGAAAAAGCCGGAGAAGAGGTAGGAAGAGGAGGAGGAAGAGGAGGAGGAGGAGGAGGAGAAAATGGATTCTCAGAGAGAAGGGGGAGAGAGAGAGAGATTACATGGCCTGTGAGATCACATGGTGTGTGGGAGACAGGGACGCAGACATTCACACAGATTAACAGAGTAAGGGCTTCAGTTCCTGACAGCCCTCTGCTCCCTCAAGGTCTGGGTGTACTTAATTACCAGTCCTGGGTTCTGTGGGGGTTCAGTTATCATTGGCACAGGCCCCTTTAACACTTGAGCCAGCCAGAGTTGATTTCTGTTCTTTGCAACTCAAAGAATCCTGCACTCTCCCCATCAATTCTGCTATTGGGTCCAGCAGAGTCCGCTCACCCAGCTGGCCCAATCTGGAATCCCTTCCTCCTCCCTTGATTTTCCCTATTCAACTCAACACTCAAGGCCCCACTGAAGCTTCTCCCTCTGTCATGAAGCCATTCCTGACCACTCCGGGAGCCAGAGACCTCTTTTTCCCAGAAGCTCCGCTTCTACAGCTTCTGAGCTTCTACAGCTTTTGTAGCATTCCCAGCCCTGCCCCATCTTCGTATGGGCAGGCTGGGTAGAGGTTTCCTTGTGGGCAGAGTCCATACCTCATTTCATCCTTGCCTGGCCTGGTCTGTGCCTAGAACCAAGCAGAGCCCAGCAGGCAAGTAGCCATTGGCTCTATTCACTCAGACCCCAAACTGGCTGCACCTGGGCCTCTCCTCTTACTTAGCAAGGATGTGATTTCAATTCCTGTGTTCCCATGCTGTTTCTGGTGTTCTTGAGGTGTTCCCTCTGGTGTTCCCTATTGACTCATTTTCTCCATGCACAATTCAGCTCAGATCTCCCTTCAAAGACCTGGAACCTATCTCTCCATGCCCAGTAACTAGATTTTTTATTCTTCCCAGTTTAATTCAGCCAACATTTTCACTTAACATGTATTAGATGTTAAACTAGGCACTG
Source organism: Homo sapiens (assembly GCF_000001405.40). Classification (NCBI taxonomy): domain Eukaryota; kingdom Metazoa; phylum Chordata; class Mammalia; order Primates; family Hominidae; genus Homo; species Homo sapiens. Next base: position 10,707,442 of record NC_000011.10, on the reverse strand, counting down.
GGGCTATTGCATCAGGAGGCAGTGTGAGCCACTGGTTTTGGGTGCTGGTTCTAGAATTTGACTAACTGAATTAAAATCTAAGCTTGCATTCTGACAGCTGTAACCTTGGTCAAATTACTTATCATCCCCAACCCTTAGTTTCCTCACCTTTAGAATGGGTTGATATTCATAACAACAACATGCCTGCCTTGTAGGGCTTTAGTGAGGATCGGATGAGATTATCCATATGAGGGGCTTAGCCCAGTGCCTGGCTCATAATAAATAATCAATACATCACTGTTGTCATTGCTGTTACTATTATTATTATAAAGATGCATTGCCTGGGTCCTTATCTTTGAGGACCTCACAACCAGGTAGAGGAGGCAGAAAAGCCCCAATATTAGGCCACTGACCATTGTCCATGTAAAATAATAATAATAATAATAATAATGAAAGAAAAAAAAATAAAGTTCTAACATCAGACGATAGGTGTGCAATACTGAGTTTCTCTTTGGTGTGCTCCAGCATTCTCATGGGCTACGAATGGGGTAAAGACAGGCTGAGATACTGATTCCTATCTGTTCTTTGAATGTATTGGTAGGGTGTGGGGCTACCACAATCCCCAGCTGACCACCTGCAGCCATGAACAGTCTTGTTCACTCACCCTTGTGAGCAGGTAGACAGCCATGGAAAGCTCTGCTGTAATGATGTGTGTGAGCACAGGGTGCAGGGGAGCTCAGAGGAGGGAACAAACTCATCTACCACACTTCTCCAAAGAGCAGTGCTGCCTGCTCTGAAATCCTCACCTGGCTTCCACCTCATTTCGGGACTTCTAGGTCTCCCTGGTATCACAGTTCATCTTACATATATGACAGTCCATGGTTGCTCAGCGAATGATGAAGTGACCCTCACAGCCTTCACCTCCATGACCTCACGAAACCCACCGGTCTACTGACAAGGCTTTCTAAGGTCTGATAGCTTGTTTGCAATCCTCATCTCCTGGGCTCCCTGCAGTACTCTACAGGCCACCTCCTCCTCTTTTCCATGTACTGACAGCAACTTCCTGTCTCTTGCCAGTTTTTTACTGGCTCCTCATTTTTTGGTCCTCTGTGTTGATTTTCCCCTTTCTCTCTTTCCAAGCCTTTATTATGTCCTCTCTCTCTCTCTTTCTCTGTCTTTCTGACTTTCTTCCCTTAGCTCTCTTTTCTCTTACACCCACCCTAATCAGTTTACAAAGGCCTGTGACTGAAAGCTCTCCTAGAAGTCCATACTTCTGAATTCGATGTCACCAGTCTGCACCTCTCTTAAGCCACAATCCTTGTCACTCTGCATTTCTAACCATTTGCTGGGCCTCTCCATCTGGGCCTCCCACCAGCATTTCAAACTGAACTCATATCATCCTTAACCAATGCACTCCTGCTCCTGGCTTCCTCAGGGCATTAACTTCTCTCTACCTGTCCAGAGATCAAAACTTTGGAGTCACTCACTCTGTTCTTCCCATTTCCCACAAGCAGTTAGGGCACAAGTTTCTTGAGTCTCTCTCTCATCTGCCCACCTCATCACTGTTGTTCCCACTTCTCTGTGGAGCTTCACATGTTCAACTGTCCAAGTGTCATCTCTACTTGGATGTTTCACAGTCAACCAAACTTAACATGTCCAAAATAATACTCTGAGTCCATTACTCCTGTGTCCCCGGCTCGCTCCTCCCAGGCTTTCTCATCTCAATAAATGATTTTACTTTACATCAGTTGCTCAACTGGTCATCCTGGATATCCTTTTATTTCCTGAGGGCCACATCTTTATGGGGTATTTCAGGAGCGCCCAGGCTAATGTTCAGCCCATCCACCCCACCATGGCTATGAATTGTTCAAATATTAAGGTACTTCCCTGCCAGTTGCATATTGCTGCTGCCCTGAGACCTCTCCCTATCACCCCAGTCACCCTGGCCCCTTCCCTAGGATTACCTGGACCTTGTCATAGTTTGGCAACTGAAGGATTGATGCCTGGTACTGCTGGGGACTTCCAGGACCCAGCTCTAGCAGGACAGTCACTGTTACCCATACTTAGTGGCTAGTACCCCGGCCATAACAGTTGCCAACTTTCTTGAAGGCAATCCCCAGTGTTACTGATTTTGAAGATGAGGAAACTGACCTTGGAGAGGTTAATTAATTTTTCCATAGTTCCCTGGAGTCTGTCTGGCTCCAAAGTCCACTTTCTTTCCATGGCATTTTACAATAATCCCTTGACTTGTCCCCTGCCCTAGAGCAATCTTCTCAAAGCCCAGCTCATATCAGACACTTTCTCGGCTTAGAAACTTCCTGGGGCTCCCAGCCCACATAAAAGTAAGTTCAAACTCCCAAGCCTGGGGTTTAAGGCTCCTTCATTATCTGACCTACTCAGCCAGCCCCAAAACAGAACCCCTACTACTGCATTCCTGAACACTTCGCCATACCTAGGCATGTACTACTTCTTTACCTGGGAAGAAGACCCTCCCTGACCCACTCTCCATCCTTTGAAACCTTGACCTGTTTGGACTTAATAACTGCCTCAAATGTCAACTAGAAAGCAAATCTTCCCAATGCTCCACTTCTTCCTCGGAGCTCCTGCAGCACTTGGTTCAAGCTCAGTGATCCCTAACTACTGCCCATCCATGGTACTGACTGTGTTCTTCCTTATAGAATAGTTCTACTAACAACACCTCATGTAAGCACAACAACAGAGCTTGCACACCACTTTCACATAGCTTGTATTATGGATGTTACTGACTTGTTGAAGTCTTATACTATCACCTCCTGGAGGGCAGGAGCCATATCTTGCCCACCTCTGAGCCTCCCTGCCTAGCAGAGGCCTAGGCACAAGGTATGTACATAGTGCATATCTGTGGAATGAATGGGTAAGTCATGCTCTTGGGGCAGAATGCAGAAAGTAGATGACAATGTTTCCAGTAGCTGTTCCCTCCAGTCAGGATGCCAAGACCCTTTTGCTCCCTCTTTCTCCCCACCAGCCTACCTCAGGGCCTCCTTCTAATGGAAAGAACACCTAGGCACTTATTTTAATTTTTTTTATTTTTAAAATAATTTTTAAATAAAAGCAATACCTCCACATTGCTTTTTAAAAGAATCAGAAGAGAAAGCCTTGTAACAAAAAGTCCTGGTTTCCTACCCCAAGTTCTGCTGCTAGAGGGAACCCCTTTAACAGTGTCTTTTTTTACTCTTTTTCTTTTTTTGAGATGGAGTCTCTCTCTGTTTTCCAGACGGGAGTGCAGTGCCATGATCTTAACTCACTGCCACCTCTGCCTCCTGGGTTCAAGCCATTCTCCCACTTCAGCCTCCTGAGTAGCTGGGATTATAGGTGCTCGCCACCATGCCTGGCTAATTTTTGTATTTTCAGTAGAGATGGGGTTTTGCCATGTTGGCCAGGCTGGTCTCGAACTCCTGGCTTCAAGTATTCCTCCCTCCTTGGCCTTCTAAAGTGCTGAGATTACAGGCGTGAGCCACCACGCCCAGCCTAACTATGTCTTTAGATGGATACTACTGTAATGATGAATAATATAAATAATGTATGAATTACAGACATATCCCAAGGGGACCTCTTTAATTGTCTCTTTGGATAGTTACTGCCATAACTCTAAATTATAGAAGTGATTTATGAGATTTAGACTTTATCCTTTGACTTTATACTATGATAGATGTTGCAGGAGCTCACTCACACTACTTTGATTTTCATTCCTTGGCAGGTGGCCTGTTCCCCCTCCCCCCACCCCTACCTCCTCCCTGGAAGTTTTTGGTTTCTTCTCTGTTTCCTTGTTGGTCTAAATTCCACAGCGTTATGTCCAAGTGTACGCCTTTTCTCATTTTTGCGTGTGAGGCACCGTGTGAGTTCTTTCAGTCTGTAGACTCGTGTCCTTTGCCCCAGGGGAAATTTCTATTATTTCTTCGATAATGTCCTTCCTTCTACTTTATCTTTTTTTTTTTTTTCTTTTCCTGGAATTTCTATTCATTGGGATCCCTTGGTTTGGTTCTCTATGCCTCTTATTTTTTCTCTTTCCTATCCCTTTTTCTGTCTGTTCTGCTTTATGGCAGTGGAATTCTTCCACCTCACCTTTGGAAATTTAATTTTGGCATTATCTTGATATCCAAGAGTTCTCTTTTGTTCTCATTTTTAAAATTAGATTGCAATTTTTAAAAAATCTTTCTGTGGATACTAGTTAGAATTATTTTAACAATTATCTTCTGTTTCCTGGATTATCTTTGTTTTCTCCATGGCCATATTTTTCTGCTCATTCATTTCTTCAGTCTAAATTTATTGTAGGCCTACTATGTCCATACACTATTCTAGTTACCAGGAAAAGAGAGATTAACAAAATAGACAAAAACCCAGTCCTTATGGAACTCATATCGGGAAGGCTGTGGGAGAGAGAGAGAGAGACAAATAAATAAATTAATTAGAATATAAAGTTTGTCAGATGGTAACAGGTGCTGTGAAGTAAAACAGAAAATAAGGATAGGACTGCCTCGGCAGGGGTGGGGCTCCGTATCATGAATAAGGTGATCAGACAACACCTCTTTGGGAATCAATGTTTGAGTAGAGACCTGAAGAAGGTGAGCGTGTGAGCCATGTGGAGACCTAGAGGAAGAGCATTCCAGACAGAGGGAAGAGCAAATGCAAAGACCTTGAGGCATGACTGTGTTTGGTTTTATGTTTTCCTTTCAGGTGGGCTTTCCTAAATACCTGGTTGTCCTTTGCTGCCCAGGTAAGACTGAAGCAATAGAGGAGCTGTTAGCTCTGAGTGCACAGGTGGCCTGCTTTGCCGGCTCGCTTTGCTCAAGGGTGGGGATTGTTCCACTTTAATGTAATTCTCTGTTAGGGAGTGGCTTTCCAAAATCACAAATCTTGCCAATTTAATCAGAGCTTTTTTGGGATGGGGGGATAGGACCCAGGCGTCAGTGGTTTTATTGATTGATTGATTGATTGATTGATTGAGACAGAGTCTCGCTCTGTCGCCCGGGCTAGAGTGCAGTGGCGCGATTTCGGCTCACTGCAACCTCCGCCTCCCACATTTAATCGATTCTCCTGCTTCAGCTCCTGAGTAGCTGGGATTACAGGCTTCTGCCACACGCCTGGCTAATTTTTGTATTTTTAGTAGAAACTGGGTTTCACCATGTTGGCCAGGCTGGTCTTGAACTCCTGACCTCAAATGATTCGCCTGCCTCCCAAAGTGCTGAGATTACAGGTGTGAGTCACAGAGCCCAGCTGATCACTGGTTTTAAACAATCCCTAGGGGAAGCATTGTGCAGCCAATTTGAGAACTGGTGCATCAGGGCTGTGGCCAGTACTGGAATCACCTGAAGAACTTTAGCAAATTACCAATGCCTGGGGCCACATCTCTGAAAACAGTTAAAGCAGTGATCCTAACATATAGCCAAGGTTAAGGACCTCTGCTTTAGAGGATGGGGCTGCGCTTTCAGCCCACTCTGTTTTGCCATCCCACCTCCAAATGCTGGACTGCAGAGGGCTTTCTTTACTTAGGGGCAGCAGCAGCTCCCATAGGAGCTGGTCTAATTTATCCCAAGTTATTCAATTTCCTTAGAGAAGAGCCCTCTGCTGCTATTGTTCTTGTTGTTGGGGGTTGTGAAATCAAATATCTCATTGCCAAACTTGCTTTCTGCTTACAGAGGTAGGGGAGGGGGTGAGAGTAAAGGGGAGACTGATGTTTGTCTATACATCTTGTCTATATTGAGATTTGTCTTATAGACTCCAACTCCCTCTTTTTTTGCCATAATTTCAGACTTACAGAAACATTGCAAGAATAGTACAAATAGGCCAGGCGCGGTGGCTTACGCCTGTAATCCTAGCACTTTGGGAGGCCGAGGTGGGTGGGTTGCCTGAGCTCAGGAGTTCAAGACCAGCCTGGGCAACACGGTGAAACCCCGTCTCTACTAAAATACAAAAAAAAATTAGCTAGGCATGGCGGTGTGTGCCTGTAGTCCCAGCTACTCCAGAGGCTGAGGCAGGAGAATTGCTTGAACTCAGGTGGCAGAGGTTGCAGTGAGCTGAGATTGCACCACTACACTCCAGCCTGGGTGACAGAGTGAGACTCCATCTCAAAAAAAAAAAAAAAGAATAGTACAAATAATTACTGTAGATCCTTCACCCACATTACCCAAATATTGATATTTTATATATACTTTGTTTTATCCTTCTATCTATTTAGCTATCTCCTGCCTACCCCGGACCCTGAACTGTCTACAGACCTTATTCAGAAGTTGCCAATTGTCTCAGTGATGTCCTTTAGAGCAAAAGAAAATCCCAGATCATTTGTTGCATTCAATTGTTATGTCTCTTTAGTCTCCTTTTTTTTTTCAAATAACTGCTCTGTCTATTTGTGTCTCCTGTGATATTGACATTTTTGAAGAGTACAGGCTAGTTTTGTTGGATTTGGATTTTTCCTCACGATTACAGTCAGGTTATGCATCTTTGGCAGGAATATTGTATTAGTCTGTTATCATGCTGCTAATAAAGACATACCCGAGACTGGGTAATTTATAAAGGAAACAGGTCTAATTGACTCACAGTTCCACATGGCTGGAGAGGCCTCACAATCATGGTGGAAGGCCAAGGAAGAGCAAAGGGACATCTTATGTAGCAGTAGGCAAACAGAGAATGAGAACCAAGTAAAAGGGGCTTCCGCTTATAAAACCATCACATCTTTTTTTTTTTTTTTTTTTGAGACGGAGTCTCGCTCTGTCGCCCAGGCGGGACTGCGGACTGCAGTGGCGCAATCTCGGCTCACTGCAAGCTCCGCTTCCCGGGTTCACGCCATTCTCCTGCCTCAGCCTCCCGAGTAGCTGGGACTACAGGCGCCCGCCACCGCGCCTGGCTAATTTTTTTTGTATTTTTAGTAGAGACGGGGTTTTACCTTGTTAGCCAGGATGGTCTCGATCTCCTGACCTCATGATCCACCCGCCTCGGCCTCCCAAAGTGCTGGGATTACAGGCATGAGCCACCGCGCCCGGCCAAAACCATCACATCTTATGAGACTTAGTCACTACCACAAGAACAGTATAGGGGAAACTGCCCCCATGATTCACTTATCTCCCACTGGGCCCCTCCCACAACATGTGGGAATTATGGGAGCTATAATTCAAGATGAGATTTGGGTGGGGACACAGCCAAACCATATCATTCTGCCACTGGCCCCTCCCCAATTCTCATGTGCTCACATTTCAAAACCAATCATACCTTCCCAACAGTCCCCCAAAGTCTTAACTCATTTCAGCATTAACTCAAAAGTCCACAGTCCGAAGTCTCATCTGAGACAAGGCAAGTCCCTTCCACCTATGAGCCTGTAAAATCAGAAACAAGTTAGTTACTTCCTAGATACAATGGGGGTGCAGGCATTGGATAAATACACCCATTCCAAATGGGAGAAATTGGCCAAAATGAAAGGGCTACATGCCCCATGCAAGTCTGAAATCCAGTGGGGCAGTTAAATCTTAAAGCTCCAAAATGGTCTCCTTTGACCCCATGTCTCACATCCAGGTCCCGCTGATGCAAGAGGTGGATTCCCATGCTCTTGGGCAGCTCCACCTCTGTGGCTTCGCAGGGTACAGCCCTGCTCCCAGTTGCTTTCATGGGCTGGTGTTGAGTGTCTGCAGCTTTTCCAGGTGCACAGTGCAAGCTATTGGTGGATTTACCATTCTGGGGTCTGAAGGATGGAGGCCCTCTTCTCATGGCTTCACTAGGCAATGCCCCAGTAGGGATTCTGTGTGGGAGCTTCAACCCCACATTTCCCTTCTGTGCTGCCCTAGCAGAGGTACTCCATGAGGGCCCTGCCCTTGCAACAAACTTCTGTAGGCGTTTCCGTACATTTCCTTTACCTAAAATGTAGGTGGAGGTTCCCAAACCTCAATTCTTGACTTCTGTGCACCCAAAGGCTCAATACCATGTGGAAGCTGCCAAGGCTTGGGGCTTGCACCCTCTGAAGCCACAGCCCAAGCTGCACCTTGGTCCCCTTTTAGCCATGGCTAAAGCGGCTGAGACGCAGGACACCAAGTCCCTAGGCTGTACATAGCAGCAGGGCCCTGGGCCCATGAAACCATTTTTTCCTCCTACGCCTCTGGACCTGTGATGGGAGGAGCTGCTACAAAGGTCTCTGACATGTCCTAGAGACATTTTCCCCATTGTCTTGGTGACTAACATTTGGCTCTTGGTTGCTTATGCCAATTTCTGCAGCTGGCTTGAATTTCTCCTCAGAAAATGGATTTTTCTTTTCTATTGCATCATCAGGCTGTGAATTTTCTGAACTTCTATGCTCTGTTTCCCTTTTAAAACTGAATGGTTTTAACAGCACCCAAGTCCCCTCTTGAATGCTTTGCTGCTTAGAAATTTCTTTTGCCAGATACCCTAAATCATCTCCCTCAAGTTCAAAGTTCCACAAATCTCCAGTGCAGGGGCAAAATGCCACTGCTAGAATCACCTTTACTGAAGTTCCCAACAAGTTCCTCATCTCCATCTGAGACCACCTCCACCTGGATTTCATTGTCCATATCATTATCAGCATTTTGGTCAAAGCCATTCAACAAGTCTCTAGGAAGTTCCAAACTTTCCCACATTTTCCTGTCTTCTTCTGACCCCTCCAAACTGTTCCAACCTCTGCCTGTTACCCAGTTCCAAAGTTGCTTCCACATTGTCAGGTATCTTTACAGCAGCACCCCCTCTACTGGTACCCATTTGCATTATTAGTCTGTTCTCAGGCTGCTAATAAAGACATACCTGAGGCTGGGTAATTTATAAAGGAAATAAACAAGTTTAATGGACTCACAGTTCTACATGGCTGGGGAGGCCTCACAATCATGGTGGAAGATGAAGGACGGGCGAAGTCATGTCTTACATGGCAGCAGGCATATACACATACACATCTATATCTATCTATCTATCTATCTATCTATCTATCTATCTATCTATCTATCTATCTATCTATCTCTCCATCTATCTGCCTATCTAGCAATCTTGTTTACTCCAGTTCCTATAATTCTAACACAATACTGCATAGTTTATTCTATTTTCCCTACTTTTTCATATTTGTAACTCCTTCCTTTGACAGTGAGAAACTTTGCTCTCATTATCCAATATTTACTAATTTGTTCAACCCTAGAATACAAAGAAAGTATTTTCAGAATTGCTAATACACATGTCTATGAAAAAGAAGTCTATTCAATATTTGTTTATAGTTCTTTTTGACTTTAGCCTGATGGCATCTAGTCCAAATCTAGTACAAAAGCTTCTTGATTTAATTCCCTTTCTGTCCCTTCTGCCCATAAACTTTAATTCATCCCCTCTCTGTTTGGCTCCATAACTCATTCCTGTCCTTGTCACACCTGGCTTTTCAAGTCCAGAGCCTCTCAGGGGTTTCAAAGCTGGTGACCTCCCTCTCTAGATGTCGTCTAGGGCTAGGCCGAAGCTTCCTTCTCCCTGCCTCATTAGGCACCTCTCTTCTATGCCCTTCCCAGCTTCCAGAAATATGTCCACTCATGCCTGCCCTCTCCCTCCATTCCTCTGTGGCTAAGAATTTATTCCTTTTTAAGGAGTTCTTTGCTATCATTTTAATGGGGTTGTGGGACAGGGAGCGACACCTGTGTTCCCAGTTTGTAGTCTCAAACCTGACACCCGGGAATTCTAAAGTCAGAGAGATCTGGGTTTATGCCCTGCAAGACATCGGCAGGCATCTTGACTGCCCTGCATCTGTTTCCCCATCTAGGATGTGAGGGTGAGAAGCTCCACACCACATGGATTTGGTGAGGATGAACTCTACCGTATATGTAAAGTGGCTGACAGTGCTGGGCACCATGTTCAGTATGTAAAGTGGGTGACAGTGCCTGACACCATGTTCAGTAAATGATACCTGTCATTGTTGCCTGGGTGCAGTTCCTAGAGATGTGGTCTCTTATTTGCTCACTCACTCATCCAGGGCTGAGTGCTGAGCATATCACAGAGTTCCTAAGTCTAAAAGGGGTAGGGAAGTCAAAACACCCAGTGAAGTCAACCGAGCAAGTGATCGCAGAGCTGGCAGCATTCTTGGCAAGAAGCTGTTTTTCCTTGCTTGGCTCCCCTTGGTGCAAGGATATGTCTTTTGCCTGAGACTCTAAAACTTCTTCCCTGGCCTTGGATTAAATGGCCTGTTGGGAGAGCCTCCCCGAGCTATGTGCCAGTCTGCCTCTGCTGGGCCCCTGCTTTTAGGCGGAGGACACATGACTGTCTCTGATGGGAATGAGTGAGAAGCTGAAGATTTTGGGAGAGCGAGGCCAAATCCCTGTGTGGCTCCAGGAACAAGGATAAATATAGCCAGAGTAATTGCTCATGCTCTTTTAAGGATTAAAAGTCAGCTTTTGGGCAAGCTGTGAAGCTCCATGATAGCAAGGGACACAGTTCCTTTTTTAGAACTGTGGTCAGCACTCCTTGTGCGTTGCTGGATCCCAGGCCTCCATGACGCTATTCCCAGTGGAGTAAAGGGATCGCCTTCACTGGTCTACCTGACACAAGGGAGGGATGGGTCTGAAGTGTTCCTGCCACATCCCATTGTCCCACATGATGTCTGGCACACTAAAGGTGCCCAATGAGCATTTTTAAATGGATGAGTGAGCTGTGAGAAATTTATGCTTTTAAAAATAACCTTTAGGATAAGATGTGTAGTCTAGTTAACAGTAGCATCCCAGTGCCAATTTCCTGGCTTTGAAATATACTGTACAACACCGATGTAAGATGTCTCCGTTGGGGAAGCTGGGTAAACGGTATGTAGGAGTCTTTGTACTATTTTAGTAACTTCCTGTGTATCTATAATTATTCCAAAGTAAGAAGTAAAAAAAAATAATAACCTTTAGTCAGGATCATGACAATACCCTTTGACACTTGGGGGAAGCAGTGCTGGAAGATGAATTGAGTAAATCCCTGTTTACAGCAATGCTTTTGTTTTGTTATTATTTATTAATGTAAACACATGTTTTGCTCATATGATTCAAAACTTTAAATGTATCAATAAGGTGTAACCATGGTCAGTCTTTACCCCAGCCACTTAGTTTTATTCCCCATTGGCCACTAATCTAAATGTTATTCATTTCTTGTGCTAATTTTAGAGATGATATGCATACTCACATATGAACTTGTGTGTATACATGAATGCAAGTATATATATGTATTTGCGTGTATATATGTACATATTACAATATGTACACACACACACACACACTCTTTTTCACTCAAATAGTAGCATTTGATAGACACTGTTATTTTAGTTTTTCTACTTAATGTATCTTGGAATCTTTTCAGATCAGTACACCAAGAGCTTCCTCACCCTTTGTTGTGGCTGCACTCCATCTTCTGTTATGGCCCCAGTTGCTAGACATTTATGTTGTTTCCAATCCTTTTGCTTTTGTAAATAATGCTGCAATGAATAATCTTGTTCGTTTGTCGTTTCCCAAGTGTGGGAGTGTGTTTATAGAATAAATTCCTAGAAGTGGAATCGGGTCAAAGGGTATAATCTTGATAGTGCTAAGTTGTCCTCTATAGAACTTGTTCCATTTTTACACACTGACAAGTCATGTGTTTTATAAAATGGTATTGCTAATGCAATGATTAAAAAGTTATTTGGTGATGCCTTTGTGTGGTGAAAGCTGTGGGTCTTTACCCAAGAGAAACATAAACCACGTAGTGGCTTACATGCAATTTCAGTTGGCTCAGAGACCCCTGAAGGTTATCCGTGAACCCTGGGTTCAGAAACCCTGGCTGAAACGGAGGCAGCATGATAAAGAGGACAGAGCTTTAGGGACAGACCACCTGAATTCACATCTCAGTGCTGTCACTTATTTACTGGCTGTGGAACATCAAGCAAGTTGTTTTACTTCTTCCAGCCTCAGTTTCCTTTTGAAGGAAAGGCGTAGACACTTGTGAGGATAGAGTGCTTTTATGTAAATCATCTAATCTAATGCTAGGAATATAGTAGGTACTCAATATGATATATGATTTTGAACTCTCTCTCTCTCTCTCTCACACACACACACACACACACACACACACACACACAGCCAGCCCTAAGTTCCATTTCAACTTCTGATTTTGATTGTCCCTGTAGTGCCTGCTGCTGGACTCACAAGATCAACCTTTGAAGCGACATTCCCTAATGTGGGATCCTTGGACCAAGTACATGAGAATCACCCAAGGGCCTTCACTAAAATGCAGATTTCTGGGTCTATGTCAGATCCATAGAATTAGAATTTCTGAAAGAGGAACCCAAGGAGCTTCACACTTGGGGGTTCTAATGCACATTGAAGTTGGAGAAACAGCACTGAAGAGTTTGGTCAGTTCCTTCTAGACCATATACTTGCAATTCTAGTAGTTACCACCATGTGGCTTTGTGGGGGACGGGGGTTGTGGGGGGAGCCTGTACCTCCATGTGGACAGGTGTGGACACTTGAGAGAAAGCATGGCTAGTACCCAAGACAGCCTCCTCTGGTTTCATTTACAAAAAACAATTATTGATGAGGGTAGCGGACTTCATGCGCTGCACCCCTGTTAGTGATCTCTCTTACAACAACCACACAGAAGAGACAGGACTTCCTGAGAACCACATGCCTGAGGAAGGTGCTGGGATGGAGGCTCAGTGGGCCAGGCTCAGTGGAGAGCATCTGCCACTGCTGCACAACTGATCTGTGGCCAGGAGCTGAGCATAAGGACTGTGTTTGCCAGGAGAGCTTGAGGCCATAGGCCTGGGAGCTCCAATCCCTAGTGCTCTCTACCATGACTACTGAATGTTTTCTGGGTGGCTAATGATGGCCAAAAGCTAGGGTTCCCGGATTTATCAAACAAAAATAGAGGATGACTAATTAAATTTGAATTTCAGATAAATAACAGTCTTTAATACAAGTATGTCCTGTGTTTATCTGAAATCCAAATTTAAATGGGTGTCCTGTAATTTATCTAGCAACTTTACCTAGGGTTTCTCTGTGCTGCTCTAACCACAGAAGGGGCTGAAGTCCCCATGTGGCTTGCCCCCAGCTTGGAGCTCCATGATCCTGGCCTTGGGTAGGCCCTATACCCAAGGCAGGTGAAGAGTGTGTATGGACAGGGTATGGATTTCCTGGGCAGGGGCAGGAAGCTCATTCATACTGATCTAGCTCTTATGAGATGCTGGCAGTGTGTTAAACACTTGACTAACATCTCATTTAATCCCCTGACTACCTAGTGAGTCGGGCATTATCATTATTATTTCCACTTTAGAGATGAGGAGACTGAGGCTCCACGATGTTAAGACCACAGGCTGTTTAATGGAGGAGCAAGGTTGACATCCCTGGGGCTGGTGCCAAGTCTGGGAGTAGCTGAATCTCCCAGGCCATTCTCTCTGGCAATCCCAAGAGTTTAACGCAGTGGGAGCAGCCCCTGCCCCCGAATCCCCAGGACAGGAACCATTCCCAGTTTCTCTTGGCGCTGGCCCAGGGTCTTCTCCAGGCTCACATGCTTGCTGGAGGCTCCAGGCGGGTGGGGAGATCTGCAGGGTCCCTTTGTTCCCGTCCGGCCAGGACAGTGTCCAGTGGCACGAGTTGCCATGGGGACTGCCATCTGCTGTGTGGATACCCATCGGAGGGGCCCAGGGTGAGCGACTGCCCCAAAGGCCCAGCCTGCCCTGAGCCCTGAGGCCAGCTGGTCGGCTTTCCCTGCCATTATCCCCCGAGCCAGGCCGGAGTGGGGCTCCCAGAGGAGCTCTCGGCTCTAAGTCCCAGCCCCTCTCAGAGGAGGCGTGCGGCCGAGGTTCTGCAGCCAGAGGCTTCTCGGCTCTGAGCTCCGGAGCCAGATGTAACATTGACCTTAAATGGTAAAAGCTCCCCAGAGTGAAGAGAGGCTGGCCAGAGGAGGAAAGGAGAATAACTCAGTTTTAGGTAAGCCTCCCCTATATCCTAGAATAACCTGCCTCTTCGGCTGGGAAGCGGAGGGAACCTTCTCTTCCTTAAAGGTACAGGGTGCTGGGATGGGGGTGCTAAACTTTAACTTTCCAGGGGAGCTGGCTTTGTTGGGTGGCATTTCAGCTGAGTATCTTTATTGTTGCTGTCTTAAGTTTTAAATCAGAAGTGAATCTTGCCAGTCCTAACTTAACTAGATTGTGCTCCTTTTGCTTGCCGTTGGAAAGTGTGCACAGCTCAGGGTGAAAATGTGGGTCCTGACAGGCGATTGCAACCCCTAGCTTTCCTGTGGGCCCCTTTGTGGCAACAGTGGGGTCTTCAGCTTTGGCAAGTCTGCTAAGCAGAGCTTTCTCCCCTCTGTGCTTCCTGTGTCTCTCTCTCTGTCCCCCTACGCCCCTCTGCCTTGAACCTGGGCTGGCATGACCTGTCTAGATCCTTAAGCCTGCCTCTATTTCTGTCTCTGCCCTTCCCATCCTGTGTTCTTGTCACAGTCCCTGTTTTTATCTCTGTCCCTGTCTCCTCTTTTGTCTCCAGCTTCCCCTGGCCTGTGCCCTTCCCTGCTCCCTAGAGGGGGTGTATGTGCCCGGCCCGTGCCCGGCCCTGCTCACCTCCAGGGCTCCGAGTTGAAGCGATTCCTAGAGTGAGCACCATTTGAACTGGCTTTTTCCAAAGGAAAAGCCAGTGGAAGCCAGAGGCCAGAGAGAGGCCCAGCTGTCTTGCTCCCTCCTGCCCAGGAAACAGTTGTAAAGGCTATAGAGGCTCTGCAGTTTGAGTAAACAGCAGCCCGGGGTCTGGGACCCCTGGCCAGCACTCCAGCCTCCCAGAGCTCGGCAGCTGCTGAACACTCTTCAGGCTGCTCACTGGGGTGGCACAGGGAAGTAAATCTGGTCTGAGCAGAGTCTTTTGCAGGGAAAAGGAGGAAGCTTCCTGGGACTGTGAGGCTGGGGGTCCAAAGGAGTCAGGACCTGCCAAGGATTGTATTGCCCCCACCGAGGGACGATGACATGCTAGTGAGGCAGGTGGAGTTGCCCATCCCCCTGCACTCCCCTACCCCAACAGTTCTATGGGGGAGGGAACTCAGGTTAAGTGACTTGCCTAAGGTCGTTCCACCAAGATGGAGCGGAGCTAGGACTCAAACCCTGTATGAGTTTGTATGACTCTAACTCCAGTGCCCATGCCTCTCAACACAGACGTGAATGCCAGGGTATGATGCTGCCTCCAATTGTGTCTTGCGATTTTTGACCTAATGGACAAAACAGTTGTCATTATCATGTTTGTACTGTCCATGATTCCATAGTGCGTGTATGTGTGTGTGTGTGCATGCATATTTGGTGGGTGGCTGTTTATATTCACAGCGGATGCACCTATCTTTATGCTTGGAGGTAAGGGAGGCATTCCTGTATCCTTTATCATCTTGGAGGGATAACCATGTGCTAGCTGCTACTACATGATTGGTTATCCCCATAAATATATTTCTGAAAGAAAATAAACAGCAAACACATGGTTCTTACTATGTATTGAACACTGTTCCCCTTCCCATACAGTAACTCATGACTCCCACAGCTCTACAAAGCAGGGGTCATTCTTTCCACCCTGGTCTTGTAGAGGAGGACACTTTAGCACAGAGAGACTGCACAGCTGATGCTCAGCCCCAGGCCATGGTCTCTGGAGGCTCTGCTCTTGACCTCCATGGTCAGCTCCCGTCTGCTTGGGACCCCATGTCAGAGTGCAGCGGGGGAATCACCGGCCCCCTTGCAACATGGTGCATCTGAGGCTTTCCACGAGGGATTTCACATGCCCCCTCACAGAATGCCATGGGGGATGTATCTTTACCTTACTGCTCCAGGTGAGGACAGTGGGGCTAGGGGATGTTAAATGACTCGTCCAAGCTCACCCAGCCACCAAGTGACAAAGCAGGGAATTTAAATAGTATCTTGGGTGAGGAAGTTAGGGCCATGTGAAACCTACTTGAAACTGAATCCCTGGGAGGCTGAGGAGGCTCATGGTTTGGGGATGAGGAGTTCTGTGGGTCTGTGTGAGGAAGCTAGGTTCCTTGACTGATGGGCTGAACTATACGTGATGGGTCCTCAGCTTTCTAAAAAGCCCTGCCTTTCTCCTCTAAGTCTTTGTAACAGAGGTGGACAGAAGCACCCCACACCTCCTGGAGGAGCAGACTGAGCCCTGCAAGGGCGGAGACCTTATCCCGTTCCTCACCCGTTGTGTGTCTAGCACCCAGAATGCCGGGAGCACACGAAGTGCTCAGGTTCAATCATGTTTCTGTGAATAAATGGACACAATGCTTATAAAGTGGGTTCTGGTTACACAGGGCCCTGGGTTGATTTTGTACATGTGCCTGATGATCAGATTCATCTAGTTTGACCCTAAAGAACACAAGGTGGGGGCCTGAAGTTACCCACCTCTCTCACCCTGCCTCCTCTCCTGGGTCACCTCACAGAGCCTGGACTGCCCCTCAGCCGCTCTCTCTGGGGCTTATTGGTCAGCAGAGGGATTGTTTGCTGACTGAATAGAAGCAGAGGCCTGGGTAGATAGGGAGAAGAGAGCTTGGGGCCCCCAGACTCTGGCCCTGCCCCTGCCCCTTGGGGAGCTGAGTCAGAGGAGGGAGATGGAGAGCTGAGTTCTCAGGTAGTGAATGTAAAAGGAAACGGGAGAAAATTGGTATTAATTGAGCTTCTACTTTGTGCCAGGATCTGTGCTAGATCTGTTATTTAATTTAAGCCTCATGTTAGAGATGAGGAGAGAGGCATACAGCTGGTAGGTGGTGGACTCCAGCTCAAGCCACCTTGGTCCAAAGCGGGCGCTTCCTGCATTAGATGTCACCCTGCCGCTAGTTAGTAACTTAGGTCCTGGGGCAGTTACTGAGTGTCACAGTCCAAATCACAGGAAAATCACGAATAGAGGGAAAGGGGATATCATGTTAGTCCTGTGGACCTTGGAGGCTAGACTCTGAGTTCAGGCGACAGTCCAGGGCAGCCTCACAAATGGGCCTTCAAATTCAGAGTCTTAGCAGAGGTAACTCACGCCCATGACCCTGGACAAGCCCTGCCTTCTCTGCAAGGGCTTTCTCCAAGGGAGGTGGAAAGCAGAGGACAGTTGGTCGGACAGGAAACATTTTTTTTTTTTTTAGACAGGGTCTCGCACTGTCACCCAGGCTGGAGTGCAGTGGTGCAACCCCACCTCCCGGGTTCAAGCAATTCTCATGCCTCAGCCTCCCAAGTAGCTGGGATTACAGGTGAGTACCACCATGCCTGGCTAATTTTTACATTTTTAGTAAAGATGGAGTTTTGTCATGTTGCCCAGGCTGGTCTCGAACTCCTGACCTCAAGTGATCAGCCCACCTCAGCCTCCCAAAGTCTGGGATTATAGGCGTGAGCCATCGCACCCGGCCAGACTGAAAACTTTTCCTAGCGGAGAAGACATGTAAAAAAAGTCTGCTAAGGCTGGGCTTAATCAGCTCTGGTTACTTTCTTCCTATTACTTTTTTATTTGTAATTTGTAATTTCTATTCAGTTTTTTCTAGAAAAAAAAGTAATGCATGTTCTTTGCTAGACTTTCTTGGAAAATATAGAAGTGGATATAAATAAGAAATTCAGAAATAAATATAAAGAAATAAAAAACCCTCTAGAATACCATTCCTCAGTGATAAGTATTGTTTATATTATGGTGTGTTTCTTCCTTTACATTTCTCTATATTTTGTAAAACTAGGATCTTAGTGTATATGCTATTTTTTAGTCTGCTTTTTAAAACTGAGCATTCTAATATAATCCTTTTTCCATATCATTAAAGATTCTCCAAAACATGATTTTTCAATGGTTTTATAACATAGAGTCATTTTAGCCGTGCAACAATTTAATCACTGTTCCTCTTCTTGGCATTTACAAATGTGATTTTTCTTTGGGGACTTTCTCAGTGGCACATGTGACATGATGGCTCTTCCATAGGTTTATAGCATTTGGAGACTCAGCTCTCAGAGGTGGGTTTGTGTGGTGTGGCCCAAGGTGTGAGCTTGTTCTGCAAGATGATCGTATGTGGGATACTGACCCAGCCTTAAACACACAACATCACATTGTAAGAACATTATTCCTTCTTAAGTTCTTTTTATTCCTTTGAATGAAGGAGAGAAAGCCTCTATTTGAGGTAGGTTGACCGACTGTCCAGGGTCAGCCGGGAATGAGAATTGCTGCAGGACTTCCAGTGCTAAAATTGGGACAGGTCCTGGACAAATTCAAAAGGTTGGTCACCCTCATTTAAGCCTCATATGCCTTCACCATCTTTCTGTTTGTTTCCCTTCTTAAAAAAATGAGAGCAGGCCTTAGCTAAGGTTTAATAACCGTTTTCATTTTATTTATTTTTATAACTCTATTTGTGGTAAGTGGTATTGCTTTTTCCATTTAAGGTAGGAATATAAAGTTTCCCTTTTAAATAAAAGTAATGACAATGGTAGCTAACACTTGGTGAGTGTGTACCGTGTGCTAGGCACTGTCCTAATGCTTTACCTGCAGTCGCTCATTCAGTCCTCACAGCAACCCTCTGAAGTAGTTACTGTCATTGTCCTCCTTATACAGATCAGGAAACTGGGGCACAGAGAGGGCAAGAAACTTGCCTAACAACACAAAGTTAGTAAATGGCCAACCGGGGTTTCAGTCTTGATTTTCTGGCCCATTGCTACTCAAATGAAAGAATATTAAGTAAATAAAGGCATAGGTAAAACACAGGCATGGGAAAAATTGTGAGCATAGTGTATAAATGAGTCAGGTCATTCCACCACGGCTTGGTGGAAATCGGGTTGTATGAACTTGGTGGAATCCAGGTATTGGTGAGTGCAGGGTGTTGGGGAAGTTGAGTCATCCCAGCAAAACCAACAGGAATTTAGGAACCAATGGGCTCAATGAGAGAGGCTGAGAGGGATGAGACTATACACTGCACACAGCCTGGCTCTAGGGGTGGGATGTGGTTCCCAGAGTGGCCACCAGGGAAGGGACACAGAGAGGCCACAGAGAGTTCTGTGGCTGATAAGCAAATCAAGAGGGTGTTTCCAGAGAGCCCAAGCTTCCTGGCTCATCAGGAGGAGAAGAAAGCCTGAAGACATTCTTGACTTTGCTCATACAGGTGTGGTGAAAATAACCCCGGGCTCTGAGTCAGGAGGTGGGCTCAGTGTTGGCCAGCTCTTCCCTTATTATCACAGTGGGGAGATGACATCTTGTAATGGAGGCAGCACAGTGTCCCTATGGAAAGTGTGGACCCTGGAGTGACCGTGTGGCTCCACCACTGACCAGCTGTATCCCTTGAGCTGCACCTAATCTGTTGGCGCTTCAGTTTCTTCTCCTGTAATATGGGTTCAGTATCCCTTACCAAAATGCTTGGGACCACAGGTGTTTCAGATTTCACTTTTTTTTTTTTTGGCCTTTGGAATATTTGCATCATATTTACCCAGTTCAGCATCCCAAATCCAAAAATCCAAAATCTGAAATGCTCCAGTGAGCATTTCCTTTGAGTGTCTTGCCAGTGGCCAGAAATTCTTGCATTTTGGAGCATTTTAGATTTCAGATTTTTCAGATTTGGAATGCTCGACCTGTAATGATAGTGTCCATTTTACAAAGTTAAATACCACCCCCCCCCAAAAAAAAGCAAAGCTAAATCCCTTAGCCCACTGTCTATTCTTAGCACTCGGTATACATTAGGTCTTATTATTTCTAGCCCCTGTCTGTTCCCCTCCAGAGATTCCATCAAGAAGACTTCTGCACTGGGTTTGAGGCTCTGACCATCCACAGTCCTGGGTCCTATTCTCAACTCCAAAAACACCGCAAGGAGAGTGGTGGACTTCCTCTCAAGAGGATTGGGCATCTGTGTCTGGTGAAGTCTTTAAGGAGGCCCAATAAATAACACCTCTTTCCTTCACTGAAGCTTTAAGGCTTGTTGGGAATTCAGAGACTAATATCACCCGTATGACTGATGAAGCTGGTGTTGGAAAGTGTTTGGATCAACAGGCAAGTAGGTTTTCTAATATTGCATTGAGCAGATTTATCCCCCAGCCCTAGGGGGTGCCCACTGGGGAAAGTAGGGCTCTTTAAATATTAAAGCTTGGAGAAACAGAGCAGAATGTGTGTCCCCTGAAAGCAGCTAATTCCCTAGAGAAACAGAAGAGGGAGGGCTGAGCTATTCATGCAGGTACTTCTCAGAACTCACCATCAGATAGCCATTCTCTTGGTGTGGAAGAGCGTGGCACTCTGGGGTACCACTATGAGGGCCTGGCTAAAGCCCACTTGCAAGGCTGGTCTCCCATGGGCACCTGGCAAGACTTGTGTCCTGCCCTAGTGAGAGACAGGCAGGGCCGAGGCTGCAGGGGTTGCCACATGGTCCCATGGGCACCCCCTCTCCTCCCTTTTCCAGTTAATCAATCCTCATCTTTTCTCCAGAGATGCCTGGTGGGGAACTTGTTTAATGCAGAGTCCTTCCTTAGACAAGGCAAGCATCTGACTAGAAGTTTCTGCGGCGATGAATTTTCCTTTTTTCACAGAAGTTTCATTTAG
Organism: Homo sapiens; assembly: GCF_000001405.40. Taxonomy (NCBI): domain Eukaryota; kingdom Metazoa; phylum Chordata; class Mammalia; order Primates; family Hominidae; genus Homo; species Homo sapiens. The sequence continues at coordinate 10,686,965 of NC_000011.10, read as the reverse complement.
GCAACTCCAGACAGGGAGCAAGTGATCTCTTAACTCCTTTCTTCTGGGTTACTTCTTACAGATAGATGAGAAAATATATGGGAAAGGAACTACCATTGTTTGAGCAAGTTTGTATGTGCCAGGCACATTTTATACAATATCTCATCAAATCTGTACTTTAGCCATGCAAGGGAGGTATTTGTGAACAAACTGATTCAAGGAGGATAGTAACTAGTATGAGAAGAATGAGAGTCAAACCAAAACCATCAGACCACCAAGCCCCATCTCTTTCCATCTCTCTGTGGCCTATAGACCTGGCTGCAGGACAGAGTGATAATGCCTGACCCTTTGTTCCTGCCCCTATAAGAACAAAGCCCTGGAGGTCCCAGTGCTGCTGCTCAGAGCTGAGGTCCTGAGCTCTCGGGGCAGGGCACTGGAGCAGCTTCCCCACTAGGCTTGCTCTACTTTGCACTTCTCTTGGTTTCTTTCAGTATGTAATGATCTTTATCAGGTCTCCTAGTCTTGTTTATGAACAAGTTCCTTCCTCTATTTAGAAGGAAAAATACAAATTTAGAATCACAAGCTTTTTACTGGCAAGAAATGCCATGTCCTACATTGTGTGTCTTGAGTCACTTTCTATGGCTCTCCAAAGTTTGTGCCCTAAAAGTCTGTAAATGTTGCCGAGGTCACCCAGTCTGTTCAAATCCCAGCCCCACAACTTACTGTTTGACGTGGGCGAATGATCTAACCTCTGAGTCCCCTTACCTATGAAATGGATTGCTAGATCTAAAGTACTTATACCTGAATAAGTACCCAATAAGTAATTATTATTATTGAAGCCCAGATTAATATTGAGCACATGGGAGTCCTCTATTTTGGATGCCCCCAAATGGTCAGGTTTCCCCAAGGACTCTCTTGTCATATTTTTGACTTGTATGGGTATGGTAGAAAGAATGTAATGTCTTCCTGGGCTTCTTACCTAAGACATCTTTCTTGTTTCCCACCTGAGATCTAACTGGTCCCCGTTGTAGTTTGGAAGGCAATGATGATAAGGCTAGGTGTTGTCAAGATAAACCTGGCTAGTTGGCTTCTAAGAGACTTCCCCAAGGAGCATCACCTTGGGGATGTTCTAGAGTCCTGGACCTATCCCTAAGCCTGGTTAGTGACCTGGAATTGATTAGTTGATTGCTTATGTAGAGACTGACTCACAATAATCAAACTCACAAGAGACTGAAGTATACAATTTTTTTTTTTTTTTTTCAAGAGAGGCAGGGTCTCACTCTGACCCCTGGGCTGGAGTGCAGTGGTATAGTCACAGCTGACTTGCAGGCTTGACCTCCCTGGCTCAAGTGATCCTCCCACCTCAGCCTCCCAAGTAGCTAGGACTACAGGCATATACTACCTCACCTGGCTAATGTTTTAAACGTTTTTTTGTTTTAGAGACAGGGTCTTGCTATGTTGCCCATGCTGGTCTCAAACTCCTGGACTCAAGTGATACTCTTGCCTCAGCCTGCTAAAGCACTGAGATTACTAAAGTATACAATTCTTTTAATTCTTTTTTTTTTTTTTTGGGAACGGAATCTTGCTGCATCACCCACGCTGAAGTACAGTGGTGCGATCTCGGCTCACTGCAACCTCTGCCTCCCAAGTAGCTGGGATTACAGGCATGCGCCACCATGCCCAGATAATTTTTTGCATTTTTAGTAGAGACAGGGTTTCACCATGTTGGCCATTCTGGTCTCGAACTCCTAACCTCAAGTGATCCACCTGCCTCAGCCTCCTTTCAAAGTGCTGGGATTACAGGTGTAAGCCACTGCACCCAGCCAAGTATGCAATTCTGAATGTCTATGTGCCAGTATATGATAGGAGACAAACCCTTTCCAATGACCAAAATGCTTGATAGATAGAGATTTAGGTAAGAAGGCAGAAAGTTCTGAGGGGTGGGTCACCTAAGCTATGATGTGGCCTGATGAGCCACCTCTGCCT